>NC_000005.10:59484807-60109807 GCF_000001405.40 Homo sapiens
TAGTCATTTGTTTCACATTTTCTCATCTGTAAAATGTAATGTGGGTCAACTCTGAATTTCTCTGAGAGTTCTAAAAGTCTACGATTCACCAACCACAACTTGACAACCAGTAATATCCACCATGATGCATGAGACTCAAGCTAATAAACCAATTAGTTAAGCAATCCCCATGGCAAAATCAGATCCAGTTTTGGATCACTTTTTTAAAATAATTCCAAGAAACCCCAGTCTCCTAGGGAAGACTAGGATGTAATAGATTCTGAAGGTCATAGAGATTAAAGCAAATTATATTGTGGTACTATCTGCAATATCTGGTGGGTTTTTATAACCTACCTAGCCACTAGCACAGTGGCTTTTAGAAGACACAGTAAGTAGTTACTTGTTATTTGACTGAGGAACAGATAAAAAGATGATGACTCTATCATCTATTAGTATTCAGGAAACTATGAAATGAATATACAGTGCATCCAGTGATTTGTGCAATGTGTCAGCCATCTGGGCTTTATTTTCACTGTACGCCACCGTTATTTATTAAAGAGTAGAAATGATTAACACAGAGACATCTGGCCCTGCTTATATACCCACACTGCAAGTTTTTAAAAAAAGATATACCCAGGAAATTAACATTCATATTTGGATACAAAAGTCTGGATTGAATTTTGTTTTTTAGATTTATGTCTCTACCAGTAAGGTTTTACAAAATAAACTCTCTTCTCAAGAATGATGCTTTGAAGAAAGGCTACTACCAAACTTAGCAGTTACATATTTTTAGGTTTATTATATAAATATAAATATATATAAACATATACAAATGTAAAATAAGTTATACACAATCTTACTGCAGAATAGTTTTTCTAGAAGAAATGCCCTGATTGGAACCAAGAAGGTAAAATCTCTAAATGCTTTCATTTTGCATAAGATTAGAGCCTACACTGTCAGAAAATGATTAACACTCAGACATTCTCACTACTGTCAAAATACTGCACAAAGAGAGAGAATGCAGGATTGCCAGGGGCATTCCCAGCTCCCTGACGTCAATTCAGATCAAATTCAGATAACTTACTATGCCAGCTGCTTGATTTTTCCGTTTTGTGAAAATCCTATTCTCTTTAAAATGAGTTTGCTATCTAAATACCATCAAAGCTACTTTGAAATATTGGGAAAAGGGTTTAAGCTTTTTTTTAATGCTTTTCACCTCCCTCCTCATGACAACAAGCTTGTAGAGAATGATCAACTCCTTCTGATTCCTTCAATTATTATCACTATCATGATATAAAATATTTTTTCTGGACTCTATAGTTTGATGTAGAGTGAAAGACAATCTGCACTCTGTTAAAATTTATCTTGTATAGGTTCATGGATATGGTTTGGTTAGAGACTTTGTAATAGATGTGGCACCTCTGGGCTTCTGAAAAGAATGTCATCTAGGAAACCACATTATTTGATTCCTTGGCTCCACCCTCCCAACTCCTGTCCTCACCATCCTGTTGTCTTTTCTCTGTGGCACTATCTAATGCCACAATAGACTTCCCATGGTTGCTCTCCAGAAATAGAAGAAGCTTTTGGATATTTGAAATACATACCATCTTAACTACTCCTGCTCTAACAGCAACAAACTTTTCATCTTAGTTGCAATTGATGTTTTTCTGTGCCTTCTTGTATGAATTCTTTACAGGTTAATAATAACATACAACACTTATAAAATACTTCCCATGTGCCCTATTGCATGCTTTATACATGTTTTATTTCAGTTAACTATCACAATACATTTATTAAATAGACATTATTATTATCCCCATTTTACAGGTGAAGAAATGTAGACCCATAGCTGTTAAATGACTCGCCAATGTCATACAACATGCAAGGAGTGGAGCTGAGGTTTAAAGATGTACTCAGGTTAATATGTTCTTAACCACCAGTGTACATTACTTCCCTTTCTGAGCATACAAAGTACATAGGAGACATGGCCTATGGAGCGTTAATGCATTAAATATACAATGCCCTGTTAAAGTGACTGAAAAATACTAGGTTTTTATTAAGCATTTATTGTAGGTCAATACTTGACATGCTTGTATTATTGTGGGAAGTAAAATGAAAATCATAAAATGTTTTCTCCCTGCATCAAGAACTTAACTTTAAGAATACAATTTTATTTTGCAAAAATAGTTAATAGGCCTTCTTGTTTTAGTTTCCAGCCTAAGAGTTGTCTATCAGGAATGCATAGAAGTAGAAGATAATAGGAATCATATGTCCATCATTTAAATATGTAAGATCATCTTTTTAACACCTGTGATCTAAACTGAAACAAGCAAACAAAATCCTAGTCAGTATGGAGATGGGGGAGAAACAAATTTCTAGATTGAAAACAGAAGGCAAAGGAGCGTCTAAGAAGAGATGTAACAATGATGCTTTTTCAGGATAAGAAATGCTTCATGAGAAGGTATTTCAAGCATCCTGGGAAAGGTGAGCGAAACTTCTACTGGGAGTGAAAGGCAGGGGAGGAATTTCAAGTTGATAGGACATTAACTGCAGAGAAATAGAAATAGCTAAAGAAATAAGCATTTGAGGTTTTTTTCGTGTTCAGTTAAGAGGAAATAAGTAGGTAAAACTTGAAAATACTGACTGAAAGCCAAGAACCAGACTCACAGCACAAGGGACTTGCTGAGTGACCTTGGACAAGCTACTTAAATTCAGCTTCCTCATGGGTCAGACGATGCTATCAGCCCTATCATTTTCCTAGTTAGTTATTAGTCTATTTGATTAAATGCACAGTGGTTCCAGAAAGCATTTAAGGCAGTTTATAAAAATACATAAACTAAGATAGCACTAATAAAAAGTAATCAGGAAGGAGAGCAACACAAAAAACATGCCGGAAAGGAGGCTAAAACAAAAAGGCACATCATGAAGACTTAGTCCCTGGCTATGAATTTGACTCTGAGTTTCAAAGCAACCTCTGAATTAGTGAAATCTGGTGAGTTACAGACGTTAGGAGGAGAAATAGCTCCCTTCTAGCACTGAAAGCATCCAGTGAGATCCCGCATGTAACAAATGCTTATTTCCTTCTCATTCCTCTTTTCCATGAAATGGCAGGAAGTGCCAGATCCCTTTAGAGAGCTACCACAAGTGACTGTCTGCCATAGTATTTCTTCCCTGCCTTCCCCTCTGCACATCAGACACACAGTGTGTACACAGAGACACAGAGACACCACACTCACACCCCACACTGCAGGGAGCATTCCAGAGCTGACTACTAAGGCTTGGGGTCTAGGTGCTCCCTAGTTCCCTCAGTTTTCACCCCGGTCACTATTTACCCGTGGAGACAGACATCCCAGATAAATCTTCTGACATCATCAAGAGCCAAAAAAAAAAAAAAAAAAAAAATGTGTAACTGTTGAAGCAATGTAAAATATAATGAATTTTAAAGTGTTGCCATTTCTAAGGCCTGTAGGCCACTCAGGCTGTAGCTTCGTTTCCTTTTTTATCTCACATTTTCATGCTTTACCAGTGCCAAACAATTTGAGCTATTCAGCTGAAGCAAGCCGAGAAAGAAATAGAGGAGAGATGTGCATCTTGTAAGATTTGGAATACAGCTATTTAATCTATCAGAAATTAGTTTGGAGTAGATAAGCTGTTTAAATACGCATTTGAAATACCATTAATAGGGACACTTCTCTTTTTCTCTTTGCTCTGTATTGTGGTTCTTTTAATAAAATTGGCAATGGTGATATCAGTGTGTGCATAGCTGTGCACACTGTGCTTAGCAAACAGTTACTTAAAGCCAGGATATTCATTTTTATGAAAAAGAACTAGATATATATTCAATAGAACAATAAACCTTTCAAAAAATATAACCACTAGAGATAATCTTCTTTTTTTTTTTTTGAGGGGGGGATCTTCAGAGAGCTTTCCAAGTACAGTTGGAATATTTCACAATTTCAGGAGACTTGTATGCATCTAAATACAAAAATTGAATGTATTTTCATGGTAAAATATTGTTGGATGTATTAGGATTGGCGGTTTAGCTGGTAAGTAAAATTTTAGGGAGAGTGGGAGCAAGGCAGACGCATAAAACATCTGTGCTTTCCAACTGAGATGAGTCAAATAAGGAGAAAAATGACAAAGTTCTGTGGTAAATGAGCTTTGAAGTGTTCTCCAGTTCAAGCCAATTTTTAAATTTTAATATTAATAAGGATTGTTGGCCAGGCGTGACGGCTCATGCCTGTAATCCCAGCACTTTGGGAGGCTGAGGAGGGCGGATCACGCGGTCAAGAGATAGAGACCATCCTGGACAATATGGTGAAACCCCATCTCTACTAAAAATACAAAAATTAGCTGAGTGTGGTAGTACTCAGGAGGCTGAGGCAGGAGAATCGCTTGAACCCTGGAGGCAGAGGTTGCAGTGAGCCAAGATCACACCACTGCACTCTAGCCTGGCGACAGAGTGAGACTCCATCTCAAAAAAAAAAAACAAAAAAAACAAAAAAAAACATTGTTGCTGTGGTCCCTCTGTAATACTGCTCTCTTCCTGAGGCTTCTACTTGCTTGAGCTCTTTTGTTTCTTACAAAAGCACAAGCATCTAGAAGACAGTAATTAGTTTCTTTCTTGATATATCAGAATTATTCCCTAATTAAATGAGATTTAAGGTGATAAATGGAATTACTTTGTCTTTTAGACCTCCATATTTCTCTGGAGAATTACCTTACAAGGTTTAAAATATGTATATTAAGGAAGCCCACTTGGAAAATACAGAATTGTTTGGCTATTTAAATGAAAGCAGATACATGGTGTTTCAGTATTCTTATTGTCTTTATGGCTTCAATGCTCTCAACATTTGAATTAATAAGATTTGGGGTGCCTTAGCTGCATGGAAGAATCCTTATTTGTTTCCTTGTGCCCACATTAAAAAGAACTCAAAATGACTCATTAAGGAAAAAAGAAACTTGCAATGAAAGAACTGTTGTGTGGGTGAGTCCCAAGGGAGACTTGACAATATCATGCAATTTTCAGTTTTCTCCCTATTTCTTTATATTTTAATAACCTACCAGTTTTCTATAGAGCACATCTTTCTCCATGCCGTTGTTTTCTTACACATATAGTAATGATAATAGTTATCTAAGATTTCAACTTTAAAAAAGCATGTGTTTAATAAGATCTCTGGTATTCCTCTAGAGATAGTAAAATTATAATATCAGCACTGCCTTAATAACAACATTTTAATTGTTTATTACTTCCAGTATAGTAAAAATATCATTTCGCAAATATTTGCTTAGCTCTTTGGACTCTCTCATATGGCTACAAAGATGAGATACCCTTACAATTATCTCATTTTACAAACTGATTTTCTTTTTCTTTCTTCTAAAGCAACTGTGGAGTAAGTATCCTCTTAAAATAAATTTCATATGCTAAGTGATTTTCTAAAAAGTAGGTGGTTGAACTTAAACAAAAATATTTTAAAATATTTAATATATTGGCTGTTTCTCAACCCTACCACTGCATGCAAAATAGCTTTTCTTTTCAGGTGACCATAGCAAATAAGTACTAAGTAGCTTCTTTATACTAATTGCTCAGTCAAATGCTTTCATATGCTTTCATCAAATGCTTTTATCTCATTTTTTAAGAGTCTTATGAGATAAATATTATGATCTCCACTTTGAAGATGAAGCTGGAGACATAAATAACAGCTATAGAAAAGAAAGAAAACCAACTAAAAACAGTTTCTGAACTTAAAAATAATCCATGCAGGTAATTCATGTTCATACACATAATGTAAACCACTTAGAAATGTAGTATTTCTTTATATGTTACATGCCTCATTTGTCATCTTTGTGCATCCCTTCAGACATCTGCATTTGTGTACTGCAATGACTAATAATAGTAAATTAAAGTAAAATAAACTATTATAACCAAATTTATCTTGTTCCTTTGATGTGGTACAGAAAATAATTAAACAGGTAAAGATATAATACATTTTTATGTGCCAGAATCAATTGGCAACTGACGTGGTACCACGAAAGTAAAAGGCTCATTTCTCCCACTATAGAGAAACTCTAGGCAATGTATCTCTATCCAGATTAAGTCTTCAGGGAGTACAGAGGAAGTATACATAGTGGAGGGAAAGAACATGAGTTCCACGATCCACGTATAGACGATCAAATCTTAGCCCTACTTACTAGCAGAGTGAGATTGGCCAAGATTATTTCTCTCTGAACCTACCTTTCCTCAGCTTGAACACATATGGCCTAACATATATTTCAAGCATATCTGCAATATTTATATTTAAAATGATATGAAGCAAACTTTACCTATAATGACATTAGTTACTCTTGGGAGATGATTATGTATGTGATTTTATATTGCCCTGTGCACTTTTCTCTATGTTTAAAACATCTCATTATTCTTTTTAAAAAGAATAAAATGAGTAAGTAAATAACATAAAGTTGATAATAGCTACTTCCAGGGGAGGGTTCAGATAAACTGAAATCAGATACCATATATAAAGCAGATACTGCAAAGTAGGTAACTCTCAATTTTTAGCTCCCTTCTTTCTTGTTTTCTTGGCAATGCACCATTACCTTCTACCTCATCAATTTCATTCATGAGATTGAGCAGTGACTTTCCAGTAAAGCAAGTTATCATATTTGATGTCAGTGGTGATTGATACAATGCTAATTAAGTAGCTACATCACAGGAAAACCACATAACATTGAAAGCATATTTCATTTAAACATTTTGGAAAGCTTTCTCTGTAGTCTCATTGTGAATAGTAACTGATGCCTTGGTTATGCAAAATTCAAGTATTTTCCTCAGTATTTCTCCAGAAAGATGATATAAAAATTCACCATACTTTCAATGTCACTATTTAACTATATGTATATTCACACAGATTCAAAAGAATCATGAATACCTTATTTCTTACTTAATCTAACTATCTAATAACAATAAATGTTATAGTTAAATATAATGTATAAGATATAGAAATTGCTCTTTATCGCTATACTCTTCCTGGTGAGATAGCAGGGATAATGGATAAATTTTAGGTTGCCCAGGCAAGAAGCAGATAGGAGAAATAAGAAAAAGCTGTAGCTTTATTTACTAAAGTTAGGATGTTTTGCTCAAATATGCAACCCAGATACCCATTCAGGATTGAGGCATTCATTCCCCCAGCAGCTGGGAGTCTTCTCAGCTAAGTCTCTCTCCTGGAATTGCCTTTATCCAAAGAGAGAGAAATCTACTGCACACAGGTGTTGATCTTAAGAGAACCCCACCCCCAAACAAATTTCTTGGGCCTAAATCTCTGCCTCCAAGTCTGTTTTCTAGAGAATCTGGCTTACGGCATGTTGCATCACCTCTTTCTTCCTTGAATGCCCATGAAAACCTTGAATACAAGTATCCATGATCCTGAACATGGTTTGGTTTTCTAAAAAAATTTACTGGGACTATCCCATCTGTACATTCACTGACAATAAATGATGTAGAACATTCACTAGAGAATTTATTCAAGATTACCTACTTATATTAATCCAGAAATAATATAAGAAATGCTGTCTGATTAGGGAGAGTGAGGTTGCTCACACTTGGCACCTGACCCAATTTCTACAACATTTTACTTGTGCCAGTACAGACCTATGTTGTTCTTTTTGAAGAGTTAAGTGTATATACATAGGAACATTGCTCATTTCTATTTACTCAGAAAATCTAATTTTCCTCCAATGCACTAAAAACAAACAGGAGGCCCAGTGAGATTAAACCCTCAAATTAGTGTGAGAATACCTGGTTTCTTTTTTACTGCCCTCAACTGAATTTCTCATCACCTGGAGCTAATTTTCCAGGGTACATGTGCTGTGGAAATAATACCAGGGAAGTTTATTAGTGTAGGGAACTGATAGGTCTATTATATGTTTAGGCTGTGTCCCCACCCAAATCTCATCTTGGATTGTAGCTCCCACAATTCCCATGTGTCCTGGGAGGCAATCGAATTATGGGGTGGGTCTTTCTCGTGCTGTTCTCATGATAGTGAATAAGTCTCACAAGATCTGATGGTTTTATAAAGAGGAGTTCCCCTGCACAAGCTCTCTCTTTTTGCCTGCCACCATCCATATAAGACGCGACTTGCTCCTCCTTGCCTTTTGCCATGATTGTGAGGTCTCCCCAGCCATGTGGAACTGAGTCCCTTAAACCTCTTTTTCTTCCTAGTGTCAAGGGTGTCTTTATCAGCAGTGTGAAAATGGACTAATATGATCTATATGGTCAATTCAGTGAGAGGTGTCCATTGGCTAAAATTGTTTATATACTTTTAAAGGCTTAAAAAAATTAATTGTCAGATTGGTACCAAACTCTGAGTTTTTTTATTGCAATATTTTAGGCATTTTGGCAAAATATACACTGGGGACCCAGAAAAAAGACTATTCTAAAAAGAATGAAAACCTCTTATTTTGCAGGTGGCCAAAATCCTTTGTTAAGATTCAAAAATCCGTGTACTAAAGCAGTTCATAACACATCTCTGCAGAAACATGATCAGATACAGCTTCTCAATGTATATACGTAAATGCCTTGCAATAAGGCAAAATGGTTAAGAATGTCATTTTAAAAAAGCATGTTCTAAACACTGGAATCGAGTTTACTATTTGGTAAACAGTTCAATATACTGTAATAAACTAGCTCACAATGAACCAACAAATTAATGTAAAGTTGTTAAAGCACAGTAAGTTCTCATTTTTCCCATCTACTCTGTTTCTCAAGTTAAACTGCCTATTAAATAACCAGAATCTCATCCAGTTATATTCATAAATACAAGTTAAATACATTTTTCTCTAACAACCAGCAACTCAGTTTTAGAGACCAAATGATAGGTGTCCTGGTGATTTAAATACATAATTACAATGTTTTAATGTATAGGTAAATTACTAAGATCAGAAACTGAATGAATAACGAGAGAGATGTGGCAGGATATTTTAAGATCCATCATAATAGGTAGGAAGAGTGATTCTATTTATTTGTGAAAATGCATTACTGTTTAAGTTCGATTCATGAAGCTATACAAACCCCAAATGTCACAGCATTATGGGAAAAGGTGGAACATACGTCTGAGCATAAAACAGTGATCTAATCACATCTGACCACATTACGAAATAGTTTTTTTCCAAGTTATAATAAGGATTGCTTCAAAAAATAAATGGCTTACTATAAATGCATGATAATAAGATAAAAACAAAATGAGCTTTGGAAACTTGGCTTTGACCCTAGTAACCCCAATTAAAATTAGAGAAATACTTCCTTTGACAGTTTATGCTGTGATATCAAAAATACAATGCAACTCAGGGAGACAGAATGTAATGCTTTGGGTGTTGCTACCTGGTGAGTTCAGACCACTGGCAGGAAGGAAAATGTCATCTAAGCTGCTGAAATTGTTTGTACTCCACTTGTGAATTTGCAATGTGTCAGATATGTAATAAAGGCACTTTCTAGAAGTCGTATAGCCATTAAACTTCCTAGGCATTGCCATGTTAGTATAATGATGGATTGCAGGTCTCAAAAATAAATACTAGCAAGACTAGAATTAGGATACAAATTCAGCTCCTGAACATCTGTTAGGGAAAGTCAGTGTCCTAATTTGACATGAAAATTAGATCTGTCAACCTAAGCAAACAAAACAAAACAAAACAAACAAACAAACAAAAAACACCTAGAAATTTATTTTCTGGTCTACATCAGTTCTCACAAAAGTGAGACATCAGGAGAAAGTTGAACTGTTAGTCATAACTTTCATTTATTTTATATGCCCAAACTTTTGCAAAAATTTTCCTTGTGATTTTAATTAATTATTGCAAAGAAATGTTACTAAGGTTGCACAGTCTTTTAAACTACTATTAACTATCCCTAATCTTTCTCTTTCAAAAAACCAAGAAAATTCTAAATGTCTAGCAATAGACCTGAGGCACTTGCATTAAGACTTTGAAACAATCCCACCAGCAACGTACCTTCCCCGTAAACATGCCCCTCAAAATAATACTCAGTGATTGGTGCGGACTACAAGCTGAGCCCAAACCTTATTCCTCACTTGGAGTGTTGGAATAAATGGATGTGTTCTATACATTTCTAAGAAAAAAAGCAAGAAAAGAAAAAGCTAGTTTTTAACACAGGCTCCTGTATTCAAATCCCCTTCAAGTTACCCCCTACAATTCCCACCTAAGGCTGTTATTTTCATCAATATGCTCTTTCTACCTTATCCAGCCCAGTTTGGCCTTGACTTCCCCACCAGTTTCCTCCCTAGGAATCTTCCTTGAGTCTTGTCCTGCCTTTATGATATTGTAAGCAAACTCACAAATATCCTTGATCACTTCTGGATATAACTTGCTCAGCTCCTTGACCACACTGAAGTCGGGCTTTCTCCTGATGGCACACTCTTCCAAAATGTTTACTATCAGAAGTAGTCTCCCCACTTGCATGCTTCTCTTAGTCCATTAGCTCACGTCTGCTCTTCAACAAGGTTTTTTCTTTGCAAGTCCATCATATCTACTTACTCCATTCTCTTTGTGTCTCTCATTTATTACCCCCTGGCCCTGTTTCTAAGTTTCTTAGTGAAATTATCATCAAATTTCAACAAGCCTCATCATCAATCCTCAATCTCCATGTCTCCATTCCATTTTCATCCTTCATAAATAGAGACATGAAAGGGATCAAGATGGCTGAGCAGAAGCAGGTAGTGTGTGGCTCCCCAACAGAGAAACGCCAGAATAGTAAGTGGACACCTTCTGAGCAGATAGTCTAGGAGAGAATGCTTGGATGCGATAGAGAAGAGACATAAAGCATTAGAAGACTGCAGGGGCAGGAGAGTTCCCGAAGCCAGGTTTCTTCTGGGTGGCAAGACATGCAGCTAGGGGCAGCTTTGAGACCTGGAACCAGTCTGCGTGTGTTGCTACGAAATGAGAAAGGTTCCCTTGTCCCCCTTGCAAGGTGTGCAACTGGAGAAGTGGCTCGCTTCTTCAGTGCCCTGCTGCTCGTACCTCTAGGGGAGCATGCAGGTTGTGGGGGTCGATCCCACGGCAGCATCTAGGGGTGGATGTTTACAGCTCCCAAAGCCCCAGTGGGCATGTGCTACCATGGGCTCTTTCAGTTTTGCCGTCTATAGGCAGCTTGTGTTAACCAGCTCAATTAGACCCTCCACCTTATCACAAGGACGAGGGCTTTCTGTATCCCGGGTTCTTGCCTTGGCGTGAGGGAAGAATTGAATCACACCTGGGCTTGGAGAATGAGTACAAGGTTTTACTGAGTGGAAGTAGCTATCAGCAGATGGGGGAGCCAGAAGGGAGATGGTTTCCCCCTGGAGTCCAGCCGCTCAGCAGCCCGGGCTCTCCTATGACTGCCACGACCAAACTCCGCGTCATTCCTCTGCTGGACGGCCTGCCAGGTGGCAGCATCTGTTGGTGTGCTCTTCCACCAGCGTGCTCCCCTCGATGTCCTCTCCACTTTCAGCTGCTTGTGTCTCTACCCGCTAGGGTCTTGGGGTTTTTATAGGCACAGGATGGTAGGGGGCATGGTAGGCTAGGTTGGTCTTGGGAAATGCAACATTTGGGCCCAAAGGCTGGAGTGCCTGTCCTCACCTAGGTCCGTGGGCACAGGCCTGGGGGTGGAGCCCTCGCCAGGGACTCACCCTTCTTTACCCAGCACTTCCCAGCATCCCTTACATATCAACTACTGGGTTCCCCAGTCGGCTTCCTTGTTCAGTTGGGGGACAGTAACCCACCAGCTCTGAAAAGTGGTAAGGGAAGGGACCCACTCCCCTAGAAATCTAGCCCTCGGTTCAGTCGGCCCCTAAGGGAGGGGGATGTAGCCGGCTAAAGCCCCTCTTGGGTCAAAGGTTGGGTCAAAGGAAACAGGAGCACTGCGCTAGCCACTGAAGGGGGCGCCACCAAAGCCAGGGAATGGTTGTCGAGAAGGGGTCATCGCTCACCTCTCTCATCCCTCTTCAGTGTACTGTTGCGGACTCGAAGGTGGCTCTCCCCAGCGGAACCGAGAGAGTGTGGGCTGAAAGAGACCACTTTTGGGGCTTCTCCAGCAATTCCACTCCCACTGAAGGCAAACGCGCTGAAGGAGGGCACTTTGCAGACTTTTCCATTGCTTCTGCCCTTGCCCCTACCTTCTGGCGCTCACTCTTAAGTGCCACCTACTGGGCTGCAGCCTGAATTACACTACAAAACAAAATTACATCACTACAAGAAGCAACGTCTCAGCCACCGCACAAACTTATCTGCAACCAAGGAACCCATACAGAGCCTTGGCGCCCTGAAAGCACTCAGAAATGAAGCTGATCCACCCATACACATTTTACACCACAGTCATACCCACAAGGGAAAAAAGAATTTAAAATCAACAAGCTCCATCCAAACAATAGCAAATTCAAAAAAGAAAAGAAAAAAGCATCAGCTCTCTCAGATGAGAAGGAACCAGCACAAGAACTCTGGCAATACAAAATGTCAGAGTGTTTTACCACCTCCAGAGAATCTCACTAGCTCCCAAGCAATGAACCCTAACCAGAATGAAATGTCTGAAATGACAGATATAGAATTCAGAATCTAGATGGCAAAGAAACTCAATGAGATCCAAGAGAAAGTTGAAATCCAACACAAAGAAGCCAGAAAAATGATCCAAGATTTGAAAGACAACATAGCTATATTAAGAAAGAACCAAACACAACTTCTGGAATTGAAAAATTAACTATGGGAATTTCAAAATACAGTTGGAAGCCTTAACAACAGACTATACCAAGCAGAAGAATGAATTTCAGGGCTCGAAGACTAGCTTTCTGAATCAACCCAGGCAGGCAAAAATAAAGAAAAAAATAATTTTAAACAATTAATAAAACCTTCAATAAATATGGGGTTATGTAAAGTGACATTGGCATTTCTGAGATAAGAGAAACTAAGCAACTTGGAACACATATTTGAGGATATAATTCAGGGAAATTTCCTCAATCTTGCCAGAGAAGTCAACATGCACATACAAGAAATCCAGAGAATTCCTGGAAGAATACTATATAATATGACCATCTTCAAGGCACACAATCATCAGACTATCCAAGGTCAACGTGAAAGAAAAAAACTTAACGGCAGCTAGAGAAAACAGTCATATCATCTATAAAGGGAAACCCATCAGACTAACAGCAGGCTTCTCAGCAGAAACCATACAAGCCAGAAGAGATTGGGGGACTATTTTTAGCATTTTTAAAGAAAAAAAATGCCAACCAATAATTTCATATCCCACCAACTATACTTCATAAATGAAAGAGAAATAAATTCTTTCTCAGATAAGCAATTGCTAAAAGAATCCATCACCACCACACTAGACCTACAAGAGATACTTAAGAGAGTTCTAAACATGAAAACAAAAGGAAAGGATGATCCTTGTTACCATGAAAGCACATGCAAGCAGATAGCCCACAGGCCCTAAGCAGTGACTGAATCAATACTACAAAGCAACCAGATAATAACACTATGGCAAGAATAAAACCTCACATATCAATATTAACTTTTGCATAGTCAAAATTAATATTGATATGTGAGGTTTTATTCTTGCCATAGTGTTTTAACATAAAATATTAACTTTGGCCATGCAAAGTTAATATTGATATGTAAGGTTTTATTCCTGTCATAGTGTTTTAACACTCCATTTAAAAGGCAAAAAGTGGCAAATTAGACTAAAAACAAGTCTAACTTCAAGATACCCATTTCACTTGTAATGGCACCCATAGGCTAGGCTGCAAGTAAATGGATAGAGAAAGATCTATCATGCAAATAGGAAACAAAAAAAGAACAAGGATCACTATTCTAATATCAGAAAAAATAGACATTAAACAACAACAGTAAAAAAGGACCAAGAAAGGCATTACATAATGATAAAGTGTTCAATTCAATAAGAAGACTTAACTATCCTAAATATATATATGTTCAACATTGGAGGATACATATTTATAAAATAATTGCTTATAGACCTATGAAAAGACTTTCATGGCCACCCAATAATAGTGGGGAACTTCAGCACACGAGTGAAAGCAATAGACAGGCAAAAAACTAACAAAAAATTTTGTATTTAATAAATTTGATAGTTGGCCAATTGGACCTAATAGACATCTATAGAATACTCCACCCAACAACTACAGAATATGCATTCTTCTCATCTGCACATGATATATATTCCAAGATTGAACACATAGTCATAAAGCAAGTCTTAATACATTTCAAAAAATCAGAATCATACCAAGCATCTTCTCAGACCACAGTGGAAAAAAAACAGAAATCAACAGCAAGAGGAATTCTTAAAACCACACAAATACAGGAAACTAATCAACTTGTTTCTGAATGACTCTAAAATAAACAAAAAATTAAGGCAGAAGTCAAACTGTTATTTGAAACAAACAAAAATAGAGATACAACATACCAAAACCTCTAGAGTACAGCAATGGCAGCGTTAAGAGGAAAGTTTCTAGCACTGAATGTCTACATCAAGAAGATACATCTGAAATTAACAACCTAAAATCGCACCTAAAAAAAAAAAAAAAACAGAAAAACAAGAACAAAACTAAACCTAGAGCTAGCAGAAAAAAAAGAAATAACTAAAATCAGAACAGAATTAAATGAAATTGAGACCCATAACAACTATACAAAGGATATACAAAATGAGAAGTTTGTTCTTGGAAAGGATAAAAAAAGATTGATATACTGCTAGCTAGATTAACAAGAAAAGAGAGAAGATCTGAATATGCACAATCAGAAATGACAAAAGTGACATCACAACCAATCCCATAGAAACATAAAAGATCCTCAGAGACTACTATGTACATCTCTATGCACAAAAACTAGAAAACCTAGAGGAGATGCATAAATTTCTGGACACACACAACCTCCCAAGATTAAACCAGGAAGAAACTGAAATCCTGAACAGACCAATAACAAGTAATGAAATTGAATCAGTAATAAAAAACCTAATGTCCAAAAATAGCCCTGAACCAAATGGATTCACAGCTGAATTCTACCAGACATACAAATAAGAGCTGATACAGATACTACTGAAAGTATTCAAAAAAAAAAAAAAATCAAGGAGGAGGAACTCCTAATTCAAAACCAGTATCTTTCTGATACCAAAATCTGGCAAAGACACAACAACAAAAACCCTACATGCCAATATCTCTCTGATGAACAGATGCAAAAGTCCTCCACAAAATATTAGCAAACCACACTCAACCAATGAGATACTATCTCACACCACTCAGAATGGCTAGTATATTAAAAAAATCAAAAAGTAACAGATGTTGGTGAGACTGTGGAGAAAAGGGAACGCTTGCACACTGTTGGCAGGAATGCAAATTAGTTCAGCCACTGTGGAAAACAGTTTGGAGATTTCTCAAGAACTAATAATAGAACCACCATTTGACCCTGCAATCTCACTGCTGAGTGTATACCCAAAGGAAAATAAACCATTCTACCAAAAAGACACCTGCACTTATATGTGAATCACAGCACTATTCACAAGAGCAATGACATGGAATCAACCCATATGCCCACCAATGGTGGGCTGGATAAAGAAAATGTGCTACATATATACCAGGAAATACTATACAGCCATAAAAAGATGAAATCATGTTCCTTGCAGCAACATGGATGGAACTGGAGGCCATTATTCTCAGTGAATTGAAACAGAAACAGAAAACCAAATACCACATGTTCTTACTTATAAGTGGGAGCTAAACACTGGAGGCAACACGGACACAAATATGGAAACACTGAACAACTGAGGATTCCAAAAGGGTGGGAGGAGGGAGGTGAGCAAGTGTTGAAAAACTCCCTATGGTCCTATGTCACTACGTGGGCAGTGGGATCATTACAAGCCCAAACCTCAGCTTCACGCAATTTACCCATGTAACAAGCCTGCACGTGTACTCCCTGAATCTAAAATAAAAATAAAATAAGAAAATACAATAAAGAGATCCCTCTACTACCCTCACAGGACTGGCCATTGTATCATTTCTTTTGGTACAGTTCATAAACTCTAACCCTTTATTTCTTCTTTTTTTCTCCCCTTCTGATCTTCTCTCTTTCCACATTTTCACTTTCAGTGCTGTATCCCTTTCTCATTTTTCCATATTATAGCCTCACCTGCTAGACCAACTAATTTTTTTCTTATTTAAATTCCAAAATTGAATTTTCTAATCAGATTCACATTATCACTTTTGAATCTCTTATACTTGGTCTTCAGAAGTCCTGAATGTGAAATCCAAACCCTCTCTCCATTCATTGTATTCTTTTTAACAATAACAAAATTATATCTTTGAATACTTGTTAGAGATATATTCCTCAGTCAGTCTGCCTTCCGATTTTCATTACAATTTATCATGTAGTCATTTCTTAGTTTTTAGTTGTTGTGTAGCCTAATCTGTCAGCTGTTTTCTCCCAATAAAACAATTCAAGAGCATATCCTTTATCTGTGCTGGGATATGGAGATTACATAATACATTTGGGGTTCAGATTTGTTTACTTCAACAAATATTAAGCATGACTACACTAGGTAGAGTAGATATATTAAAGAACAGCTCCTGACCTTAAGGAGCTTGCAACTTTTGGAGAAAAACAAAGACATGCACAAATAATTTGGATATTACACAGCAAATACAGCGACAGACATGTATCAGCATATGAGAGCACAGAGGAATGTATTAAATACATCTTGGAAGGCAGGAAAATGAGGAAATGCATCCAGAGGCAGAAGAAAGAGGCAGCTGGGGAGGAAAGAGGAAAATAGACTTTCCAGACAGAAAAAACCCAGCAGTTGTGTACAATAATATGATGAAGATCTAAACTAGTGTAGTCAATTGATAAAAAGGAAAAAGCTTAAAAAATATTCAGAATATAAAATCAGCACAGTATGGTGATGGTGACTGATTGGAGACACTACCTAACTACACTGGGGAAAGACTGGCACAGCAAGAGAACAGGGAAGCGATGTGCATTCATATTGATAGGCTGAGGCTGAGCTGCTAATTGGAATGTCAAGTGGAATAGATAGTAGAATGTCTAAATTTAATGGGTAAATTTATGGATGAAGATAAAACCTGAAGATGCATGAGAATGTTTATGATAGCTAACATTTTGCTCTTGCTTGCAGTTTCCCCAGGAATTTTTACAGTGCCTTTGGAGACTCAGAGAAACTGTCTTGTTCTATTAATTCCTTTGCCTCCTTTCACTAGTGTTCTCCACTAAATTATAATCTCCCTAAAGATTCATGCCATGGTTTCTTTACCTTTATATCCCTCCTGTCTCCTAGCATAGTGCATTACTCTTAGAAGAGAGTAAGCACTCAGTAAAGTTTATTATTGAAAGGTCCTCAATAGCATGAACATATAACTAATAGGTAGATTAAACTTATGTGGAACACCTGTGGTCAACAAAATACCTATATGCAGATGTTCCATTAACAGATAAGTCTTTCTGAGATGATTAAAGCAAAGAGAAAGAGGTCTGACATTTATGACATGACTTTCAGATTTAAAGCACTCAAATAGTTGTTTAAAAGAACAGATCTCTGTTTAATTACCTCCAACCAATGGAGGTATTAGATCACATTCAGAAAGCTTTAAACATGGTGTCTGAGCAATAGGAATTTCTTCCATATTCTTCTACCCAATTAAAACTTGGGGTGAATACTGAAAAGATGGAGATATATCTAATGAAACATAAATTTAAAAAAAGACATTTTATTCACTTTGGGACAAGATCAAAAAGACTTAGATAATTATTTTAATTCAATTAGGAAAATTGAAAGCACCATTATTTTCCACTCAGATAATTTCTTTATTCCTTAAGGTAGTGTGTGTGTGTGTGTGTGTGTGTGTGTGTGTGTGTGTGTGTGTGTGTAGTTTGTTTTATCTCTTTTTTTGTAAAACTCTCCTTAGGGAATATTGCAAGAATTGTTTTTCTTGATATAAAAATTAAAGCATGGAGAAATTCCAGTGAAAAGGAAAGGACAAACTAACATCTGATTCCACACTATTTCTAATTCTCAATCACAATATCTTGATAGGATAGAGGTGTTTTGTAGGAGATTAGAAGGCTTTTTTTTTTTTTTTGCTGAAATTGCTTTTACTTGATTTCTTTTGAAGAGTTGATCTCAATTTTTAAAATTGTCATTTAAATGCTAAGTTCTGTATTAGGAGAAAATAATCTAGAAGAATCTAAAGACAAGTGTATAGCCTTAGGTAAAGCATCAGAAAGCATAATTTAAAGAGGGCTTGCTGTGGAAGACCCTTCAATTCAGTATTATTCAGAGTAGCAAAAAAGGTTAGGCTACAATATTCCTGAGTGTTAATTTCATGCTCTGGAGCTCTTAGGTAATTTTACAGAGTATGGCAAAGTGATAAAAGTTCAGGAGGTCCATCATCTATAACTACTTCTGTAGAAATATAGGGGAAACTGTAATTACATCCTCAGAAACTTATGCTTTCAAGTAAAAGGCAAATAAAATTAGTAAAATAACTTCATGCAACTCATGGCTATCCAGAGGCAGCTTTATTCAATGGAAGTGCTCTCACTGCTGGTTCACAGCAAAGGTTCCCATGACAACCAAGAATACACAGTACAGTGGTGATGCTGTTTGCCCAGGGATATCCTGTCATTAATATAAATAAGTAGATAACGATATCTAGTCTATAGGTATTATGATCCACAGCTGTCTATAAATGACAACTGCAGAGTAGAATGGAATGCTCAGAACTGAGTTTATTCCAAGTTCAATTAAAGTTTTATTTCCTTACTTTCTAAAAACATCAAAGTATATGCTTCTAAATTATTCTACTGTGTTTCACTATAATTTTCAAGTTTGGTTTCATCCTGGATTATGACCTTTCAGTGAGCTGGGACAGTAATGTGGCCCCAGGTATGGTGAGTAAGCCCACCTGAAATAGAAGGTGGTTTACTTTCTTGATATGAACAAAGGCTATTTTGGAGTTGGAACTCTCCAGAACAGTTAAAATGCATTTATATCTAAAGGTTCTTAGGTGTAAAGGAACATACATATGATTTTAAGCATATTTCTCTACTAGAAGTCTTATAATATTTCTTATCTGTTATTCTGTATTCCCATGTTTCCTGAAATACTGTGAACTTATTAAGACAAGAACAAAATGTCATTTACTTTTATATATTGGGTCTAGGATGAGTTGGTTTCTTTTATATATTGGGGTCTAGGATTACTTGATTTCTTTTGAAGAATCCTTGTAGAATGAACCAAAAGATAACAGATAAAAATATGCAATCAATAAATGTAATAGCATGTGCTAAATGTCATGTGTACCAGAATTAACACTTGGCCTATGAGAGATACAGAGTAATATAGGGCCCATTTGAATCCTAACACTGATTTGTCATCCTGTTTATTTAAGAAAGTTACATACTATAGTATTTCATAATATAGTTGAACAAAGTATCTGTTATATACATATGCACATTAAGCCACAATTCATTTTGCATTTGTAAGAAATTCAATATTATTTTGAGTAATTTGAAGGAAACACAATTCTTACAATTTGCATAACTGAGGTTCAAAAGGAAAGTCCACCATCTCAACCCAGTTAAATTTGGCTAACTAGTATGTACCAATCAATATAAACACGTGCTTTAAAAAAGTTACCCTAGTTCTCATTCCTAGGAAACATCAGCTGTGTAGCACCGGGATTCATTTCTGTTCTCATACAATTTAATTTCTGTAATAAAAAATCTATGTCCATTTTTTGATGTGTCATTGCTGATAGCTTTAAAGTGTTATACCTCTCTCTTCCCCTCTGTCCTACATTTGGGAAAACTGTTAAGAAAGCCCATGTGTTCTCTCCTTTGGTGATGGTGGGAAATTCAAACCACACCAGAGTCCACCCACACAAAACTCTCAGCATGGCCTCACCCACTAAAAGTCATAAAATCTCAAACCAGTCATTTTCCCCCTGCTCTCTCAAGCTACTTCAGACCTTCTTGGGAGGCCTGCTCTGCTCTCCCCAGAAAAACCTCATAATTTTATAAGTAATACATACTTTCATACTTTCTTGGTAGGGGTATATGTGTGTGTGTGTGTGTGTGTGTGTGTGTGTGTGTGTGCGTGCGCGTGTGTTTGTGTATGTGTGTGTGTGAAAGTGAGAGAGAGAGAAGTGTAGGGCTGCTCATTAGTCTTAACATTTGAACCATATTTTGGGTGGAGGCTTATCTGAATCCACACAATGGATACAACAGTTTCATCTTCTAGATCTTGGCTATTTGGTTCTCCTCTTCTGCTCCTTTCTTTGGGAGGGAAGTAAAAAGCTAAAATATGCATTCCCAGGTTATGCATAGAAGCTAACCTAAGGGAACTGCAGCTTTAATACAGCAAAAAGAACCCAGAGGAGAGTACAGAACTGATGTTATTATTAGCAGAAGTTGAAAACATTCACCTGCCTAATTCTGAGTTGGCTCTGGCATCAACAGTCTTTCTAGAATTTGTTCAAACAGCATTATTAGCAGAGGGTGCTGAGAAGAGCAGATTACCAGATTACTCTTTTTATGCCTACATTAGATTGGCCTCTTGCAGTGCATCAATATAAGGGTATGTGGTATCATTTCCAAGATGAATGTTAAGGAAATTCACACGGACAGGGGAAAGCAGGTTTTCTACACTTAAATAGCACATTCTCAAGAGGGAAAATGTCAACGTATGGCTTATTCATAGCACAATAGCTGTTTAAACTACAGCTTAGAATCTACTATGTGCCAAGCACTGTGCTAAGCATTTTACATTTTGCATATATCATTATTAGTGCCATTTTACTATTGGAAACCAAAAACAGATCCAGCAGTTGTCAGAGATAGAATTTCAACTCAGACTTACCTCATATTCAATGTCTATATTCTAATGAACTCATTCTAAGACTTCAGATTTACGTTGTTAAGACTATGAAGCTTTTTGCTTCCTGATAATCTCTGAATGTCTAATAGGCCTTTATAGCTGGCAAGCTTAGGAAAGAAGCACATTTTTTTTTCTGCTGGAATGTAGGGAGATATCTGTCATAGCTCATAGATGAAATATATAAAAACACTACATGGTATCCATTATTCATTTCAGCTCCATTGCCCTAAAGAAACATAACACCATGAATTTAGATGTAGCAAGACAATGGAATAAATGCTTTTAATTTTTTTTCAATAATTATGTCAAAATAGATATTCTGGGAACCGTGAGAAAGTAGAAAGTGTAGAAGTCATGTTGTTGACTTCAACATGCTTACAATATACCTAACATATGGCTCAGTAGTTTGTCTAGTTGTTAATAATTTGAAACATTGATTTGCTAAATTAATATAAATGGTTTCACATTACAAGTAAGGTAAGTATTTTAAAATACTAACTTTTCAAGACTTCATTTTTTAGAGGAGTGAGATTCACAGTGAAATTATGAAGGTATACAGATTTCCCATATGTAACATACTAGTTTTCAAGCATTAATTTTAATAATTCTTATATCCTGAGTTAGCATTTAAATTTATTTTATACCCTTAGTCTTTGGCAAAAAAAATGCTTCTGCTTAAAATAGCTTATTGGCTAAGAATCCATCATTTTAAAGAAAATTATGCATAATCAACAGGTATATAGTTTAAATAGAAAACAGCAGGGGGAGCTCAAAGACAGGTTGGACAAATTAAAAGTTGACTTCAAGAGTACTGAAAAATTATTTTAATAAAAATTTGAAGAGAAGAAGGAATATACTGTTAAATTATGAGATGATATTTTATACAATAATTTCCAGCAAAATAGCTAGCTAAATGGAGGAATAGTTTCCCATACAGAACACTTCAAAAGTCCAGAAAAAAAAATTAATGCACAGAATCACTAGACATCAGTGAAGTGAAAATTAAAATTACAATGAAATAACACTACATATTACTCAACTAGAATGGTTAAAATGAAAAAGATAATACGAAGTGTTGACAAGAATGTGGAGCTCTTAGAAAATAGAGAATATTGGTTGGAATCTAAATTGAAGAAGCTACTTGAGAAAACTGTCTGTCAGTCTTCAAAAAATGCATGCCTCATAATCAAGCAATTCCACTTCTGGCTATATACCCATCAGAAATATATATGCATTATACAAAAAGATGTATACAGTAATGTTCATAGCAGCATGATTTGTAATAGTTTCAAATAAAAATAAAACAAATATTTACCAATAATAAAATGGGCCAGGCACAGTGGCTCACACCTGTAATCCCAGCACTTTGGCAGACTGAGGCAGGTGGATCATTTGAGATGAGGAGTTCGTGACCAGCCCGGCCAAAATGGCAAAACCCCATCTCTACTAAAAATACAAAAATTAGCCGTGTGTAGTGGCAGGTGCCTGTAGACCCAACTACTTAGGAGGCTGAGGCAGGAGAATTGCTTGAACCCTGGAGGCAGAGGCTGCAGTGAGACGAGTTCGTGCCACTGCACTCCAGCCTGGGCAAAGCAGTGGAACTCTTTCTCAAACAAAACAAAACAAAACAAAACAAAACAATAAAATGAATAAATAATTTATAACATATTTGTATGAAGATGAAAATGAACTACAACTACATATATAAAGACAAATGTTCCTTTAGGCCCAGGAGTTTGAGTCTAGCCTGGGCAACAAAGCGAGACCCAGTCTATACAAAAAAATAAAATAAAATTAGCCAGGTGTGGTGTCATATGTCTGTAGTCCTAGCTACTTGGGAGGCTGAGGCAGGAGGACTGCTTGAGCCCAGGAGTTTGAGGCTGCAATGAGTTATGACTATGGTACTGTACTACAGCCTGGGTGACAGAGCAATACCCTGTCTCAAAAAAAAAAAAAAAAAAAGAAAAGAAAAGAAAAAAGAAAGATAACTTTTCCAAATACAGTGTTGAGGAAAAGAAGCTAGAGAACAAAGAACACACTCTCTTTGGTAAATAATATGAATATTATCTTAGAAATCACAATAGTAGTTACTCTGGGGTGGGGGCAGAATCTGAAAGGTACACAAATGGGGGCTTCTACAGCTTAGCAATATACTGCCTATTAATCTAATTGCTGCTTACATGGGTATGTTATCTTCATGGAAATTTACCACATTTTACATTTAGGTTTGTGTGCTTTTTCCTCTTATGGTATAATTCAACAAAATTTGCTCTAAAATTATACTGGATGATTGCTTTAAATCATTAAATTAAAAGTTTTTGAGGCTTGAAATTAAGAAAGCTTGGTCCCACAGGGATAACTAAGTACTAGAATTGTTTTTTGCTTTGTTTGTTTTTTTGTTTTTTTCCTGAAGGCATTTACCAATTCTTTGGGTTCCAGGGCAAGAATCTAAACAAGGGGCCTAAACAGAGAAAGAACTCACATTCAGACTTCACAGAAAGTCTTATACCCAAAAGTCAATACCTATAACTAGGCATGCTACAATCTTTCATGCAGAACAAGACTTGTCTTGGTTTCAGGCAGCATATTTAAAACAAATATTTCTTTCAAAAATTTCTAATCACAAGTGTATACTTGCGATATGTAATATGGCATTGGATATTTGCGTGGCCCAAAAGTTGAACATTTCATTTAAAGTAAATCTATAGTTAGCAGACATGCAGTTACTTAAATTATAAGCAAATCCTCTTTCGAAAAATACACTTTCAACACAGATAATTTCCAGAGATAAAATACTAAAGAGTATGAGCTCACATATGTAAAAAAATATAGAAAATGCATAAAAAAAATAAACTTGCCTGAGAGACAATCAGTGGAATAAACTGCACAGGTAGACCAACAAGATTACAGATATTGGAACTATCAAGGAACTAAAATAAAAAAAAATATTTAAGCTGTTTAAAGAAATGATAAAAAATTTAGTAAATGAGCAAAAGACAATAAAAATCAACACACATATTTAGAATAAAGACCAATAGAACTTCTAAAATTGAATGTCTAATAACTGAAATTAGAAACTCAACAAACAGGTGAAACAACAAATTAGACTCTACTGAAGGTTGAATTAGTGAGCCAGAAAACATATATGAATGAAACATTCAGAATGCAGTAGAAAAAGAAGTGGAAAATATGAAAGCAAGGTTAAGATAGGTGAATGACAGAGTGGGGCCAACATAAGTCTTACTAGGGTTGGGATAGATTAAAAGGAATGGCAACGAGGCAATATTTGAAACAATAATAGCTAAGAATTTTCCAAAATAAATAAAAGACACCAACACTCATATTTAGGAATACCAATACATTTTAAGTAAACTTTTGAAAAACTCAACTTCTGGATTCATTAGAGTGAAATTGCACAACAACAAAGATAAAAATAAGAATTTCAAAGCACCCAAAAAGAAAAAAGTAACACTGGTCAGACTGAAAAGTGATTTCTCAAAAGACAAGGTAGTATCGTATTTAAAGAGGTGAAGAGAAGTAGTTGTCAACCCAGTAATGCATACACAACAAAACTACCTTCCAAGTCTAAGCACAAAATAAGATAGTAAGAAAACCACACATGAAGAGAATTCCCTACTATTGGAGAGTCACTAGAGAAACTTCTAAAAGACATTTTTAAATAAAAAGGATGGTCTCAGATGCAAAAAAAAAAAAAATGCTGAGCAAAGAAAATGGAAAATGTGTTAGAAAATGTTCACCAAAGATGACTTACTACAACTATAATAATAATGATAATGTCTACAATGTAATACAAATATGAAGAGAACAAAAATCTATTCTTTTGTATTTTCTCAGGAGGACAGTAAAAGGGTAAAGATATTATTTAACTTCAGCCTTAAGTTACATATTTGGAAAATTTTTTAGGGTTATTATTAAAATAATAGAATTAGAGTTTAAAACTTACAAACTAGAAGGAAAAATACAATGAGAAAAGGGAGGAAATCACTTTGATCTAAAATAATGCCAGAAAAGACGTGAAAAGAAAACAAACATTAGAAAGCAGGATAAATAGGAAGCCTAAATTAATATTTTTGAATATTATAATTATATTATAAACTTTATAATTTTATATTAAGTTATAAATATATAAAATATAGGTTTATATTATAAACTTTATAAATTATATAAACTTATATATAATTATACTTTTGAATATAATTATATTTTTTGAATATTATAATTATAATTAATCCAGTGTTCATGAATTAACTAATATTTTCAGTTTAGTTTCAACAATGTCAAAGAATAGGTACTATACAAATATCTCTTCTGTTAAAGATGAACAAAATTAGAAATTAATAACAATGTATTTATTTAAAAACTCATTCCTTTGGAAAACATTTAAAAAGTACTTCTAAATAACACTTGAGTGAGAGAAGAAATCAAAGGGATTTATAAAATACTTAAAACTTAATAATAAATATATTATGCATCAAATATATGGGATTGTCACTAAAGCAATAGAATTAAATCACTGTATTAGAAATAAAGGCTAAAACTCAATGCACAAAGCAACTTACTTAGAAAAAATAGGAAAATAAACACAAAAAAGTAAAGGAAAATAATAATTATAAAAACAAATACTAATAAGAGAAAATACAGTAATAGAAATTCAAAAACAAACATGAATATACTAATTAAGTAGTCTGGCAATTTGACACAAACGAGATACAGAAATAGAGGAAAAGAGAAAACAGCAACAAAAAAATTTTAAAGAGAAAAGAGAAGAATGGGCATAGTATAAGAGACAGAGGTAGAGTTCCAGATAGGTAGGTAGGTAGCTAGCTAGTTAGGTAGACAGAAACAAAGGTAGAGAACATCTTAGTAGAGATAGACAGACATAGATAAAAAATAGTAAAAATTTAAAGGAGGCATGACTTACCTGGAAAAATATAGAGACAGAAGATGTAAATGAAAGAACTATTTCCCAGGTATATGGAAACAGCAGGAAAATGTAATGCATCTTGGAGAAATCATAAGGGTCTGAGTGAAAACTCTTTAGTTAAGTGAAGCAAAAGGAGCACCAGTGAAAAGTGGTGGCACTAGTGATTCCAGCAGATAGGCAAGGAGATCTGAAAATATAATTTCTCCTACTTAAACCGTTTTTTAAAATTCTTTCTGTTTCACTGTAAAACTTAAATCCAAGTACCGGTGATCGTAAGATTTAATTAGAGAAAAATAGAATTTGACTCATTTGTGATGCAAGACAAAATAAAATAAGATTAATAAGTAAGTTATCAAGCAGGTCTTACTCAAATAGCATCTTTTTGGTTACAAAATGACAGGGGACACAAATATGATTGTAGAATTTGACCTAGTAATCCCAGTTCTTAAAGATTATTTTAGTAAAATAAAAGCAGTTTAATTTAAAAGATAAGGAAAACTTCTAAGGATGTTTCTAGAGCCATCATTTCTAATAGTAACAAATGAGAAAAGAAGCTTGAACATCAAAAAATACAAAAAGTTTCGATTAAGTCAGAATATTATGTAGTAATCAAAATGATACATGAGAAGACTGTGTCAGAAGAAAGAGCAATATTTAAGGAATAATAATGTGGTTTAGAAAGTAAGATAAAAAGTATACAATTATTATTATAGCTCCATTAATATGCATATAACCAGTCAACATTGGGAAGGAAAAAAGAAAATAAAAGTGGTTACATCTTGGTAGAATCATGGCTTAAGTAATTTTCAAAGTCTTTTTCTATATATAATTAGGAACTAATAAATCTTTTAAATATTCTACTTGTACTTGTTGACTAATATGCACAATGGTAGCAGGGACAGACCATTAGCTTTTACATTATTTTTGTGAATTCATAAGAAATTCACAAAACTAGAAAACAAGTATAAAATTCCTTAAAATGAGCTATATAAGTAGAGTAGCTATGTTGCTTTTTTCACTTTGATAAATATGAAAATGAATAATAATTTTCAAAATATATAGAAGAGCACAGGTTACAAGGAAGTACCTGCTGTATCTTTATAATGAACAGTGTCCAGTCAATTCAATTTCCTTAGGAGATAGAAGAATAGGCCAAGTTACAGCCCGTTGGACAATATGATTTCAGAAACTTTCATACATGATTAGCAATCTGAAAACACTGAATTTCTGTTCTATGGATTCAGCACTATATGATACCATTCTAATGAGGCTTTTAAAAAATGTGGTAATTTGAGGTCTGAAGTGGGTTCAAAGATGTAACAAAGTTTGGCGCTCCAGAACATAAACAAAACATAACACAGGTGTGGATGTCTAAACTTTTGACTGTACCCAATCTTAACATCTGGTTTTTGTGCTCAACTGCTCACAGTCATGTAAAATGTCTCAACTGTTAATGACTCAGTGTTAAGTGAGAAAAAAGAAAAATTAAACTCTGCTGTTGAATACCATGTTGTAAAATCCTCATCTTTAGAGATTCTAAAAATATTCATAGACTACACCCTTTTGAATGCTGTGGCAACTTATCCCCTGAAAGGAGCAGGCTAAGCCAAGTGACATGAAGATATTTTCTCTGTTTCCATTAAGGTTATATTCCTCTCTGGGTCAGTCAAATCAAACTTGTAGCACGCATGTCTAATGCAGAATCACTGATCAATCAACGTGCTCTTTTCTGAGGAGTCATGGAGCTCCATATGCCTTATGATATTTAGGACATATTCCAGGAAGCTAACAATCAATGAAAGCTTTTTTCAAACAGACTTAATTAAAGAGAAGATGAATAGATGAATGAACTTGGGGTAAAGGTGTTCAAATGTCTCTCCAATTTTACTTCAAGAATGTTTAACCCCATTGAACTTATCAGTTTTGGTTTTATCAAACCAAAATTCTGGATATACAGATGTAGGGTTCATCTTTATTGAAGGGTTTAATATTGGATTTCCTATTTCAAAGGAATGGAAACTGAAAAGATAATATTAACTCAGAAATCAGTTGACAGATGTCAAATCAAGGAACATTTGTAAAAAAAATTAGACTAATGTTCAAGTACAGATAGAGACATTTTCTGTAATAAAATCTTATCACAGAATAGCAATGCCACTGAACAGACAAGTATAAAGTAATACCAAGGACAAAGATAAAAAGTTATTTCTATTTTTGAAAAGAAATTAGATGATGTCTAGTTTAAAAAAATATGTCAAGGTATAAGATTCCAATATTTTATTTGACTATACAGTTTAGGTTGTTTTTCCCATTAATGTAGAAGCACATTACATATCGTTTTCAAAGTCTAAATGTGTTCTTTTTTAAAAAATGATAAATATGAAGGGCAAAATATTCATCTTAAACCATGAGATAAAAATATAGAGGTTTTTCATGCCGCTATCTTTTTGGTAATCAATGATTGAATAGTGAATATTGGTTTACAGTGCAGCTATTTAATTATTAATACATTTGTTTTTTCTTAGAAGGATTTAATATTATTTTTACATTTTCTCCACTAAATATATCATTTCAAAATTATCTACAGGAATATGCCCAAAAGAATGATCAAAGCTTAGAAATATTTTGCAACTCTGTATCATATTGAGATATAAAAACAGAATCAAGAATGATATTGACAAAAATCAGGTTAGCACATCATCTAGATGATAGGTTTTCAATCTCCTAAAAAATAATGCATTACATTAATTATGCATATTTGAGCTTTAATGAGAAAACATTGTAAGGATGAACAAAATCCTTTAACATCAGAGCTGACAGAGAGGTGAGAGACTGCCTAGTTCAACCTCCTTTCACAAATGAGGCAATTAAACCTGTAAAAGACTACATGATTTGTGCAGTTCATAACCTTCATGAGCAGGCTAATGTCTCCTGTATTTTCTTCTGTACCCTAATATCTACGTAGCATAGAAAAAAAAATCTCTTTGAATTGTTAAAGTAAAATGTCTTACATTGAAAGGCAGTACTTCCACATGCTAAAGAGTAAGTAAGAATTTAAGAAAAACCATGAAACAATGTGAAAGAAATCAAACTGAGTGGTAACAAAATAAACACGCTTCATTGTGGACCACAGGATTTCATGAAGGATAATGACAGTCTTTCCCATGTTTCTGAAGTTCGCTGTAAAGATACAGGTTTAAATCTCAGTAAGAGAGATTGAGATTCAGGTATAAAGGAAAACTTAGAGCGAAAGTCAGTATACTAGGGCCAAATGATTTCCTGAAAGGTTATGAAAATGATAGGCATATACCTATTAGTGAATTATGCTAAATCACTGCAGAATTCAGTGAAAGGTATACACTTTAAATGAAATCATGAAGCAAATTAAGCTTTTGACATAGGCCATTAAGTGACAAAGCCAAGGTAAGTGTTTACATTTTTCTTTTTTTTTTTTTTTGAGACAGAGTCTTGCTCTGTCGCTCAGGCTGGAGTGCAGTGGTGCGATCTCGGCTCACTGCATGCTCCGCCTCCCGGGTTCACACCATTCTCCTGCCTCAGCCTCCCGAGTAGCTGGGACTACAGGCGCCCGCCACCACGCCCAGCTAATTTTTCGTATTTTTAGTAGAGACAGGGTTTCACCGTGTTAGCCAGGATGGTCTCGATCTCCTGATTTTGTGATCCACCCGCCTCGGCCTCCCAAAGCACTGGGATTACAGGCGTGAGCCACCGCACCCGGCCTTCATTTTTCAATTTAGAATCTCGGTCTACCACCTCCTCTTGATAGGGAGTGGGAGGCTGTTACAAATTACTAGGGGCCCCACTTTTCTCAGTGGCCTCAAAATCATTTTATTTATTTATTTATTTTTACCTCACTAGGATCTAAATCTGTTTTTAGTGGCTTTGAAAACTGTTTCTAGGACTGAACTACTGAATTACATTTAAGATTGAACTAGTGAATCAGTGACTAAACAAAACAAATTTTAGGAAACCATTCTCTTCATTGTTCAACAGACAAAAACCAACGAATTTTATCACTTACTAGCTATGTGACTTTGGGCTAGTTATTTAACCTCCATGTACCTCTGTTTCTTCATCAGTAAGATGCTGATTATAACAGAGTGTGTCTCAAAAACTAGTATAAAAGTGAGTTCCATGTAAAGAGCTTAGAATAAGAGGGTATACACCTAATTCATTCTATAATGAAACTTAAAAACATTAAGAATCCTCAAGGATTACATGAAGCCAATCTGAATCATAAAGACAGGTTAAAAAGTCTAAACCAAATGTTAGCAAATAAAGCAGCAATAAATACATATTTTTCTATGTACCTATATGTGTATGTATATTTGTGTGCATATGGCATGAAAGGCTTTAAACATGAGATGTTCTAATAATTCACAATGTTAAGAGATTAAAGGGGAAAAACCACAGAAAATTATTCAACTAAACAACCATTCACGATAAAAATGTATGGCAAATTTGGAATAGGAGGAAGTTACCAAAACTAATCAAAGATATCTAATCTTGATGGTGAAATGTGGAAGCATGCTCTTTAATTGTAGACACAAGTAAAGAATGCTTGTTCTCTCCATTTCTATTTAACAGTCTTTTGAAAGCATTGCTTTTTTTGGACAAGTGTCCTCACTGTCACCTGGGAGCTTGTTAGAAATGCAGGTTCTCAGTGCCTGACCTACCACTGAACCAAGATCTTCCTTTTAAAAGGATCCCTCAGGGATTCATATTTTAAAGTCAGAGAAGCATCCGTGCAGCCAGTCAATAAATCATTTTAAAAAGTGGTATAAAATATAGAGTATAAAAATTGGAATGGAAGAAACAAATTTTTGTTATTCACAGATGATACGATTGTCTACAAAGAATACCTAAAAGAATCAGAAGAAACATCATTAAAAGTACATCAAAGTTTGAAAAGTTTCTAAATATTTGTTCGATATAAAAATTATTAGATTTGGATATAGCTGCAGCAAGCATTTGGAAAATATAACTGAAAATTGTTGCCATTTTGTAATAGCAACAGAAGTCTACAGTGGATGTGAATAAAAAATGTATAAGATCTTCGTAACAAAATGTATAAAATGCACTGAATAACACTAAAGGAGGCAATTAATAGAGGGATACGCCACAATTATAGCTAGAAAGGTAAAGCAGACCAACTGTACTGATGCGTGTCAAAGGTAACACTACCAGTCAGTGGAAAAATGATGGATCAGTCAATCGATGGTGTGGAAATAACTAGTTAGCCATATGGGAAACATACAAAAGTGGATTTCTTCTCACACTGCACACAGAATTCAATTCCATATGTAAAAGAACTTTACGGTGAAATAAAAAACTTGAAAAATTTTTAGAAGGGAAACATTATTTTAACTGTGATTCATGAACTATATGATAGAATGAAAACAATGACATTTTATATCATCTGGGACATTACTAGATGTAAAATAATTAAGTTTATTGACCTCTAAACCAGCCCAATAGGGAAAAAGGGAGTAAAGGGGAGCATCTTCTAGGCAAATGATGTTCCCATACATAGACTTGCCAGAGCATTTGCAAGATTCCCTTTAGAATCGATGTTTGGTCTCTTGCCTATCCCTCCTCCCCAGGCAGTCACTTTCTCTGGATTTTTTTTCCCTCTTTCTTTAGCTTTTCCTTCTCAGTCCTGGCAATAGGCCTTCAACACCACACCATCACCACTCCACCAATTCTGGAGGGATATGATTTTCAAAGGAACAAAGTTTTTGGAGTTGAGTTCCAGCACTAACATATGTATGGACGAAGATAACAGTCTACAGCTTTCTGTTTTCCTCCCTATTGCTCTAGAAGAAAACGCTGCCAAGAAAAAGCTACTTCTAATTTTTTCATAGAAAAAAACTGCTACTAAAGTATTTTTTTAAGAATCATTCTTTTCTTCGGGAGAAGATATTTCCAACACTTGTTGTGATCAAGAGAAATTGCAGAATATTTTTAAAATTCTTAAAAATCAATCAGAAAAAAGAGTCTGGAAGAAATTTGAGGAAGGCTTAGAAATAATTTTTATAGAAAAAGAAACATGAATCACTAACAATATTTTTAAGGCTTAAATGTATTATCAGGGAAATTAAAATTAATTAAAAAATTAGTATCATGTTACCACTAGATTGACAAAAAATTTGTCTTTCAAAAAACACGAGAGCTTTTATAAACTACATGTGATCACATATTCTTTCTCCAATACTCCTTGAGAACTACTAGATTATAAACATACATACACATACATAGGCACACACATAGGCACACACACACACATACACAGTCATTTAAGGTTAAAATACGGTAAATATTTTCTAAGTCACTTAAAATTATTGCCTGTGGATTTTTCATGTAAAATATTAAACTCTTCCAATGTTTGAACTTAATGGTTATTGAGAAATACGAAAAACTATTAGCTTTCTTGATTTAATATAGTTAATATTGCTTATAAAGGAAAGAAAAAATGCTTGGCTACAAGGTCATCTCATTTTAAGATTACATTGATTAAACATGTAGTATAGACAGGGCATCTAACCCCCATTTCACTAGCCAGCACTGAAAACTTCTTTAACCTTGCATAAAATGCATGCATATTCTTTGAAAGTCTTTTTTTGTAAACGAAGTATTAGATTTTTAATGTAAATTATAAGAAATGTAATGTTTACTAATGCCGTCAAGAATGGCAGGTCAAATTCACCTGGTTTTTAAAGATCAAATGCCTACTTTTACAGTCACCTTTCAACCTTTGTTTTAGACTCTAGGATTCGTTTGTCACAGGTTTGCCTATTTGGGCCACAGCTTCCTTATATAGGGTACAGAGCAGCATTCAAAGGTAGTGTTTAAGTATATGGACTTGGGTGCTAGATCACTGTGCACTAACACCCAGCTCAGACACTTACTAGCTGTGTGACCTGGGGTAACTTAACAGAGCCTCATTGAGCTTTGGTTTCCTCACTAGTAAAATGAAGCTGAAAGGAGGATATATTTCATAGGGTTGTAGCAGTTACATGAGTTAAAATACCTGAGCTATTTAGAGCAGTGCCTGGTTCATAGCAGGTGATCTAGGAGTGTTATTGTTCTTCACGTTATTCACATTTAATAGCAAATCATACTGCAAAAAATGGTGTCAATGTAATGGTCATTACAGGCAATCTAAGTTGCTTTTGCTCTTGACAGTATTTTACACCTTTAAAGTTTCCAGTAAAAAAGATAATGCTAATACCATTTATAAAACAGAAGAACAAAGAATTCCTTGACAATTTAAATATCTAAATTTATTAGTTAAATCAATTAATTATTTGTTGTTGCTGACTTCCACTAAAATGTGCCTAATCGTTTTATGAATGTCTTCCTATTCCAGTCAGTATTTTTAGCAGGTTTAATTCTCAAGCATTCCAATTGGATGTGCTGGAATTTGGCTCCTATTAACTCATGGTTTTGTCCTAGTGATTAATTTATCCTACCAGATTGAATAAGTATATATGTATGTACTTGTGTGTTTGTGTGTGTGTGTGTGTGTGTGTGTGTGTATAAAATTTACACCAGTGGCAAAAATAGTGATTTCATTTTGCCAGTTTGCAAGGCAAAATGATGTTTGCTATTGTATTTCTTTTGCTAAAAAAAAAAATAAAGCACGCTCGAGTATTTTTACTGTCTGCACACTATTTAACCTCATGTCTTATTGTGTAGCTGAGTCATGATGAATACAACAAGCAAACATCCTTAATGTTCTGTTTTGTCAGTGCTGGGCTGTGCACTATGGTGGCTGCCCAGGAGGAGGGGGGCAGGACATGAGCACTCACATCAAGGATCTTATATCAATTTAGGAAGATAGAACTAAAACACCCAAAACAACAGTGAGCAATACCAAATGGTTTCAGTTCAACCCATGATAGTGTACAGGAGTCGAATAAACAACAGGAATGAAAGAGGGGAAGATGGCAATAGTCAGGGAATGTTTCATGGCTGAAGGGGTCACTTATCCCCAATTCAGGCATTCGACTACCAGCTTCATGATTCTGCCATATCCACATTTCTACATCATGATTTTTGTTGTTTCTGCATCCCCTATATACTATTATTAATTTTAAAAATTCTGTAATAGACTAGTTTTTTAAAAACTGAAATAAAATGTCTTCATTTAAAGAAGAAACTTTATATCACAACTATAAATGGAAAGTCAGTAACTCTTGCCATAAATGCAGCATAAACAGAACAACCTTATTAGTTTCTATCCAGATAATGTTGCCTTCGAAAGGCACTAGGCTACAGGCCGGTGTTATCTCTGTTTATAAGACAAAGCAGGTGTTAATAAGTGTTAGAGACTTAGTAAAGCCAACATGAGACTTTCTGCTGTCCTTCCTTCTTCCCTACCATCTTTCTTCCCTTCCTTTCTTCTTTCAACTTTCCTCTTTCTCTCTCTCCCTCCTTCCTCCTCTTCCCTTCTTCCTTCCATCCTTTAGCAAATATTCATTGAGCACCTATTATGTGACAGGTACCATTCTAGGCACAGAGGATACAACAGTGAAAAAACAGAAAAAAGCCCTTGCCCTTATAGAGCTTACATTCTTGTTGGATGAAAGCAGTCAATAAACAGATAACAAAGGATACAGTAGGTCATAGGTGCTATGAATAAAAATACAGCAGGGAACGTCAAGGTGGAAGAAAAAGCATGAATAGGAAAGGATTACTGCTAAAGTAACATATGAGCGATGATCTGAAGGGCAGGATGGAACCAGCCATCCAGATACTTAGAGGAAGAGAATTCCCAGCACTGGGAACAGGTAGTGCAAAGGCTGTGATGCAGAACATGCTTGGCACATTCAGGGAACACCAGTGAAGTCAGAGTGGAGAAGTGAGTGGGTGAGGCGGACAGTGGTTTGAGAAGATGTCAGATCCAGGTCACTTGAAAGGGGCGGTAGACATAGATCATGTAGAAGTTTAACAGACATAGCAAGAATTTGACTTTGACTCTAGATGGCATGCCATTGGATGGCTTTGAGCAGAGAGCAACACGATGTGAACTAATTACTGTTTTTGTAGAATAACTCTGCTATGAGATTAGACTGGATGGGCAAAAGCACCAGTCGGAAAACTGGTTAGGAGGGTATTTCCATTAATTTAAGAGAAAGATGAGAGAACAGTCATGTGGGAAGCACAGGAAGTAGTAAACAATATTGGATTTGTTGGGCAAAGTGTATCCACCACCCCCCAAATACACACACACACACACAAATCTCTATCTCAGCACTTATGTATTTATGGTTTATAAATGAGGCTGTTTATGGGCAGGACACGGTACCTCACACCTGTAATCCCAGCTTTTTTGGAGGCTGAGGTGGGGGGATCACTTGAGGTCAGGAGTTTGAGACCAGCCTGGCCAACATGGTAAACCTCATCTCTACTCATAATACAAAAAAATTAGCTGGGTGTGGTGGCCAGCACCTGTAGTCCCAGCTACTTCGAAGGCTAAGGCAGGAGAATTGCTTGAACCTGGGAGGCAGAGGTTATGGTGAGCCAAGATCACACCACTGCACTCCAGCCTGGGCAACAGAGTGAGATTCTATCAAAACAAACAAACAAACAAAAGAAACATGAGACCATTTATGGGGATGGGGCTGTTCTCCCTGCCCCAAATTTGTTGTCAGTGACTGGCAATCATGCCTTATTCATCTGTAAACCTTACTGACCACAGTGCCTGATAAAGGTGCTTAAAAAGTTGGTGCGACTGAATTTCAGATGAGTGGAATAATGAAAGGCACAGAGGAAAGAAGGCTCACAGTAGGTATTTGGGGCAAGAAGATCTACGTGGGAAGTGCAGAAAGGCATGGGCATTGTGGTGAGGCACCTCTCAGAGAAACCGAGGTTCACATTAGAATGGATTTCACGTGAAAGAAGTAGAACTAAGAGAAGTATAAGAGGAGAACGATTTAAGATGATAGGAAAGAGGCCAAGTTTCATGGAACCTTTATTAAAAAAAAAAGAAATTCCATATAGGTTAGATTTAGGAAATCAGGATTCGGAAAGGGCTAGGATTTACTACATAACTTTCATTCTGAAATCCTTACATTTCAACTATCAATTCACTGAATAATGTCAATATTTTATTTTGCTGCTTTTAAGAGATAAAAAAGAGCTGTTCATAACTAATGGAATATGTATATGCACACATACACACACACATATACATATATACACATATATACACATATATACACGTTGTGTGTGTGTGTCTGTATGTGTGTATATATATATAATGTATATGAAATTCCTCAATTTCAAAGACTGGAATAGAAACGTTCCTATAGATATACAAGGATCATTTATACTCCTAGGATGAAGAGACATGCATCATGAAGGTTTACTTGGGTTAATTAGGTATATTTCAAGGGTGATTAAGGAACAATAGGAGATCACTAAAAAAAAAAAAAATCTCTGCTGCAAAATAAAACTAATGGAAAACTGAGGCAGGACTAGGACAGCAGTAGAGAATGATGCACCACTGAGAATGGGGGAAGAGGAATTAAGGCAGATAGACCTGGAAGAAAGGTGGCTGGAGGAGCAGATATCTTGTCTTTACATCAGTGCATTCCTGATGTATAAGGGAGACTTGGCCCATCTTGCATAAAGCAGTCAGGTCAGAGTAAAAATAAAAACAGATGTATAACTGCCCAGTCTCTTGCTGGAAACGTGGAGACCCCAAGTCTTGTATGGAAGGGAGACAAAGTCAACAGCTATTTTTGCAGGTAAAAGAGAGGATTTTTTTGTTTCCTAATCCAGGTCATCCTCATCTCTTGCCTTTACTTATAGACACAGCTTTCTAATTGGCCTTGCAGGTCAACACTTGCCCATCTGTGCACCATTCTTCTCCCAGCCAATTACTGGCCTCTAAACTATTTTTGAATAAATAGCAAATCTTATATTATCTGTTTCAACCTCATTTCCTGACACTCTTTCCCCACTTTACCCCAAATTGCATAACTTCCTGGTTAATTCTTTAAAAGTTGCCTGTTCTAACACTAACTTCTTCCTCCCTCCCCAACCCATCTCTACAGTTAAGTTTATGTCCTCTTCTTATTTGATCCTGTAGCACCTTCCACCTGTCTGTTATAATATTTGATACACTTGTAATTCTAGATCTGTCACCCCAGAATGTAGAAAAGTGTCTGGTACATGGTAAACACTTAATATTTGTTAACCGTTGAAGGTTGAATGTTTACTATTGATGAACATGAAGATAAAAAGATAGTAGCCGACAATTATTGAGAATGAAAGGGTTTTTACACTAATTTACATTTCAGATAAGGTACAGCTTTCATTGAGATTTAAAAAAAACTCAGGTTTGAAATTATTATAGAACATTGTATAATTTCCCATGTTCACAAATTTAAAAAATACAGTACACTTTAAACAAAACAGAGTTCACATAAAGCATATTTGATAATCAGCTCAGCTCCTTGGTGAAAAAAACTAAAATTTGGAATAGTTAATTGAATGGCTATCATTTAAATATTTTAAATACTTGTTCTTGAACTATAAATAACCACATAGAAATATGAGGAAAATTAAATTTAAGAGGGTGTTTATTTGGAGAGGAATTTTAAAACAAGTCTTATGAATCATGGTAAATACCCTTACAGGTATACTCAGGGCACTGGAGTGCACTTTATGCTCCAACAAACCCAAGACTTAGAGACAGTTGCTAGCTGCACACAAACAGTGTCACTGTCCACTATTTTACACAAACGGCAATTGAGTAGCAAGGGAAGGTGAATTCCTCAGTCCTGAGTTACTTCTGGGTGTGCCTCAGATGTTTAAGCTGCACATTAACTAACTCATTTAGGCCCCCAGAGTAACTATTAATGTACCAAAGCTACAATTTGAGAAGACCCTTTATTTCCAAGAGAGCTGGAAGAATCTTCAACAATTCATAATACTTGTTCTTATTAAATTGCGAATTCTGGGCAAAGAATCTTGAGGAGTAAAATTGCCTATGCCATTTCACATGAATGATATACAGAATGTGACTCTGAAATGTCTGCCATTTTCAGAGCATTACACATGGAGAGCTTCCTCAATTTTCAGAGGACCTCTACTGCTACAGGGAAAATTTCGGTTCACTTGAGTTAGAATTATCCTTAAAAGGGATAGAAAAATTCAGGAATGCAACAACATTGACTTACCAAGACTCACAAGTTGTATACACCATTTAGAAAAAGTTTTTAGCCTTGAAAAGGAACATCTTGTATTATTGTTAATATGAATATTTATGAAGCACTATCAGTAGGCTTAACTCAGTCCCTGCTCAATTAGCTTATAATTTAATTAGTCCTAAATGCAAATCCTCTAAATTGGGGTGGTTGGCTTTTGAAATGAATGCCAACTAATATCATTATTGATGGCTCACTATCTTCTGCTTCTCTCTCTCATTTCTCTTTTCTTCTTACCTTATACATACATTTTGCTCTCAAACACCCACCCTTCCTCAACTGAAAGGATGTAAATGAAGGTACACCTGCAAAAGCAGAAGCCCTGTGGTCCACATTGAACTTTAAAATCCTTATTAGCATTTTGTATCTGAAAATTATAGGGATGTTTTGTGAATTTTTATAGATCTAACACAATTGTCAAATATCAGCTTTGAACCATGAAAACATTTCTAAGATATTACGCAAACTAAACTCTAAATTGAGTTTTCTATTTCTATTTGAATTTCACATATCTAAATTTCCTATGTTGTTTCTGAGAGAGCTCCATATCTGTGCTGGAGTTGGTTCACTGCACAACATTTCTTACAGGTTTAGATAGCACACCTTGTTTTGTGCTACATTCTCTCTTGGGAGACCTCAGTTGTATTACAATCATAGATGGTTGCTTACTAATACAGAAAGTAGAAAAAAAAGCTGCCCCTTTGAAAACTATTTAATAACTTTAATAAGCTGCTTTGTAAATAAGTAAATAAAAAGATACACTTCCTTTTGTCAAAGCAAACTCTTTGATATGGTCTGGTTCTGTGTCCTCAACCAAATCTCAACTTGAATTGTAATGCAAATTGTAATCCCCACGTTTTGGGGGAAAGTCCTCATGGGAGGTGATTAGATCATGGAACAGATTCCCCCATGCTGTTCTAATAATAGTGAGTGACTTCTCTGGAGCTCTAATGGTTTTATAAGGGGCTTTTTCCCCTCCACTCTGCACTTCTCTCTCCTGCTGCCATGTGAAGAAGAACATGTTTGCTTCCCCTTCCACCATGTTTGTAAGTTTCCTGAAGCCTCCCCAGTCATGTGGAACTGTAAGTCAATTAAACCCGTTTCCTTTACAAATTACCCAGTCTCAGGCAGTTCTTTATAGCAGTGTGAGAACAGATTAGTACAGTCAGTTGGTACTGAGAGTAGTGTGGCACTACTGCAGATACCTGAAAATGTGGAAGCGACTTTGGAACTGGGTAACAGGCAGAGGTTGGAACAGTTTGGAGGCCTCAGAAGAAGACAGGAAAATGTGGGAAAATGTGCAACTTCCTAGAGACTTGGAGGGCTCAGAAGACAGAAAGATGTGGGAAAGTTTGGGACGTCTGAGAAACTTGTTGAATGGCTTTGACCAAAATGCTTATAGTGATACGAACAATGACGTCCAGGCTGAGTTGGTCTGAGATGGAGATGAGGAACTTGTTAGAAACTGGAGTAAAGGTCACTCTTGCTATGCTTTAGCAAAGAGGCTGGTGGCATTTTGTCCCTGCCGTAGAGATCTGTGGAACTGTGAATTAGAGAGATGATTTAGAGTATCTGGTGGAAGAAAATTCAAAAGGAAGCACACCATAAAAGTTTGAGAAATTTGCAGCCTGATGATGTAATAGCAAAGAAAAACCCATTTTCTGGGGGAAAATTCCAGCCAGCTGCAGAAATTTGCATAAGTAATGAGATGCCAAATGTTAATCACCAAGACAATGAGGAAAATGTCTCTAGAGCCTGTTAGACGACTTCACAGCAGCCCCTCCTATTACAGGCCTGGAGGCCTAGGAGGAAAGACTTTATTTTGTGGGGTGGGCCTAGGGTCCCCCTGCTCTGTGCAACCCTGCATCCCAGCTGCTTCAGTCCCAACCATGGCTAAAAGGGGCCAACATACAGCTCAGGCCATTGCTTCAGAAGGTCCAAGCCTCAAGGCTTAGCAGCTTACACGTGGTGTTGGGCCTGCAGGTGCACAGAAGTCAAGAACTGAGGTTTGGGAACCTCCACCTAGATTTCAGAGGATGTATGGAAATGCCTGGATGTCCAGGCAAGAGCCTGCTGCAGGGACGGGGCCCTCGTGGAGAACCTCTGCTGGGGCAGTGCAGTAGGAAAATGTGGGGTGCAAGCTCCCACACAGAATTCCCACTGGGGCACTGCATAGTGGAGCTGTGAGAAGAGGGCAACCATCCTCCAGACCCCAGAATGGTAGCTCCACCAACAGCTTGCACTGCGCACCTGGAAAAGCTGCAGACACTCAATGCCAGCCCATGAAAGCAGCCAGGAGGGGACTGTACCCTGAAAAACCACAGGGGTGGAGCTGCCAAAGTGGTGGGGACCCAACTCTTGCAACAGCATGAACTGGATGTAAGACATGGAGTCAAAGGAGATCATTTTGGAACTTTAATGTTTAATGACTGCCCTATTGGATTTTGGACTTGCATGGGGCCTGTTGCCCCTTTGTTCTGGACAATTTCTCCCATTTGGAATGAGTGTATTTACCCAATACCTGTGCCTCCACTGTATCTAGGAAGTAATTAACTTGCTTTTGCTTTTACAGGCTCATAGACAGAAGGGACTTGCCTTGTCTCAGTCGAGACTTTGGACTTGGACTATTGAGTTAACGCTGAAATGAGTCAAGACTTTGGGAGACTCTTGGGAAGGCATAATTGTGTTTTGAAATGTGAGAAAGATGAGATTTTGGAGGGCAAAAGGTGGAATGATATGGTCTGGCTCTGTGTCCTCACCCAAATCTCGAATTGTAATCCAAATTGTAATCCCCATGTTTTGGGGGAGGGAACCTCATGGGAGGTGATTAGATCATGGGAGCAGATCCCCCTGCTGTTCTCATGATAGTGAGTGACTTCTCAGGAGATCTGATAGTTCTATAAGGGGCTTTTTCCCCCTTTCCTCTGCACTTCCCTCCCCTGCCGCCATGTGAATAAGAACGTGTTTGTTTCCCATTCCACCATGATTTTAAGTTTCCTGAAGCCTTTCCAGTCATGCAGAACTGTGAGTCAATGAAACCTGTTTCCTTTATAAATTACCATATCTCAAGTAGTTCTTTATAGCAGCATGAAAATGGACTAATACACCCCTGCAGTGATAAACATTTTCATCTTTTGAGAATAATCAAAAATAGATGTGCAGCAAAAATGTCATACCATTGCTTCCTGTGCCCTGTGATGCACAATGGAGCAATGCAGCACTCCTCACTAGATAAACATTCTGAAATAACAGTACAGGGCAAGCAGTCCTAGGAAGGCAGACCACAGAGCTTAGAAAAAGTACACGCTGCAGTTTGAAGTGCAAACCACAATGAGGCAATGAGGAGCTTATGTCCACTCTCAATATAAAACATATCTCTGTTAAGTCCTCAAATGCCTATGGTTCTCTGCAGTCACCCATTAATGACAACTAAGGGACCATGAAGGGGGAGACATGGACTGGCATTGTCTGCTGCACCATTCCTGGTGGTTTGATTAAAAAACACTGAAACTGGAGAGGATATGTTTAGAAAATAATTGTATGCTTGCTTCAATTCAGCTTTTCTCTCCACTTTTAAAATCAGGTAAAGCCAAACTCATATATATTCTTATTATCTACAACAATTACTGTTTCAGGAGGTTGACATGTCTTGTTACCTAAAACCACTGAAAATTTGAATGTTGATCAACATTTAAAATAGCAAGAGGAATCTTTTCCCATTGCTTAATTTTATTTTTTTGAGACAGGGTCTTGTTCTATCTCCCTGGCTAGAATGCAGTGGCGTGATCTCGGCTCACAGCAACCTCTGCCTCTCAGGCTCAAGCAATCCTCCCACCTCAGCCACCCTAGTAGCTAGGACTACATGTGCATGCCACCATGCTTGGCTATTTTTTTTGTATTTTTTGTACATATGGTGTTTTGCCATATTGCCCAGGCTGGTCTCAAACTCCTGGGCTCAAGCAATCCACCAGCCTTGGCCTCCCAAAGTGCTGGGATTACAGGCATGAGCCACCAGGCCTGGCCAATTTTATTTCTTACTTGACTTTTTTTGTTGGTGTAGCCATTCTCCTATTGATAGACACTGTTCATTTTAATTTTTGACTATTACAAAGAATGTTTTTGGGAAATTTTAAAATTTTTTTCTTCTCATGCCAAAATAAAAGCTTATAACAGAAAATATAGGCAAAACGTGAATATGTAAAAGTTTCTGCAATCCTACTTACCCTGAAATAACCACTGAATGGCATGGTGGTTGTTATGGTGTGTGTGTGCATGCAAGTGTGTTTACAACATTTATCTTTTTCTGAGTATAAGCTTATATGTAAATTTTAAATTTACATATATGAATAAGCAAATGCATAAATTTGTAAAAATTGAATGGTACTAAACATACTTTTTATAAGATCCTTTTTTAACCCTGTAAGGCTATTAAAATATTCAAAACACTATCCTTTTTCTAGTACTATGTTCACAAAGTATTCATTTTAAAATATCACTATAGAACAGTATATTACAGCAGGCAAAGAAGTTCAGTTGAAAGTTATACTCCTAATATTTGAGAGAGATAAGAATGGATGAAGTTTGATGTACTTAATCCTATTGCAATAAAGTGAACTTTCAAATATTTCAAGCCTTCACTGCAAAGTAAAATAAGACCTATTCTTATTTCTTCAAAAATTTTATATATTATAAGTAGGTAAGGTATCTCCAGCTGAAAGAAATAATTTTATGGCCAGCTTTCCAAACCTTCCAAATTGTATATCACTTTCTTCTCTTTTAATTCTGCTGTCTCAGATATTTAATTAATAAGAGCTGCTGTAGCAAGGGGCTTGTCCATAATTTTATTGTCAACATTTCTGAGTCATCTACTTCTGATTTGTTTTAAAATCAAATGCAAGATATTTGGCTAACATACAATCACCATGAGCTAGGAATATAACAAATAAACCAATGACAGCCTTCTCTGATGCACCCTTACTTTCATCTGAACCATTGTGCTAAGAAAAATTAGTTTTTTATTCCTTAAAAGTCTTAAGTATCCTTCTGTTATATCTGAAACCTCAACTCCTCAACTCCTTTTTTGTTAGTTGACCATCAGCCATCAACCACCATCCAGTTAAAGTCAATGATGTGAACTGCACGCTTAAAGGTAAGCAAAATTCTTTTAAGTTCTGCTTTGAAAAGAGGGAACAAAACCCTTGGTGACAGGAGTTTGTAATCTAATAGGGGCACTGTGATTAAGTGACATAGTGCATACATGTGTGCCAGGAAACAAATCTATACTGAGTACAATCAGAAACAGAGATCCTATCAGACATATGATAAAGCTTGCTTAAGGAAGCTTGAGGGAGGAGTGACAATCTTTATTATGGAAAAGGGTGTAGTTTGGGAAAATACTATTACATCAAGCTGGGAAGGACAGCTAAGAGAATGGATGACAGAATCAGGATATAAAAAGAGCATAAGGTCAAAATATAACCAGATGGAGTTAAATAGGGTCACATTTGAAGTCCTGCCCTTTGGTTAAAACAAAAACATCTAACTGAGCAGCTGCCAAGAGAGAAGGAGATGGTGCCTAAGTCAAGCCCTTTTAGTTAAGTGCAGGATGTCACAACGATACGATGTGGCAGCCAGTGTCTATCTAATCTAAAGTCACTTTCATTGATAAATAACCCCAGGATGAGGCAAAGAAAAAAAAAAGTCTCTATGATGTTCTGAGCTAATTGGATTACTTTAGGAATTTCTGGAATTTGCTAATCTTTGGGCCATTAAATTACAAAAGGAGGTTATGAGATAGGAGCTAGTCTAATGGGGAGTCACTAGAAAAGGAAAGAGATGTGATGGTATAATGGTAGCCAAGTTAAGGAATAGAAAACATAGGGAACAGACCTGATGGTTACAGATACAAAAGTGTCACATGAAAATGGAATTTCAGGCAGTTGTGTGCTGGGTCACCAAAATGTCATTCCCAAAGTTTACTCCATCGCACCTGGCCACTCTGCCCTTGACCCTCGACTCAGCCAAATATGACATATCTCTGGAAGGCTGGCAGATGCAAGCTGAACGGTTGGCCATAAGAGCCCAGCTGAAACAAGAGTACCTGCTTCAGTACAACAACCAACTCTAACCACCAAGGGCTCATCGAAGATCTTGCCTTAATTCGTTGGACCTATGCAAGATCAGCAAATGTCTATTCTAATTTCAGACTCACTCCTAAAACTCACTCTTGGGAGCTCTGTGTGGAATTGGGCCCCTCTTCTTCTGGTATTATGTTTTCAAAACTGACAGGGATAGGAAAGAAAAACTTATCCAGGAAGGAAAATTGGATGGAACATTTAACATCTCATATTAAGTCTGGCAATGATGACTATAAGGATCTTGCTTAAATAAATTGTCTATTAATCATTAAAAAAAGAAAGAAAGGAAGAAAATGGAATTTCACTTGCCCTGTGTGTTTCCAAGATTCACAGGTAGGAGCAATGCTACTTAGAAGTTTCACGGAGGCCAAAGTTCAGTGAAAGCAAGACCAAGCCAATGACACAGAGCCAGCCAATGACACATCAACACTGACAAGGAGAAGGATGTGCAGCAATAGGGGCACAAGCATTGACCTTTGAAGAGTCACATCATAGCTGTGTTAGCACTGAACCACAGGGCACTGGTGTCTTTTTTCATCCTGAAAATTCTGATTCAACAAAAAAGTTTGTTTCCTTCCCAATTTACCTTCCTTTGAACTAATTAAACTTCTATCCTCTTCATCCCTCAACTATTAAATATTTAAAAATATGTTGACCAATTTAAGGTTTTGAAATAAAAACATTATATGACCAAAAGGTTTGATAAATTCTCAAAAGCATAACACTGTCTACTTCTCTGTAGGTATCTCGTGAGCACCAGATACTAAGCTCCCTTGATGAAAATAGCTTTTCAAAATATGATAGATATGCTAGTGCACTGTATTCGGAAAAATGTGAGTTCATATGGACCTGTCAGGATGTAAAAAACATGCAATACTTGGTGTGTTTCCTAAGGAGGGCCCCGGGTAAGGCCCCAGTGCTGTGCTTCTCACATTGAAAACACATATGAATCACCTGGGATCTTACTGCAATGCAGATGGTTACCCACTAGGTCAGGGTGGGGTCCAAGAATTTCTACCAAGTCCAGGTGATATTCATACTGCTGGTTCATGGATCACATTTTGAGTAGCAAGGTAAGGCGTATTTCCCATGAAGCACCATTGCAGAATGTTTATTACTAGGCCAATATTCACCTAGGCATTTCTTTGCTTTATATATTAACACTTCTATTGACACAGATCATAAAATTTCTGTTTTCCTTTCTTTGAAAATTAAAATATATGGTATACTAAAACTTAAAAAAAAATCAGACAGTTTTTTCCCCCAGGTACTTAAGAGGATACAAACCCATGAAACTTGGCCTCAATTAGATTACAGTGGTCCCTCAGGATCTTTGGGGATTGGTTCCAGGTCTTCAGGCAGATACCAAAATCCATGGATGCTCAAGTTCCTTATATAAAATGACATAGTATTTGTATATAACCTACACACATCAATATACTTTAAAGCATCTCCAGATTACTTATACCTAATACAATGTAAATGTTATGTCAATAGTTATTATGCTGTACTGTTTAGGGAATGACAAGAAAAGTCTGTACATGTTCAGTATATACACAACCATATTATTAAAAAAAAAAATTGGATTGAATACACAGATGTGGAACCCATGGATACGAAAGGCCTACTGTACTTGGAAGTATCAATAGGAAATTTCATCAAAATTGATGGTGAATTTCACATAGAATTAACTCTCATTTTGTTTTTATTTATTTAGCATATGTAAGCCGGTCTCTAATAACAAAATAATTACAATGACTATTTTTCTCCAGCTCTAAATTTATTATAGCAACAACTCAGGATCAAATATAATTTGAGATCCCTTTGAAGGGGTATAAGCTGTTGGTTGATAATGATGTTGAGTAGATGGTCCAAAAAGACTCAGTCTGAACATCCTCAATTGTTTGCCTTAGACCAAATTCTAAGTGATTGTAAGAATTCATCTTCTTTGAATACGGTGTATTGAATTTCTTAATGAACTCTCCAGCAAACATGAAAAAGTAAATGATGTTATTTGGGCAAGACTGTTTGCTTATAGAAAAATAAGAATGTCATCTGTGGAGTTTTGAAACTTCATCCTAAATCATCACACATGGTTCCCAGGTGAAGCTTGTACATATATTCTGAAGTAGAAACTGCTCTTTTAATGGTGATATTCAGAATCTAGTCAGGCTGATCATTGTCCTAGTCTCAGCTTTTAGCCTCCTGTTTCCTTCATCTGAAATGTTCTTGCCCTTCATCTCCTTTGAGTCTATGCAAATGTTAACCTGGAGGGCTACCCTATTCAAAATTGCATCCCTACTGATAACTTCCTATGTCATTCCCTGACTTTTTTCCTTAGCACTTATCACTATCCAACATATATTTTTTACTTATTTTTCTTGAATATTGTCTATCTTTTCTGTAGTTTTCTGCTGCTGGTGTAACAAATTATCAGAAACTTAGTGATTTAACAATTAAAATGTATCATTTTATAGTTCTGTAGGTCAGAAGTCCAACACAGGCCTCAATGGGCTAAAATCAAGGTGTCTTCAGGGTTGCATTCCTTTCTGAGTGGGCTAAGGGAGAATCTGCTTCCTTGCCCTTTCTAGCTGTCCACATTCCTTGGCTCCAGGCCCCCTTCTTTCATTTCCAAAGCCAACAAAGTTGCATCTGTCTGACCCTTTTTCTGTTATCACATCTCTCTCTAACCTAACCAGGGAAAAGTCTTTGCTTAGAAGGACTTGTGTGATTAGATTGGGCCCACTGGGCTAATACGGACACTACATCTCAAGGTCTGTGCCCCTAATCAAATCTGCAAAATCTTTTTTTGCATGTGAGGTAATGTTCATTTAGTCCAGGGATTAGGCAGTGGAGCTCTTTGCAGGGGCTATTATTTTGCCTATATTCATTGGAATGTAAGCTCCAAAAGGTCACAGATTTTTATTTGTTTGATTCACTGTTATATTCCTAGCACTTACAGCAGCACCTGGTATATAGTATAAACTCAAAAAATATTTATTTCAGAAAATTAATGAAAGAAAATTGGATTGGGCTAATGATGTCATGACAAACACATATTTGAAGTGCAGGCGCTAGACATAGACCCTTACTAGATTTTTTTGTTTTGATTTTTGAGATGGAATATCACTCTCACCCAGGCTAGAGTGCCGTGGCGTTATCTCAGCACACTGTAACCTCTGCCTCCTGGGTTCAAGCCATTCTCCTGCCTCAGCCTCCTGAGTAGCTGGGATTACAGGCACCTGCCACCACCATGCCCAGCTAATTTCTGTATTTTTAGTAGAGATGGGTTTTCACCATGTTGGCCAGGCTGGTCTTGAACTCCTGACCTCAGGGGATCTGCCTGCCTCAGCCTCCCAAAGTGTTGAGATTACAGATGTGAGCCAATGCATCTGGCTAGCCTCTACTAGATGTTTGAAGAGTTAATCACTTGAATTAAATAAACCTTAGTCCTCATTTGAAAAATGAGACCATCACTTTGCCCACTTCATAGAGTGGTTTAGAGAATCAGTCAATGTGATCTGCACTGAAGTGGTCTGAAAATTCTTAGCTAAAGAAATGTAAATTATTGATACTATACTTTTTAAGTCGGTCTTAGTATCCTTACCTAAAAATTTAAGTTTCTTTGAGCTCAAAATATCAGCCATTTTGGTCACAGTTCACTCCTCAGACTTTCAGAAACCCCATTCAAGATGCTGAAAAAGATATATGGGAAAATCTTAAAGCATGGCAGTAGCCTTCTTTGGTTTCTTTTTTGCCAAACATACCATTCCTCAGGGTCATTGCCCTAGACTGAGTGTAGCATGATTGGACCATCTGAGAAGATGGTGGGATAACAGAAAGTTATTTGGAGTCTTCAGACCTCAGTCTAGTCCAGGCTCTTTTTGACTGGGCATTTCCATTAGTATCTCCAAGCCACCCTGCTGCCTAGAGTTTATCATTCTCAGCTACATGTTATTAAAACATGTTAGCAAGTACTGCAGTGGTGCAGAAGAAAGGCCCTAAGAGCCTTATTGTTTTTATTTCCTTAAGGTAGGACTAGAACATAATTTAACTAACACACTGTCTTCATATAACTTAAGTTTATAACCAGTATCATAGAAAAGATAACATGCCCACAAATACTTGTAGAATTATTTTGCTGATCTTTCAAAAAATGGCACTTAGAACTTTTATCATCTATTTTTAGAATATTTGTACAAGGAAATGGGCCTCTCCAATTTTATTGAAAACATTTGTCAATTTTATTAAATTTTTTAAAACTCAGAATTTGCTTGGAACTCATATGCTTATATTTACTAGAAGACTAAAAATCTAAAGGTTTAAGATAGAATTTTCTATTGCCTTAGCAAATCTGTAATGCCCAAATTAGAAAACAGTTATTTTTCTCCAGGATTGATGTAATTAAAACACTAAAGGGTGGGGGGGTCAAACAACAACAAAACAGTCTTAATATAGATGTGGTTTGTTTCTCTGGGCCTGTGACTACATATGGATATTTGGAAACATTACAGTGTTTGGCGACAACAAAGCTATTCATTGTTAGTCAACAGATATGCACACTGTGGTGAAAACTCAACCAATAAAATTGTTAATTTAATGCAGTGATTCTCAAAGTGTGGTCTCCAGACTAGCAGCATTAGTGTCACTTGGGGTCTTATTAGAAGCAAAAAATTGGAGGCTGTACCACAGATCTACAGAATTAGAAATTTTGGGGAAGGGGCCTGGTAATGTGTGGCTTATTGGCCCTTCCAGGTGATTCTGATGATCATTAGTGGATGCCCTTTTACTTTCTTACCTTAAAATATCTTATAATCTTGTTTGATAGTGTATATGAAAAAGCACAATTGCTTTTTAAAAGGTGAAAATCTGAGTCAGCAATTAAGGCTAAGTCATATCTAAAAATCATGTGGGCAGAGTATTTTGAAAACTAGATATTTGAATCAGCTGAAAAAGCCTCTGCTGCAACCCAAACCTAAAACCTCCCCTAAAACCCAAACCTAAAAGTATTATTTATTCAATAACTTACATAAATTATCCATGTAAAATAAACATTGTATATATTAAGAAATGCTTTTCACATGTTAATTGAAATCTAGCTTATTTTCTTGGAATTTTCTCTTGCATTTTAGACATATTTTCCAGAGATTGATTTTCTTGCTCTAAAATTTTATTGGCAACCCAAAAAAAGCAAAATCAAACAGACAAGCCAACAATATTCTCATATAATCAACCAGATTTTTTAAATCCAGAGTCTTAAAAATATGGGTATTTTCCCCTGCGAGTTAAATAAGCACAAAACAAACATATTGTATGGTCTATAGTTTTATTTTAGTAACTGGAAACACTATTTTGCCTGCATTCCAATTGTTATAATAAAGGTGAAGCAAAAGTCCTGAGACAGCCTCAAGGATCTGGTGGCTAATTCTTTCAACAGAACCAAGGGCAGGGTCCGAGATGACAAGGTCTGTTTCAGCTGGGTCTCAGGTGAGTGTCCAGGGTATACAGAATGGGGTTGAAGACTCTTTCCACAAGAGCAGCAGAATAGTATGCACATGAAAGTACCCCATTACCAAGAGGCCTTGTGGGATGAACCTGTGTGCAATGGAGTTACACCATCCAGGACTTCCTGAGTAGAGGATTTTGGGTTATTGGTAGGCAATGGAGAGCCAATGAGATTTCAGGTTGTGGATTTACATATCACAGTCTCTTTTTAGGAAGATGAACTCCAGCCAAAGTGTAAGCTCTAAACTGAATCTTACAGAGCCTGTTGTCAGGAAATTCTGGCAATTTCTAGCTTGACAAAAGGCCAGGCCAAAGCAGTAGTGGTGGTGATGGAGGCCAGAATGTGAGAAACCTTTGGGCCAGGTTTGAATGTGATGGCTGAAGGAAAAAATAGGAAACAAGGTAAAATCTTGGGCTTCTTGTTAAGTATTTATTAATATTGGGTATGATGCTTATTCTGCATTACTTATCCATGCAAACTATTGAGGACAACAAGATAATTTTGTGCTTAGATTGGTGTGTGTGTGTGTGTGGGGGGGGGGTCCTCTATCATGTATCTAGCTGATTCAAATCATTTTTTTCTAAATGATAGGAACAGGTGAAAAGTGATATCCCTGGGAGTCCGAGCAAGTAGGGATGCATTTCTTAACCAGCAGTTCTTTAAGTGGAAGTCTGTGAACCTCTAAAGCAGCGGAGTCATGAAAGACATTTAGAAAAATACAGTCACCTGGGTCCTGTCCCCAGAAAGTCTGATGTCATTTTTCTGGGTGTCTGGCCCAGGCATCAGATTTTTTAAAGTTCCCCAGGTGATTGAAAGTGGATAAGAACTAATGCTTGAAAATATAAGTGAAGGCTTTTTTCAATTAGATAATATAACTTTAATTTCATTCTGTTGATTTGCCTAATAATCTGTTGTGATGCTAATGAAACCAAAGTGTTACATATTTACCTCCTAGGGATGATGCAAAAACAAAAAGATAATATGTGATAAAGTACATCAAGCTGATACCTATTTGGGCCCTGTTGTCAACAATAGTGTTTCAACTTTTTCCTACAGGGAATAAATACTTACATAAATCACTGGGAAAATACAGCAAAGTAGCATAATTTCTTTGCTTTTACCTTTAACACGTGGGCTATAAAATTGTCTATAAAACACTATCTGCCACAACTTATAATAAATACATCCTTTTTATTGACATAAGATGGGTAAATATAGTTTTTAAAAGGCATCAGAGGAGCTATAAAGGCAAACTGGATGTCAACACCCATTTTGAGGGGGTTAATTTTTCTTCCAGGAAGTTTATAAATGGCAGGTCCTGGAAATCCTAAAATCGCTAGATGGACTTTGCCTTGCACATACTTGACATTCAATAAAAATTCTGGAAATGCCTGAAAAAGATCAGCACATGTGTTGTCTTAATATAGCACAGTAACATTACATTGTTTGGGATGGGTTGTGCTGAAAAAGTTGATCTCTTCCAAGACTTAAAGAATAGTGTCTGAAATTTAGCAACAGGAAATCTGGGCAGATGTGTAATGAAAGTGCTGTGAAATGATTAGAATATCTAAAACAAAGAATAAAAATACCATGGATTTGGTAATATTGGATACACGAAAATGGAATATATCAAATACACATGAAGTTCTATCTGGAAAATTTAAAAAATTAGCTTTTGGGCCAGGCATGGTGGCTCACGCCTGTAATCCCAGCACTTTGGGAGGCCGAGATGGGTGAATCACAAGGTCAGGAGATTGAGACCATCCTGGCTAACACGATGAAACCCTGTCTCTACTAAAAATACAAAAAATTAGCCAGGCGTGGTGGCAGGCACCTGTAGTCCCAGCTACTCGGGAGGCTGAGGCAAGAGAATGGCGTGAACCCGGGAGGCGGAGCTTGCAGTGAGCCGAGATCATGCCACTGCACTCCAGCCTGGGCAACAGAGCAAGACTCAGCCTCAAAAAAAAAAAAAAAAAAAAAAAAAAAAAAAATTACCTTTTGGCTACTTTTAAAGATTTTCCACATGAATGTTGGAACTACCCAACTTTCAATGAAGAAGTCTTAGCTCTATGCATTTGCAATATTTAACTTCTCCCACTTTTTCCAAATCTCTTAGATTTCAGCTGTTATGACACATTTCTAAGACCTTTATTCAGACCCTTACAGGCTTTTGAAAAGACTCTTTTTTCTTTAATATGAGATGTATTGTGTACCTATTACACTGAATGGCACTATAGAAAAATATGGCTAATCTGTATTTCTGTACTCTTTGTGAATGACCTAAATACAATGTTTACCACCACAAATTTGGTACAACCTACATGAAATAAGACTTCAGTTTTAAATATAATACTGTTCCACATAGTATGACAAATATATACTTGGTATATGAACCATTTGGTATGCTACAATACGACCCACCCCCAATTTAAACAGGCTTATCTGAAGTTTACAGAAGATTTAATATAGTTTACTAGATGATTAAATATAGGTATGGTTGTGCGTGTATGTGCATGCACACATATTTTGCTGAGTGGTTAATATAAAAGCTATGATAGAATGTGAGGATAAACACTGTATTAGCTAAGTACTGTAGAGTAAAAGAATTCAGAGGACCTGGACTAGGATAAAGAGCACAGGAAAAGAAGATGAGATTTCCATAAAACAAGCTTTGACAGCTTTGACCAACTCTTAACTGTCTGCCTGTAGTCTACATTATGTATGAGCAGAAAGTTTGTATTTCACATAGAAGCTTTCCAGTTATTAATTAGGAAAATGTTTACATATGGTATGTCACATGAGTAGGTTTATCTCCTTAGCCGACCAAAGTAATGCAGATATTAAAAAGAATATGTTGTCAGAAATAAATTATTCATGCTTCCTAACTTTTCTAATTTGGTAATTTGAAAACATTAATAGGATTTGGTCATTCTTAATTGTGTTGATGACTATCCTTGCTCTCTTTATTCTCAAGGCTAGTTGAAATTTATCTCATTTATATTAATTTTTCTGTCTGTGGCTTCTCAAAAGTAAAATAACTTCAGAAGCTTCATAAGTATGGAGAAAATGTTAGGTGAAACTTTGCAGAATCATTTATAATTTATATGAGATTTTTCTTTAGTTTTTGAGAACTATCACTTGAATATGTAATCATCAAACAGGTGGCCTTCCACTTATTTGATATGATAGAAGAAAACTTCTAACATTCCAATTTAAATATTTTATTTGAAAATTCACTGCTATAATAACACTATAACATTAAGGAGAGCTGTGTTGTAAACATAGTCCTTCTTTTTAAAAATGGGAACTCTTATTTTATCCTGTAGCTGTTATATTCATCTACTCATTTTTAGTGTTGCTTTCACCAAACAACATGTCTACAGTAAATATATTTCCATTTTATGATTACAGGGAAGTGATTCCTAATGAAAATGAGAACAGAGTGCTCAAATTGGGGTTAGACCATCCCTGTTGTGTCATAGTTTCCACTGTTGAAGTAAAATCCCAACTGAAAAATAATAGGTCTTGTTAGTTGGCAGGCAGGTTTCACTGAGTAAACTAAGTTGCTTTCTAGGATTTTGTGCAGAAAAATTCTGCAATGCTAAAATTCTGCAACGCTAAAATTCACATAACACTTAAAACTGACATCGAGAGTAGTGGCCCAATCACTATGGGAGTAATCAACAACTGTAAAAGTTTTTTGGCTTTAGCCTCTGCTGTGAAAAAGCATGAGAAGTATTTATGAGAATAAAGAGGCCTAAGGGATTGCATTTTCCACAGTTTATTGGACATCTCTACTTGGACAACCACAGACTTCTCAGACCCTACTAGCCCAAATGGAACACATAATTTCACCCTCAAACTCACTCCTCTTGCTGGACCCCAAACTCAGTGAATGGCCTACTGTTCTTCTAGTTGTCCCAAGTGTCTTCCTGTTCCTCGCTGTCACACATATTGAATGCCAGTTCCCGTTCAATCTATTTCCTAAGTAGCTATTTCCTAAATCTCTTTACTTTTCATTCTCCCCTTGCTGCTGGTCCAAGCCATGAGTACCGGTCTGAATTATTGCAGCAATGTCCCAGCTGGTCTCCTTTCCTTCAGCACTGTCCTTCCCCAATACACTCTCTACAGCACAGCCAAATACTACAACCTCAAAGACTTTCCCTTTTGTTGGAATGAAGTCCGGAATTCTTAACATGGATAGCAAGGCCTGTTATTTTCTCTTCCTTGTATTATTCTCAGCTTCATCTCCCATCATTCTCCAGAGCATGTGCAACTGTCCTCTCTGCACCCTAAACTCCACCATATGCACATTCAGTAATGTGGTAATGTCAAGAACTCTCCACTTTCCAACTTTGCATATGCTCTTGTCTCTGCCTGCCCTGTCCATCATCTTGCTAATTTCTATTCACACTGTAGGCTTTAGTGCCTCTTCCATGAACCATTCATGAACTCCACATCACCCAGTCCTAAAATCAAGGATGACTGCTTGCATAACATCCTATATTCTGCCTCATCCTGGAAGTGATTATACTTCATTGTAATTGATGTTTACTCATCTAGCTTTACCACTGGACCTCTGGCTTCACAAGAATCACATATGTGAGTATCTTGCTCACTGTACAACCTTAGCCCATTATAGTGATAAGCCCATGGTAGGTGCTCCACAAATATTTGTTAAGTGAATTAATCTGAATGCAGATATGTACAAAGACCACAGAGTTCAGATTTTTGTCTATGCCCTTAGCTATCATGTCAAAGAACTGGAGGGTAGTGCATAATAACTAGCTGTCTTATTACAACGTACCTCCCTGCAATACAGTTTCACCCACCCTACCCCCCAAAAAATTCTAATCACTAGCCAGATTTAAATCTATTTGACTCTACTTCTTTCAGTGTTGGTAAGAGCTATAGCAGCCATTACTTAAGAAGAGAGTTAAATTACTAATATCTGTCTACCCATTTCTCTGAGAAAATGAAATTACTTCTCTACATAATTAAAACACCATTTCTTTGAACTTGATGAAGAAGCCAATTTTCTTTTGTGTTCCTGCCTCAAAAAAGAATATATGTCTAGAGAGAATATTAGAGAAGTTATTCCATAAGATATAACTTTCTGCTAGAATAAACTTCATTATTCCTACAAAATTATGGAAGTAGCTGGCTATACTTCTCTGCTTACCTCTTAATTTTTCAAAAATAACAAAAATAACAAAACTAAATAAAAGTCTACCCCATATTTTCTAAAATAGAATTCTGCTAAAACACACACACACAGACACATACATACACAAACACACACACACGAACTATGAATTTCTATACCATTCTTCAAAATTCTAAATATTGTCAAAGTCATTTTAAGAGAAACAGAACTAGTTTAGTTAGTGTACATCTGTCCTATGGTATTCTTTGCACCAGTGGATCTCAGACTCTAGCATACATCAGAGTGTCCTGGAGGTCTTTGTAAAATGCAGGTTGCTGGACTGCTCCCTTCCACCTAGAGTTTCTGATTCATTAGGCCTGAGATGGAACCAGATAATTTGCATCTCCAGCAAGTTCCTAGGTGATATTGATGCTAACCTGGGGAACACGCTTTGAGATGTGACTTATACGTGTAACTAACAGTAGGGAAGCACATTTAGTTCTGTCCATGCAGTTCTATCAGGCATTTTGACATGTGCTGTCCTCTTGCTCTCTTTCTTTCATTTTTTTTGGTACCAATATCTAACTCAGCATTACTGCCTAAATACATAAAGCCTGTATTCCATGCTGAAACTTAACAGCACAAGTGTACATCATTTAAAAAAACGAAAACAAAAAAAACCAAAAAACAGAAAAAAAGAGGGCTATTTCTGCAAGTTAAAAAATTAAATGGAAAAACAACCCCAAAATTGCTCTAAGGAGGTTTTGCCTTCAATAGCAAAACATGTTTTGCCTCAATTGTGATTTCTTTGTTCGGGAGCCAAGGTGGCAATTAAGCTGGCACAAGGAGCAGGAGCCATTTATTTAATATGATGACAGCGTAGCCCTTTGTAAATCCTGGAACAATGAGGGCCCACACACAGGCTCATTCCAAGTTCTAGTTCCTTCTCTTCCCTGTTGCTCAGTGTGAATTCTCATAGCCACAAAGGAAGGGGAAGATTTTCAATCCTGTCACATCCTCCCCCATTTAAACCATTTATAGTCTTAACTTATAAGATATGAGTAAGAAATCTTCTTTAAACATTTTGCAGAGCTGATCATCAAATCTAACAAACTGGTGGTTTTGAAATCTCCTTTGCTCCAAAGACATTCCATTAACCTCTGTGTCCTCTGTTGTGTCATTGTGCTGAGAAGAGCAAGTTAAAAATCCAGTCTTAATTGGGGCTTGGTGGTAGGATTATTTTTATCTTATAGATTTATTTCAATATTCATTTTAGGAAGAAAGAAGACCTTAGGAAGGTCTAATTCTCATCAGTTCTGGCATAAGCTGAGTTAGGGATCTCAGAATTTAAAGAAACGACGCCCTTAATAATGGCATCTGAAGAAGCAAGTGTACCATGCTGTGACAATTACAAGATACTACATCAGTTCCCATCCTCTACTAGGCTCTTTTAGGATGGAGACTCTGTCTGGTTCACTGCTTTATCTCTATAATTTACAATAGTACTCAGAAAATAGAAGGCGCTCAGTATGTAGCAATTATTGCCTGACTGGCTGTCTCTGTAAGCATTACAGGGAATGTACAACCAAAATGTATAAAGTGTAACATGACACCAAAGTTCATAAATTAAATGTTATCAAAATAGATTGTTTTTATAAATGAAGAAAATTAATCAGAAGATATCTTTTTAGAATATAACAACCTCTAACACCCAGTCTACAAATATACCCATCATCAAACTTCTGGCAAATGTTCAAAGTAAATAAACACCTATCATGACTTAAATACCTGGCTTTATACTTCAACAGTGTTCATATGAGTAAAAACATTTTTGCTTAAGTTGTCTACCAGTTTATAATATGGGAAGGAATTCCCCATGGGATACTATCTCCTCCCCCTTTATATAGGGAATACAAGTTTGGCTAAATACTTTATCATAATTGTGCAGAAAGCACATGGCCTTATAAAAGGGCAATCACATATATTATCAATGGGATTGATACTATTATCAATGGTTTCCTAAAAGCAGCCTCTCCATTTTGCAAGTCTATCAACTTATAGTTCTTTACCTTCCCTTCAGCTGAATCTACTCACTTCAGGCTCAGCCTGAGTTCCTGAAAGAATCCTGCCAGGGTGGGACCCATTATAAGGATTTTAATTGCATCTAGGTCATGACACTCAGATCTGGATCTAGGGGTGACTGCTGGCTTCTGCATGATCTACTCTTCTTCTCAGGCTGCCCATTCCCTGAGATCTACTTCATGGACACTAGATCCTGTGCCTGATGTTCAAATTAGGATGGCCTCATACCACAATGTTTTGTTGCCCCTTCTAGCTTTGGATCTCCTGTAACCCCAAATAGCCTAATCTATGCCGGGCCCTCTTATGCCCTTTTGATACTATTTCTCAAATGACTCACAAGACCAGCCTCTAAGGTCAAGCTAGTTCTCCCAGGTCTCTTCTAGTATCCTAGTGCTATTTTTTTCTCTGCCAAGTTCTGATTTCTTTTCCAGTCCCTGTTGCTAAAATCCTACTGAATCCCTCACAGCCACCCAAATCCTGGCAAGGTATGATTTTACCATCTTAAGTTCATTTTCAGGGCTGAGCGTATAATAATGACTGGTCATGCAGCACCCAGTGATCACACTGTACAGAGAGTACAGACATTGGGATGGAGGAAGGGCAAAAAGAGGCCCTTGATACTGAAACATATTTTCAGAGAGTAATATAATTGGTGAATTCTCATATGCTGTGAGGATCAAATTGATGAACCATTTTAGCACTCCCACAAGAATTCTGCTCCCTCATTTCTGCACAGAATTTCATCTTATGAAAAAGTTCCACAATTGTTAACATACTATAGCATCTCTTCATGCCAAGTAGTTTTGTATTTTAAGAATTACAAAATGCACTCATCAAATAATTTTGGCACATAATATATATTTCTAAATTCCAGAACAAATCTCTCTCTTGAAATTCTATTTAAAATACAACCTGGGCTTGTACACCATCCAGTATGATAGAAAAACATATAATCAATTCATAGAAGACCAACACCTGCCCTACAGGTGCTAGAATTTGACATCTTGTTGAAATTAGATTGAAATTTAGTATACAGTATGTAAGAAAAAAGGCAGACTACAATATTTCCTGCTAGTGGACATCATTCAGGCCTCAGAGATGAAATGTGCAAAACTCTTCTAGAAATACTAATCAACTGAAACAAGCCGCCTCCAAAACAGTAATGTGGTCAGTCTGCATGCTGCCAGGTAATTTACAATCCATGACAAGCAGAGCCAAGTGAAAGTTATTTACATTTATTCTACTGGTAGAATAGAAGAGATGAGAGTGAAAAGGATCTGCTGAATCAGATCATGTTTGACTGAGGAGTGACAGGGAAGTTTTCTTCAATTAATAGCCAGCTGCATAATTTGAGCTAATGCCAGCTGGACTTTCATCATGAAACGACACAGAAATAAATTATTCTGTACTCAGGTGCTGGCATAGTGAAGTGAATTAATCCACTTAAATCTGGAGGAGGGAGAGAGAAAGTAGATTACACTATCTGAATTTTTTGAGCCTGTTTTAGCCACACTTTAAGGATACTGAGGTTCATGATAATTATTAAAATGTCCAAGTGGATCCATTTAGACTCAAATACTTGCTTGAATGAACAAATTCTTAGAAGGGAGGAACCAGAGTAGAAATGGCTTTATCAAGGTCATGGTGGTTTCTTTCACCAATTAGTGAAATTCATATTCAACTCAGAAGGTCAGGGGGAAGTGGGCAAAAAGAGTCTTATTAAGAACAACTTTATAGGGGAATTCTTGAGGGGGTAAAAAGGTGACTACAAAGATATAAAGGAATCCAGGACAGGTTTAGAGAGGTCAACTGCCTGCTGGTTCATTCAGAAAAGATTAACAGACCCAGCTGCTGGGACTTTTCTGGCTAGGCATCCTTCCCAGTGGTCACAAGTCAATGTGTCTCCTGGCTGCTTGGCTATGTTCCCATCCGTCTGGATGGAAGAGCGCCCACCCCTACACGCCAGAACTTTTCCTTAGGGGAAAGTTACTGAGGTTCCACGTCAGGCAAACTTTGCTCACCCATCACTTCAAGTAAACAACTCTTCTATGGAGATTTCTTAGAGAAAAAATGCACTTGAAAGCATCTAACCAAAGCAATGAAGGTGGAAAAAACAAGTTATGTGGGAATCTGAGTATAGAATATACAGACATAAAATAAGCTCTCCAAATGAGGAAGCAGTCACAGCTTGACCTCTGAATTGTTTGCTGTTTGTTCCTTCAATATTCAAACTGTAGCCCTGGAAATACAAACACAAACTTCTAAACACTCACAGGCCTGTGGCAACAAAATGCTACATGCCAGCTTCACAACTGGGGCATGCAGACCATAAATCCTGTAGTGGCAGGAGGGGAGGTGTGGAAATAGACTGTCATCATTCTGCAGCAAGGAAAACTAGGTACAAGGAAAAGGCAACTGGCAACACATTCCTGGATTCTCTCATTCATTGAAGAAGGAACTCAGGGATTGAATTACCCAATTGACGCTAGTTCTACCCATGCCAGAGGGCAAAAGTTCCAAGACTGCCACAGGCCATGGTTGCTTGGAATTTAGGCAGAGGTGCTTGGTCCTTAGAGTGTAGCAGAGAGAAGTTCTGGAAAAGGAGCTCCTCATCGAGTCTGGTAATGAGCACTTCTATTCTGACATGGATTTCAGAGGACTCAGGGGACAACGTGCCCAGAATTTAACCCTTTTAATCAGTCAGCATGAGAGATAAATCTAATTTAGCTATATGAGACTGATGAGAAACAGTCTTTGCCGTCTATAACACAAAAGGAAAAGGACAAAATAAGAAGCCCATTACTTTTAGTTAACATTCAGAGCAACAAATAAATTCCTACAATCACATAGCACCTGGTTCCATCAATGGTTGGTTAGTCTGGGAGATTCTAAGCTATTAGCTGGAAGCTCTCTCCACAGTGAGTAGTGGGGAGAAGGGGAGAAGCGAGCTGTTAGCTGAATTAGCAAGTGTTTTTACAAATGTCATATGTAGTGTCAATGTGTGTCCTAAATGTAACACCCTGCCAATTCATCAATTTATAGACAGAACATAGGCACAATTTCTAGATATGAGATTGCATGACAGTGTTTCTCAAGGATTAGTTTATTTCTTTCAACACACCCTTTTTGATACGAACTGCTTTATTTTCTAGCACTCACTACATCTCACTCAAATGTGTGGATGGCAACAGAAAATTTTGATCATTACTCAGAGTACTGATTTTATACATTATCATCTTTAACCTTACAGTCTTCTGAGGTTAAAATCCAATTACATAAAAAGCAAAAGAACCTCAGAGGTAAAGAGACCAGCCAAAATATAACTATGCCCTAGTTTTACCCCTGTATTTTTATTATTTTGTGGGGTAACTTTTATTTGCCAGTCTTCCTTAAAATTGTAACTTCTTTGAAGATGGGAACTCCATATTATTCATCTTTTCATCTTCAGTGCCTAGAACAGTGCCTGGAACCTGGTAGGCAGTCAGAAATGTGAGAAGTAGATGCAGGCCATGCAGCCAGTCAGCAACAGTGCTGGGTTTTCAATGCAGAAATGTCTGATTCCAAGACCACTCACGTAAAAAAAAAAATGTTGCAGTTTATCAGTGATGTTTGGCAAAAGAATGGATGTTGATATTAGTTTACCCAGTTTCATTCTAGGTAGTTCACAACCAGGAGCTTCTCAAGAAATACTTGTTTACAGAATTCATGAATCCAAATTAGCTCTGTTTCCCAAAACCATAGATAACTGGAAACTAAAAATTGGATAAAAGTCAGCTTCAACAGAAGAAAAAAGAGTTTGTATTAAATATGAATGAGCATTTACTTTGTTAAATGATATGTGGGCTTTTCACCTAGATTACAGGAAAATTACTCTAGCATCAATTTTTACTTTGAACTTTGAAGAACTTTGAAGAGCTATATTGAGTAAAACCCAAAGTGCTCTCCGCATGAAAAATTCTAGTTTGCCCCTACTGTAAAAATTCACAATATAAATATAATCATGAGGGTATTTTCTTTCATAGCATCAGTCATTTAAAAATACAAATCTTTGAAGAAAAAAAAATTGTTGACGAAGTAAAATAGCATTAAATCCTGTAAAAAGATTACAGGCACAAAACCTGAGGATTTTACTTGTAAAGTTTTGTTGATGGAGTCAAATACTCACTTGCATTAACTCTCTTTCCAAACCCTGAGTCCACCCCTTCGTATTCCACTTGTAATAACTAATGTTAATAGCAAAAATATATTTATACTGGAATGAACAATAAGCATACAACAGTTGTTTGGTTTACCAAATTCCCTTTCATTCACAGCTTAAAATGTAACCAATTTAGCTATGACAATGCCAGCTTAGTTTATCCAATAGCACAGTAAGCACTATTCCTAGAGCTCATAATTTTAGGAGCTCATAGAAATGTTAAATCTCTTTTAAAATCTGAAAAAATGAGTACAAAACAGTTTAGATTATATTTATCTTTACATAAATGCAGCTACAAAATATAATTTTGTATTTTTTATGAGGAGGGGACCCACAAAGCCAAAAGTGCGTTGCGCTCATCAAAATCATAGTGAGCTAGGGTATTTTTAATCTTTATAAAATTGCTATGGCATTATTCGTTGCTGGAATGCCAGGAGCATGTTAATATTATGTGCCTTTTATTTCTTCTCACCCACTAAAAAAATCTAATCTCACGAAAAATATGGAAAAGTCTTATGAATTGGATTGGATATGAACAGGATGGATATATGACAGATGTATACAGATATATGATGGGTATGAATAGGATGAATGGATATAAATCACAAATCCAATTTAACTGGGCAATGAAAGAAAAAAAATTCCTAAGAAAGCCTTCCTTTCCCCTATCTCACATCTTTTACCTAGAAAGCAACAATTTAGAAATGATTACAACTTCAGAGAACTGAAGGAAAAGACGAACTACCAGAATATTGTGGCTTCATAAAAACACCAATTTAGAAATGCTTACCCACAAAGCTTCTTTTTCCCCTTAACACTGGATTTGCTAATTGAATTGAGCAAATCCTGAATCCAGCTGGATATCTCAGTATGTAGTAACACCAAATTACTGAGTTAGTACTGAATTAATAATCTGAACTGGGTGAGTATACTCACTAACTTTACTCAGTTACTAAAAGGCTAGTATCAAAGCTAACGTCAGAAATGCCCTTCTCATACAGTACAGCATAACCAACAACAGTAGTTCTTGTGGGCATTATGCTTTCATGCCAACCAAGCCACACCTTGATTTTCTGACTGTGTTGCCTATGAGTTGGTTCTATGTTCATCCATTAATAGGATGTTGACTTATTAATAAATATATTATCTAATTCTTCCTCTACCTCTAACTATTCTGTGGAATAGATAAAATAAGGAGTAAAAATACTTTCAATTTTGAAGTATTTGTTAAGTATCTTGGCATAGAAAAAGGCAAGAAGTAACATTTGAAATAAATTTGTAACATTATCTGTGAATTTTATTTATCTATGAACTTCTATCAGTTTTTTATAGGAAAAAAAGGGGCAGTATATACATAATTCAAATACCAATAGTTGGAACAGAAATTTTTAGGATTTCTAGCACATTCTAAGTCTCTTTTGAAAAATTATAAAATCAAATTAGAATTTAACACCTTGCCTATATGAATGTCATAATAATATAGAATTATATGAATTATATAAGAAGGAAATAAGTAATGACAACCTCAAGTAAACGTTCACTTTTTTCACAGCCAAATTTTGACTTTTTTGACAGTTTTATCTCAGATAAGAATTCCTTTTTCCTTTCAAAATATCATTTTCACAATTATGCTGTGAAATATGTGGTCATCTGATATTATAGGAAAGCAGAACTTTAAAAGACTTAGAACTACATTCCTCCCTGTTGTAATGAGATACTCTTCACATATGACCATTTTTTCTGGTTACAGTGTATCTCTGAATACTTGTCATGCATCTTCTCCTCTTATTCTGATAAAGAATTCTGATTTTCCTTTGATTAATCCCCCTCCTACTGATGGAACTGACCTCCACAACCGGGACACACAGAGGCCTGGTCAGTCAGTCACAATTGACTCAAGGTTGACCTGTAATCCAAGTGCACACGTTTCAAGTCAGCCCTGGGTTTTCCTTGGAACTACTGGGAGATGTATGCTCTCATGTCACAAGAATTACTACAGGCAGCCTTGTGCTGTCTGAGCTTTCTTTGCTACCACATAGAGAAAGTCTTAGAAACACAGTGAGACAGAAGGAGAGAAAGAGAAAGACAGAGACAAACGCTCAATCAAATCATGAGAGGGCCTGCAGCAATCCTCACAACCATTAAAACTAGCTGTATCCTTTGAATTTTTGAGTTTCAAGATCCTGCAAACTGCTATTTTGTTTAAGTCGGCTTAAATTCAGTTTCTATTATTTGCAACTAAAGGAGAAAACTCTAATACTGTATTTCACCACATGAATATTTTCAATGTTAAGGAATATAAAAGAAATCTTGATATGATGCAAGTTCACTCTTGCTTACTTACTCTTTGCTATCTTTATATTTGATTGACAACAAGGGACTCCAACTGTTGCTTGTTGCTCCACTGGGGAAAATTTATTTATTCATTCATTCCTTCGCTCATTCATTCAACAAATGCTTATTTCACACCCATTAGGTACCAGGCACCCACCTAGGTTCTAAAGATTCATAACTCAACAGAATAGACAAATGTTCTACCTTCATAAAGCTTACGATCTGGTGGGATGGAGTCAACCCTTAATTAATAAATAAATAAAAATCTAAGTGTGCTGAATAGCTACATGTGCTACAGAGAAAAATAATGCAGGAATGAGGATACAGAAAGTCTGCACTTGAGGATAGGTTTTGATTAGTTGTTTTTAAAAACAGATGGTCATGAAAGGTCTTATTAAGAAAGTGATATTTGAGCAAAGGCCTGAAAAAAAATGGAGTTCCTTACTGGGGAAAGTATGGGTCCTACAACAGAGAATAGTAAGTCTCAGCTCTGCAGGGTGCATGGCAAATTTTCCTTACAGGAGTTCACCTAGTTACACAAGAGAGAAACTCCCATGACACCCCACTAGAACTTTTTTCTGCTAGCTCTCTGAGGGAACTGGGCATATTTGTTCTGTTTCACTGGGCAAACAGAAATAGGAGTTAGGGGTGGCTGTAGGTTCCACGAATCATTATTATTTTCAATGTTCACTCTCTGGCGTAAAGGCTGTGAGGTGAATTGCTGACTAATTTTATAAAGCACCTGGAGCTCCTCAGGGCAAAGGCACTATGTCAACACCAACATTAAATAAATAGCAATAATTGGCCAAGTCCTCTGGTGGTATAAGGCAAATAAAATATGTTCCCTCTTGGAAGTTCATGACGTCTGCCAGGTTAAGCAAGAATGAGGCAAAGCACTTTTAGAAAGCTACTTTTTCTACCATTGTATATGGCCTCCAAACAGCCAGCCACTGTGAAATGTTAAGTGTTCAACAGCAAATTAAAACTGAGTGTGTTTTTCATTCACTATCACAACAAGGTACTAAATAACCACTTGAGATATTTGTTGTACGTTATCATTTTCCAGGCAGTTTTACTGTTAGCTAGAAATAAGAGTAGAGTGACATTCGTTTGATTAGAGCAGAACCATTTTCCACCAATTTTTAGAGCACATGCAAATCTCTTTAGCAAAAGGACTTTTTCAAGGGTTGAATCTCTTATAGTTTCTCAATGTGAATGTTAATTAAAGAAACCTACCAAAACCAAGAATGATTTCAAATGGTTATAGGGTTTCAAATGGTAGATGAAACATGAAAATATATATAACCTATTAACAAGATATATTTGTGTCTCTAAGAATTCTATAGGGGAATATACATTTCAGTGAAACTCTGTACCCACCCAACCCACTCCACAGCAAAACAGGCATTTGTGAGAAAGCGCTATATATATACACACAAACACACACATGTACACATGCACAATTTATAAATAAACATCAGGATGTTAAATTTAACTAATTTTAACTAAAACAAGGGATAGCTCAGGATAAACTTGGTTTTACTCTACTAACTCCAAAGTTCAATAAATAATAACAATTTTCTCAAGGTTATTAACCATCAATACTCATAGAATTATGAAATATTTTTGCTAAAAGCATTTAGAACTAATCTAGTATGATTCCTTTATTTCACAGATGAAGAAACGAAGTGTCACAGAGGTCTCTTTGCTAGGGGTAATCTATGTGCTGAAAACCACCTATAACACTTTGAACCATACCTGTTGTTGGTATTTTGTGATGTCCGTCTACATGTTTTCCTTGAATGACTATATATTTTTTATTATAAAAATGGGCTCTCATTTTATGTATTTTTTATTTTTTCATTTAACATAATGAAAATCTACCATGTTAAAAATTATCCTTATGCATCAGTATCCTATCATACACATTTACCTTGATAACATATCAAGGTATATTGTGCTAATTCCCGCTGCTGAATATTTGGCTCATTTTTTTTCTTGGCACATTTTCAGTTTTCCACTATAATAAACATTGATGTAACTAAATCTTTTCACATATTCTTAATTTTTTTCTTAGGATAAATTCTTCAAAGTAAAATTGTTGGTTCATAGTGTGACTTGAATTCTCTTCTAGAAAGCTACTCAAACTTTCACTTTCATTGCTAATGAATAAGAATGTCCTGACTTTAGTCAATACGCTGAATTTGTTATCATCTAGTTTTGACTTTGTTTTTTAATCTTGAATACTCTTTAGAGAAAATGTTAGTTCACTATTGTTTAATTTGTATTTCTTTAAAGTTGGGGTTTTATTCATGTAACTCACCAATTGTGTTTCTTATGGATTGTGTTCATTTTCCTGGAAGAAAGGTCATTTTTTTCCTTATTAATTTCTAAGAATTTTTTTTTTTTTGAGACAGAGTCTCACTCTGTCGCCCAGGCTGAAGTGCAGTGGCATGACTCAGCTTACTGCAACCTCCGCCTACCAGGTTCAAGAGATTCTCCTATCTCAGCCTCCTAAGTAGCTGGGATTACAGGCACGTGCCACCACACCTGGCTAATTTTTGTATTTTTTAGTAGAGACGGGGTTTCACCATGTTGGTCAGGCTGGTCTCAAACTCCTGACCTCGTGATCCACCTGCCCCAGCCTCCCAAAGTGCTGGGATTATAGGCGTGAGCCACCCCACCTGGACGATTTCTAAGGATTTTTAAGACATTAAAGTCAATGTCTCTTTAGTAACACTGGAAATAGAATCCCACCCTTTTCATTTGCCTTTACGTTTTCTTTATGGTGTTTTTGATGTGTAGAAAAATTTGATTCCTTAATGTATACACATCTATCAGACATTTTCTTCATGCTTTCTCGCTCTAGTGATATGCTTAGAAATATCCTCCCTATGTTGAAATTTAAATACTCATTTTTATTTTATTTTAGTAATTTTAACTAAACTACTTTTTAGTTGTTACATTAATAAAATTATATATTATATATTAATGAAATCTTTATTTAAATAAATATTTAATAAAATATATATCCAATGTATATTTTTATATAAGGTTTAAAGAAAGAATCTAACTTTATATTATTTTCCCAAACGATAGCTGTTGCTTTCAACACCATTTATTGAATAATCATCCCTTTTCTCATTGAATAAAATGCTACTTCAGTCACACACACACACACACACACACAAATACATAAATGAGTCTTATTTGAAATCTATAGTCTATCCAAATCAACTTTATCTAATTCTTCATTTGAGCCACCGTCCTAATTCTTACAATATTATATATTACATGATATATGTTACTGTAATTTTTATGATATAATCTCTGGAATGGTGTGTTCTACATCCTTCCAACCTTTACCCACTGTGCTTTATTTCAACTTTTTCTTGATTTTCCCATGTTAGCTTGATTTTTGAAATACTTTATTAAAATCAAAAATAAAATGTGATTGGAATTGCCTATAGTGGAATGAATATTGTGGATTGTTTAGCATTAGTTAAGACATTTTTGTTTTCTTCACAACAATACCAAAAAAACCCTTCTAATTTCTTATTATTTTCACTCATAAATATAGGTGTAGTATGTTTTTGTGACTAGAATCTTGTGCTATTTAAAAAGAATTGGCCGGGCACAGTGGTTCACACCTATAATCCCAGCACCTTGAGAGGTCAACACAGGCGGATTGCTTGAGCCCAGGAGTTTGAGACCAGCCTAGGGAACACAGCAAGACCCCATCTCTACAAAAAATTTTTGAAAAACTGTCCAGGGGTGGTGGTGGATGTCTGTAGACCTAGCTACTCAAGAGGCTGAAGCAGAAGAATTGCTTGAGCCTAGGAGGTGAAGGTTGCAGTGAGCTGAGATTGTGCCATTGTACTCCAGCCTGGACAACAGTAAGAAAGTAAGTAAATAAAGAGGTATTTTATTTTTTTCATTATAATATCTAACTGATTATTACTTTCTATAAAAAAGCTAATAGCTTTCTTATATGTAATTTTGTATTTGGCTACCTATCTGAATTACTGAATCATTTCTAATAACATTTCAACTAATTCCTTTGGCTCTTCCAGGTAAATACCCACATAGCTATAAAGTCAGTTTTCATTTTATATTTTATGTTTCAAGTTGTTGTACTAGAACAATAACTTGACAATAACTATACAACTTCCCAAACAAATATTACATACAAATATTATGTTACGTCTTATTGCTTATAACTAAGCTGACTTTAATAGAAACGACTCACACTTAAAAATTGGTTTCACCATTGAAATAAACACTATATTCTTCTGTTGCTATTTCACTGCATCCTTTTAAAAAAAACTAACAACAAATGGATATTAAGTTTTAGTCAAATGCCACTGTGGCACCTGTCAATACAAGTCTATTGCTTTTTCTTTCACCATATTAATATGATGGATTCTGTGACCAGATTTGATCAAAATTAACTATATGTACATTTACAGACTCGGCCTTATTTGACATGAGCATGAATCTTTTAACAAAATGCAAGATTCAATTTACCAAGTTGTATTTAAGATTTTATCTACCGAAAAGTAAGATTGGTTGAGGGACTTCCTTCTTATTGCAAATAGGTCTACTTGATAGAATGAATTGAAAAGTTGATTTTCTTTTCACAAACTCTAGAAAATTTATATAACATACTATTTGTTCCTTAAAAGTTTGGAAACATTTTCTCAGAAAGTCTCTGTGCCTGACATCTTTTGAAGGACTGTTTATTTAAAGCAATTTTTCTAATTTTTTTTCTGACAGATATCGCTTTGTCAAGGTTATATACTTCACTTTGTATCAAATGTGGAAATATATATATTTTTGCAAGAAGGCACAATTTAATCAGGATTGTCTCTCTCCCTTTCCGTATGTACATGTTTCTGACTCATCCTAGGCCCCTCACTTTCCCTCACTCCCATAGAACTGTTTCACCAACTGTTAGGTATGACTGCTGTCTCATTCTCTCTCACCACAGAAAGCTGGGAAAGGCATTTTAGGAGGTGAGAAATAAAGCATCCTCTCTCAAGTTTTTGCCATCCCCCAAGAGTTATATGTGGGGTCTCCATGCCAACAGTCCACTCCTCTGAGATGGTTTTCCCTAATCACCCGCAAGTAACTTTTCACTTTTAACTTTAAAAGAGTGAGCAGGGCTCCCCTTCCTCATAACCTAGCTGCGAAGCAATTTAATAGGTGTTCCATGAAATTTAAAAGCAGTAGTAAGATTCCTAACAGAGACACTCCTCAACTTTCTCCATTCTCACAGCCTGTCTCTAGATATAGGGAGTTCTTTGGAACTAATTTCTGAAAGAACACGTACTTTTTCATATTATATAACATTCTAAGCCACATTAAAATGAATGCTTGGTGAGATTTTTCAAGCAGATATTTAAATTATTGTATGCCACTGAGAAAGATTAACAGGGCATAATAAGCTATACTTAATATTTTAGGAACGAGTATAGTAAACTATTGTTTAATAAATACAAGGCAAGGCAAACATTACAAAGTGAAATGTGGAAGAACTAAAGCTTCTAAAATAATTGAACCTTCCCTCTAGCAGCCCCTCACAGAGCTCTCCGTCATTAACCAGGAGTATAAAAAATAGAGCAAAGTATATAATACAATAATAGCTATAGTTTTTTGAGCTCTGGCCACATACCTGGCATAATGCTAGATGTTATACACATTAGCTTTCTTCCTCAGGGCAGCCCTAAGGAAAAAGAGCAAAGGAGGGCTGATGTGGTTTATAGCTCCCATATGCCAGGCCCCAGGATGGATGAGTTTGTAGGAACTAGAGTCTCAGATCCTAAGTCCATAGAGTTAGGAAGACACAATTAATAAGGCAAAGTTCCTGCTCTTGACATTGTACCACTGTTTCAGGTTTGACTCAACTTTTTTTCTGAAAATAATGATTAACTTTTTATAGTTGTTTACAGCCTGCCAGGCACTGTTCTAAGAACTTTATATGTATCAACTTCTCCTTGAATCTTCACAACCACTTTATAAAGTAAGTATCATGATGGCCCCCATCCCCCTCCATTTTTTAGGGGAGAAAATTGAGGCTTAAAGAAGTGGCCTGCCCACAGATGGCAAGTGACCAGGCCAGAGTCCACACCCAGACTATTTAACTCTAGACTCCATTTAACTCTAGACTCTAAGCTTTTAATCACTAAACTTTCAGAAATGTCTACCAAGAAAGATGGCTAAATTTGGCGAGCAATATCTAAAATCAAGTCCAAAGGAATATGAATAAAAGCATTTGAAAGAGAAGGCTATGATTTCTCACACTATGACTAGCATTTTTCCTTAGGTGTCATCTATGCTGAATCTCCACTGGGCAGGAAACACAATGAAATACAACTGAAACTGAATGGAAAGTTAACCATGAAACGACTGGAGGAATCTCAGTCAGAACTAGGTCTCGCTTTACCAAGAGAGGTCAGTCATACTTGACAATAGAGGCTTTAGGGCCCTTTTCGATGTTCCACACCATAATTTAAATGATGCAGTAAAAACAGAAAAAGCAAAGAGTTAATAATCATCTGAAGAAATGTGCTTCCATTCTAAACTTCCAAGGGGGTTGGGGGTGTAAGAAGACTAAATATTGTGGAAAGCAGCTTGGTGACATCTGAAAAGGCTAAAAACAGAACTACCATTCAACTCAGCAGTCCCATTCCTGGGTATATACCCAAAGGAATATAAATAATTCTACCATAAAGGCACATGCACACATATGTTCGTTGTAGCACTATTCACCATAGCAAAGACATGGAATCAACCTAAATGCCCATCAATGGCAGATTGGATAAAGAAAATGTGGTACAGGTACATAATGGAATGCTATACAGTCATACAAAAATGCAATCATGTCCTCTGCAAAACGTGGATGGAGCTAGAGGCATTATCCTTAGCAAACTAACGCAGGAACACAAAACCAAATACTGTATGCTCTCACTTGTAAGTGGGAGCTAAATAATGAAAATACATGGACACAAAGAGGATCAGCATACTGGGGCCTACCAGAGGGTGGAGGGTGGTATGAGGGAGACAACCAGAGAAAATAACTATTGGGTAGTAGGCTTAGTTCCTGGGTGATGAAATAATCTGTACAACAAACCCCCATGACAGGAGCTTACCTATATTAAAAAAAATCTCCATATGTACCCCTGAACCTAAAATAAAAGTTTTGTTTTTTAAAATAAGATGAAATGCATAGGGCAAAGGTAAATCTGTTTGTGGAAAAACAGCAAAAGGAAGCACTGTTTCCTGGCAATAAGTATAACTCTTTTCTTAAGGTCTGCCCTTCTCCTTACCCCGATCTCCAACTTGTTGGAAAGCTAAGATTATTGACCTTCTGTGAACTCTGTATCTAGTTAACTTCTTTCATTCAACCCTTTAGGGACTCAAGCAAACAGCATCACTGACACCATTGACAGTTTGGGATTCCAAGGTGGCTATGCAAATTAATCCCTGTCTCTTGCTCCACTCCTACCCTCATCACTAATCCTCACTTCTCCTACAAAAGGACATTGTTATGAAGCATCCTCGCCTTGTTTTCAGCTTGTGTGTTTTTGAGCCAGAGCTTCATTAGAATATGACCATCTGTGCTCCCTGGGACCTTGGTCACCTCAATTTATTTGCTGGAAGATGTGGAATGATCCTATTTCACGTGAATATCTAGCTCAGTTTCCTCTATTTCTCTAAATGTATCTCAATGTCTTTTGTGCTTTCTGGAAGGTATTAGAGTTTATGGACCTTGCTCTTGGTTAACATTAAAAAATAAGCTTTCTACATAATATAGTGTAAAAAAGCTATGTCATTTCTTCACTTTTCTGACTACTAAGTTCTCTTGAGAGGCAGTGAGTGTCACACTGCACTACTAGTGGCCTGCACATCTGAGACAGAGTATCTCTTACACACTTGTGAATTAATTCCTAACTTCTGTATAATATTCTATTTACATTTTTTATTCAAATTCTCTCTCATTCTCTGTACATTTCTTTAGCACACACTAGATGTCTGCTGTGCCAGGTGACTCTCACTTATTCAGCACAGCAACCCTAAGAGACACACACATTTAGTACTGAAATATTAGAGTGGAGAGAACAATGGTGAGGCAATGAGGTTACATGGTCACATTCTTACCTTGGGAATTCTGCTTTGCTGTGAAGCAGTGGGTAAAGACATTGACTATTACAGCACTCACTGTTTATCCAAACAGTATCCCAGGGGAGAATACATTTCAGGGTTCTGTACGAGGAAAACTTAGTCTTTCCTGAGAAATGGATGTTGTGTTCTTCTCGTCTAGCATTTCTTTTGTTTTCCTGCTAAGTTTGGCCACCACGTAACTATGAGATGGGTTTCTGGGCTCCTTCAGAGGAAGCACTATGACTCTTATTATTGAAATATTCACTTTCTCTTCACCCAATTTTCTCTTTTTAACATTCTGAATTAAAAAAAAATTATTGACTTTGTACTTTTTGTAACTTACTGCAAATCCTTTTCTAAATAGGCAGGGCATGAATAAAGAAAGGATGGAAGGATGGAAGGGAGGAAGGGAAGGACAAAGGAAGAAAGGGAGGGTGGCAGGGAGAAAACAAAAACAAGTAGGCAAATACATAAAATGACTTACCTTTTGTAATTTTAAATTATTCAAGTTTGTTTTCTAATAAATATAACCTTAATGAAATGCCATCTCTAAAAATCCTTTATACAAAGCTTTTCAAATAATAAAAGGAATACGAGTAAAATGATGAAATAAATAAACTTTTTGCAGCCAAGAAGTCTATGATCTAACGTTTCTTGTTCACTATCTCTCAAGGTTCCCCAAGAGTAAACATATGCCATAAGGATTTTTGCTAAATCTAGTCTTAAAATAGGAACTATTCTAAAATTAAACTTCTACTTTTATCCATAAGGCCATTTATATCATTTTAAGCAATGTTGTAACAACTATTGGAAATACCACATGGTCTGGTTTTACATAAATTTGCAATGTATATTATCCTCCATCACCCCCTACATTGGTATAGAAGCTTGTTCCAATGGTATCACATAGTGAGTTTTATTTTCTGGCCAGGTTGGCATTTTGAGATCTAGAATCTTTATATGCCACCCCTGCCGCCATTGCCGACTGGCTGTGTGCCTAAAAGCCAGAGACACTGGGCAGGGTTAAAGATTGTGGCCAGGTTTTTTTTTTTCCACTTTGTCAAATGTAAAAATACAATGATGGTTTGTAGAGTATACTTCAGAAATAATTTAGTCAGTAGGTTTATGTCTACCAATATATATCCTATGAGTTAATATAAGCAGTTCACACTAACAACTGTAGGTGATGTATCCTTCTTTTAGTTGCTGATACTGTGAGAGAATAAGGCATTTTATTTAATTAAAGAATGAGCTAAAATAGCAATGTGGAAATACAGAAAATAAATACTGAAACCACACAATGCTAAACATGAATCAGCATTCCTATATTTGTAAGTGAAGTCACCTAAAGGGAAGAAAGTATAAACAGAAAAGGCAATAACTGCATCAGGGAAAATGAGAACCTATGGAAGGAAAAAGACCAGCAGTACCTGGATTCAGCTTTTCTGGTTGGAAAGGTCTAGAGACATTAAAATCACACCTGTTTATAAAATTATGTATATTTAATATTGGAATATTATTGGTGGCTCTAGAGGGCATACACCTGGTTGTACAGGAACCGTAAGGTTTAACAATACTACTAAAAAAGGAATGTTTATAGATTTAGATTTATTGCAAACCATGCTTTCATTTTTTCTTCCTATAAATCTTTCCTGAGCATCTACTATATATTAAGTGCTACTGTAGCTATGGAGATACAACAAGACAATAAATATGAACTTTTGTTGGAGTTCACATTCCAGTCGAAGGGATATGAATATTAAACAAAATAAATAGGTAAATTAGAAGGTATATCAGAAAATGACAAGGACAATAGAGAAAACTTTAGCAGGGGAGTCTGGGAGTGGGGTTAGGGATTAAAACTGCAGTTCTCAATCTAATGGATAGAAAATGTTACATTGAAGTAGCTTTGGGGTGAAGCCTTGAAGGAAGTGAGCCACGCAGATAACTGGGTAAAAGCATATCATTCTCTTGTTTAGATATAAATGTGCTGAGAAAAAAAAAGTATTTTCTATATATAAGACTATTCCTCTGAAGCAGTAGCATGCAGATGACTGGGAATTGTAGAAGAGGTGTCAATGCCAACAATTTGAAGAAAAATAACATATTTTAATGTTGAAACAAATAGAGAAAAGTAAGGGATTGAAGAGATATTTTAAAGAGAAAACTGAAGGTGTTAAAAATGTGCATCTGATACCATAAATCCAGGCTACTCTTCCAGACACCAGGCTCACATGTTCAATTTCTTCTGGCATGAAAAATTCCAGTGGAAAAAGTCAAAGAAGCTCTTATCTCTTCGCTGAAGCAGTCATGCTAGGGTAACAGCTGAATTCAGGAAAACTTAAGGAAACTAACTTTCACTGCACTCATACTATATGTAAAACATCATACACATAATATGAATGTCCAATTTTAGAAGTATTTAAAAAACATGGATTTTATATAGCTCTAAGCCACATGAGGTGTGTATGAGGTTGGGGGTAGTGAAGCTCAAAATTGTAAGCTAGACACTTCTTGAAAAAAAAACTAAATGCAGCCTTCACTAATGGCAATAGGTAGAAAGAGAAAGAGCATGAGCCAGAAATACTCATATTTAAATCAAATTATGGCTCTGTGCTCTGTGGTCATGAGGAAACTGCTTAATATCATTTACTTCATTTATTAAATGAGTCTATTAGCAACAACACATGTCAAATTCCTAACATGGTACCTGTCCATCCTTCACCTTATGAGATTATTAAATTATTAAATTTTGCCTTTTGAGCAAAAATATTGATTTATTGAAAATACGGCCTAAAATATATGCCAATTATGCTACTTACTATAATAGTTTAACATACAACAGCTTGAAAATAGTATAATTCTTTCTTCACATGAGCCATGTTATGATTTCCAGTAATTTGGGACCCACTGGTATGTGGGATTCATTACAATGTTCTTCAAAATTATTTCATTTATTACATGGACTTTGTTTAAGGAAACGAACAGAAAAAAATTAAATGTTTGTTTTGGAGAAGTTTCATGCTGTTAACTTCAAAGCCCCTAAGCCTCCAGTGGCCCTCTTGGATATAAGCCACAGATATGAGCGTGAATGACGCTGGTTGTTCTACATGAAACTTCCTGATGTGAAAACTTTTCACCTATAACCTCAAAAGTCAGCTATAGCTAATAGCTCATGAGTATGTTTCCACAATACTGAACATTTTGATAAAATACACTTTAAAGACTTCCTGATTAGAAAAGATTAAAAAAAAATGTTTTCCTAGGATTATACTGGAAATTTTGAGAAGCTTCTTACAGCACTCAAAAAGAGTTCTTGTGTATTTGTTGTTGTCTGGAACGACATCATCAAGGATCAATCACATTCTTTAAGGGCTAAGTACGTTCACAAAATTTCCATTTTTCTCTCCAAAGCACATGGAAATAATTTACATATAAATGAAGAAACATGCCACCCTTTAAAAATACCAGTTTCTTGACATATAGTCCAATGGATTGCTACAATTTCAAGTCTTTAATAGATTCAAGTTGAAAGGAATGGCATGTCATTTGAAAGCGTTTCCAAAGCACAAGGGCAGCCTTGTTTTGCAATGTTTCTGAAATATTTGGTTTAGGACATGGCACCAGAGGGCTTGGCAGTGAATACTCCGAAGAAATGTAAAGTTTAATCAATCCATGAAAATCAGTCCCAGATGTGGCTTACGAGTGACACCATGTTTTTAAACATAATCTGGCATAAAAAGTTCAAAGGTAATAGATATCAGAAATATATTCCTAGTGATAAAACTGTAGGTAAAGTTTATTTAAACCTTTATTATGAACCCACTACACGCATTATCTGTTTTATGTCTTATAGCATGTAAAAAGGTGAGAAAAACATACTGTCCTGAATATGCTACCAATCAGGTAGATGAAAGCACAAAAAAAACCCATTCATTCATTCACTCACTCATTCATTCAACAAGTATGTATTGAACTCCAATTCAGGGTTAGATACTCTTTTGGCACCATGACTGTGAGATCTGGTTCTTGTTCTCCGCTATCTCTGCGACTTTTCATCTTTAGTGGGGAGAAAAGACAGGTAAACAGTTGATTAAAACCTAGTAAGAATTAGGTTCAAGTTTTCACAGGATGTGGTGAAGCTCAGAGGAGAGAGCAGAGCACTGGTCCAGTTCTCAGGTCTGGGGCCTGGAGGAGAATTGCCAAGGGAGATAGAGATTGAGCATAGTCAGGGAAGGGTAATCCCAGCAGATAAAGCAAACTGTGTAAATACGGGGAAAAGCTAGCAGGAAACAGGCAACAATAAATTCATTGTTTCTGGAGACAGTCTTAATGGGACATGGCAAACAGAGAGAGGATACTAGTGAGAGAGCCAGGTGCTGCGTTCCTGATGGCCAAAAGGTCTTGTTGGAGAGTTTGTATTTTATCTTCAGGGATCTGGAAAGCCTTGAAAGATTTCAATCAAAAAGATATTTAAAAACATGACAGAGTAAGAGAACACTAAGTTCCTCACTTAAAAGTTATGGCAGACATTTCAAAACTGTTCACCAATTTCCAGTTTTCTTCTTCCAACCCCACAGGAAAATTGTACTTCCCTGCCTCTTTGAGGTTAACAAAGTTGCATTGCTTTGGAAAATGAAATATGATCCACTTTTCGGGGTGGAAGCATTTAATTGTGACTTCTGGAATCTCTAACCCTTTCTTCTGTCATGGTGAAGGTAGACACCTGTGGTTTATATGGCGGCATTGCTTTTGGCAATCACATGGAGACTGCTGGCCTGCGGGGTTCTCAGATCCACAGTGGGGTCGTCCGTTATTGGAGTATTATTTTGCCTACCATGACTAGTACACGTATTCAAGTAATGGAGATATTCTTATAATTAACAAGCTACTAGCTCTGATTTGTAATTTGCTCAATTAGACAAAGTTAAGTGTGTTCCTTGTTAAAAGTATTCACCTGTCTAAAGTTTCTTGTCTTAGTAAAGCAAGTCACCGCTTCCAGATTTTGGAAGTGGTAATTAACAGCGTTTTGCTTATGGATTTACTTATAATTAGTTTTTGTTTTTGGAAATTTGAAAAATGCAAAGTTTAAAGAAGAGGGTGTACATTTATTCTAATTACTTTTAGAAAGAAGTAGTACATCAGTAATATGGTCTCAGTGTTAAAATATTTTAAAAGGGACCAGGCATGGTGGCTCACGCCTGTAATTCCAGCACTTTGGGCAGCCGAGGCAGGCAGATCACCTGTGGTCAGGAGTTTGAGACCAGCCTGACCAACATGGCAAAAACCCGTCTCTACTAAAAATTCAAAAAAATTAGCCAGGCATGGTGGCATATGCCTGTAATCCCAGCTATTTGGGAGGCTGAGGCCGGAGAATTGCTTGAACCCGGGAGGCAGATGTTGCAGTGAGCTGAGATCGCACCACTGCACTCCAGCCTGGGCAACAAGAGTGAAACGCTGTCAAAAAAAAAAAAAAAAATTAAATAAAATGTAGATTAACTCCTGAAAGTGAATACTGTACATGTTTGCATGCATTTTATTCTTTGTACCTTGTGACTGCTGGCTACTTACTGCCTTCCTCCTGATACCAGTTTTTCTCTACTGCATATGTCAATAAATGTTTAGAAATGCTTGAAGAATACAGAGAAAGCCCAAAGTGTTTTTTGTTTTGTTTTGTTTTGTTTTGTTTTTTTCAGAAATGCATCTAAGTGTCTCCTTACAAAATGAGAGAATTCATTGATTAGCCATTCTTTGGACATGCTCTTAAACGTCCTCTACCAGAAGGAATTTCATATTCCTATCACAAAAGGGAAATTGCTTATTCTTATGTTTATAACACCAGATCTTTTATTTGATATATACTATGTGTATATATTATACAAATAAGCTCTTTATAAAAGATAACCATGAAGGAATTATTTCCTGAAACGGCAAAATATAAATTTGCCTGTAAAATCAGAATGCCCTAGCCAATCTTTTGAGATTTGACCAGGATGATCCTGTGGGTAAGGAAACTAACCCTTTCAAATTGCATGAAAATTAGAAGACAAATGAAGATGTTGTGAATGGAAATTCATTTCCAAATAAACCACTGGGATAAAAATCATTAGAATAATGCTAGTTTCAAAATCTATGTTTTTCCGTCTCTTTGTCACTCACAATTATTTCAAATATGTTCACTTTAAAGTACAGTATATATACCTAGTTAGGTTGAGTCATGTTTTAGAAAAATTCCTTAGAGTTTGTTTTTAAGCAAAACAGGACTGTTTTAAACAAAGCAGAACCTTAACAGGAAACTGATAACAGTGGCCAAGAAAAGCATCTTATTTTCTATTTTCTGTGTATTAGAAAGAAACCCTATTTCTCACTTCCTCATATGGTAATTATATCTCGGTGGAATTGAATCCTCAGGACAACAGGGCATGTTATTGTGAGATATTTTACACCTGGCTTAACCATTCTGTAAAATCAGAGATAGTGACTAGCCCAGAGGCTCTGTCTCACTTCCTTCCGGTGTTGCTTAGCTATTGATAAATATTAAGGTGCATGTGATTTGGCTGCTAAAATGAAGAAAGGATGTCAGAAGGCTATCAGTTTGCTGAATCAAACAGCATTGCCACAGGGCTCCAAGCTGGCAGGGCCCCTCTGGGCATTGCCAGGTCACCAAGGAAGTGGCTGGGTGAGGTGGCAACAGGTGTCAGACATGCTGCTGAGCAGATGATCTCAGCAGGCCTGAGGACAGAAGAGAAGGTTACCACACAAAGTGCTTAGCTGTGACCGCAGAGGAATTTCAGCATCAAAGGAATTTGAGTAGAAAAAGGTTTCAAATTTCAGTTAACCCAGGGTTGAAGCAGCAGGACTCATTGATAGAAAGAGAGAAGCAAATAAAAGCCCACACTAGTTAACATAACTCTCAAATAAGAATGCAATTATCTGCAGCCACAGTAGCCCATGGAAAGATATCCCTAACCAGTCATTCAGTTGAGACATAGGGACATCACCTGGGTGGAAAGGACCCTTACAGGTTGTGAAGGAATTATAAGTGACCATTAGTGAGTGGTCACTATGTACCAGACACAGCTGTAAGTGCTTTATGGCCATTAATTCATTCCATCTTCACAACAACACTCTGAGGTAAGTATTCATATTTGCCTTATTGTACAGAGGTAGAAATGGAATCATAAAAAAGTGAAGACATCAGCCCTAGCTGATACAGCAAGTACAGAGGAGAGCCAGAATATAAACCTAAGAAGTCTGTCTGTATAAACCATGCTCTTAGCCACCAAGTTTCACCATCCCTCACAGGGAGAAAACTGCAGAGCAGAAAAGTTCTGGTCTTACTCCTAAGAAGAGATGCACATTACATACATGAAAAGATACCAAACATGACAACATAGAAAATGATGGATGCCAAGTGAGTGCCAGGAACTATAGAGCTGTTGAAAGAGATTCATTGCAAAACAGGTTGGAATAAGCAAGACAAACTTGAGAAGTGGATTCTCACATTGAGTGTGAACAAGCAGGGGCAGTGTGATGTGGAGGAAGGGAGCATGTACTCTACAGGCTTTAGCTTCAGAGGGGCTTGGGTTCAAATCCCAGCTCTGCCACTTACAAGTCATGTGAGCTTGGGGAAGTTACTTATTCTTTGTTTTCTAGTTTTCCTATCTGCAGGGATAGAAAAATGCTATTTCAAAACACTATTCATGAAGATCAAGCAAAATTAGTTATAAGCAGGTCTCAGCATACTTGGTACAAGGTACACATTTAATATGTGTACTATTATCCAACTAGGGAGAGATAGAAAGGGAGCTTCAGGTGAGAGGAACAGCATAAAAAATGATCCGCAAAAGCCAGAAATAAAACTTCTATGAGCTCAGTTCAAGCTGACTGGGTAGGTAAATGTCTGCCATGAACTTGGAAGTGAGAGAGAATCTCCCTTGGACACTCATTAAGGGGCCTCAAAGCCATGAAGAGTTGCCATGTGGTCCTTCCAGTCAATAAATAATTTTGTCCAAACACGAGTGGAAGAAAAAATTAAGAGACACCCGGATGGGGAAAACCCATTCTCTTTTTGGTGAGACAATCTAGCCAGAAGGACACTCTCGCCAGCTAGAGCTCTGCATATCCAAACAAGCACAGGTAAAGTGGAAGAACTGACCAGAAGAGGAGAAAACATGAATTAATTAATTAATCAAAGAAACACCTGTAAGGTTCCAAGTAGGTGGCAGGTAGGCTGAGTGTTAGTGTATCCAGTCAGGCAGGTGGTGATGACAAAGGGCCCCCAGGAAACTCCCATTTGTGTGAGTGAGAAAGGCAAGAAAACAGCATGCACAATGCTACTTGAGGAGCGATGTTTGAAAAAGTGATGCACAGGTTGCAGGGGATGCACAGAAACTAGGGATGCAGCACTGGAGTGGGGTGAGAAGCTTCCAAGAAGAGACAAGCCTTCTGATGGGTCTCAAAGGAAGAGGAGGGTCTCACCAGGCAAAGGGGTTGGGGGACACATTCTAGTCAGAAGGAACACCATGGACAAAGGTTGATGAATGAAGCAGAATGATATCTTTAAGAAGCTGCAAAACACTTTCCACCAGGAGGGTGCAGCTGGGGTGTGGCACATGAGGTTGTGAAATCAGGTCCTAAAGAGGCTGGAAGAATGTGTAGGAAGGAGATGGGCTCCGCTTGGCTCTTAGGTCTCTGCAGAAGGAAAGAGAAGGAGAATGGGACAGGTGGTGAGACTGGAGGCCTGTACACTATTTAGAAAGTTACTGGGCCAGGCACAGTGGATAATGCCTATAATCCCAACATTTTGGGAGGCTGAACCAGGAGGATCGCTTGAGCCCGGGAGATCAAAACCAACTTGGGCAACATGGAAAAACCCTATATTTACAAAAAAATAAAAAATGAGCCAGGCATGTTGGTTTGCACCTGTAGTCCCACCTACTTGAGAGGCTGAAGTGGGAGGATGCCTTGAGCTCAGGAGGTTAAGGCTACAGTGAGCCATAACTGCACCACTGTACTCCAGTCTGGATGACTGAGTAAAACCCTGTCTACAAAAATGCTCTAAAACAACAACCAAAAAAACCCAGAAAGTTACTGCATGGAGCCCAGAGGAGAAATAGTTGCAGCATCACTGGGAGGTGTGGGTAGTGGGGTGAAAAGGCTATGGCGTAAGCCTGGTGAGGAAAGGCAAAGCACCTGATGCTCCTTGGCTTCAAGTACAGATGGCAAAGCAACTGGGCAAGGAAGTCCCTGGACAGATGCTCAGGATGATTACAGCTTCAGAATGCTGAAGTGCAGCTGTGCCTATGTTTTCTTCCTCCTGTCCTCTGCCACACTGTCCTTCGTCACCCTCTGGGGCACCTCCCCTCATATGAGAATTGAGAAATGGAGGGAGAGTACATGAGTAGTGGGGAGACACCAAGACAGCAGAGCATAGTGAAGAGAGGAGGAGAGGGGAAGCAAAACTTAAAAGAGACTCAATGAAACTGGGAGTGCTTTTGCTAATGCCACTAGGAAAAAGAAATGTGAAAATAAAATTTTATATATAAATACAAACACATGCATATGAGTGGGTGGGTTAAACTACTATACCACCTCTTAGCCAGAATGATCTTTTCTAATTAGATTAGGAAATGAAAGTGTTAGAAGACTGAATGGGTAACATTTGAATTTTCCTTTTGAAAGATGGGCCATATTTTGACTTTAGAGGAAACACAGATGGGAAGTGCATTCTTGATCTTGGAAATGTTGTGATGATCCATCACTGTCAGGGTGAAGTAAGGATCTTTAGCATGGCCACCAGAGCCTTATCTCCCACCTCTGTGCCTGCCTCCACCCTGGCTCTTCTGCTGCCTTTATATTAAACATTTGTTCATTCACCACATAAGGTTCTCTCTCTTGCCTTCTTTTCCTGGTTAATTCTTACTGATCCTGCAAATCACAGCCTGAACTACTCATCCTCAGAGAAGACATTCCTGATTTTCCCTGAACAGATAAAAAAACCCTTCACAGATTTTTGAACCCTGTGTGTCTTTCTCCCGTAGCATCTGATCCAGTCACAGTTTCATGTGTGTGTGTGTGTGTGTGTGTGTGTGTGTGTGTGTGTGTGTGTGTGTGAGAGAATGAGAGAGAGAGAGAAAGAGAATTTGATTAATGCATGTCTTCCCCAGTTAATCATAAACTCCATAGGGGCAAGAACCATGTCTGATTTGGCATCTACGAATGAGTGATGAATGCAAATAATGTTTGGCTATGGGGGGATGAGGTGTGGCCATGTAGGAAGATGATGTCAGGGTGTGGTACAAGGTTAAGGAAGCTGCAGCTAAAAAGGATGCCAACTTAATCTATTTTGGCCATTTTGTCTACCCTAAGTATTATGTTCACACTGTATTTCTTCTTTCTGGACTAAGAAAAAAAAAACATGTTTGCTTGTGGGGTCTTTTTTTCCTTCTAAAATATTAGACTGCAAACAAAGGCACTGTTGGGTAGTATATTTTTGTTAGCACCCAAGGGGAAATGACTGTGTTCTTGGGCTCTCCAATTTTTACATTACATGTTTTCTACATGAGCTTTCAACCTAATGTAAGAATTAAATGCAAATTTGAGGCATATGAACTATTTTATGCAAGATCTTAAAATTGTTTTCCTTGGGACGTTCATTGAAAGTATGGCTCATTACTGAAAATCTATTCTTCAGTGTGTTCCTAACCATCTAGCCACGTCAAAAAAAGTTGCTTTAATATCTGAAGCCAAATCGCTGCTTTCCTTTGTGATTACAAGGACTCTCTTGGTAAATCAGAGTATGGCCAATGTCCAGTTGCTAAAGGTGGAAACTACAAGTTACTATTCTCCTTAAGTTACCAGCAAGATACAGTCAACATGTAGTTCTTTGGTGTCTGTCAAGAAAGTACAGAGATTTATAGGTAAAGAAGTCAATTTTCTTATCATAGATATAGTTGTCATATGGAGAGTATGCTGATTAGAAATAATGAAAGCAAGAGATAAACTTAAATTGTGGAATTATCTGAGAATTTCCATTATCCATGTCCCAAGTTAACTGCAAACAATATAAAGTTGACTATATCAATTTTTATGTACAGAAAAACATTTGGGACACAAATACATTTTAAAATCTTAAGAGTTTGCAGGGTAAAAAACATTTTGGGGGAAAAATAATTTTTCTAAGGGTTTGAGAAAAATTCAGCTTATATTTATGTATTTCAACTTCAGTAAGGATAAATGGAACAGCACCACTGGAATTGAACAATTAAGTAAGCAAATGATGGATGGTAGTTTTTCACTGTTGGAGTGGAAGATTATAGATAAGCAAGAGGAAGAAGCTAGAATGACCCATGTGGTAATGAGTTAGATTTGAAAATATCAGTATGAACTAATGCTTATCTATCTATCATCTATCTATTTATGCTTCCTGATTGTTAGATATGTGTACATACACAGGTTGGTATACACAAATATATGTCCTTGCTCTGTCAGCCAAGAAGGCCAAAAGGAAATGACAACCCAAAAACAATGAACACACCTATTGCTCAAATCTTGGTTTTTAATACCATTTTCCAATGAAAGGAACGTGTGCTCCTTGGAGAAATGGCTGAATCTATGATGAGGAAGGAGTTATATTGTTGATAAGCCTCAAGTATTGTGTAATGCTAGAAAGGATGAAAGTGCATCAAAACAAAACAAACAAAAAACAGAAAACAAAACCACCACAATTGTGGGGATGTATCAAAGGGACACAAGAAATAGTACCCAATGGCCAAAGCTGGAACAATTTCACAGCACGATTAGTATGACAGTAGTGGATTATAACCTAAGCATAAAATAAATATCCATGAGTCCATACTGATATACATAAATGCTGAATAATTAAATGAGGGAGAATAAGCAAATCTTCTGTGGAGAAGAATTGCAAATATTTTATGTAGATTCTCTGCCTTCAAGGAGATGGAGTATAACACCCTCTTAAGTGTGGGTTGTTTATCATGACTTCCTTCCAAAGGGTAGGTATGAAAATAATAAAAATAAGGAAAAATAATACATTTATAGTGGAAAAACCTGACCAAATCCACCTCGATCAGGTGATCAAGGTTAACATCTTTAGTCATGTTGACAGTGTGATGGAAAAATGGCACATTACCCTCTGTGGTCTCTCTCCCCAAAACACTAACTACAGTCTAATCATGAAAAATCAATCAGAAAATTCCAACTGAGAGACATTCTACAAAATACCTAATCAGTACTCCTCAAAACTGCCAAGGTAATGAAAAACAAGGAAAATCTGAGAAAATTCTATAGCAAAGATAAATGAAACACGAGAACTAAATGCAATGTGGTATCCTGAGTGGGGCCCTGGAATAGAAAAAAAGAACCTTAGGTAAAACTAAGGATATATGAATGAATAGGGACTTTAAATAATAATAATGTACCAATACTGGTTCATTCATTGTAACAAAAGTATCATACTCATATAAGACTTTAATAAAAGGCAGTGGGTGAGGGGTATATGGAAACTCCCTGCACTATCTTTGCCATTTTTCTGCAAATCTAAAGCTGTTTTAAAATAAAATTTATCTTTACAAAGCCCTGAAAGCCTAGAAATTTAAAGTAAACTCGTACAATCAAATAGTAAGGCCTAATCTTACTGACATAAGCCAATATTTAATTTTCTAACCCAAAATACAAACTCTTCTTCACATGTTAACCTCTATCTCCATTTTCTATGTCTACATTTCTTTAGAAGACCATAAATCACGCTATATTATCATTAATTAGAGCCAAGTTAAAATGTTAAAATTGCTAAACATATGACTCATTTAAACAAAGGTTTACTAAAAGACAGGAAACAATTTACAGGAGGTATGCATTTTCTGCATGGTTGCATCTTTCAAGAAGACAAAGAAAGGGATTAAGAATACCTTTGTCCTAAGATACAAAAAAACCACAAGGCAAAAAGTACGACATATAAAGTTTTACACCAAACAAAAAAGAGAAAAATTTCAGCAAATCAATGTTATCATCTACTTATGATTTTTTATCATTGCAAACAACGCATGTTTGTCCATCCTTACTTCGCCACCTGGACCAATGCAGGCCATGTCATATGAAATGCCTGTTCTGACCATTAGAACATCCAGACTCATTCTGGGGCTTAATCTCTTTTACTGCAGGTGCATCCACTTGTTATATTTCAGATTAGCAGCCTCAAAGAACTAGCCTCTTCCCAGTACCCATCCTTCAATTACTGCATCATTTTCTCTAACAATTGCAGTCTTTCAACCACTTTATATGTGACAAGGCATGAGCTTGCTTCCTCTCTTGTCACTCTCCTGAGTCCTCTTCTGTTTGTCTGCAGCCCAAAAGGAAGCACAATATTCCAGCTGAGGTCTGAATGATGCAGGGTCAAGTGCATTCATTACCTCTTTATTTTGGGTTATTCTGGTTCTATTAATACAGCTTAAGATGTTATGTGAAATTTCCAAAATAGGTTCCATATTTTACCTTCAAAACTGTATGGCAGACACAAATACTACATTATCTGTGATTACCGTGAATGAGGTTAGCACATTATTATGTGGTTGTGAATATCATACTTGGCTTCCTGGAGACCGAATATTCATGTATCAGGGCCCTCCTGTGATGACACAGTCAGTGGCGCCCTCACAAGGGCATACCTTCTAGCCTTGTCTTATTCTTTAAAAAAAACCCACATTCTTTCTTTGTTCTAGCTACACAGCTGGAAAATCAGAACTGAACATAATAGTGGGAAGAGAGTACTCTTTAATCTCAGTATTTAATCTCCTGATACTTTCTGGACCTCTGAAAGTATTAATACATGCATTCCCATGAGAAATATTATTGCTTCTCTAATAAATAAGGATGTCATACAAAATTAACAAATTAATAATTCAAGGACACATTCGGGTGCCAAAGAATACAGTTTTCTAATTTTTACAGGAAAATATGTAAAGTAATATAAAATTTTCACTTGTAAATAGTGCAAACTGTGTTAGAAAAAAAGACAATGCAGATGAGAGATTTCCTTGAAATGCTCTTAAAATCATGTTATTGATCCGTGTAAGTCAGCTATATCAATTCTACTGATCAAGAAATAGGTATTTTAAACACAATGCTTTCAGGAGTATACAATGTTGACAAATATGCAAAAAAAAAAAAATTGCAAAACTCCAAGAAAATCAAATAATGAATGCTAGCCAAATTTCTATCCGAACTAAGCTAACTCAATGATATTATCGTTGTCTTTAATGGAGAAACATGAATAAGGATAATCTTTAGTGGACTTAGATTAAGTAATACAATGAATAGCTATAAAATTTGTGGATCAGAATTAGAAGAGGGGAAAAACACATTAATCAAGTAGACATGTTAACAAAATAATGGATTAGTCAGGATTACATTTGAATAAATTAGCAAAGCAAAAGAAATACATTAAATATCTAATATTTAGTAACTTAGAAGAGAAAAAAATGCTGTGTATTTTACATACTAATTCATACACATGCCCAACAAATAACTACCGTTTCCAGTCTTCATGTGCACCATAACATGTGTAACATATGAAACAAAAATTTGCTCCTCCCTGATGTATATTGGTATGAAAATCTTTTAAGGTAACATGAGAATGAAAGAGATTCTTCTTCATGCTAGACATAGAGGTTTTTAAACACATCATTTGGCTGACGTAAAGCACATTTGCAATAGGCATTAGTAACCTCAAGTTAAGAACAATATATGCCAGGCTGATGTACTGGACACTTCCTAAATACTGTACTCAGCAGTTTTGGAGCACTTAGCAATGATGAATTGGTGTGAAGACTCAGGTACTGAAAGGTCATTTCCCTTTTTTTCTTGAATCTTTTGCTTGTCTTGATTGACGCTCTGAAGAAGCCAAGGATACAGAAGGGGTGGAGAAAGCACGCAACCCAAATTACCCAAAGGAGCTGCTTATAATGAACTTGAATGAAGATAGATTTTGGGGAGAGGTGGGGGAAAGTGGCCACAATCTTCAATATTCTTTTGAAGTGTTACTGCTTTCAAAGTTGTGATTTTTCTCAAGGTAAAGCTGTTTGACACAGATAGACTCATCTGTCAATCAAACATCTTTTACTCATGGCCAGGTCAAATACTTGACTATTCTAGTAGTGGTATCAAACTCTTAGTGCCAATATAAAACAGCCAACTCACCTAGCCAGGGAAAAGAAATAATAAGAAAATGAAAAAGTGCACTGAGCCTTTATATCCTGTATTCAAGAACTGCATTTCTTTTTTATTTAGTTGTTTTGTCATTGCTGTTTATCAGTTTTTGTTTTTGTTGTTTTGTTTTATGATCAAATAGTTTTAGGGGGATAATATATAATAGCCATGTCACACATTTCTGAAAGAACAACTTATTTCACCTGGCCCCATAAATGGAAATATTTCATAAATTCCAGAAGCTTTGGCATTCGTCTACATCCTCTTTCCAGACTGCTTGCTATTTCATAATCATTTTCATGATTCTCATTTTCCTTATGAATTGAATTTGTGCTTGAAACATTTCAAGCCTAGGGAAGCAATCTTGTGAGCTGACAGATCTTATTGGGAGCAACCTTGTTCAGAATTTTGACTTCCACTTCCACTCTTACACAACAAATGTCCACGTATAGACTCAACATTTGCCTCAAAAATTCAAGTCTCCTTAAGAATTACAAAAGGTTGTATCACCCTGTAAGACTGTTGCCATTACAGATGGCATAGGACTCAGGATTCTAAAATCTAGTGCTATAATGGGCTATAAGTTGGGTTAAAGAAGTGAGAATGCTGTGCTTTTAACTTCAAAATTTGGCAAGACATACCATTTTTTAATAAGAAACATATTTTTTATTTGGATTATCCTTTTCTTATACTATCTATTTTATTATACTTTCTTTAATAGTATTTAATCAGATTTTAATGAAATCTGGTACACAGGTTTTTTGTTTTGTTTTGTTTTGTTTTTGTTTTTGTTTTTGTTTTTGAGACGGAGTCTTGCTCTTTCGCCCAGGCCGGACTGCAGTGGCGCTATCTGGGCTCACTGCAAGCTCCGCCTCCCGGGTTCACGCCATTCTCCTGCCTCAGCATCCCGAGTAGCTGGGACTACAGGCGCCCGCCACCACGCCCAGCTAATTTTTTGTATTTTTAGTAGAGACGGGGCTTCACCATATTAGCCAAGATGGTCTCGATCTCCTGACCTCGTGATCCACCCGCCTCGGCCTCCCAAAGTGCTGGGATTACAGGCGTGAGCCACCACGCCCGGCCGCTTTCTTTTAATTATAAACTAACAATAGTATTTACAATTTTCAAAGAACTTTCAAATATACTACAATCTTCCACAGAAATCCATAGGGGAAAAAAGGGACAGGAGAGGAACTAAAATATATCAAACACACTAAGTTGAGCAGATACCATGATTTATATATGTATATCATTAATCTTTATGCACAACTTAGGACAAATTTCTTTCTGATCTTAGTATCATAAGTGGTGTGCTTCCCTGATCCATCAAATTGTTTATCCAATGGACACGGGGATTTGTGTTTAAGCTTCCTGATTTACCCTGGATCCTAGGAAGCTTAGTGAGAACTTTACATTCCATCTTGCATACCCTTGGACTTCATGGTCTGCTTAACTCTTGAAAGATGGAAGGCCCTCTGCCTCCCTTGAGATCTAAACAAAATTGATTTGAACTTCCTAATTTCATGACCAGTAAGAATCCCAAAACTCACCTCTAAATTTCTGATAATTTCCTAAAGGCTGGGCTCATTGACCTGCTTTGCCAACACAACACAGCTCATTTTGATTCACATGCCACCAACACCATCAAAATCACTTACTTCAGGTACTCCTGAGGCTTCAAGTAAGACATACATATATTAGTGGTCTTCCCACCCCTAGCAACTCCCTGTACCCTCCCCAATACCCCTCACCCACCGAACCACTGTCAGTACTGGGGAGGGATCTGTTTATGGAGTATACCCGCAGTTCTCAGCCTTCCCAGGGCGAATTTTCCTCATCCTGTCCTCTCTCCTAATTTCTCTGCCTCATCTCCATCATTCTCATTGGCTCTTTAGCACTAAATTCTTCTTCTGTTATGCAGAGAAGTTTTCACCCTTAGAGCACTTGAGCACCTACCTATAGTCAGATCCTCAGGGACTTTCTTCCTATCCCAAGGGCACGTTCAAAATAGCTCTTCTAGGCCAGCTGCAGTGACTCACTCCTGTAATCCTAGCACTTTGGGAGGCTGAGATGGGTGGATCACCTGGGGTCAGGAGTTCGAGACCAGCCAGGCCAACATGGTGAAACCCCATCTTTACTAAAAATACAAAAATTAGCTGGGTGTGGCAGCTTGCATGCGTAGTCCCAGCAACTCGGGAGGCTGAGCTAGGAGAACCGCTTGAAACTGGGAGGCAGAGGTTGCAGTGGGATGACATCACACCACTGCACTCCAGCCTGGACAACAAAGGGAGACTCTGTCTCAAAAAAAAATATATATATATATATATATATAAAAATATATATTTATATATATTTATATATAAAAATATATATATTTATATATATATTTATATATATAAATATATATTTATATATATATATAAATATATATTTATATATATATATATAAATATATATTTATATATATATATATATAAATATCTTCTAGCAAAGACATTTTTCTTCCTTCCCCAAGAGGATTCTGGTGCCGTTTGTAAAGGTAATATATATATATATATTTTTTAACTATTACATACATATGTGAGTAGGAACATCATACCTTATTTCTCTTTGCCCTTCATCAACATTCTCCCTATAAGTTATGCACATATAACTTTGTTGGTTGTCTTAAATGCTGCCTGGGAAAAGCTGCGGTTTAAAAATGACAAATTAAATAATGTATTATCTCATTGAATCCTTACAGTAAATCTGGGTGATTGGAACTGTTCTATTTTTCTCTTATAAATGAGTTAAGTGATGCTCATAAAAGGTGATTTGCTCAAAGTTAACCAGTCAGCATCAGAGTTGAATTTGAACTTGGTTCAATACAGCTTTAAAGCATGGGATCTTTCCCTTGCATTGTACTACTGGTTAAGAGAGAGAGGTATGAAACCCTCGAATGCTTTATCAAAATATACCTGTCACTTCCTCTTCCTACCCACTCTTCAACCTCCAGATTTTCATACTCCTTATTACTTTCCCCCCAACAAAGTCTTGCAGTTATTTCTGATAAATGATACAACTGCCTTCCCTAATGACATTCTCCAATCCTCACCATCTCCATCACACTGAGAACTATGGCTTTTTAAAACATTGAAGTTAATTTTTCAGGATGTTCTCTGACAAAACTACATATAATGATATAAAATAGTTATTGATACTCTTTCATAATAAAGTGAGAATAAAACCTCATTCTATACATATATAGTGTGATTATAACCACTATACTAAAGAATTGATATATTTAAAAACTCAAATATAGGATATGTATGCTAGAATAATGAGAGAAATTAATTAACACTGATAATATTAATAAAAATTATCATTTCTACAATGAGACTAGAAAGGAGGAGGCCAGATGAGGCAGAGCTTTATGCTGTATTACATATAATACAAAGCTAGTACATTTTCTTGGCAAGTGAAGAGATATTAGGGAGATGATTTTTAGAGCTTAGTTTGACAGTGAAAGATGTATAAAAAGAACGAAGAGCCACACGTAGAGGCTGGTCTATGTCTGAAGACCACATCATGTACTGTGATGAAAAGTAATTAAAATGAAACATCAATGTTATAGATGCAGAAAGGGGCATAATCAAGCATCAGAGCCAGCTGTGGAGATAATTTACAGACTTTTATCTCACCAGCAAGATAAAACATACATATCTTCAAGGAAAGAAAGATTCCTATATGAAAGTGAATGAGCTAGTTATTAGTTTTGAAGAAATGGTGTCTTAGATAAGGTGATTTGTAGCAATAGCATTTAGATTTTACAGATACACCCAGTTCGGCAGGATGGTTGCTTCTACAAATCCAGTTAAACTCTCCCAAGTGACAGAAATCAAGATATGTGGGAATTATTTATGCTCAAGATGACAATTTTTATAGAAACAGTATCTATCCCCCCAAAAACATGGGCTATATCCTAAAAACCTGAAATTAATATTAAAAGCCGTAAATTCCCAGGACACAATTCTGGAAAAGTAATGTTTACTCTAAAATCATTTTATTGAGCACCTACTATGTGTCAGGCACTGTGCTAAGAACAGAGAATCTAATGAAGCAGGGCCTGAGTAAGACAGTCATAAACAGAAAATCCATCCTGTATAAGGTAGGCACTGACTCAACATGGGAGGGCACATCAGTCGATTCTTGCTGAGGCTTGAGAGATGAGGAGGTATAAATTATCCCTCATAATTCAAACTTAACCCAAGGTATTGTCCCTGTATTTACTGAACAAGAATGTGATATAGAAGAGGCAGTTTAGACCTCCAAGCAACCTATAGTTAATGGGTAAGATCTAGGTTGGAAGTGGCCTGCCACTGATTACCCTAGGCAACCTGGTTAACCATTCACAGCTAGTTGCCTAATCTGTACTATAACAATATTTATTGGATACTTACTGAGTGACAGGTGTTCTAAGCACTAGACTGGTTTTCTCATTTAATCTTCACAGCAACCCTATGCAATGAGAACTATTTACTGTCCCTATGTTACAGATCATGGAGAGGTTAGATAAGTGACCCAAGGTTGCACCCTTAGTAAGTAGATAACAAGCCCTTGCCACAGACTTGGGGGATGATTAAGTAAAATGATGTCTATAAAAAAATTAGTCTATACTTGGAATGGATAACCTGTTAAATGTGATAGTTATTATCTGTATTATTTTTTATAGCATACGACCCTACCTTATCTCAAAACATAGCACAATAACATTATTTGAAAAATATAAAGTTATTTAATTAAAATTTCCCCTGACAATATAATTTTTATTTATCATTCTTTTCTGTACACATAATTATTTATTAAGAAAAAATTTAAAAAGTACCTATTAAGTACAACACCATGCTGGGTATTGTGGTATAAAGTAGAAAAAAGTAGTCGAGGTGGCTACTGCAATGAATAGAACAGATTATAATGTTAATACCTGGTCTCAAAGGCTAGCTTGGTCTCAGAAAGTTCTTTGAAGCAAAAGGTTGTGTGCAGTGAAGATCTCACAGAATGTGGTCACCCTTTCAAATGATGACATCCTGAGGCAACTTAGCATTCAACCTCTCTCAAAAATCAAATCTGGCACAGATTATTTTCTAAAAAATAGGACTTTTCCCACAAATATTTTCTTCTTTTAAAATTAACACACCCAAAGGTTTAAGACTCAAATGCCTTACTTTAGGACTTGTAAGAGGTCTCTTTCACTGATCTCAATACCACTACGGTTTTCTCAATTTGCCCACTGTCACATTGCTAGCTTTCCTTTCTTCTCTAGAACATCAAGGGACTCTCCATCATTACGCCAATTATTTGTTTTAAACATAGTGAGCAACCCAATGACAAGGTTCTTAAGATTGAGGACTTCATATCATGTTATTTCCTTAAATTAAATGGAGGATATATGAAAAAGGAAGGGCCTGAGACCTTTATCAAGAGAAGAGTTGGGAAGATATGAGAAATGTATAGGTTGCATATGGAATATGTTTTCTCAAATACTGTGGATATCAGCATTAACGGGCATAACGCTGCTGTCTTCCCCATGAAAAAGGCTGCCATTTAAAGTTAGGTTTTGTGGAGAAGGAATTAAGCAAAATACCCAAGGTAGACAGGCTAAGGATATTCCATAGGAGAGGCCAAATACTTGAGAAAAGCATCAGAGCTCAGTCCTGGAGGTGTTTGTTGATTTATGTGTGGTTTCTCTGCATTACCTTTAATGGAAGAACAATTATGCCTGAATAAGACAGAAATGAGTAAATTAACTAGGTAAGATATAAGATCATAGATTTTTATAGCACCTTAGTGATCAGTTAAGTCAACCTTCTCATTTTCATATTTAGAAAAGAAAAATATGGAGACTCAAGGGAGAGGAAGAATGAAGTTCCCTGACAAGTGACTAAGACTTTTAGAATCTTATTTAGAGTTTTAGAGCCACAGCAAAAATTCTACAAAGCAAGCTCTGTATAAAGTAGTGGTGAGCACTGAATGCTGACAATAATAGCGGAAGCTCTGCTGAGATGATTAGAAGAGATGAAAGGAATTCATAATATTGGCTAAAGTCACAGTATCCTCCAGGGTTTATTCTCATGACCTAGAAAATTATAAGGCTATTTAATAATATCCCTTAACTTACATATTTTATTTGTCATTTTCTCCTATTTATCTTGGAGACATAAAAGAGAATTTAAATGTATAAATATTTAAACTGGGTTACATCAGTTCTGGTTAAAGTCATATTATGTTTCCTTATTTCCAGTACATTTCTCAGAGACTGGTGACACTTTCAAGTAAGCTTCATAGCGGTTTTGAAGAAATTTTTGTAAAAGCAGGTTACATATATATGGATTTGTGACATTCTAACATAAACCACAGAAAGGTTCCTATTAAAAAGGGAGCAAAGCTGAATCATTTTGGCTTTTCTTCCCACTGTGATTTTTATTCATTTGAAGATAAAATTCAAAGCAAACATCTTAAAGCTTCTGTTTGTCACCCAAGAGTTATTTCAAGGCAGCACAGGAAATCTCACATTTTCAAAAAATCAGGTCATGAAAATGGAACTGCAATCTAATTAATATGTTCATAAAACAGTTTCCACCACTACCAAATAAAACAACAACAACAATTAAGATCAACTCTGTATTCTTTGGAATCCCAAGAAACACAATCCATAGGAGACATTCTCATCACAAAACAGTTTCAAATTTAATAATTAAGAATTGTAACATTTCTGTCACATCTCTACTCATTTCCCTGACATAATACTTTGTGTAAATAATTTCTCAAGTAGAGTAAAACGTCTTTTATTGACTGGATATATTCATTCAACATCACTGACCTTTTTCCAACTTGTTTGACTGTCTTGTACTCTCTCTTCAATAACCTTTCCAATTCCCCCTAGTAGCTGTTCCATCATCTTACTAAGCTCCTCCACCTGCTCCTCCCTGGTCCTCTTTCTGAGATGTGATCTTGAATTCCATTTAATACTTCCCAGAGAAAACACAGGGCATAAAACAAAAACTCCCTCAGGCTCTCCTTCCACCTACCTAATCTCCACATTATCTGCATTCTCCCTCCTTTTCCTCCCCCTATCCCAGAGGGTGTCATGTCCACAAGTTTCCCAGCTCTGTATCAGAATATTTCCTTAGGGACATGCTTCCTACTCTTAAAAGTGCTTGGTGTTCTTCACTAGCTACTGTGTTTTTCTCCTCTCCTTCTCCTCTTTCCTCCTCTTCTTCTCCTCCTCCTTCGTTCTTAAGCAAAATTTTGAAAGAAGTAGTTTGCACAACTTTTCTCTGCTTTTATTACCCCTGAAATATAACTTACCCCCAGACACTCCCTTAAACCACTCTCTGAAGTATTATCAGTAACTACTAATTCCCAAATCCATCAAATATATTTTCACTTTGAAACTTAAGGTATTTGGATCAAGTCAGTTAAGTTGTTTCTCCTTCTGACTCCTGTAACAACTTGTATATATCTATATTAATATGCTCCATACTATACTGTAATTATTTGTTTCTGTGGCTGTTCTCCAGACTAGTTTATGAGTATCTCCAAGGCAGGACTCTTATTACATTCATCTGGGCATCCCCTATGAATAAATAACTCAGTGTGTTCCACCTGTTCCAATATAATTCACTAACCATGACATTTTTCAGTAACTCAGAAATTGGGCTATTTTATGATTAAAATGCTTCTTTGGCAATTGGATCTGATTTCAGATAATACTAATATTCTTTACTTGAGCACAAAATGAAGTTTAAAGACATACAATTAGTTGAATATTTTGAAGAAAGTAATAATTATGGCAGCAAAACCTAAAATGTGGATGATCTTTTATTTTTGGCAAAGCATTCTCAAAACCATTTCATCTGTCACAAAGTAAAGCTGGAGCCCGTATCAAAGCAGGGCCAGAGATAGGCAGTTTGAACAGGGCTCAACAATGCCCCGCAGAGATGGTGAATAGAGCTGAATTCATCTATGCTCCACACACCAAGTGTGTACCCAGTGGGAAGAGTGACTTTTGCTTTGAACAGAGGCTCTGTCCATTCACCAAGTACTGTAGTTTGCATTTCTACTTCATCTGTTCAAAGTGTGACACCTTTCCTAATATATCGTCCAGAGAGGCACTTTTTAGTGAAAGGATCCTATAGGCCACAGTGACCTTGGAAACAGAGTTCACCACAAATTCCTTTTAAATTTCTCATTCTGAGAAAATACAGAAAGAGCTGCTGACACAGTCTAAGTATAGGTCATTGTTCTAACATTAAAAGGAAGAGTTTCTCAAGGAAAGGCTATTCACATTCAGTAAGCATCCTACATACTTAGCCAGGCTGCTAAATAACAGGGTAAATCTGCTTATTTTCTCTGGTCTACTGCTAATCTAATTTTCAAAAAGATCCATAAACAAGAGTGCTAAGTCATCTGCCACAAGAACAATATGGTGGATTAAAAATATATTGGGCTCTAAAATCAGGCCAGGCCTGGTTTTGAGTGGGTCAGCTTCCCTAGCAATAGATATATGAACTTTCAGCAAGTTATCTAATCTCTGTGAACATTACCTTCCTCATCTGCAAACAGGGATTTGGATAAGAAATTCTCAGAAAGTTATATTGCCATTAAAGGATGTAACTTATGTGAAAACATATGGCATGCAGAGGAGTGCTCAACAGTGTTGATCTCTTCCATGAAGTATATGATAGTTATACAAGAGATTTTGGCATGTCATTGTCAACATTCTAATAAATTCTTCTTTTATTTTTTTGAGACAGGGTCTTTCTGTCTTGCCCAGGCTGGAGTGCAGTGGCATGATCATGGCTTATCGTAGCCTCAACCTTCTGAATTCAAGAGACACTCCCACCTTAGCCTCCCTGAGTAACTGGGACCACAGGCATGAACCACCATGCCCAGCTACCTTTAAAAAAATAGAGAGAGAGACAGGGTCTCACTATGTTGTTCAGGCTGGTCTCTAATAAATTGTTATTACCAATGTGCTATGAGATTTTCTTTAATAGCCTACTTCTTAACATGAAGTGGGTAAATATCTGCTGTAATAGTTTTCAAAAGTGGTAAAAACTCAAAGAGCTTTCAGAAGGTCACACAAAACATTAACACTCCAGAAGCTGAATTAGAAACCTGGAGTGCTTTTTTTAAATTATTTTTTTTTAGTTTATTTATGTTTCCAGCCAATAGCCTGATTATGTAGACTCTAGATTATCTATCCTTGAAATCATATATGGAGAGATATATATGTATAAATTTTACACAACATAATCCCTAGTTGTAATATATTGTCTTGGGTATGTTTATAGGCTGGTACTTCTCAAACAACTGGAAACGTCACCTAATAGTCCATCAAGTTATAAGCAGTTGCAGCAGTTATGGCTTGGAGACATTTTTGAGCTATTGCAAAAATGTGGATAATGCTATAGCTAGACAGAGTATTAATGAGCATTAACGTTTGTGGGATATGATTGAAAGAGGAGAGAAAAGGATGAGGGATTTTTTTAAAAAGGAACATTCGACCTATGGCAATAAAAAACTGGTTGTTTAGTTTTTTTGGGTTCTTCTTTGCATCTCAGAATTTGAAACTATTTTCAATTTTCCTTTACTTGCCTATTTTTCTCTGAACCCAAATACCTCAACATTAGTGTAAGTAACTCAGTAATAGTCAACTAAAAGGAAGAAGCAAAAAGGAGTGGAAAGTGAAGAATTTAAAAGAAGCTAAAACATCATACATTGTTAGTAAATAATTTTCATATGATGAGGAATAATTTCTTATTTTTTTCCTTTTGTAAGATTTCTAAGACCTCCCTGGCTTATGCCACTCAGTCCTTTGAAGATGTAACCTCACAGCGATTTAAAGTGCACAAACTATTTTACTACAGCAGAAAGGCTGCTAGGACTAAAGACTATTTTTCATTTCCATAAGTTGTAAGCACATTGATATTACTAATAACAACTTTGCTCCTCTATCATAGCATACTTAATCGAATTATTTTTAAAAACACTAAAACATAAACATTTGTAATTTCATTTTTAAATTCCAAGGTATTACTAGAAAAAATTAAGGGGCATACAGCTGATGGCAACAAAAGACAGTAAAATAGAAAGCCAAGAGAAAAGTTTTATGTTTAATAGGATCGATATCTCATATAATGGAAAATCTTTGCTACACTATATCTAAACCTGAATTTCTGCCTTAAACAATGGCTGACTTTAACATTGAGCCCTAGGGATTTGTGAACGAGATGAGTTTGTATAATTATGAGCTCCATCTAAACTTTATTGGTCCTAAGTGTTTACAAGTAAATTGTATTTGGCCCCAACAGGAATTCAGAATTAAGCTGGCAGTCTGGTATTTATATTTTAGAATTTCTGGGTTGTTCTGTAACCCAGAGGAAGAGATGTTAAAGAAGCAAGGTCAGCTATTACCTGCAATTTCACTGGAAGACAAGCAGACACTGCAATAATTTTAAGTTAACTAAAAGGAGCAAAGCTCCATTATCTTACATGAGACTTGATACGTCATTTCCTTCAACGTATACATAGTCATCAAACTCAATATTGCTCCCACCCCCTAAAATTCTAATAAAATATAATGTATTGGTCAGAACACATACTCTGGAAAATGCACTTCTGGATTGAGTTTCTGTAATTTCAATGTATGAAGAGGAGAAAACCTTAAAAGATGAAACTCTATGAGGCTAGATAGGAAGGATTATCTTTTCATTAGAAGGCAGGCCATTCTGACTTTCTCTGAATACGTATTCATTATATTAGTAGATTTAAACACATATACATGCAAATTATGAACACATATATGAATATATTATCAATATACTGATTTATATCTTGCTTCATTCCATAAAGGATTTAGATCAAAACAGAATAAAACAGTATGAGTTAGTTTATGAATTGAATGCTTGGTCTATAGAGGAACAATCAAACAAATAACTTTCTAGACTAAACCTTTTAGAAATTGATACCTGGAAAAGGACAGTCTAATGAAAGAATTTAGGGTCCTAGAAGAAGGAAAAAGATGCCTCCATGTTGAGTGAAAGTGCCACAGTCACCTCATTTTGCCTCTTCACTGGAGTTACCTCTCAGCATCACAAAGACAGTTTAAAACATTTAGATGTCCTACCTTTAAAAATTAAACCCTAAGCACCAAATAAGCAAATCATTAATCACCTTCCACAATCATTAATCCCAAATCTTCCTCTGGTGTCCTCAGAGGGGCCCTCCATGGCAGCATTCCACAGCCTCTCCTAGCCAGGGCCTTTAGCTTCTATCTTCCACTGTCCTTTTAGCCATGTGAATCCATCATTAAAAGGATGCAAAGGTATTTAAATAAAATGCCCTCCTAAATTGTTTAGCTATGAAATTCAATTGCATTCAACATAGCCTTGATGTTTCTGGCATGAAATTATAGTATTTTTACAAATAAGATTATAAAAAGTTGTTATATATCTTTTAAGTCAGGCAAAAAGCTGAACATGTTAGTCACACTGTGTTAGGTCATTCATGTTAGACCCTGGCATGTGATTCCAGGTCATAATGCTTCTAAAGGTCCTCTTAACTGCTGCTACATGAAATTTAAATTCCTAGAAAGCTGACTTGCATTTCCCTTCTTTCAACCATGCCATACTTGTTCCTGAATGCCAGGCTATCTCTCCATTCTAACAACTAGCCAGAAGGAAAAATAAGAAGAGCTATATAGTACTTATCTATCCAGTGAGGCAAACCCTTATCTTTGTTTGGCTTGGCAGTAAAAAGACTGAAAAGTGTAATGGAAAGAAGCCTTCGCAATAAAATCCTCCAGCTAATATTTCTAATGTAGCTTCAAAGAAGAAACACACATTCTTCATACCACTCTTTTAGCACGGAAGGGGTAGTGTTCTATTAAACCAAGTAATAGGACCACTTATTAACTTTAACTCATAACTGATAAAGAGTGAATTTGTAATACTATTGCTCAATAATCAACACACCAGCCCTAGGGCAGGTGGATGAGAGTACAAGTAGGAACTCTGTGCACAGGCTTCTATTTCAATTACTACTTCTGGTAAAATTTGAAGACTACCCTAGACCTCCTGTGTCTCAGCTTTTTCTCATTCTTGCTTCTCAAAAAGCAGGACAGAAAGAGGACCAGCACATGCCAAGTCCCGCCTCTCCAAAGGGTACAGAGCCTTTCTAGAGATGAGCTAGGGCTCGTGAAACCAAAGCACATATGTCTTTTACAATGTTTATTATTCCTTAGCACTGGCCTGTTGCCAACTTCTGATCGGTCCCTTCACGAAGAAAAGGCTCTAAATGTGAGAATGAGGATAGGGGGAGTCTTTGGAGATGAAAAGAGCAATTTGGCGAGACCTTTATTCTAAGCACGATAATTCACGAGCCTGAAATCTCACCCTATAGGGGCTCTTACAGTAGGACAAAGGGAAAGAGGGTTTTCTGTCAACAAACCCCTACAATCTCTTACTGCAGTACTGGAAGGGGAGGCTATAAATAAGAGGAAAACAACAACCATTGAGAAAGTCAAGAACCAAGCACAAAATTAATTAGGTCACCTGGAAAAAAACCACCACCTTCTTCCTTTGAGTCCAACATCATATTAATGAATCCCTGCAAGGGGCCCAGGAAGAGTAGGAGTTATACAGAGCATTAACATTCTACATTGGCTTAGTTTGGCCACAACAACAACAACAGATTGGTACGACATGCAGTGAAGCAGATGAAGGGTTACCTAACTCCAGGCACAAAAGAAAACCAACAGGACTCTCAACTTCTCCATACAGCTTTCAAACATATGTATTACAGATCTAGAGGAGCATGAATAAGCAAATTTGCATTCTTTCCAAAACTTCAGAGTTGAATAGCTTATTTCTTTCCAGTCAAAAGTATAGGTGAGGCTAATGCAATAAAAATAAAAAGTGCTTATAATTGCAGGCATTCAAAGAGTACATGGATCCTATGTATTACAACATAAACAAATGGGCTTAAACAGCAGAACTTAGGTAGAACAAAAACTGTTGCTTTGTAGCAAGGTACACTTGATAGAAAGGAGACTGGTAATTTCCCCTCCCAAGCAAATCTTAAGAGGTATAAAATGAACTCTGAAGAAAAGCCTAAGGCATAGAAGAAAAATAATTGACAAATGCCTACTACGTGCCAGGAACTGTTTCCAGGATCTTTTAATCTCAAGATTAAAGACTATTGATGTAAATTTGTCTGTAAGAATAATGAGGACCTTATTGCTGATGCCTGACCCTCACCAACAGAACAAGCAAGGCAATGGCACCAAGGCTCCCCCTGACTAGGAAACTCTGGTGATGCAGTTGGAAGTGGGCCACCGAGGTTTGCAGGCATGTCACCCAAGCATTCTAGAGACTGGGGATAGTAGCTCTGGTCAGCAAAAAAGGTAGATACGCCACAGCATCGACTCTGGATGGATCTGGTGTTGTTAGAAAATAAGCACCTGCCTAGAGTGGGAGAGGATGCCTCCCATCCTTCTCTGCAATGGATTTTTTAGCTGAAAGCCGAAAACTCTGTAACAAACCAGCAGGTGATTTTGGTGGTACCTTAAGCTCTCAGGGAGCTTTCATTTGAGACATTGTCATAAAAGCAGCTGGAAAGCCCTCCGAAACCTATATTTAGGTATCTATTATTCATCCAGAGTCCAGCCAGAACATTTACCTGAAAGATATACTTTCAAAATCAGACAAACTGCATTTCCAAAACAACCCATGTTAGCAGACACTAAGCCTTAACATGTGCCTTTATTATGCATTCACAAAGTTTCTGCTATGAAAGTCAGAATCCAGCTGACCCTAAAGGTATGGCAAAAACAAGCAATTTTAAAATAATGACCTTTTGCTCTTATAAATACCCTCAGCAATGAGTTCCTACACACATTTAGTCATAAACTCCAGCAAGAAATGGCACATGATATCACATGTCCAGGGACCTGAATGCATTGCATTGAACCTTAATAGATGACCAAATATCAAGGCACTAAGCAAGTTCTATGAGAGCCTGAGCACTTCCTGATTCATATGTTAGAATTCTACTAGAATTCTACTGGTTCATTCTGGTAGAAATATTTCTTGAATAGCTAAAATATCCTTAACTGTGAGGCACCAACACATTTTAGCATTATTTTAAAATTGAGTCAACATTCTAAGTTTCCCTTAACCTTCTTTTAGAAATTCAGACAAATTGATATATCAGAAATTCATGTGTGCCCTTCCCCAGGGAATTTTCAAATAAAAATAGCAAAACAACAAAAAACAAACCCTAAGCCTCATCTTTAAAAAAATTTATTAAATTGTTGCCATTCTCAAAGTTTTTTTCTTCCTCCATGAAATATTAGCAATTTAAATGTTCTCAAGTCCTCATGCTTGACTTATTTGGGGATGCTTCATATTAACAAAGTATTTTTATTGCATAACCATTACTTTCTCAGACAATATTCGGTTTTGCACAGTTTACTTTTCATTCTCACTTGATACCAATACTCTAGTTCAAGACAAATCCTCATCTGGTACCTGTCACGGAATTTGATAATTCTGAGTTTTACAAACTGAAGGGAATATTGATTACTCACCATATCCAGGAATGCCTTCTAAAGGGAAAATTATTCACGTGCATCATGTTCGCAGATCTTCTGTCATTAATATTTTTCTTGTCTCCTACGTTACATGTAGTGATTTTTACAGATGAATTCCAACTCTCTTGTTTGAGCAGCTATCGTGGGCAATTATTGCAACAAGTATTGAATCCCAAAAAAAAAAAAAAAATCTCCCCCCACCAATAAAAACAAATAGCAATTACAAAAGGCCTTCCAGGATTTGAAAAAAGAAACATCACAGAGCACTGCAGGTATGGGTCCATCCATTTAGGTTCCACTAGTTAGTCAACATACTAAAATAACCAGTTCAACTAATAATCCTAAATGGTGGCAAATATTGTCCTGGTAAAATCTAACCGCCTTGAGTGTAAATTAATGCATCCTTAAGGAAGGACTCTGGAATGTGGGAAGAAAGGAGTCAAAAGACAGTTTCTTGATATCCTTGTTAAAGAAGTGTTAGAAGGGAAATGGAAAACTTCAGGTTGCTTTGCCATGCTGTCCTTTAGAAATGAATATTGCTTTTTCTTCTTTCTTAGGCACATATTCATGTATGGTCACTTTAACGCAGTGCTACCGTCTGAGACGTGTCGGACAAAGGCCTGGGCAGAGGGGCTAGAAACCATGTATCACCAAAGCCAACTTCTTTCCCAGATTTCAGAATTGCTGGTTCAACTGCAAAAGTAGGAAGGCAATGAGTAATTTCTGCTCTGCAGGACAAGATTACCATTAACTACCATCATGACTTCAGAAGATGCTGTCACGATGAAATTCATTTCTGCTGCCTAACCCCATAATAAGGCTGGCTGTTCTCTTTAAGTAAAATGACTAAGCTATTGATCTTTTCACTGCAGAATCCCCTTTATTTTGTTATTATCAAAACCATGTGGGAGCTTTTCATATTTTGCCTTGGAAAGAAAATGAATTTCACAGCTGCAAGTCAGACGTTGTCTAAGAATTCTTCCCCCGATGTCTTTCTTTTCTTTTTTTTCCTCTCTCAATCTCTTTTGTTTTTCACCCCAAATTCAGTTTTCCAATAGGTGTCATTTATTCTGATGCTCTGACATCTTCTGAAAGATTCTCATGCCCAAGCTATACAGACCTTGCATGCTTTTAAAACACAATGGCAACAGGCTCCTGCTGGAGTCCCCCAGCGCCGAATTTCCAGCAGAACCTTTGGAATCCTCGCAGCCGCCTTGTCTGCCCTGGGCTGTGCCGCCCCAGCTCTGATCAGCTCAGGACACTTGCAGGCTCCGTGGTACTGTACATTAACTCTGCAGCAGCCTGGCTCAGCTGCAGAGACTGCTGCCTGACAGGGGATGTGCTGGCGTCAAGGGGGCCCTCTAGGTGGGTTCCCAGACATTGCAGAGCCGCGCACTCCTTGCTAACCTCCAAGTAAGAGCAAGCAAAAGGGGTTAAAGGAATAGCTCGCCCTGGAAGAGCAGACTTCTTTCAGTAATTACCAGGCAAGAAAAGCTAAACAAGGAGAAGCCTGTAAAACACCTCACAGGGAAATTACGCCTTAAACAAATACGGAGGGAGGATTTTTTGTTTGCTCGTTTTCCTTCTTACCCAGTGAAAAAAAAAGAAATAAAAGAAGTCCAGAGATAATTTGCAAATGATAGAGTTTGGTGGATTTCACTCCTTAAAAAAAAAGCACCGGGGTGGGGAAGCCTTGTTTACTTGATGATTTGTAACCATTTAGCTGCAGATGACCACATGGTGATTTTTGGACAGGAAATCCTATGGAAGCCGGTTCTGCAGAAGTCAGTTGTACTTCAATTGCAATTGCGCATGCCATAAAACTGCTTGTTTGATTAGGGGGTGTGTAGATATGAGGAATGCTGAGATAAAACGTTGCAATCCCTATCACTGATGTTTTGCATTTCTTCATGCTTGCTCCTTTGTTGCAAAAATTCTGTTCAATAATCCCCCAAAAGCACCCCATCACTGTTGATGCCATTTTGGAGCAAGAATAAAATAGTAAACTCTTGTAATAGTAGGTTGGCACTTAAATGGTATTTGTTTGAAATCAGTGGGAGAATGGACTTTGCAGTAGAAGTACACTCAACATTAATATACCACTTTTAACTTAGGTATTTAAAAAGGCTTTTACGCAATTGCTTGATATTAAATGGAATACCGGCAACATTTAATATAACATGCTATTATCTTCATTTAGGATTTCCCCAGTGAGGTCCTGTCATTGCAGAAAATATTACCCAAGATTGGGTGGAGGGCATGTCCCATAAATTCAAAACCTAGTATAAAGAAAACTAATCTTAAAAACCACCATAATTTGGAGAATTTTCATTTTGATCAAAAGATGATCCTAAAAGGAGGATTCCTAGGAGGAAGAAGAACTGGGTGATTCCTTAAAAGCAATGTGAACTTGTAGGTTCAGAAAGATGCCACTACAGCATAAAAGAATCTTGAGAATATTTGTTGAGATTTCCTGTAGCCTAGGCAGTGTCCTCATGACCCCTTTTTGCTAAAGGGACTAAATCTCTTCCATAAGGTCATTTGTAATCTGGCCCAGAAAACTTCAGCCTACATTGTTTTTAACAAGCTTTGAATGTTTTGAATCAAGTAATTAAAATTTTGATATTATATTAGACATTTAAATATTATTATTTAAGAGCTAGGAACATCTACAATGCCCCAGGTCCCATTCTAAGATAGTTACAGTATTACCCCATTTAATCCACACAACAGCACTATGAGTTAAGGACTGTTACTAGCCCTGTTCTCCAGATGAGGCTATTGAGGCACTCAGATGTTAAGTAGCATGTCTGAGGTTAAATATCTAGTGAGTCACTATCTGAATCAAGGAAGTCTGGCTCCAGAGCCTGTACACATTACCACAATATTCTAGCACCTCTGTAATCATAATAATACCACCTTGTTATACTTTTATACTTTCTAAAATATTATTGTTATATGTATTATTTTGGCATCACAGAATTATGCTGAGGAGATTAAGACATTTATTATGCCCATTTTGGAGATGCCAAAAAGATTGTATTTGTTCATTATCAGGCATCTTGTGAGCAGTAGATCTGGAAGAGAATTCAAATTATTTGACTCTGGTTAGTGATCTTTGATCATGATGATGATAATGATGGGTTTTAATTATTTTAAAACTAACATTCAGTCCTTATACAAGAGAGTAGGTCTCCATAGAAAGTAGCAAATGCAAAGATTTTTTAAAAAGATGTAAAAATATATTTTCCTTTGTAATGAACATCATTTATCTGACATTATTTTCTTAGTCCATTTTATTCTACTCTGTTCATATGTCAAACCATCACCTATGGGTGATAGGATAGTAAGAATACCTCTGAATCTTTCTCCACTACCACACAGTTCAACATTCAATACTTGTTAGCTACATTTCCATTTGCGGGCAATGATATAAGCAAAGCACTTTATAAATAAAATACAAATGATTTGGCCATTAAACTACTAAATATACTTAAACTAAGAGGACATTTTAGCTGAATATTTTTAAAGTGAATTTTCGTTGGATTTTTATTTTTATACATGCAACTGTCTAGAATAAAGTCTAACAAATTAGAACAAAAGGAAACACAACTGAGAAACTATGATAAATAACAGAAAAGCCAAATTTCTGCTTGAAAGATAGCAAAGAAAAAACTGTAATTTATTTCACAGTTCAGAGAATCAAGACTACACATTATTAAACAATCCAAAATTGAATATTTTTGCAGACATAAGGCAACAAATATAAAAGAATAGGCTTGCTTAGAAAATAGAAATAACTCATTTCCAGCATTTTATTCCATTTATATTAGAAAGAGGGTCTTAAGAGTTATGTCTACTAATTTATAGGCTGATACTTTACAAATTTAATACTTCCTACATGTATGGCCTTCAAGAAACAACAGTTAGGCAGAACTAATAGGTTTGTAATCTAAAAACAAGTTGTCAAAAATGAAAAAATGTTGTTGGGTTAGGGTAATGCTAATCTATTTTGTTACACTAAAAGATAATCATCCTTTCATGAAACTTTTAAGAAATATCAGGAAGCCAGTTCTGGTTGCTCATGCCTGTAGTCCTAGCTACTTGGAAGGCTGATGCAGGAGGATAACTTGAGCCCATTTCAAGACCAGGCTGGGAAACATAGACTCTGTCTCTAAAAAAATTAAAAAGAAATATCAGGAGTAACCATAAAAGATTATCTTTATGGCTAATCTCAGCCCCATTATTTTTATCAATACAGGAGTGCGAATTATTAGCAGGGCACCACAAATTGGCATAACCTCAGTGAAGTCCCTGCAGCTATGGCATAACCTCAGCTCTACTAGAGCAAAGACTGGTTTGTTGTTTTGTTTTGTGTTTTTTTTTAAATTTTAATCCCACAGCAAGCACAAGAGTAAGTGAACTTATATTAACTACCCTTAAATGAGGCTGATTCAATAAAAAGCTCAATTAATTGATAAACTACAAACTCAGAGCAAACCAAAATACTTTCAACATTTTCATTGAAAGATCGCTTAATGCATCCAGAATCAGAGCCAGAAGTATTAACTAGCCGGTGTCCCACGTCCTTTTCCAATAAAACCCTTTTCTCTCATGGTTATAGGGTTATGCTCATAAGAGTGAAGGTTTTCAAACTAAGTTTCTGGGAACCCTATGGTTTTTCAAAGTTGCATCAGGTCAGCTGAGGGGCAAGGTACTTTGTGCTGGGTCTAGGAAGCCAGGTACTTTGTGCTGTTTCAACAAGAGCTCTTCTGCTTTAACTAGTTTTATCTCAAAGTTTGATAATACATACAAAAAAAGTCTGGCTCTTTAAAAAAAATTACAAAAATGTAACAGTAGAAATACAGAATTAATACTTTCTACACAAATTCTTATCTCTGTAATATCAGTTTCAGTATTTCATCCTCTTAAAATGCCTTCAACTTACACACTTCCTTCACAATGAGCATAAAAGAATGATTAAGTTCAACCTTTATGCTAGTATAAGCATAGTATAATAAAGTCACACCCTAGTTCCTGAGGTTGGGTATTTCCTAGACTCTTTAGTCACTTGTACTTATCAGAGGGTGTGATGAGTTACTTCATTGATTTTCCCTGAGTTTCACTTTCAGAAAGTAACTTTAATGTCAAATGTTAAGGTATATTTTTTTGTCATCATTGCATTTTGGTATAATCAATAGCTAATGTCAATGTTTGCCTCTTAAATAACTTGATGAAATAAAACTCCTGTATATTTAGACATCAAAGAATAAAGACCTAAAAGATGACTTATTTATCTTATATGAATACCAATAATCAGTTCAGATATTTTTGGAAAGTCTCCATTCTTTCAAGAGGCTGGATTACTTTTGTCCCTTAGATGTCAAAAACAAAACACTTGGTCCCTGTATTCTACATATTGGGTTCATATAAATATATTTACACATACAAAAACTTCTATGTACTTTTCTTAGCACATTCTATATACTATTAATAACAGTATAAATACATTATACACAAGGATATAGAAGCTACTGTCACCTGGATATCTTGCAGGATGTGACTTTTTGCCTCAAGCTCCCCCCATAAATATATATTTTTTACCAATAAAAAATAAAATTTACATGAGTTTTCACATGTGTGTATGTATGTGTAATTATACATTTTTTTCTTTTTATTGCATATATCATCAACTAATAAAGAGGTGAGTGTGCCATCAGAATGAGACCTGAGGTGGCTGTGCTTCCAACCCCACCTCCCAGCAAGAAAAGAACATTCAAGACCAAATTCTCTATCTCACCTTTACAGAAAGCCAATCCCCCAGGAACAGAACAGTGTCTTCTTCTCTATATTTATAACACCAAAAACATTGTTGGTACTCAGTCAATGTTAACTAATAACGATGTTGATAGTCATGACTTTCCACTCCTGGCAAGTTCTAGCAAAGTCTGAAGGCATGCTGTTCTGAACATTTATAACTGAAATACGAGAAGCCTTTCATGAAGCCGCAGTTTCAGTTGCTGAGAGTCAGGGAAATGCATCATGTTTCAGCAAGTTGCTAGTAGCTACTACATTCAATTTCTACATATTCTCATAACCCAGGGTACAATCACCAATTAGAAAAGAAAAAATAAATTCATTAAACACCTAGTTTCATCACCTAAAACCAGCAAATGCTTTGTTGGGACTTTTCATGATTCAACTAATATAAAAAGCCATTTTGGATCATACTCCTCAAGGTTAAATCTTCTAATCTTAAATGATAAATTCTTTTACAGAAGAAAAATCTCATAATATGAAATATATTTCATAATTGGAATATTTAGAATGCTTGTTAAATTTTACTTTTAATTTTTTTTTTGGAAGTAGAAGACTTAAAAGCCTAATACTGAAATACAAAGAAGGCACTTAATATTTATACTTAAGAATCAAAAGTGGAAAAATGTTCACAGCAAGTTTAAAGACAAAAAAGTCAAATGTGTATACCATCTTGGAGTCCTAAGATGTGAACCCTTATTTTCAGGTTCTGCCTTTTACTTTTTGTGTAATTTTGACCAACGCATGAAACCTCTGTGAGACACAATTTCCTTATCCGTAGCATGGAAGTAATACAAACACTTAGATTATTATAATTTTAACTTATTATAATTTAAAATTTTTTAATAAGAAGAGCTCTTTAAATGTTGTTTGCATATACCTTTAAAATTTGCTTAGTAAAATATAATAAAATACAGATCATTTGTTTTGCAATTTACTGGAATCAAAATGGAAAAAAAAGAAAAAATACAAATAATGTAATGTCAAAACTACCTTCTGAAATGGAATTACATTTCATTTATATCTTAAGCTTTTCTAAAGGCTTTGTATAATATTTGTTTAGAAAATTCAAAGGAGCAAAAATATTTCTCATGTAATAAAATAAAGCCCAACTTCAAAACTTACTCATATTATCAGCTGGGCATGGTGGTTCGCACCTGTAATGGCTCTCAAAAAAAAAAAAAAAAGAGAAATGTTGTAAGAATGCACACTTATTCTTTCATTTATCCTGATTAGATGTATCCAAAATAGATTTGCTTTCACTGGAAATTTAATTGATTGTTACTGATTGATAATTTAATTAAACTTCTGATGACAGTTCTTCTATCACTCAACCTCCCAGTAAAAAAGTAACATAATCCAGCTTTCAGTTCCTCACATAAGGAGCTTGGAAGTTGCCAATCTGTCCTAACAACAAAAAAGCTGAACAAACTGAAAAATCAACTCTTCTTAGATCCATAAGAGAAGTGAGGTCACAGGGCAAACTGCTGCCCAAACCACTGGTGAGATAGACAGTAGGCTATGGAGAATCACAACATACCGGAGCAGAAACCTCCAAGAGAACCAGTGCTGGGGTAGAAAAACCTCAACTATAATTGACAAATCGTTAGAGGCTGAGTGCAGGCAAGTCTGAAAGTTGAAAAACTCCAGAGGAACCCAGTAATAGGGAGGTCCCCACAATTCTGTGTGTTTTACCTCCAGGAGTGCTACCAAGTTCTCACAGTAAATATTGGAGAAAAATTCTCTCATGCTTCCAGCAAGAGAAGGGAAAAAGTACACATCTTTAAATCTGCTGAAGCTTGGTTCTTCCTGAGGAGAAACTAGTTAATCAGAGCCTAACCTGCTGGGGTTTTTTGTTCCATTTTGTTTTGTTATATTAGAGCCTCACTGACCTGGGGAAAGAAAAATGCCCAACTCCAGCCCACTCTAGCCTACCATCAAGGAGAAAGGAAATACTCAATTCCAGCCCACGTTAGCCATTCTCTCTCACCTATGGTATAAGAAAAAAAAAACCTGAAAAACACTTAGGAGATTCACAATCCAGAGGCCCAGGCTCACCAAAAGTCTGAAACCTAATTATGGAATGATAGAAAGCTTCCCCTCCACTGCCCCTTACCACACCACCACCCACATAACTTTTTTATTTTATTTATTTATTTATTTATTTATTTATTTATTTATTTATTTATTTGGCAGAGTTTCGTTCTTGTAGCTCAGGCTGGAATGCAGTGGCACAATCTTGGCTCACTGCAACTTCCGCCTCCCGGGTTCAAGCAATTCTCCTGCCTCAGCCTCCCCAGTAGCTAGGATTAGAGGTATGTGTCACCATGACTGGCTAATTTTCGTGTTTTCAGTAGAGATGAGGTTTTACCACATTGGCCATGCTGGTCTCAACCTCCTGACCTCAGGTGATCCACCTGCTTCCACCTCCCAAAGTGCTGGGATTACCAGGCATGAGCCACCATGCCTGGCCCACCCATATAACTTAAGGCCTATTTACAGGAGTTCCTTTTATCCAGTACATGCCCAGCTATGAAGAAAAAATTACAATGCATAGTTAAAGGCAAAGAACACAGTTTAAAGAGACAGAAGAGGCATCAGAACTAGACATGCCAGAGATGTTGGAATTATCCGTATGATACAAAAATGGAAGATATACATCAATATAAATTTGTGCAAACCCATAGAATATACAATACTAAGAGTAAATTCTAATGTAAGCTATATGTTTTAGAGATAATGATGTATCAATGTAGGTTCAATTGTAAAAAAAAATGTACCACTTTTGTGGGGGGGATATTGATAATGGGGTGGCTATGCATGTGTGGGGGTTGGAGTAAATGGAATATCTCTGGACCTTTCTGTGAATTTTGCTGTGAACCTAAAAATGCTTTAAAAAATAAAGTTTTTACAAAGTTACATGACAAGCATTAACATTTTATACCCAGAATATGTACAATTTTTATACAATTTCAAATTTATGGATGCTAAAATTGCTATTTGTAATGTCAATAGATTCCATTTTCTTTACAATTGCTTGAAGCAAAGATGTAATTTTATCAAGAATGTTTAACACATATTTTGACAATCTATTTATAAAATCTGAAACTTATCACATAGTTTCATTTTAACTAGATTCAATATCATTTAAAGTTTCTTTTTAAAGAGGAAACATTATTTCATTTAGGAAACCATGCAAGTTCAACATGGGAAATACAAAAATAAAATAAAATAAACACACAAGAAAGAAGCAAGTCATCCATAATTCCATTCCCAAAAGACAAGTCAGTATACTTCTTTCCAGTCTTCCTCCCCTCCAGGAATAGTGGGTTTACCACCGATTTTTATGTTGTTGTAAGAATATTTCACCGACCTCTGAATTTGGTAAAAAGTACTGCCTGGAAAAGAACTCTTTTATTTGCCAGATGGCACATGGTAAAGAAATTACCATGAAAATACTCAAACCTCTCCACTCTCACAGGTTTACTGGGGAAGGCAGTTCAATCAGATGGGGCTTACAAAAGTTATTATTCTCTTTAAAACTCTTGTGATGAATTTTTACCAGTAGATGATCTCAAGAGGGTATTCCTCTGGATGTTTCTATTCTTAACTCTTTAGTTTTGATCCACCTTTAGGTCTGCTTGTATATTTCTTTTTAAAAATCTTAAGTAGTATATCGCTGCATATACTACTACAGTAGTAGGACATAGTAGATGTATTGTATGGTCCAGGTAAAACTAAGAAATTATTCTTCCTACTTTTAGAATGGAATACAATGTGTGGTCCACCATATATATTGTCAATCTAATTTAACGCTTCTTTAATATTCTGCCAGTACTGGTTTTTAGTGCTTTTTAAAAATTATATATATATATATTTTTGCAGTGTTTTCAGTCACTTTAATAGGAAGCTGGAAGAGGCTGCATCAGAGGCTGCAGGTAAAATGCCATTTAAAATCCAAAGGCCCCATCCACCACTTCTAACCCATGCACATATATAATTACACATCATTGGCAGTTAACAGAGTTAGGTATAAAAGCAAATATGACTATGTTATTTACAAATACATATATTTGTATATATTTATAACATATGTATATTACATATATATATACAGACACATATATGAAACATTAAAAATGAAAATATTTCATTTAGAAAACCATGCAAGTTCAACACGAGAAATACAAAAAAAAAAAGAAACACACAAGGAAGACACATATACATGTATTTTTATTTCGGCATCTTGAATTGACTACGCAGAGACATTGCCACTCCATTTTTAAGTTATTTTTGAAATAGATGACTAAAGATTATCATCAGCATGTAGTGGGGTACATGCTCTAGGGGTAGTGGGGTTTTCTGGTCTGTTTTGTCCTTGGTATATCCTCTAATGCCTAGAATAGTATCTGGTGCATAATAAGGACTCAGAGTCCTTATTATCTTGACATTGACTTTGTTAAGTATTTTATTATCATAAATATTTAATAAATGAGTCTCTATACCAAACATGATTACTTATGTCTGCCTATGTTTCCTTCTAAAGACCTTGCCTTTCCTACACTTCACCATTATAAAATCTGATGGGAATAAGCATGATAACTTGACTCACTGACATCTGATTCATTTACTAGGCAGCAAATATTAATATTTGCTCTTTGGAATGTGAAATGTCCTAAGTGAAATTGAGACTCTAATCAGTTCAAGGTGGGGTTGAACCAAAATGTCCTGTAGACTCAGGGGCTGAAGTTACCATTTTGGGTTCAGTGCAAACTGATAACTAAAGAGACAGTGGCAATTACAGGGAGAAGGCAGGAAAGAACAGAAACACAGAGACAAAAAGAAATCGGTGATTGTATGGCCCCAAAGAGAGTAGCTGCCTTAATTTCAGTTTTCCTAATCCAATAGGCCCTGCTATACTTGTTTCTGTTAATTTCTGTATCTTCATAGTAACTATGTTCCCCCTTTTCTACAGGAGCTAGTCTGAGTCAGCTTCTTTTTTTGCAATCAACATTGTGATGAGTCATCATATAAGAAACCTTATGTTGCTATTCATAAATTATTTCCTTCCCTCCTGAAATAAAGTCATTTAAAATTAATGCTATATTGTAATATTGAATAGCTACAATGAATGAACTTGACATTGAATTAATGGTTACATGATCAAGTGGCTTAAATTAAAATGCACAGAGTGGCGTTAACAATGTATCTACATCTACATCCACATCTAGATGTTCTGGAGACTGTTCTTTTTCTCTGACTGACATCTATTACACTTCCAATCAAAATACTAGCTTCTCATTTTCTCGAACCCCTTTTCACAGTTTTCTTCATTAAATGTCAGTTTGTTTCAGATAAGGAGAGGTGAGAGAGAGAGAAAGAGAGAGAGAGAGAGATTTTGGAAAAAAAAGAAATACTGTGATATTTTTAGATTTATAGAGAGAATAATTTAGTACTCAAAAGGCAGAATTCCTTTTTAGGAAAAAAAGGATATTCAGATAAATTTTTTCAAATAATCATTTGAAAGCTTAAAAATATAAAAATGTATTTAAACTAGAACCCAATAATTTAGAATAATTAATAGTTTCAAAGTCACTGTAGTATAATTAAGTAGAATAATCTTTGCATTCAAGTGTAGAATAAATTCAAGGCTAGTTATTAAATACTAGTTGCCCATTGTGGACAGATGCCCTCTCATTCACCTAGCATTTTACACACTCTTCCTTGCTGTTTTTAACATTCTGACTCGAGGGTGAATCTATAATGCTGAGCACTTGAAACTTTTAACTCGCCTACCTCTCTCTATAATTGGCATATTCCATTCCTAAAAAAATCGCAATAGACTATATAAATCACTTAATAGGCACAACAAAGCAAAACATGAACAATACACGTCCCAAACTGATGAGACACAAAACTATTAATGTGAAACTGAATTGCCTAGCTCTGTATCTTATACTTTTCTCTCTGGGAAGCACATTTGAAATGTGGGAAATAATTCAATGGGGAATATAATGTGATTTTATCTGTTGTTTTTAGTTCCAAGATTTGTAAAATACATAAAGACACAAAAGAGCTTTAAAATTTTCCACAAAATAAAGTAGCAAACCTGATCAAATAGTAAATTCATTTTTAAGATTTCTCCTCTTTTCTCACTGACCCTCCCTTTCCCTTTAGATTAGCAATCAAACAGGGACTGGAGCAAAAATAAAAAGCAGGAAGTGGGCAACATAGCACATGACAAAAAAGGATTTTGTTGTCAGAATCCTCAGCACGTTTTATTGATGTTTGAAATTCCCAACTCATTTTCAAAATGAAAATGCTACAGGAAGCAGGAACAAAGTTAATGAAAATATAAATGCACTTTTCTCCTCGTCTTCCATAACCACTCACTGATTAGAGGCACAGTCCATTTGAGATGAGGCTGCTGCCTGTGTGTGTGGGAGGGTTGAATATTTTTTGCTCTGGGAGGAGCAACTGTGATAGCCCCAAATCCCTGACAGCCTCTCTTCATAGACTGCAGGTCTAGTGTGCAGGTGATAGTGCTAAACTCCCAGTCCAAGGGAGTCTAAAGGAGGAAGCCGTGAAGAAAAAGGAAAGTGAAACAGTGGACTAGGACAGAAGGACATTACTATTAATACTAATTTTCAGCCAGTGCAGTGGCTCACACATGTAATCCCGGTGCTTTGCAAGGCTGAGGCAAGAGGATCCTTTGAGCCCAGGAGTTCAAGGCTGCAGTGGGTGACAAAATGAAACCCTGTCTCTAGCAATATAAAAAATAAAAATCCTAACTTTCCCATTCCCCCCAGTGACCTGCTGTTTTCCACACCTTGAATGCACATCTCTTTTGGGATCCATTTGCTGGAGCAGAGGTGTTTTAAAGATCAGAAGCATATTTGCTAGGAGGCATAAATAATTTTCCCCTCAAATATTAGAGTAAGAAAGGGGAAGCACGCAAGAAAGATACAAATATGATATGGTATTGTCAAGGTAGTTAAAAATATTTGTAAATGGATATCAATATTGTAACATATTTGCTGAAAATGAGGACATGTAGTAGATAGCAAAATGCTGTTTTTTGCTTTTTCTTTTTTTTTTTTTGAGCTCTTGTTGCCCAGGCTGGAGTGCAATGGCGCAATCTTGGCTCACTGCAACCTCTGCCTCCCAGGTTTGAGTGATTCTGCTACCTTAGCCTCCCAAAGAGCTGGGATTACAGGCACCACCACCACACCCAGCTATTTTTATTTATTTATTTATTTTTTTTTTATTTTTAGTAGAGATGGAGTTTCACCATGTTGGCTAGGCTGGTCTTGAACTCCTGACCTCAGGTGATCCGCCCACCTTGGTCTCCCAAAGTGTAAAACACATTTTATTTGCTTTCAAACTGTCCCTTTAAACTTTATTTATAAAGAACATCTTATGACTTTTCTGGGTACTGTTAGGCAATAGAGACCTTTGCATTCATGCTAAACCATCATCTCAGACTCTATCCAGAAATTAGAATGTCCATTTCAAATTGTAACCCAAAACTCTAAACTTGATTGAACTTACATTTTCTCCCCTCTCCCAGCTGGGCCCACCACAGAGTCTCTGTGTGCAGTGGAGTAAGTGGGTGGCATTGAGACTGGGTTGCTCTTCCCCTTCCTTGGCTATCCAGGCTGGCTAGCCGTTGGTATTGACTCCTCTGGGATTGGAAGGCACAGAAAGTGGTGAGGAAAGGAAGAAAAGAGTTTTGTTTTGTTTTCCTGAATTAGTGCCATCGTAAGATGGCATCACATGTTGGAGACCTGGCAGATGTTGAAAGCTGCCTCTTTGTCTCATGGTACTTTTGTGGGTTCATAATTGGTATCCCTGCTGGGTCCTCTGGCTGCAACTCCTTTGACTCAAGCAAGAGCCTTGTTTTCCAATTGCTGCTGATTAACCAGCACCCCCATCAAGGCCTTGGTTTTCTAGTGGTTCCATCCCTACCAACTCTTGCTCTTGGAGCCAAACTGGCTTTCCCAGATGGTCCTCTTGGGAAGGACATCAAATGGCTGAAGGCCAGGTCTCTCTTTGAGCTTAATGTGAGTTAGATAACTGCAGCCCGCTTTAAGAGAGGGTAGGGTTGGACTCACGGCACTACTCAGTTCTCTCTCTCTTAAAAATATATCTTCACAAGTTCTTGCTCAGGCATGAAAGGGTGCATTTTCTGCCTTTGGTCCTGGTGTCTGGCTATGACTGTCCATCCTGTGTAAATGAGGAGAGTAAGTCTGAGCAAAAGGACAAAGTGCTAAGATGGCAAAGCAGAACCTGGGTGATGTGTTTGAACCTCTTAATAACCTACCCTGGAATAGCCTACCTTGAAAATTCATGTTATAAGACAGTACATTTTCCTCATTTGTTTTTGTTAAGCCATTAAGTTGGGGGCTCCAGACTTGCAACCAAAGGCATCTTAACTTAAGAAGTTTACCATAAATATTTATTATAACCCACACAAGGGGATGTCTCAGTAGGTAATCCAGTTAGACAGCAGAGGAAGTTTATGTTTCCTCACTTTTCTTCTTCTTTCCAAGTAGCTGGTGGGTGAGCTCATCTGCTACAAAACACACTTCAAAATAAGATCTTTAAGTTAATTTTCAAATTGAAATTGCTATTATTGAAACAACAGTTGTGATAGCACCTGCGATAACAAATGTAAATAAAAACAAATAAAAGCTATGCTCAATTTGTGGACCCATCATTTCTCAGTAGGCTTGGATCTCTAGAGTTCATGGGGAGACCCAAGAGGTTTCTAATATTACAATGTATTACCAATATCCAGGGCAACAATCACATTTCATCTTAGAAAATCAGAAGATGATGTATGTGCCAAAAACCTTTGGAAATTGAATTGTGCTTTATGCTGAATTCTGTTTGGAGGATCTAGCAAGGACCCATTTTACTGTTCCATCCTATGATGTGGGTGTGCTTATATTAAATCACTTTCAGAGAAACACTAGGTGACTAATTTGTGACAATGATATGTTTGCAGACTAACACATTCGTAAGAACAGCAGAATAATGAGCTAATTTGTAACGTACCAGATGGAATGTACTGAAAGCTAGTGGCCTAAGCTATCATAATTGTCCTTTATAATCCAAGAAGTCATTTCTAGTAATCTTGCTACCCACAACATTGTTTTTATATAAACAGGTCACAGTAGAACTAATCCTCTTCCCGTGAAGGCAGGCCTCTGTTATTTCAGTGTGCTTGCAACTGGGGAGCTGCTGCAGTGTGTGGTTCTGGTTTGCTTTTTTTTTTTTTAACTCCTATGTCTGAATGGCACCCTATAATGAGGGATCATTAATCTTAACTGTTCTGTAGCCCATGTCATTGTTGTTATTTTCTTTTGAAGTTGTTTCTTCCGTAATTTACACACATTTAGGTATATTCAAATTTATACTTGAACTGTCTTTCTTTTTCCTCTATGTTTGTGTGTTCCAGCTCACTGAAATAGGAACTGAATCCTCAGCACTTTTGAGACTGCCCATCCCAAATCAATCCAGTGATTACTTTAACCTTCTTATCATTAGTCTCACTCCCTCTCCTTTCGTGCTCAACCAAAACTTGAGATTTATAAATCTGAACCCCAATTTCAGCTCTTTCTCCATTACATCTCCTCAGAGCCCCAAGTGTAAACTAGCTAACTTGTACTGCTAGGTTAATAGAAATTTTTCTAAAAGAATAACTAATATCAATTTTCCTCAAACTCTTTCAAAAACTTGATGGGGTGGAATACTTCCAAACTCATTTTACGAATCTAGCATTGCCCTGATACCAAAGCCAGAGAAGGACACTACAAAAAAAGAAAACTACAGGCCAAAGTTTCTGATGAATATAGATGCAAAAATCCTCAACAAACTAGCCAACTGAATTTAAAAACACAATAAAAAGACTGTTCACCATGATCAAGTGGGATTCATCCTAGGGATGCAAGGATGGCTCAACACACACAAATCAATACATGTAATATATCACATTAACAGAACAAAGGACGAAAACTATATCATCATTTCAATAGACGCAGAAAAAGCACTTGACAAAATTGAACATCCTTTCATAATAAAAACCCCTCAACAAATTAAGTATAGAAGGAATGTACTTCAACAAGCAAAGGCCATATATGACAAACACATAGTTAACACCATACTTAACAAGGAAAAGTTGAAAGCTTTTCCTTTAAGATCCAGAGCAAGAAAAGATGGCCACTCTTGCCACTTCTATTCATTATAATAGAAATTGCAGTATACAAAATCAACATACAAAAATCAGTAGTGTTGATATACACTAGCAGCGAACTATCTGAAAAAGAAATTTTTAAAATCCCATTTATAATAGTTACAAAGCTGTATAACATTAAAGATGACACAAATGAATGCAAAGATAGTTCGTGTTCATAGATTGGAGGAATTAATATTAAAATGTCCATATCTGAAACAATCTACAAAACAATCTACAGATTCATTATAAGCCCTATCAAAATTCCAATACCATTCTTCACAGAAACAGAAAAAAACAATACTAAATTTCATATGGAACCACAAAAGACATTAAATATCCAACTCAACCTTGAGCAAAAAGAACAATGCCAAAGGCATCACATTACCTGACTTCAAAATACACAACAAAGTTGTAGTAACCAAAACAGCATCGTACTTACATAAAAACAGACATATAGACCAATGAAACATAATAGAGAGCCAGAAATAAACCCCTACATCTACAGTGAACTTATTTTCAACAAAGGTGCCAAGAACATACATTGGGGAAACACAATCTCTTCAATAAATGGTGCTGGGAAAACTGTATATCCACATGCAGAAGAATAAATATAAACCTTTATCTCATACCATATATAAAAATCAACCTATAGTGGATGAAAGACATAAATGTAAGAATAGGGGAAAAGCTATATGACACTGATTTAGGCAATGATTTTTTGAACATGACTCCAAAACCAAAGGCAACAAAAGCCAAAATAGACAAGATTGCATCAAGCTAAAAAGCTTCTGCACAACAAAGGAAATAATCAACTGAGTGAAGAGACAGCCTACAGATTAGGAGAAAATATTTACAAGCTATACCTCTAATAAGGAATTTGTATCCAAAAATATAAGAAACTCAAACAACTCAATGGCAAGAAAATAACCTTATTGAAAAATGGGCAAAGGAACTAAAAAGACATTTTTCAAAAGACTTACAAATGGCCAACAGACATATGAAAAACTATTCCACATCACTAATCATCAGAAAAATGCATACTAATACTACAATGAGCTATCACTTCATACTTGTTAGAATGGCTATTATCAGAAAGTCAAAAGATATTAAGTGTTGGCAAGAATGTGGAGAAAAGAGAACCCTTGTACACTGTTGATGGGAATGTAAATTAGTACAGCCATTATAAAAAATAGTATGGAGGTTCTTTGAATAATTAAAAATAGAACTACCATATGATCCAGCAATCCCACTACTAGGTATATATCCAGATAAATCCTGCATGATCTCATTCATATGGGAAATTTAAAACAGTTGAGCTCATAGAACTAGAGATTAGAATGGTAATTACCAGGGGCTGGGGCAACTGGAAATGGAGGTGCAAGTGTGATATTGATCAAAGGAAACAAAATTTCAGTTAGATAAGAAAAATAAGTTCAAGAAATCTATTGTACAATATGGTGATTCTAGTCAATAACAATATGTTGTATTCTTGAAAAATGTTAACAGAGTGGATATTAAGTGTTTTCATCACAAAAATAACCATGTGAGTTAATGCATGTTAATTTTCTAGATTTAGTCAGTCTACAATGTATATATACTTCAAAACATCATGTTGTAAATGATAAATACACAATTTTATTGGACAGTTAAGAATATAGATATAATTTTAAAATTTACTTAGATGTATATCAAGACATGCCATATGTTTGAATACAGTCTTGTAAAAACAGTTTTTCTGAAGAAAGCGTGGTTTTCTGGAAGGAGCACAGGCTTTTAGTATCATCGGACAGACCTGAGTCTCTTATTACCACTTTATTTACTTAGTCTCATTTCCCAACCTTAACCAAATCTTAATTTTTTCGTCTGGAAAACAATGATACATATCTCCTAGATTTCTTCAGGATTACATTAGAAGGTATAGATTAAATCATGTAGCACATGCAAGTACTCAATGCATAGTTGTTTCCCTTGATTCCTCAGATGTTTGCCATTTAACCTGCTGACTGCAATGGTGAGAATGTTAAATTAGGGAAGCAAGAAAACAGCAGTGTAGAAATAGGAGAAGGATGAATAACATAAGCTTCTAAGAAGCAATTATTAATGCAACGTAAGCTGGGAGGGTCGACTGTAAACAGCCATGGTATGGTTTTGGTATCATTTGCCTTAAGGAGAGTCTATAAATTAGAGTAAGACCAATAACCCAGAAGAAAAATGGGACATGGATGCAAATAACCATCACAGAAGGGGAACTATAAATAGTCAAAAGCCATTTGAAAAGATCTTCAATCTCACTGATAACCAAAAATAAATCAAACTACAATGAGGTATTTTGCCTATCACATTCGTTTAAGATTTTTTTTAAAAGACTAAAAATATGCAGATTGTGAGGGGGTGGGAAACAGTACACCCATACACAGTTGTTAGAAACATGGATTAGGAGAGACATTTTGGAGTACAATTTAGCAAATTTTTAAAAATGTAAACCATACATACCATTTCAGAACAATTACATTTGTAAGAGTTTATCCTACAAAAATGATTGCTCAAGTGCACACAAACATACACACACATACACACATTCATTTTGGCACTGTTTATAAGACCAACAAAACAACAACAAAAGTCTGTTTCTTTCTCTCTGACCAGATATTAAATTCCTGGGGAGAAGGTCAGACCTTTCTACCTCCTCCCCAGTAACTTCCAAACCCGTAAACATGTAACAGGGTTGAAGGTGCTTAAAACTGCATATTGGCTGACAAAACATCAGAATATTTTTATTATGTATAAAGACAATTATATAGATTTATAAAATTTGTAACTGACTTGCTATTTCCAAAGGTGAAAATAAGTATTCAATAATTGGCAATGCAAAAGTTTATTTTTTTCTATCCATTGGAAATTTGTGAACATTTTACACAATAATTGAGTTTTATCAACTTTCCAAATATAAGTATTTCTTATTTGTATTTCAGATAATAAATTTGTTATTTCTAGAGACTTAAAGTATTTAAAGAAAATCAAAACATCCCATCAAACACAATTTTGTTCTTAAGTCTCTCTTTCTTCTTTTATTCTCCAACCCTGCCTCCCATGGTATATACAAAGCTTTGCTTTGCTGCCAGACTTTCTCTAACATCTAAAAAGTGTAGAAAGCACCGTTATTATAGGCTAAAATTGATCTCATTTATCCCAGGAGTACCAACATTCTCAAACAGGGGTTCAAACTCCTGTTACTATAATTCTTGGGCCTGTTATTTCAATGAGAATCTAATTTTCTTGCAATAACAAATGGGGAGATGGGAGACAGTGTCTTCCAATTACAAAGACCATGCTCCTGATATTATCAGCAAAGCGTACCTCTGGGTCACTTTCACCAGAAGCAGGTTTGGGCCTTAGTTACACCCTCTGGACCAAAGTGATGTGAATTTAAGTGTATTTGTTAGTGAACTGTCTGATCTGGGCTATGGAACAGACTAAATGGAACTAATCCATCTAAACGGGAAACTCATTAGACAGGTAGTCAGCCTAACTTGGCTACTTTATTACAGATAGATCCAATATTAAAAATAAGATCCAATATTTAAAAATAAAATAGTACCTTCTTTTTCAGGGAGAACTATACTAAATAAGAACAGTTGATATACATATATTCATATGTAGATGCAGACATATATAGATATATACATATGTATATACATGAATATACATGAAGTAAGAGTGTTACAGTATTCTCAGAGCAATGTGCTAGGAAAACACCCTTTCATCTATGTGAACCCCAGATCAACTCGTATAAATTCTGTATTTGTATGTTTCTAGCACTATAAATTGAGCTGAGCTTCTCAAAAGAATACATTGTATTAACTAAAGGAATTCAATTAATAATTAGCAAAGAAACTAATCAGCTTTCTTCCACATACCATTTAGAAACATGCAACAGCACATTGGAAATGGCAGCAGGAGGAGAGTGAAATAAAGTTAATATTTTTTCAAGTCTGTCTTCTGGGGAAGACTTTGTGCATTGAGACTTAGACAAGTTATTTCCTTTAATACAATAACCTTATAAAGCATGTACTAATATTCCCCAGTTTATAGATGATGAATCTGAGGAACCTGGAGAGGTTAAGTTACTTGCCCATGGACCTGGAGAGTAAATGGCTGAGCTGTGCTTGGACACCAAAACCTACCTTTGCCCACCATACTGGGAGACCAGAATTGTCCTGTGGATTCGGAGAAGGCTGGACAGGACTGGTTGGAGGGGATGCAATTATGGAAAGAGTAGATGGAGTAATAAAGAACATAACCTTCGTAAGTAGTAAATGCCAGGCACTGTGCTCAATACTTGACTTGCCTTTCCTCATTTAATCTTCCACAAAAGTACTACTAGTTTGTCCACTTTACAGTGAGGAAAACAAAGCACAGAATAGTTAAGCAAATCACCCAAAGTTACACAGCCAGTTAGCAAGTCTTACAATTAATTCATAATATTATTTCATTGTTTATTTTCCCCATATTCATCTCTCTTTTTGTTTTCTATTTCTTTCTTACAGAAGGGGGGGAAGGGGACATGTTTTATAATTTACTGATTTCATATACCTTTGGAAGTTTTAGTGCCTTTTGGTTAAAAAGTAACCAATATTTTTCCCTACGTTTCAGATGCCAAGAGGCTATTTAGAGATATTGGGAGGCACTTTACTGACGTTCTGCTTATGTCAACAGATACGCGTAGAATTAGGCTGTAATTTGATTCCTAACCCTATTGATGACTTCCTAAACCCTCATCAAAAACATTTTGTTTTAGTTCCCCATATGCAAAATCAAAATAAAGAGGTGTCTTTGTTTAAAAATGCTAATATATGATTTGGCAAAGGCTGACATTTTATCTTGTCTCCTTGGCTGCTGTTTTAGGATTATTCATCTAGCACTGACTGAGTGCCCAGCATCCATGCCCCTCCCCTTTCCTATTTATTATCAGGCTGCTGCAGTGCAGCGTTGAAACATCTGATCATTTAGATCATTAAAAATCAATCCAATGACCAAATAGTTCTGTACGTTTTAGAGAAATGACAGAAAGTGCAGTATTAGATTGCTATTAACTTGCTCTGGGGTTTTCTTTTTACAGCTGCCAGGAAAGTCATTTGGTAAAATTGATTAAACCAGCATGCCAAGGAGGAGAGCGGAAAAGAGCAGAGAAATGCAAACACAGTGAGCTTGGAGGGGAGGGCAATGTTTTTCTTGGGAATGAAGTGAGATGTCAGTAGAGGAGGCAGCAGGGGGTAGGTGGGAGGAGAAACCTTGCATATAGTGAGCATACTATAATTAGAGGTACAAGAGATTCAAGATGGTAGGATACAAGGAACCACAATGCGGAAACAATAAAGGAAGGAAGAAGGAATGAAAAGGAAGCAAGCTATCCATGCGCTTCTAACATACTGTCTGCATTGGTTACACTGCACAGTTTGTCTGAATTAATCCAAGAGACATCACTGGTACAATAAGAAGAAGCTGATTTGAGGATTTCCATAGATAAGGCTCTTTCAATAGCAGGAGTAGGTAGGGAAGAGTGCCTAGTTTCCTACACAGTGTGGTTTATTTCTGTAAGAACAATTAATGAAGAAAAGAAAATAAACCTCTCTACTTGTGCTCAATAGGACGATGAGTGCATAAAAATTCACACATGCCTTCCCCTAATTTGTTATTATAGTGGCCATACATATTCCTTCCCTCCAAATAGGAACTGTGTTCCCCTTACAGAATTGCATTTCTCCTTTAACACGTTTCAACAATTTTTTGATTAATCCGAAAAGAACCCTGGTATGTGAAATCAGAGAGTGCTGACAAGGATGGATTTTAATGTGGGGTTTCTGCCACTTTGCCTCTATTTCTAATTCCTCCCTATGTCCTATTTAAAGTCACACTTAGCTCACACAGCGCATGCTTCTAGAGAAGAGGATAAGCAAAACCATCAAGAATTTATTTGCTGTGTATTATGTCTGCTAACATTTCAAGTATAACAACCACCTAAACACAAGGGACTTAAAAACAGCATTAAAACTTTAAAAATAAAGAAAATATTCTGTGGATGAGTGCATGTATTTCCTTGGATATTGGACATTGAAAATGATAAGACACAAGAACCATTTAATTGCATAGGAGAACACCAACACTAGTCTAAATGAAGTAACCCCCTTGAGAGAAGTTTTAAATTGCATTTACCCTGTCCTGGGTATGCTACTTGGAAGAAGCTATGATTTAGACAGCAATTTTTGGCAGCCAAGATTTACATAAGAGTAAGTAGCCTTCTTGAATGAGAGTGGCAGCCAGCTTCCATGAAGTCTCCCACCTCCTGGCATTTAACATACATCTTTGTAGAGTCCCCCTCCCACTCTATCCCAGGATTGGTTATCAGACAGCAGTGATGACATGTCACTTTCAAGAAGAGATTATGAAAGACTGTGTTTGACTTCTGTCTTGGGATGTCTCTGTCTTTTGTCTCCGTCTCTGTCTGCCTATCTGTCTCTCTCATCTCTCACTCTGGGGGATACAAGCTATAATACTGTGGTTAGCCCTATAGAGAGGCCCACATGGCAAGGAGTTGAGGCTTTCCAACAACTATATGAGTCACTGAGGAAGCAGCTGAGCCTTGAGATGACTGTAGCCCAAGCCAACAACTCGTGAGAGACCCTTAGCCAGAACCACTAATTAATATAGAGAAATACTGAGCAATTTACATGATTGAAGATCATATGTAGAGAGATATGTCATAAAAGGCAGGATTGGATGGGAAGTAGAAGGATATAGATGCAAAACTTCAAGGAAGAAGGTGTACTCATCATTGGTGCTATTCGTCACCATTCTCAGTTCTCCCTCTTTAAGGCACATGGCAAGATTGCACTTTCTTGCCCCTTTGAAGTTAGGCATGGTAACCTTACTTTGGCAAATAAAATGTGAGCAGCATGAGAAACACGTATATCTCTCTAATTTGTATATGTACACACACACACACACACACACATATATATATGTAGTTAATCTGAATATCACTATGATTTGATGAAACAAGACAAAAAAGAAAAAAGATATGTGAGCAGAAGCAATACGTGTCACTTCTGGGGGAAACCACTGAGGTCTGTGTATGAAGTGCCCTGTCTTCTGCCACAATGACTGGGAACTTTCCCGACTGTGGTGTCTCCCATTAACTGTGTTCCTAAGTGAAGAGCAGAACCCTCTCCCTCCACCACAAACCTGTCATGAACATGTAGCTTGAGTGAGAAATAAGCCTCTACTCTTCTAAGCAACTGAGCTTTTGGTGTTGTTCCTGTAGCCCATTCTCACTAAAACAGAAAATGGGTCTCTGACTAAGAATTCACTCTACAGAAAAAAGGAATCTGGTATGAATAACCCGAACCTCAGCCACAAACTCTGAGCTTCCTGAAAGGTGTAGTGGTTCTTGGCAGATTGTGGTGACTGGCATATGAACTCTCCTAATCATATCCCGGAAATACAAAGAGTTGTGTGGAGAACTGAAAGAACTTTTTTCACTAGATTCCTAGAATTTGAGAGCTCCAGAAGCAGCACAGCTGTTGGCTTCCCCTGAGAGAGCAAGAAGGGAGATGTACTCTCCTTTCTACTCTGCAGGTGAATAGTGTTCTGGTACTGCCCTAGATACAACAGAGAACATTCATAGCTGGAACAAACTGGTTGGTGTCTGCCGTTAGGCAATCAAGAGACTAATGAACATGGGTCAAGGTCACTGGTAGAGCAGAGACCAGTACAAAGTGACATCCTGGGCAGATCCATGCAGGGGCAATTGCAAGGCACCCCCCAGAGTCTCAGAGATGCTAAGTGAAAGAGGTTGTGTGAGTTACTGAGGTTTATGCTGGAGAATATGAGCATAGAGCTATTGAGACTGGAGAACTGATTTTAATGTGACCTAATTTATATCTACCAGCTTGAAGATTAAACATCTAAAACCCTATTACTTCATTACTAATTAATTATGTGTTTGTTACAATAATCTATCTGACATCACACTGTATCATGTGGCATTATATGGTTCCACCTTGATCAGCTTTCAACTCAAGAATTTAAAATCCTCTTCACCAGGATCTTATTTTGGTCTAGAACAGATTAATCTATTCTCAACTGCCACATGTTTTTAGACACTATACAAATAACATTTTAAAATGTTCATTGATTCAAAGCTTAGTGGCTTACAATTCAGTGCAAAAAGACATGGGCAATGAAGCAAAGATGTGAGCAGTTCAGCTGAATTAACATTTTGAGTATATGCACATTAGTCCTTTGGATGGGATCATGCCTCAAACCCATTGAAATACACCTCAATGAAACAATAAGTAAACGAGGGGGAAAAGGAGACTACATGAGGTTTTGAGTGGTGAAGACATGAAGTCTGTAAGGCTATGGAGAATAATTAAATGTGATATTTATATTTCAAAATAGGTAAAACTTGATAATGGCAGAAGGTAAGGAGTCAGTGGAGAAAAACAGAAAATGCTGGCAGAAAGAAACAGGGGCTAGGGGTACAAGGTCTCTTAGAAAGTGGGAAGAAATGGGATCTAGACCACAAATCTGGATGTCCTTACAGAGGATTCACATACAAATCTTATTCAAATACATCATGGATTCGTACTGAACCTTCAGGGTAGATTTTAATGACAACCTGGTTGTCTTAGTCCATTCAGGCTGCTATAACAAAATACCTGAGTAGATTAGAAATAGCAGAAATTTATTGCTGACAGTCCTAGAAGCTAAGAAGTCCAAGATGAAGGCATCAGCAGATTGGATATCTGGTGATGGTTTACTTCCTTGTTGATGGACAACTATCTATTCACTGCAAGCTCACAAGGCTCAAGGGGAAAAGGATCTAGGCTTCTTTCATAAGGGCACTAATCCCATTTGTAAGAACCCTGCCCTCATGACTTAATGACCTCCCAAAGCCCCACTTCCTAATACCATGATATTGGGGGTGAGGATTTCAAAACAAGAATTTTGGGAGGACACAAGCAGTCAGATGATAGCCCTGGTTTAACCCATATGGCTCATGTTCTCTCCCCTAGCACCCTTGTATTTCCCCTTGTAACACTCATCACAACCTGCACTTGTATATTCATTTATCTGTCTGAATGCCCGTCTCCACACTAGGATACAAACTTCTTAAGGGCAGGGTTTACATCTGCTGTGGTCACTGTTACACAATCTCCCTAGCACAGTGCCTGGTACACAGTAAATGTTCCATAAATATTAATATTTGTGGATTGATCAAATCAGGATAGACACAAGAACAAATTTAAGATTACTTAGCTTATTGTCCCAATCTCACTTTGGCCCACCTTACTTTGTCACTTAAATGAAGTCCTAGAATGAACTGTGGCCCAGTAGTCCTTATACCTTTGTAAAACTTCATTGATATTGAGGGATTTCAATCCAGTTTTGATAATATAGCAGCCAAATCTATCCACATCACTAAAGCCAATCAGCCAGACTGTCATTCTTACTCTGATGCTATTTAGAATGTGCAATGAGCCACCGGATTCCACTTCCTAAAAACTAATTTCCCTAGAGCTTCTGCTCTCTTATTTTATCAATGCCCCTGAGGTCAGAAACTATGATTTTGTCTCTCCTGAACAGCACAATGTCTCATTAAAACTTCTTCCTATAAGCTTGAGTTTTTCTTTAGAACTGCAAGGAAGTTTCAAGGATCATGAAGGACCTTTGGTTTGATATCAGCTATTTTTAGTGCTTTGAGAGCAACAGCACAGTCAAGTTCACTAATGACCTAAAAACAATTAATTCAATATATATTCTGATTCCTTGATTGACACTGTTTTTTTTGTTTGTTTGTTTGTTTTAGATTTGGAAAAAAATTACTGCTTGTTCAATCTTTTAAAAATGGATGTTCTAATTTTTTTTTTTACAGATTCCAACAACCAAGTTGGATTATCGTATTTGAATATAAATATGGGCAAGTCTGACAATCCAATAATTTATATTTTATATAGCCTGCTTCTACCTAAGGAGAGGAAGATAGACAGTAATTATTTATCTATTCAACAAATTTTTATTGACTGCCACCATATGCTAAGAACAACTCTAAAGGCCAGGGATATAGCAGTGAACTATGAAATAACTAGGGCTCTTGAGTCGTGGTAGGAGAGATGAAAAATAAACAAAAAGAAAAAGTGAAATCTATATAAGGATTATATGATAACAGTTTGCAGGGAGAACAATTTAAAAAGAAGAGGGGATGGGGAATGCCAGGAACAGGCATGGTGAAGATATAATTATTAAAAACAAAATAAAAGGATAGCCTCACTCTGAAGATATCCAAATAAAGGATGGAAAGAGGTGAGGAAAGAAAACAATGGCATATCAGGCTGATGCAAGTTCTGGCTGAAGGACTTGAGAACATGAAGTACCTGAAGCAGGACTTTGCTTGGATAGTTGTGGGAATGGAAGGAGACCAGAGTGACTGGACCAGAGGAGGAGGAGTAGGAGCTGAATCTGAGAGGCCACAGGAAAAAATAGTAGATTATTATAAAGACCTTCAATTTCATTTTGAGGAAAATCAGAAGTTACTGAAGTATTCTGAGCAAAGAAGTGACCTAATGCCACCTAGACTGGAGCAGCCTCACTCTGCTGAGGGGTGCAAAACAGGCTGAAGCAGGGACACTGGTCAGGAGGTGGTGCAGCAACACAGGTGGGAAAGTTGGTGGCCGGAACCAAGCTGGTTGCCATGGTGATGGTGAGAAATGGGCAAATTCTGGGTTATATTTTGAAAGAATGCTGGCTGGATTTGCTGATTGGATTGGAATTGGGAGTGTGAGGAAAAAAAGAGTCAAAGACAACAACAAAGTTTGGTCTGAGATCAGGAAGGCTCCAGGAGGAGCAAGTTTGCTGGGAAAGAGCAATACTTTGGTTTTGGACATGCTCAGTTTCAGGTATAGAGGAGACATCATGGTGGAAATGACAGGAAGGCAGTTGAATATGAAAGTCTGTATCAGGTGAGAGATCCAGATCGGTAGAGACTTGACAAACAATGGCATATAGACTTTGAAGTCTTGTGATTAGATGAGGTGTAAGAGATACGCAGAAGGAGGACAGAAGACTGCAAGGACTAAGCTTGGGACATGTCCATGCTAAGACTTTGGAAAGCTGAGGAGGATGCAGCAAAGGAGGATGCAGAGTCCTCAAGGGAAAAGGGGGAAAGCCAGGGGAATGAGATGCCTTGAGACCCTGGGGAAGAGAGTTGTCTTCTCTAAATGGTAGGTATTCAGCATCAGTGTAGAGACACCTGCTTTGTAATATTTATTTGGTCATGGGATTCACATGCCTTGACTTACACATAGGTTAACATTAAATTTAATTTGCATATTTTGGAGAATTGACCAATTTATAAGAGAGAAACAAGAGGAAAGAACAAATGCCAGAACTTATGAAATCTTCAAGATTAACTGATTACATATCAGTAAACCAAAATTACATTACATTAAGACTGCCGTTAAATTAATTTAGTAATGCTTCACCATGAAGATTATCTTAATATTTGGCTCAATTTTTAAAAAAAACTTTTTTCTTAATTTTTTTACAAAAAAATTTTTCTATAACTCAAAAAAATATTTTGAGTTACAGTTTACACATTAAGGGGGAAGCCATTCTCCATTCACATATTCCCATATATTATATAAGTTGAACTTTTTTCCAGGCAACTGCATAATTTAAGTAAGTTCTGACCCATTTCTTAGTCACTGCCCTGACTGGACTTGACCTGACTGGGGAGCACACATTGAGTTCAAAGAACACTCTGCTCTGACATTAGCCCCATAGGAATAGGCCACTTTAAAATGCAAATATGTAAAATTAAGAAGGAAGATAATTATATTGGAGTAAGCATCTTATTTTGGAGAAAAATTAGAACTGAATTTTATGCCAATGATAATATTCAAGCTTTGTATTATCATAGAAATTATGATTTTGTTTTATCTTTTAACTAAAACCAAAGTCAAAGATTTCTTACAAGTATGAGAAAAGTGAATTTAAAAATAAAATAGAGCTATATGAGATATGTGCAGCATTGCTTCTATTATTGCATACAATCATAGCTCAGAACTGTAAGAGTCTATGTTACTACACATAAAGCAACAATATACAAACTTCTATGTAATTGTATTTTCCCCTTTTAGAAATGGAGAGAATACCAATCCTGTTTACCTAATCAGACAAGATTATGTATTTTAAAGCATTTTAAAAACTATAGAATATCGCACAACACCAACGGAGTAATTCAGTGTGACTTTCCTTTAATGGATGAAAAGTTTTAAAGCACTAGTTATTCTTCAGTTGGTAGGAAGGCATTTATCTGTAAATTGATACATCCTCAGGCAACTGTGCTGATATTCAAATTTAGTTATTCAAAATGTGGCTTTCATTTTTTTTTTTTTTTGGTGGTAGGGTCTCTCTCTATCATCTAGACCTGAGTGCAGTGGCACAGTCTCGGTTCTGCAACCTCCACCTCTCAGGCTCAAGCAATTCTCAGGCCTCAGCCTCCTGAGTAGCTGAGACTACAGGCACGCACTACCACACCCAGCTAATTTTTGTATTTTTTGTAGAGACAGGGTTTTGCCATGTTGCTCAGGCTGGTCTCAAACTCTTGAGCTCAAGCGATCTGCAGGCCTCGACCTCCCAAACTGCTGGGATTACAGGCATGAGCCACCACGCCTGGCTGGGATATTTTTATGTTGAACATTCCCATTCTAGCCATGCGCTTCTTACCTGGACTTCATTAATATATATATACATATGTTAGACCAGCATTTTGAGGTTAGAAATCATGAATCAAACAGTAAGGTTTCCTGGGATATATTAGACAAAACAAAATTGAACCCTGGTATGTTTGAATTGGGAGTAGTCCTGGTACACTATGACTTTCTGGTTCAGAGATAAAAGCCTTAAATGGCCTCTTAAACTTTAAGGATTCTTAGCCATTCAATATCTCCCTATGCCATTTTGATGAGACTAGTGTAAATGAATCATAGGCACATAGATTAAATTCCCCCACGAAATACTCATGACTATGAAACATTTAAGAAAAAGTGGGTAAAGAGTCAAATATGTTTTGCTGACTCCTCAATATTTTCAAGATGGACACAGACACAGTCAGCACATTCAAAACAAGCTAACAGTGACCAAAAGTGTCTGCATTTGCTCTTATATCACCAGTCTTTATGTCTTCTTCAATTGTGAGGAAGAAAAGCTCTTCAACAATACAGTTCACATTTCAGTCTCAGTAGCTGGGGTAATCTGATCTCCTGATTTTACTCTAGGCTTACTTTGAATGTGACCCTAGTAAGTTTAAAATTCTTTATACTGCCTACCTTACACTCCTGACTAGCTAGTTAGCTAAATAGAAATGAGGGTTAGACCAAAAGAGGACTATCTTACAGCGAAGTATAGGTCTAGGCAGTTTTCTATCTATTTAGTGAATTATTACAGAAGTCCTCAAAATGGCCTTCTAGGAGTCTAGAAAAAGTAAACGTATTTTCCATAAGCATCCACAATCTGTCTTTTTTTTTTTCAATTATACTTTAAGTTTTAGGGTACATGTGCACAATGTGCAGGTTAGTTACATATGTATACATGTGCCATGTTGGTGTGCTGCACCCATTAACTCGTCATTTAACACTAGGTATATCTCCTAATGCTATCCCTCCCCCCTTCCCCCACCCCACAACAGGCCCTGGTGTGTGATGTTCCCCTTCCTGTGTCCATGTGTCTTAGTAGTAAAACCAAGAAATAATCTCATCTGATTTTAATGCAAATTACACCCATTTCCAAACATGCTGGCTTTTTAAAACAATATTTTTTATTAAGATTTACAATGGAATTTCAAAAATGCAGCCATTTACACTAGGTTGATTCTTATTTCACTTTATGTACATGAGTGGTTTTTCAGCTTTAAAGTTTTAAAGAATTCAGCTCAGTATTTTGGTGTTTCAGCACTTTCTATTTTGAAAATGAGCCAAATATTGATGTGGTCAGATCTATGATCCCTCAAACCATTAAAAGTTATAACTCTGTGATAAATATAATGTAGCAGTGTTCCAAATTGGCAACTCATATTAAGTTTAAGAATAGGAATTACCTACAAAAAATTTCCAAGTCACCATATATCTGTCTCTGTGATAATGTCATGCTCCCTAGCGATGCTCTCAAATGGTAGAATGAGTCACTGGCCCTTGTCTTTTCAAATTTTATCCATGAAAATAAAAGTAAACTGCTAAAGATAATCTAGAATTTTGTACTCTAGCAGGTTTCAAATATAATTGCTTCTGTGTTTTTTGGTATAAAGTTGCTCCCATGGAGATTATAATTCTGATTTTTTTCCTATTCTATGCATTTCAAGAGCTAAAATAAGTGTGGGAAAGGATATCTATATATATCTATACCTCTATACGTATTCCAACTAAGATAGTGAAGGGTTTAACTTTGTGTATTACTTAGACCTAATAATTACATATATATATATATATATATATATATATCTCCAAGATTTTAAAGTATTAGGTAATAAGTGCACATAAGATTTCGTACTTTTTGTCGTTTTCTTCTTTTAAATTATGCATCAGATTTTCTTGTCTCCAATTGCTGAGGGTGTATCTTCTCTTCTTATTTGCTATCAACATTATGACTAAAAATATATCCTCCAACATGTCTAAAAGTCTTATTTTAGATAGGTGGATTTCAAACCTTGCTTTGCTTATGGGTAAATTAGGCAAAGAGAGGGTGCTGTGGTGGAGGAGCTCCATCGTCCTCCATCTTCAACCTTGAAGAGCTCAATTTGGAAACCAGTGTGGTAGCCCTGTATAGTGAAAGTCATTTACTAACTTCTCTTCCATGGCAACCACAGTAAATATTATGCTACAATGTGGACTCTAAAATAAGAGATTAAAAGCTAATATTGATCTATGAATGTATGACAATAATAGCACCACGAATAAACCCAAGTCCAACACTTTATTGCGTCTCCCCCAGAAATCATGTGTTGAAGTCCTAACTCCTCGTACGTGAGAATGTGACCTTACTGGAAATAGGATTGTTGCAGGTATGATTCATTAAGTGAAGATGAGGACATATTGCAAGAGAGTAGGTCCCTAATCCAGTGTGCCTCACGCCTTTATAAAAAGAACACCATGTGAAGAGACAAACACGTACACAGAAGGAACACTATGTGAAGACTGGATGGATGCTGCTACAAGCAAAGGAACTACCAGAAGCTACAAGAGAGAACTGGAACAGTTCCTTCCCTAGCTCCTTTACAGGGAGCATGGCCCTGCCAACACCTCGATCGTAGAATTCTCACCTCCATAACTGTGAGACAACACATTTCTGTTTAAACCACTCTGTTTCTAGTACTTTGTTTCAGCAGAAAACTCATACACCACTCATTCCTCAATTTTCTGCATTCTGACTTCAACTCCTACCATACCAATGAAGTGCTTTTCACTAAGTAGTGGCCTCTTTTCAAGTCAGTCAGCTCATTCTACTTCTAGCTTTTCAACTACTGACTTTCCCTTTATAAAGCCTCTCTTGATCATTATTTTCTGATTTTTTTTTTTACTAACAGTTCTGAATACTCCTCATTTCATTCCTTCAACAATCATTGAGAGTTTATGTGTCATGTAAAAAAAAGAATTCTTCGATGCCTAAAAGTTTCTATGTTAAAGGAACATAAAGTTGGGTGGGAGAGAGAAGTAAATCAATGAGTAGATTTTCATTGTACACAGTATGAGAATAAACAGGAAGCCCTCTTAAGCCCATTCTACAGGTTTAGGCAGACATCCTTTTAAAAGATGATATATCAGATATGAGCTGGAACATGAGGAGGAGTTACCTTGACAGGAATGGAAGATGTAAGACCTGAGCCAAGAGGAAGAGGGTGTTCTAGGCAAAAACAGCAAAGAAACAAAGGCTCAGAGACAAGAGAGAATCATGAACGCCAGAGAATTGTGATGAAAACTGTGTGCAGAATGAAAGAGAGGACCTGACAAAAGAACAGAACAGGCGTCGGGTTCTGATGGGCCATATATGCCATGTTACAGCTTGGCCTCTATTCTGAAAGCAACAGATAGTCACTGAAAAGTCTTAAGCAGGAAATATATATTATCATATTTATCCTCTAGAAAAAAATGTTCTGAGCATTGTGTGAAAAACAGATTAGTGGGAGTAAGCAAAGCCAAACACAGAGGATACAGTCAGGAGGTGGTGGTAATATTTCAGAAGACAGATGATGGTGGCTGCTATGGTTTGAATGTTTCTCCCCTTCCAAAACTCATATTGAAATTTAATAGTCATTGTAACAGTATTAAGAGGTGGGACCTTTAAGAGGTAATTAGGTCATGAGGGCTCCACCCTCATGGGAGGCATTGGTGCCCTTATAAGGGCAAGTTCAGTCCCTTCTTGCTCTCTCCTGCCCTCTCACTTTCCGCCATATGATGTCACAACAAGAAAGCCCTCGCAAGATGCTGGCACGTTGATATTGGACTTTCCAGCTTCCAGACTGTAAGAAATGAGTTTCTGTTCATTATAAATTACCCAGTTTTAGGTATTTTGTTATAGCAACACAGACTGACTTAGCTTAACCTAAAGTAATACCCATGTATATAAAAAACTTTGGAGAATACTAGAGGTGAAACTGATATGACTTGACAATTGATTGGACATGAGGGATAAATAAAACAATTCAAAATGATTATCAAGTTTCTGGCTTGTACAATTTAATAAAATCTGATGTCACTCATTCAGACTGAAATATGGGGGAGGAGAAAAGGGGGAGGTGGTAGAGCAGATTGGATGAGATGGGAAGGGAATGGAGGCAAGGAGGCTCTCTTGGACACATCAGTGAGTTTGGACATCTTGTGCAGACATATCTAAAATATAAGCCTAGGGTCTAGGATATCCAGATGAAAGACTGATAAAGGGAATGCCTGAGAAGGCATGGATGTGAAGAAGACCACCAGCATATCACAATCATCTGTGGAATTTCTGAATAACTTAGGTGCCTGGGCCCCAATCCCTAGTAATTCTGATTCAGATGATCGAGCATAGCAAGCGGATGGCTGCATTTTAAAAGGCTTTGCAGGTGATTCTGATGCATAGCCATGGCTAAATACCTCTGGAATATGGGGTAACAGCAGAAAGTGCTGACGAAAGAACACTGCCATTTCAGTGGTAGGCAGAGGATCAAGAAACCCCAAAGAAAACTGACAAACTGCAGGCTGTTAGCTAGGAGCCCATGGAGGAATAGACTGTTTTATGCACAGAGAGTGGCCTACACTCTTCAAATACTGAAGAGAATCTGAGTAAAACAAAGACTAAGAAAAAATTTCCTGGATTTAGCACTAAAAATGTCAGTATATTTGGTGTAGGAAAGTGCAAAATTGAGAGTAGATGCAAAATTATTTGGCTGTTAGAGGGAGGAAGGCAGTAGGCAGAGGAGGACCCATGAAAATTTGCTTTAGCACTGTTATGCTTTGCTTTTTGAAGGAAGTGTTTTAAGTATGTTTAAATACCCATGTTAAAGACTTAGTCCATGGCTAAAGCTGGTGATCCAAGACAAGTGGCAGGTGAAGGAGCAAGTCAACTGAAAAGGCAGAAGCAGGTGGGACTCAAGGTACAGGAGCAGATTTCTACCTCAAACAGAAATAGGATGGAAATGTCCATGTGACCAAGAGACAGAGTTTTTATTGGGAAAAAAGGACACAAGGCTGACTAGAGAAATGAATGGGATTTTGGCAGTATTGAGGCTCCATCCAATTGGGTCTGGAGAGTATGAACTTGCTGTGGCACCAGTGTAAGTGGTTGTGTTTTTCTCTGGAAACACAAGGGTTAAAAATGGGGAGATCACACAGGTGGATTAATCCTGGCTTGTTATCTCCTGTTTGGGTTTATGAGGAGAACAATGAAGGGTTAGCAAGAAAGCAGTTGAGAAATAAGACTATTAGGTCTTTAACGTAATAAGAGGAGCTAGAAAGAAAGAAAACTATGCTTAGAGTGTGGGATATTTGAGTTTAAGATTTTGAGGTTGGTTGGAGCAGTTCTGGCTGATGACAAAGTTCAGAGTGTGGCCATGGAGGTGAATTGCCAAGGTAAAACTGAAGTCAAGATCAGTGGATATAAGGAAGGGGGATATGAGAAAATAAGGTTCTCACCCTTGATTGCACATTAGGGTGATTTGGTGGCTATAAAATCTTTCAACACTTCAGCCCCAGTGAAATCAGGATCTTTGTGGGTAGAACCAAAGCATGAATACTTTTAAAAGTACAAAGATTGAGAACCACAGAACTCAGCTGTCTGTTTTGTCTAACTGAATTTTGAAGTCACTCAAGGTCATGAATTGTAGGGATATTTTTGGTTTCAAGACTTTTACTCAGCAAAGTATTGAGATGAAGAGAATGGCAAAATAGCCAGCATGGGGAAGAAACAAAGAATTCCAACAGCTCTTAAATATTTTGTGGTTTATTATAAAAAGATAAATGGAACAAGGATTGTATTGTCAGACTTCTTTCTTATGATAACCTAGAGAAATCTCCTATACTCTCATTTCCTCTTTTTTTTTTGTGGCCCCCTAGAGTAGGAGTATAAATAAATCCCCACTTTCTTTGTAAAAGTTCAATTGTAAAAGTTCAATTAGGCAAGTTAGAGCTATAAGCCTATAAAACACTCCAGACTCAACTCTGCAATTTCCATCTTCACACTTCAGGTGGCTGTCTTAGATTTAGTTTCTTAGACTAGGGCCTGCCCTTATTAGTTTTTCAATTACCACCCTCTTCCAGAGACTGGGTAACTGATCAGGTCTATTCCAGAGGTTGTATATTAGCAATACCCTTTGCTTCACACAAAAAAAGCTAAAAATTAATGGATATCCTTTATGTTTCCTGGAGTGAGCACCTTCATCTGAGATGCATTGAATAGGAAGCCAGCTGAGTTCTTCTTGTCACCATGGTGACTTTAGCATCCCTGAATTATAGGTTCTCACAGGAGTTCACCCAGGTGAAGGCTTTGAATATGATCAGAAAGCAAACCTGCTAGGCCCCTAAATGATGCTTCAGCTTACAAAAGTATCAAAATAATGATTGGGTATTCCCTAGCATAGTGGCTAATTCCTAGTAGTTTCTCACTGATTAAATCTGAAAGATATTTTCCTCCCTGTTCTCCTTCCTGCAGCAACAAAGCCCAGGCTTTTCCTGGGAAGTCTAAGGTTGCAAAAGATCTTGGTTATAAACAACAGTAGTCAGAATGTCCCTAGGAAGCCAGGCTTTTAATTTATCAAGCATTCCCTGGCAGTGAGGCATCCAAATCATTTTACTTGACTTTTTCCTTACCTGATAAATCAGCAAAGAACAAGAATATGATGCTAAATTAGTCTGTGCAAGAATGAAAGCCAAAGTTTCCAAATTTTCTGTGCCCAACAACTATGTGAAATCTGAGAAATGAACTCCAATCAGTAACATTAATGACTTAAATTTGTATGACTTTACAGTTCAGTATATTTATACGTTATAGTTTATATTTTCATATCTTTTATGTCATCTGATCTTTAAAAGAGTTACAAGTATTGCCTCTTTTTAAAAGAAAATGACTTCTGGCTTCAGAAGATAAAACTTGCCAGAAGTTAAACCTGAAATTAAGTGGCTCACTGGACCCCAAGTTCAAAATCAGATATTTTGACTTAGAAAACAGAGTTCTTTCCGCTACACTATTTTCTTTATATATATATATGCACACACATATGCACACAAACACATACCCACACACTATATATACGAATGTATGCATACACACATATATTTTAAGAGGAAAATATAATTCCAGGGGGAAAAGTATTATTGCAGGTATCAATAACCATTTGGGACAAATTTAAAAGGTCTTAATTCTAATTTGCTGTGAAAAGTCATGCCAGAGTTATTACAGCATCAAAAAGTAAAACAAAACAAACAACTTCAGTTCCATCTGATGTAGCTGACTTTTTGATGAGACTAAAACTGTGTAGTTCATCATCTCCATCCAAGTTCAGATCTCAAGTCTATGATCTTGACTACCTTAATGTATGGCTATTATTATCTTGATGATCACATTGGCTTTGCTTTCGGCACACCCCGATCTCTCTCCCTTTCTTCTGATTTTCTCCACTCAAAACAAGAGGGGTATTTTTCTCCGACATTTGTCTCTTCCATGCCCAATCTTAAGGAAGACCTACTGTAGTTGCCAAAGCGCATCAGCACCTGGGAGACTATTTTAGAATGACTGACATCATTCTCCTGACACTCACCATCAGCCCAATTCTCAAACAACATAAGGTCTGAGAACACAGAGTCGGGTGCTGTAAACTCAAAGAAGTACTTTAAACCATGGCAAATTCATCACCCCTCCAAAGTGCTGACTAATATCTTGGGGCTAGTTCTTTTCCAACTCAGCTCATATCCCATTATCACCACATCTCTTCAGTCTTTTTGTCCTGATTCTTTATCGTTGTGATCACCACCCAGTAAGAAAACCCTTCCTTTGGCCTTGCTCTTACCATATTTCATTGATATTATGATGACACTGATTGTGAGATGCATTATTAATTGCTTAATGGTTTTTCAGGACAAAAATAAACACTAACCTTATTAAATGAGCACATCAATTGCATGACTCATCCAAATTTCAGAAACGTTAAAATAATAAATAATGCTTCAAAATTGTCAAAAATACAGAATATCCTTGCTCACATCCTCATTTGGCATAGTTTCTTCTGCTCCAACATTTTCTGTAAGACCCTACCCTCTCACTTTCCTGTACCTCTAGTACAGTGCTGTTCAATCGAATTTTCTGTGGTGATGCTAATGTTCTAAAATCTGTGCTGTTCAATATTAGACAACTACATCTTACACCTAGGCCAAACTTTTTCTTCCTAAGCTAGCTTGCCCTGTTGCCCTCAATAACAACCTTAATCACAGTGATAATTTCTTCAGACTCACCTCCACTTCACTTTAGAAAGACAAAGTCGTGGACTTGGTCACCTCCAGCCCTGCATCCCAGTGCTTGGAGCTCTGTTGTTCTGTTCCATCTCCGAGGCTTGAAACTGTCTCAATTTCCCCTCTCTAAATAAATCTATTATCTTCCTATCACTTAAACTTCCTAGCTCACCCTGATCTTGGTATGTGCCCTCATGAGAACAACCAGGTCCCCAGAGTTCCAATTCCTGACCTTTTATAAACCTTGATACCCACCGCCTTCTGTACCTTCTAGACTGTTGAGCGTTACTAGAAAAAAAGATTAGTCATCTTGACTAGATGTTCAATGAATCGTGCTATTTACATTTAAGGAGGGTTCAATGTTTCTCTGCAATGCTATTTTTAACAAGTGATTGAAAAGCTTTATGTTACTTTTAAATTCACAACATTACCTCACTTTCCTTTACTGTCAATAGAAAATAATAATGGCAATGATAGTAAAAAATAGCTAACATTTCTGTGCATTTATAATGTGGTATATGCTACTCTAAGCAGTTTATATGCATCATATCAGTTAACTATCATAAATATTATTTGGCCTTACTATTTTTTATCACTTTACAGAAGAGAAAATATATATAAAGCAGCCCCGTTGTGTTGAGAGGATAGAAGCCTTCTTACATGTAATTGCTTTTTCTCCCTCATTTGAAACCACTACTCATTTTCTGTTCTTTTCCTGTATTTCAGAAAAATAAGATTTTCACTTTCCAGACTAAATGGATCCATGCACGCTCTTAATTCTATCCCCATTCTATCCTTCAGGACGTTTCTCCTAATTCCATCCCCTGTTCCATCCTTTGGGGCCTTCTCTGTCTCTGACATCTTCAGTCTATCCCTCCTTTCCTTCACATACTCCTGCCCCGATCACAATGGTTCTTTCCACTCTATCTACAAATTCTCACTTAATGAACAGAAAGTTAAAAGATCTTCTCCCGAATTTGTCATTTTTTTTTCAGTCTCCTCCCTTTGCTTTACCCCTTTAAGCTTCCTGAGAGACTGGGAAGGGCAGTGTGATGCAGTGAGGAACATGTTCCCAGGCAGCCATCAGGGAGGAGGCCACAGAGACGCTGTGGCACAAACGTGGTAGTACTCGGCTTTAATCTGCAATGGATGAGAATGTCTGAGCAGACTGATGCACAGAGGAATTATGTGGCCTCTGCCTTGTTATCCAACTATTGAGACATTTGGTCTACATCTAATTAAGAATTATTTCTGGCAGTTTTTCAATTACATGGTTATTTCTTCATTTTGCCTGGTAGTTCTTTATTTCTCAAATGGTAGAACTCTTAGCATTCCTTTAAGCCTTTGCAGTATGATTTCTGCCTCTATCAATTCTGATTGCTATAATTGAGTTCCTAAAAAGTCAACATGTGACCAAGCTTTTTGGCTGTGATTATTGTCTTTCTTAGCATTTAAATACAAGATGATCAGCCACCCTAATCTTCTCTCCTTTTCAAATATAATGGAAACACTGCTTAAATTTATTGATAGGAATTCCACATCTTGGCTAATACACAATTCTAAGATGACTCCTATTACCCTCAGCCCTGGTGTTACTCCACGGTTATATTACTTTACATGGAAAAAGGAATTTTTGTAGATGCAATTAAGGTTACTAATCAGCTGACCTTAAGATAAGATTATCAGGGTGGGTCTAATCTAATCACATGAGTCCTATAAAACCTATAAAAGCAGAGTGCTTTCTTTAGCTAGAAGCAAAAAAGGAAGTCAGAGAGATGAAGTGTGAGAGGGGAGGTCTTCCACGGCTGAGATGAAGATGACCAATGGGATAAGAATCCAAGAGTGGCCTCTAGAAGGTCACAGGGGGCTACAGCCAACAGCTAGCAAAAGAAGAGGGATTTCTATCCTATAATTGCAAGAAACTGAATTCTTCCAACAGTGGCAGTAATGATCTTGAGAGATGACCTTGATTCCAGATAAGATCACAGCTGGTTAGCACCTTAATTTCAGCCTTGAGTTTGAGACTCTGAGCACATAAACCAGCCCTGTTATCCTGAATTTCTGACCTAAAGAGCTGCGACATTAAAAAAAAAAAAGGATATTGTTTTAAGTTGCTAAGTGTATGGAAATTTGTTACTCAACAATAAAAAAAGACTATAGCCAAAACATCTGGATAATTTATTGCTGCATCCTTCATATCTTAGATAAGAAGACGGTGTCTCATAACTCTGAAACATAAATTTCTCAATTTTTCTTTAAAATAAAGGTTTGCTCAAGTGTAAATTAGAAAACATATGCTTTATTAAAAGAACATTCTCTTTCAAAAATAAATACACGACTATATTATTCATGGATTCTTTATGGCATTACAAACCAATGACTGGGCGCGGTGGCTCATGCCTGTAATCCCAGCACTTTGGGAGGCTGAGGCGGGCGGATCACAAGATCAGGAGATTGAGACCATCCTAGCTAACACGGTGAAACCCCGTCTCTACTAAAAAAACAAAAATACAAAAAATTGGCCAGGCGTGGTGGCGGGCGCCTGTAGTCCCAGCTACTTGGGTGGCTGAGGCAGGAGAATGGCATGAACCCAGGAGGCGGAGCTTGCAGTGAGCCCAGATTGTGCCACTGTACTCCAGCCTGGGTGAAAGAGTGAGACTCCGTCTCAAAAAAACAAAACAAAACAAAATAAAAAAAACCAATGCCTGGTTTCCATTTTAGGGTCCGTTAACATTAAAGTAATGTTTGTTGGATTCTATAAAATAACAGTTGGCCTCTGAAGTATTTAATGAAATGAGGTTTCTATACATCAAACATTTAAATGAAAGTCAACAAGAGAATTAGATGGTTTAAACACAATGGTTATATGGAACCATGGTAATGGTCATTTCATAAAGTTTATGTGTATATCAAAACATCAAGTTGTTCACTGAAAATATATACAATTTCAATTTGTCAGTTATATCCCAATAAAGCTGAAAGTACTATTGAATTCTTAAAAAATATGTTGAACCATGCATTTCTTTATTCAAGGGTGACTGCTTTACAGAACAAATGAGTGACTTAATTTCTTAATTTGGAAATTCTATTATGTAATTTTAGTTAAGCTAACTGCAAGTTTGCAGTTTACAAAAATGGAAAGCTTTTTTATAACAGTGAGATCCCATCTCTACAAATTTGTTTTTTAAATGCTAAACTAAAATAGAAGACATTAATATTTTAATAGTGAAAGGATGAGCATTAGTTTAACTTTCAGTGGTAAAAAAATCATATTAACATCCAAATCATGTAACAAGTTATTTGCAGTATGAGAATAGAGTCAATATTTTGATTAAATAAATTAAGGTAATAACTTTAATGAACGCTGAGCTAAAATACTAAAATGCATTGATGAATAGAGGCATGTCTAGACCTTGCAAATATATATGCTTCTATTGCTTCCTATGCCTCAAACATAAATAAGATCTTTAATTTCTGTCTTTATTATGTCTGATAAATATGCTCCTACTTTGCCTTTGTTGGCTCTATAATCCTCCAATTATAATGCTTCTGTTGTTTGTCTTATTCTTCAAAATAGCCCAAAAGACCTATCAGGAAGCTTTGGATTTTGTACACATTTAATTTTTCATACTTCCCCTATTCACTTCCTAATGAAGGGTCTACTCTACAACCACATTCAGGCAATAAGAATTAGTTAGGTACCAACTTAGAGTCTAGTCCTTCCAGTAGCATTTTTAGTTCTTCAGGTAATTGTGACTTGACTCACTTAAGGTCATCAATTACCATTCCTCAAATTTAACTGGATGGTGATAAGTTTGAAGGTGTGAATGGTATTCCAATAGAGAATACCCTGTGACCATGTATTCTTTTCAGAAAAGTCACAAAGCAGGTGGGATATTTTGTCACTGTTCAAAGATTAAAATGATAGTAATAGAGGTTATTTAAAAATGTTCCAAATTCTAGGGTTTTATCTTACTATTCTTTTTCCAAAACTGGAGCATATTCTAAGTTCATTGCCACATGTATTTCATATTTTATTCTTACCTAGCACTGAATTTTATATAAGCAATATGCTTTCTATCACTTTCTAACTGCATTATGTATTATCCCTTCACCCCACCCCAAAGCCTTTTGTTAAGCCAGTGATATCAATGAATGCCTCCTTTAGGGGTGTGGTTCAGGATTCAGTAACACATTGGAGTATGTGCTATACTTCAAGGCACATTGGAGTATGTTCCTTGAAGCATCAGATTTTTATGTGAAGCCAAAATAGTTTTATAAAATATAGATTGTTATTCATAGCAATGGTTTTTACTGCCAACAATGAGAGATGTTTGCTAGCCTTTGGTTACTTCCTGAGCATAAAATCACCCCAGCACTGCTTATCCCTAAGGCAGAGGCTGAACAAGGATGGTGAGAATCTATATACTTTCCAGGGTTGAGGGAAGAAATGAGCCCACACGTGACACCTGCTGACTCCTTGTACCTGCACCCATATTTTATCCTCAAGTAAGGGATATCTCAGTTCATTGTCCTTAAAGACATGTTTCTCAAAGAGTCATTCTTAAAGTTGTGTAAAACAGAATCTGTACATTAATTATCTATGCCTACTGCTTACTTATCTGAATAGCAAAGACAACAACAATTAAAATAAAAAATTGCTGCCACAGAATTCACTATAAATGTTAATGGGACTCTCAAGACAACCCCTTTACAGCTTTTCAAAACTTCAAGGGGTATTTTTAACTTAATAATGGAAGAAGAAAATGCTTGCAATACACCCAATACACCTGGTACCATAAAGAAGAACAAATCAACTGGGAGCTGTGTGGTGTCATGAGAGGGCAGCAATGCAGGGCAGTGTTGTGGAATTTGGCAGGCAGCACCGGGTCTGAACTGAATTATCACTATTATATCCTCATCTATGCTTCTATGTCTAGAAATGTCCCATAGAACTTCCTGCAGTAGCAGAAATGTTCTATATCTGTGCTGTCCAATATAATAGCCACTAATGGATATTTAAATTTAGATTTATTAAAATAAAATTGAAAATTTAGTTTCTTTCACATATGGCTAGTGAATACCAATTTGGATAGAGAATGAGATTCTTTTTTAGATACTTATACCACCTATTACTTATTGAGCCCTAACCTCAAGCCAGAGGTTAAGGATCTATTTTGTACCAGGCACTGTTCTCCAAGCCCAGAATAGAACAACCTCCAAGACAAGTAGGGCCCTGGCACCATGGACTTCAGACTAGTGTGGGGGATAGAAAAAGAATAAGAAAATAAATGATTCTATGATTTACTTTGGCATATTATATAGGGCAAGGGACTGTGTGTGCTAGGAAAGGGTAAGACTGTTCTTAGAAAAGGTAGTTGTATTAGTCCGTTCTCATCCCACTAATAAAGACATACCTGACACTGGGTGATTTATAATGGAAAGAGGTTTAATTGACTCACAGTTCAGCATGGCTGGGGAAGCCTCAGGAAACTTACAACCATGGTGGAAGGGGAAGCTAACATGTCCTTCTTCACATAGCAGCAGCAAGGAGAAGTGCCAAACAAAAAAGGGAAAGCCCCTTAAAAAACCATCAGATCTCATGAGAACTCACTCACTATCATGAGAACAGCATGAGTGTAACTGCCACCATGATTCAATTACCTCCCACTTGGTCCCTCCCACTACACGTGCGGATTATGGGAACTACAATTCAGGATATTTTGGTGGGGACACAGCCAAACTACATCAGTGGTCAAGCATGGTCTGTCTGAGAAAGTGACTTCTGAGTGTTGTTATGGGTTGTACTGTGTCCCCCTATCAAAATTAATGTTGAAGCCTAACCTCTCAGTACCCTAGAATGGGACCCTATTGGAAATAGGGTTTTTGCAGATGTTATTAGTTAAGATGAGGTCATATAGGAGTAAGATGCACCCTACTTCAATGTGACTGGTGTCCTTGTAATAAAAGGGAAATTTGGACACAGAGACATGTACAGAGAGAAGACAAAGAGAAATTTGGACACAGAGACATGAAGGGAAATGTGGACACAGAGACATGTACAGAGAGAAGACGAAGAGAAAATACAGAGAGAAGGCCATCTACAAGCTAAGAAAAGGACCTGAAACAGATCCTTCCTCACAGCCCTCGGAAAGAACCAACCCTGCCAACACCTTGATCTCAGACTCCTAGCCTCCAGAACGGTGAGATAATAAATTTCTGTTGCTTAAGGCACCAAGCTTGTGGTATTTTCTATAGCAGCCCTAGCCGACTAATACAAGTGGCAACTTGATGAGGAAGCCATGCAAATTGCGCATGTCATTTAATCCTCACAGCTACCCTATGTGTTAGGCATTGGTGTGTCCATTTATCAGATGAGAATTTCAAGTTCAAAACTATGAAAATAATTTGCCTGAGGAAATATTGCTCTTATGTGGCAGACTCAAGACAGAAGTCTGAGTTAGCATGATCCCTGGGTCTCAGTGTTTCTTATTATACTCTTTTACTACCTTGACTTATCTAAATACACTCACATCTGATTCAATGACAATGAAACAATTAATTTTACAAGTAAATAGATTAGTTTATATGGTTATGTCTATACCGTAGTTTCAGTTAAAATAAAATTTTAAAGTCTAGCAAAGGTGTCTTATTTGGCTTTTCCTTCAAAACTAACTCCGTATTTGATTGTTGAATCTATCTGTGAATATTAGCCTTTGAAGTATGGAGATACATACACTTTTATGCATATGCACACATACGCACATACGTCTATATATAATTTTAGTCTATTTTATAGCTTACATTTTAGATTAATTTAAGCATTGTGATGTAAAGTCTACAGTACTCTTTTCTCAGCCTTTTCCCCACTACCTTCCCTTGTATTTTACGTGTCCAGCCTGACACTCATATTATCTTGCTTCAGGATACATCTATTTCTTAAAGTCATTTTTCTATGAGGACAATCACAATCCCCTTATAATGAATACAAGCATGTTTATAGACCCTCACCTTCATCAAAGAGGCTTCAATGTTCTCTTAAGAGTGTATGAAGCTGGAAATATATTCTGAAAATATAAGCTCAACACCTGCCTTCCTGAAAATATGGGTGGTGGAAAGCCCTTGTGAGTGGATAGCCCATGATTTGTTTGCTCAATTAGTGAAAAGAAACACTTCAATTGGCAAAAATGTTTGCCCAAATGAGAATGGCTTTATAGAAATGTTCTAAATATGGCCTGACTCTAATCAAGCAATGCCATCTGCTTGATGAGTGACAAGGTCACAACTTCTATAATAGAAGCAGTCTCCAGTGCCAGAAATGAATATACAGAAGTCCAACTGCTGCCTACACTAAACATGGCTACCTATGTTGTAGGAGGCCTGCACGTGTCTGTTAGCTTCAGGTATGATCTTACCAAGAGGCACTTTCATTGGTCTTGATCCTGCTAATTATGAGGTGTAGACCCTTGGCTGAGTCACTTAATATTCCTGACGCTCGGTTTTTTTTCCCTAGAAAATGTAGCTAACAATTTCTATGTCTCATATTTGTGGAAGGGATAAAATGAGGTCATACTCTTGAAGACATCTTGTGAAATGCAAAGTAAAATGTAAGCAAAAGGCACAATTTTTCCACCTGTAAGGAATGGCTCCTAGAATAAAAAATTACTTTGAAGTACTTTTTGAGTACTTATTTTGTACCAAGCACATGGCCAATAACTTTATTTGCATTATGTCATTTTATCTCATAATGACACTATCAATTATGTATTATTACAACTGCCATCTTCCAGAAGAGGCAACTAGTAGTGCTTAAATGGTTTAGGTGAGTTGCCCAAAGTTCCCCAGCTAGTAAGTGCCAGAGAGTAGATTTGAACCCACCTGTGTTCTTAACTATTTCTTCTCTTATCCCTTATGCCCCTGCCAACAGTTAAAAAAGAGCAACTATTCTTAAAACTATATTACTGAGATAATTTACTTGCTTTTGTTTGTGGAGACAAAAATTTTAAGATCATTATTTTTCAATTGTAAGAGAATAAAGATGGCCAAATAGAAACAGCTCCGGCCTGCAGCTCCCAGTGAGATCAACACAGAAGGCAGGTGATTTCAGCATTTCCAACTGAGGTACCCAGCTCATCTCACTGGACCTGGTTAGACAGTGGGTGCAGCCCACAGAGGGCAAGCAGAAGCAGGGTGGGGCGTCTCCCCACCTGGGAAGCACAAGGGGCTCGGGAACTCCCTCCTCTACCCAAGGGAAGTCATGAGGGACTGTGCCGTGAGGAACGAAGCTACCCAGCCCAGATACTATGCTTTTCCCACGGTCTTCACTAGCCACAGATCAGGAGATTCTCTTGGGTGCCTATACCACAAGGGCTCTGGGTTTCAAGCACAAAACTGGGTGGCTGTTTGGGCAGGCATTGAGCTAGCTGCAGTTTTTTTTTCATAACCCAATGGCACCTGGAACACCAGTGAGACAGCCATTCAATCCCCTGGAAGGGGGCTGAAGCCAGGGAGCCAAGGGGTCTTGCTCAGTGAATCCCACACTGACAGAGCCCAGCAAGCTAAGATACACTGGCTTGAAATTCTTGCTGCCAGTATAGCAGCCTGAAGTCGACCTGGGATGCTCTAGCTTGGTGTGGGGAGGGGTGTCCGCCATTACTGAGGCTTAAGTAGGTGGTTTTTCCCTCACAGTGTAAACAAAGCTGCCAGGAAGTTCAAACTGGGCAGAGCCCACCGCAGCTCCACAAAGTTGCTGTAGCCAGACTGCCTCTCTAGATTCTTCCTGTCTGAGCAGGGTATCTCTGAAAGAAAGGTAGCAGCCCCAGTCAGGGGCTTACAGATAAAACTCCCATCTCCCTGGGACAGAGCACCTGGGGGGAGGGGTGGCTTTGGGCACAGCTTCAGCAGACTTAAATGTTCCTGCCTGCCAGCTCTGAAGAGAACAGCAGATTTCCCAGCACAGCCCTTAAGCTCTGCTAAGGAACAGACTCCCTCCTCAAGTTGGCCCCTGACCCCTGTGCCTCCCGATAGGGAGATACTCCCAGCAGGGGTTGACAGACACTTCATACAGGAGAGTTCTGGCTGGCATCTGTTGGGTGCCCCTCTTGGACGAAGCTTCCAGAGGAAGGAGCAGGGAGCAATTTTTGCTGTTCTGCAGGCTCTGCTAGTGATACCCAGGCAAACAGGGTGTGGAGTGGACCTCCAGCAAACCTGCAGAAGAGGGGTCTGACTGCTAGAAGGAAAACTAACAAACAAAAAGCAATAGCATCAACATCAACAAAAAAGATGACCACACAAAAACTCCATCTAAAGGTCACCAACAGCAAAGAACAAAGGTAGATAAATCCATGAAGATGAGGAAAAACCAGTGCAAAAAGGATGGAAATTCCAAAAAACAGAATGCCTCTTCTTCTCCGAAGGATCACAACTCCTCGCCAGCAAGGGAACAAAACTGGACAGAAAATGAGTTAGATCAATTCACAGAAATAGGCTTCAGAAGGTGGGTAATAACAAACTCCTCCAAGCTAAAAAAGTATGTTCTAACCTAATGCAAGGAAGCTAAGAACATTGATAAAAGGTTAGTGGAATAGCTAACTAGAATAACCAGTTTAGAGAAGAACATAAATAACCTGATGGAGTTGAAAAAACACAGCACGAGAACATCGTGAAGCTTACCACAGTATCAATAGCCAAACTGATCAAGTGGAAGAAAGGATATCAGAGATTGAAGATCAACTTAATGAAATAAAGCATGAAGACAAGATTAGATAAAAAAAGAATGAAAAGGAATGAAAAAAGCTTCCAAGAAATATGGGACTATGTAAAAAGCCAAACCTACATGTGATTAGTGTACCTGAAAGAGATGGGAAGAATGAAACCAAGTTGGAAAACACTTTTCAGGATATTTTCCAGGAGAACTTCCCCAACCTAGCAAGACAGGCCAACATTCAAATTCAGAAAATACAGAGAACCTCACAAAGATACTCCTTGAGAAGAGCAACCCCAAGACACATAATCGTGAGATTCATCAAGGTTGAAATGAAGGAAAACATGTGAAGGGCAGCCAGAGAGAAAGGTTGGGTTACCCACAAAGGGAAGCCCATCAGACTAACAGCTGATCTCTCTGCAGAAACCCTACAAGCCAGAAGAGAGTGGGGGCCAATATTCAACATTCTTAAAGAGAAGAATTTGCAACCCAGAATTTCATATCCAGCCAAACTAAGCTTCATAATTGAAGAAGAAACAAAATCCTTTACAAACAAGCAAATCCTGAGGGATTTCGTCCCCACCAGGCCTGCCTTACAAGAGCTCCTGGAGGAAGCACTAAATATGGAAAGGAAAAACTGATACCAGCCACTGCAAAAACATATTAAATTGTAAAGACCGCTGACACTATGAAGAAACTACATCAACTAATGGGCAAAATAAACAGCTAGCATCATAATGACAGGATCAAATTCATACATAACAATATTAACCTTAAATGTAAATGAGCTAAATGCCCCAATTAAATGGCACAGGCTGGCAAACTAGACAGAGTCAAGACCCATCAATGTGCTGTATTTAGTAGACTCATCTCATGTGCAAACACACACACAGGCTCAAAAATAAAGGGATGGAGGAAGATTTACCAAACAAACAGAAAGAAAAAAAAAAGGTGTTGTAATCCTAGTCTCTGATAAAACAGACTTTAAACCAAAAAAGACAGAAAAAGACAAAGAAGGGCATTACATATTGGTAAAGGGTTCAATGCAACAAGAAGAGCTAACTACCTGAAATATATATGCACCCAATACAAGAGCACCCAGATTCATAATGCAAGTTCCTAGAGACCTACAAAGAGACTTAGACTTCCACACAATACTAGTGGGAGACTTTAACACCCCACTGTCAATATCAGACAGATGAACGAGACAGAAAATTAACAAGAATATTCAAGACTTGAACTAAGCTCTGGACCAAGTGGACCTAATAGACATCTACAGAACTCTCCACCACAAATCAACAGAATATACATTCTTCTCAGCACCACATTGCACTTATTCTAAAATTGACCACATAATTGGAAATAAAACACTCCTCAGCAAATGCAAAAAACCAGAAATCATAACAAACAGTCTCTCAGACCACAGTGCAATCAAGTTAGAACTCAGGATTAAGAACTAACTCAAAACAGCACAACTACATGGAAAATCAAAAAACCTGCTCCTGAATGACTACTGGGTGAATAACGAAACAAAGGCAGAAATAAATAAGTTCTTTGAAACTAATAAGAACAAACATACAATGTACCAGAATCTCTGGGACACAGCTAAAGCAGTGTTTAGAGGGAAATTTATAGCACTAAATGCACACAAGAGAAAGCAGGAAAGATCTAAAATTGACACCCTAACATCACAATTAAAAGAACTAGAGAAGCAAGGGCAAACACATTCAAAAGCCAGCAGAAGGCAAGAAATAACTAAGATCAGAGCAGAATTGAAGGAGACAGAGACAGAAAAAACCCTTTGAAAAAATCAATGAATCCAGGAGCTGGTTTTTTGAAACGATTAACAAAACAGACCACTAGCCAGATCAATGAAGAAGAAAAGAGAGAAGAATCAAATAGACACAATAAATAAAAAATGATAAAGGGGATATCATCATTGATCCCACAGAAATACAAACTACCACCAGAGAATACTATAAACACCTCTACACAAATAAACTAGAAAATCTAGAAGAAATGGATAAATTCCTGGACACATACACCTTCCTAAGACTAAACCAGAAAGAAGTGGAATCCCTGAATAGACCAATAACAAATTCTGAAATTGAGGCAGTAATTAATAACTTACCAACCAAAAAAAGCCCAGGACCAGATGAATTCACAGCCAAATTCTACCAGAGGTACAAAGAGGAGCTGGTACCGTTCCTTCTGAAACTATTCCAATCAATAGAAAAAGAGGGACTCCTCCCTAACTCGTTTTATGAGGCCAGCATCATCCTGATACCAAAAGCTGGCAGAGACACAACAAAAAAAGAAAATCTCAGGCCAAATATCCTTGATGAACATCGATGTGAAAATCCTCAATAAAATACTGGTAAACCAAATCCAGCAACGCATTAAAAAGCTTATCCACCACGATCAAGTCGGCTTCATCCCTGGGATGCAAGGCTAGTTCAACATATGCAAATCAATAAACATAACCCATCACATAAATGAAACCAATGACAAAAACCACATGATCAACTCAATAGATGCAGAAAAGGCCTTCGATAAAATTCAACACTCCTTCATGCTAAAAACACTCAATAGGTATTGATGTAACATGTCTTGAAATAATAAGAGCTATTTATGACAAACCCACAGCCAACAACATACTGAATGGGCAAAAGCTGGAAGTATTCCCTTTGAAAACTGGCACAAGACAAGGATGCCCTCTTTCACCACTCCTGTTCAACACAGTATTGGAAGTTCTGGCCAGGGCAATCAGGCAAGAGAAAGAAATAAAATATATTCAAATAGGAAGAGAGGATGTTAAATTATCTCTCTTTGCGGATGACATGACTGTATATTTAGAAAACCCCATCGTCTCAGCCCAAAAACTCCTTAAGCTGATAAGCAACTTCAGCAAAGTCTCAGGATAAAAACTCAATGTACAAAAATCACAATCATTCCTATACACAAATAATAGACAAACAGCCAAATCATGAGCAAACTCCCATTCACAATTGCAACAAAAAGAAGAAAATACCTACGAATACAACTTACAAGGGATGTGAAGGACCTCTTCAAGTTGAACTACAAACCACTGCCCAAGGAAATAAGAGAAGACACAAACAAATGGAAAAACATTCCATGCTCATGGATAGGAAGAATCAATATAGTGAAAATGGCCACACTGTCCAAAGTAATTTATAGATTCAATGCTATTCCCATCAAGCTACCATTGACTTTCTTCACAGAATTAGAAAAAACTACTTTAAATTTCATATGGAACCAAAAGAGAGCCCGTATTGCCAAGACAATCCTAAGCAAAAGAAAAAACAAACAAACAAACAAAAAACAAAGCTGGAAGCATCAAGCTACCTGACTTCAAACTATACTATAAGGCTACAGTAACCACAACAGCATGCTACTGGTACCAAAACAGGTATATAGACCAATGGAACAGAACAGAGGCCTCAGAAACAACACCACACATCTACAACCATCTGATCTTTGACAAACCTGACAAAAACAAGCAATGGGGAATGGATTCCCTATTTAATAAATGCTGTTGGGAAAACTGGCTAGCCATATGCAGAAAACTGAAACTGGACCCCTTCCTTACACCTTATACAAAAATTAACTCAAGATGGATTAAAGACTTAAACTTAAGACCTAAAACCATAAAAACCCTAGAAGAAAACCTAGGCAATACCATTCAGGACATAAGCATGGGCAAAGAGTTCATGACTAAAACACCAAAAGCAATGGCAACGAAAGCCAAAATTGACAAATGGGATCTAACTAAACTAAAGAGCTTCTGCACAGCAAAAGAAACTATCATCAGAGTGAACAGGCTAGAGAATGAGAGAAAAGTTTTGCAGTCTCCATCTGACAAAGGTCTAATATCCAGAATCTACAAGGAACTTAAACAAATTTACAAGAAACAAACAACCCCATCAAAAAGCAGACGAAGGATATGGACAGACAATTCTCAAAAGAAGACATTTATGCATATGAACAAGCATATGAAAAAAGCTCATCATCACTGGTCATTAGAGAAATGCAAATCAAAACTACAATGAGATACCATCTCACACCAGTTAGAATGACGATCATTAAAAAGTCAGGAAAAAATAGATGCTGGAAAGGATGTGGAGAAATAGGAATGCTTTTACACTGTTGGTGGGAGTGTAAATTGGTTCAACCATCGTGGAAGACAGTGTGGCGATTTCTCAAGGATCTAGAAGTAGAAATACCATTTGACCCAGCAATCCCATTACTGGGTATATAATCCCAAAGGATTATAAATCATTCTACTATAGAGACACATGCACGTGTATGTTTATTGCAGGACTATTCACAATAGCAAAGACTTGGAACCAACAAAAATACCCATCAATGATAGACTGGATGAAGAAAATGTGGCACATATACACCATGGAATACTTTGCAGACATAAAAAAAAAAAAATGAGTTCATGTCCTTTGCAGGGACTTGGATGAAGCTTGAAACCATCATTCTTAGCAAACTAACACAGGAACCGAAAACCAAACACCGCATGTTCTCACTCATAAGTGGGAGTTGAACAATGAGAACATATGGGCAAAGGGAGGGGAACATCACACACTGGGGCCTGTCGGGGGGTTGGGGGCAAGGGAAGGGATAACATTCGGAGAAATACCTAATGTAGATGATGAGTTGATGGGTGCAGCAACTGAATCTGGTTTTCAATACTTCTGTTGAAAGCCATAAATATGATTTAATATGGACTATAATAAGGTACTATTCTGCTCTTCACTTCAAAGACACATCTTTTGAATATGGCAAGTAGCTAGGGAAATATCAAAAGTTCCAGTATTATTTCGTTATATTTTCCAAATTCTCCACTAATCTTTGAGTGTAGACATTTAACCAAATAAAATGATTCATATTACTTAATGTTGTTACTCATGCCAAATATATTTCATAATAAAACAAAGACATCTGAGTGTAGAGAGAGGATGGATAGGAAATGACAAAGAAAGTAAAGTGATTTGAGAAGGGATTAGGTCTAATCAGTTGGGTTTATTTTTTTCTGGGAATAATTAAGATATTTACTGAGGCAATGGGTTATCATAAAGCAAAAAACAAAGAAACTCCTAACTCACTCCATGAGATCGAATTTCATAAAAGCATTTCTATAAAAATGATGAATAGACCACCAGAATCGAAATGTATGCAAATTGCAAAGCTAGTTGGAGGAGTGTGTGTGTGCTGCCTTGGTCTCTCAAGTCTATCAAAAAAGGGGAAAAAGAAAAGGTGACTTGCTGCCTGAGCAGTTCTATGCCTAACATCAGATACTGTAATACCACCATTAAAAAAAGGGAATTCATCATAAATGCTACTTAAAAGACAGTAAAGAGCCAACACACATGTTTGAGAACAAGTAACTCCTATCAGGGACCTTAAATGAGAGAGATACGGAGCTTAACCTGAGGGCAGCAGGGCTTCCTCAGTGCCCCCACCCTCTACCTCCCAATCCTTATAGTATCACTTTTCTTTAGCCTACAAAGATACGTGTGAACACAGTTTTTTGTTGTTTTTTTTTTAAAGAAATGTAAGGACAAAGCACATTTGTAAATAGAGGGAATAGGACATAGTGGATTAAGGACAGTGTATAGTGTTTTATATAAAAGATTCTACAACAAATTTTCTTGAAAAAATGAGGCAGGTATGAGATGTCCTGAAGCCCCCAGTTCTCATAACTTTTAGGATATGAGTAAATTTGTTATATGGCATTTCACAGGTACTGAATTGCAGGATTTTGGTCAGTCACAGTTTCTTGCCAGAAGCACTATCTTTTGTAAAGGGCTACATAGCAGAATTTTTGTTCTATTTTAGTTTTATTTTGCTTTTGTTTGGTGGGAAGTAGGAAGAGAAAAATTCTTACTAAATTCCATTACCTAGAAATATTTTTATAGCATAAAACATTTTCCACAAATTTTTCTATGCACATTATTTAATAATTTTTTATAATATCATTTCCAAATTATTATACATCTATAATACCAATGTAATGACTATTGTGTATAGTCTCGATATTACTGATCCATTTTTGAGATATTAAGGTTTTTTTCCTTTTTTTACTATAATAAACAATATTGTGATGAACAGCTTCTTCACATATATTTTGGCTAATTTATCTGACTATGCCCTAAAGTTAAATTCCTACAAAGAAGAGAAAATCTTCTGTTTTGGAAAGATAATTGGTGCTTTAGAAAGATAGTTCTTGCTGGTGGCGATGGCTGGGTTGGGGGAGAGAAAAGACTAAAAGACTAAGAAGCCCATAACCAAAACTCAGGCAGTGGTAACAGAAGTGCAGATGAGGGAGAGCAGAAAGGATACTCAGAAGGTAGAATCAACATGGTACAGAGACTGATCCATGGGAAGCTAAGGAGAGACTCAAGGAGAGAGAAAAGTCACGGGTGGCCTGAAGGCTCCTAGCGTGAACAACTGGGGAGTACATAATGAATTTCAAATTGAACTTGTTGAGTCTGAGGTGCCTTCAAGGCATCCTAGTAGAAATGGTCAATGGGCAGTGCACAGTGGAAATATATAGCATTCCAGGACACAGACCCACACATTCCTGACAAACACAAATCAATTTGGTTTTACAGGAGTTCATAATATCACCCCTGCCAATTTTAAATATAGTGTCTATAGTGTGTGTGTGTGTGTGTGTGTGTGTGTGTGTGTGTGTGTGTGTGATGGGATGGGGATTACACAGGAAGTTTCTTTGGTTGTTGTCCAGTCACTGCATTTGATGTACATTTGATGTAACAGTTCTTTTTTTTTTTTTAACATTAATGCCCCAACCTTAAAGAAGAGCTTTTGTCTTATTATAAACAATACTGAATTAAAATTTGCAAATTTAAAACTAGAGCAAATATGGAAAAAGTTATTGAAAAGTAACAATCAATCCATCAATGCTCCCAGTGAAGAATAAACATCATCATAAGAATGCCCAATATTTGCAGTGTCTATTGTTTTTTGAAAAAGATTTACACAGGCATAAGATATTTGATTTTTACCATAACCTTGGAAGGCACATTAGTTTTTATTGCTAATTTACAGATCTAAGGAAACTGAGGTTCTGAAAAGGTAAACAGTGTTTTTCTGTTGTTCAAAGCTGGGAAATGCCCAAATTGAAACTTGAGCCCTGGCTTTCAGACTCTGGAGCCGGAGTTCTTCCTCTCACCCTTCAGCTAGCTGCATTAAGTCAATCAATCAATAAATAACTTTTTATTGCCTGTTCTTTCTCTTCCTCCTCCTTATTCTAATCAAGATATTTTAAGTTTTGAATTAAAAATTTATCTCATTCTTATGGCAAAGTAGGTTTCAAGCCATTTCACGGAAATTTATACAAGTGCCTTTGTGCTACAATGGCTGAACCAGAGCACCCAGCTCTCAGGCAGTCCCCACTGTGGAGACAGAGCCTGCTGTCCCACTGGACAGAGCCTCAACCCTGGCTGACTCACAGCCCTGTGTATGTCACTTGGCAGCTTCTTCCAGTAGCATGTCCTTCCACTACATTCTTCAGTCACCTTTCTCTACTGCACAAATCCTGCCTGATAATATGTGTGCAATGCAAGCCCACACTACTTTTTGGAACCTCATTCAATTGTCACCTCTTGCACAGAAAACAAACAACAACAACAACAAACAAAAAGCTATTTTTGAGTGTGCCTGTTTATCAAGAGTGTTCTCTAAAAATTTATCATAATGCCATTATCATTCTGTAACTCCATGGTTCAGATTTAAGGCAATTCTATATCTCTTTGTCTCTTGTGTAGTCTCCAGTCAACTTCATTCTCAGAGATTTATAGAAAATTTTTCCCATATACTGCTACTCAGAAGTCACATTTATTTTTCAGGTTTTTTAGGCTGAGTCTGACCTGGAAGCACTTTTTTTATGGGTTCAGTTTCCCTACTCTTGAAGGTTAAAGTGACTTTCTCCGGCTTCCTAGTTTATTTTAGAAAGCCATTATAACTGTGACAGAAGAAATCTAACCAAAATAGCACAAAAATATTCTGACCAAACTCAGTTTTTACTTTTGGCTGAAAGCTATTTAATGTATGTTTGGTGCCACTTAAAAAAAAAGTTTCATTGAGATGTAACTGAGATAAAATAAACTGCACATATTTTAAAGTGTACAACTTGACAATTACTGCAAATGTATACACCAGTGAGACCATCACCACAAGCAAGGGAATGAACATATCCATCACTCCCACACTGCCGACTTCCCGTGTGTTCCTTCAGAATCCCTTCTTTTCCCTCCTTTGCCACATATTCTGGAAAGGGAGAGCGAATATCGTTAAAACTTCAAATTCTTTCCAGCTTTTCTATAGATCTAACTTTGTTTTAATAAAAATCACAATAGGAGTCTTAAAAAATGTAAAAACATTGTCCAGAAATAAAAGCACTTTAAAATGATGTTACAAATGAGGAAATAAGAAAACAATGAACACATCAATACAAAACCAGGCAAAGTCCATAGGCAGAGAATGCTCATCCCTCTGAAATGGCTAATAAAAAGACTGAAATCTAAATCTAAATCTTACTAATAATCAAATAAATAAATGACAATTAAAATAGCATATTCATTTACATTAATTTTTGTCAAAGATTTAGAAGACAATATGATGCTCAGAATTTAAAGCTTTTTGAAAGTAGACACTAATATATTACTGAAAAAAGTACAGATTTCCTTGTAACTATTGCAATATTAAATGTACATTATTTTTGATGTAGCAACTTATCTAGGAATTAATACTAAAGAAATAAATAAATGAACAATGGCAACAACTTGGGAGCAATATAAATGTCTGTCATTAGTAAACTGGTTAACTATCTAATGGTTCATTCTTATAAAGGAATCACCAGAGGCCATTTAAATGGTAAAGTTTATCTGTATGAATTAAGTGGAAAGAAAAAGAGTGGAAGTAAAGGAGATACATATAGAATGATTTCTTTTCTTTTGTACACAAAAATAATCCACTGTGTTTTTCAGGTGTAGGAAGAACTCTGGAAAAAACTATATAAAATTTAAGTAAAGTTTTCTCTGGGAATGGAAGTAAAACAGCTTTCACTTTTTACTATATATATATTTAATTTTACTAAAAAATATTTACTACTTTTATAATTTCAAATGTTTTCATTTAATAACAATATGTATATATTCTTATTAAACTTATATAGTTTTCTATGTCCCTCTAAACATATACACTGATACGGTTTGACTCTGTGTCCCCACCCAAATCTCATCTTGAATTATACTCCCATAATTTCCATGTGTTGTGGGGGACACCCGGTGGGAGATAATTTGAATCATGGGGGAAGTTTCCCCTATACTATTCTCGTGGTGGTGAATAAGTCTCACAAGATCTGATGGTTTTATCAGGGGTTTCCACTTTTGCATCTTCCTCATTTTTTCTTGCCGCCACCATGTAAGAAGTGTCTTTCACCTCCCACCATGATTCTGAGGCCTCCCCGGCCATGTGGAACTGTAAATCCAATTAAACCTCTTTTTCTTCCCAGTCTCAGGTATGTCTTTATCAGCAGCATGAAAACAGACTAACACATGCACTAAGAACAAAATCCTAAAAAATACACTACAAGGTGTTAGAGTCATTCTATAACCACGAGAAGTCTTATAAAAAATTTGTTCATCTGATTTTTCTAATTTTTGTACAATTATTTGTTATAAGCTGTATAACAAAATACTTCTAATAAACTCTTGTTTAGGTAAAATCAATATAACAAAAAATTACTTAAATAGTATAAAATAGTCAATCTCTACATTTTTTTTTCCAAATGCTGACAATAACAATAAAGTAAATAAAGTCACTATAGGGACTTCTGCTTCTTGCCCAAAGGAGTCAGGTTTATGCTTGCTCATGAAAGAATGGAAAAACTGGACAAAATGAATGAAACAACAGTTTTCAGACCTTAGGCAACAGTTAGCTTAGCATGGTGATTAGAGAAAATGAATACAATGAGATGACGCCTATGGTTGCCCCAGTGTACATGCTGGAGAGCTTCCAGGTCCCAGCATAAGGAGGAGGGATCACTGCCTGACCTGAAAGTCTCCCTAAGTTGAGGAGATGGAGCTGGGAATTCAGGGAGGTCAAGGTAACTAGAATTTGCTGAAAAGAGAGGAGACAGTGGCCCAGAGAGGGAACTCAGGGACATCTGCACAGGCCCCCTCTTGAGTCTTCAGCTGAGTGTTGATCAGCCTGAGGAAGGTGAAATTTCTGGGAAAAAGCTGGAGGAAGGAATGACAAAGACACGAGGAAACTTTTGGGGGTGATATATATTTGTGTACTATCTCAGTTTTGGTAATTTTCTCACAGATGTGTATACCTATATCAAAATTTACTAAATTGTGTAATTTACATGTAGTTTATTATATATTTTTTTCCAGTGGAGTTTTAAAAACAATTTTGTAAAGAAAAAAATGTATGGTGAAAATGAACTGATGGGATAGGATATTACTCAAATTAGCTCTTTGTGTAAGCACGGTACAATTAGCATCGATTTACATTTACATCTCTTCAGGTTGACAAGAAAGCAAGTATGGATACCACCAAAAACACCTATATAATTTGCATCCAAATGTAGTAAATTACTTTGAAAAATATTGGAAGTTTTCCCTAGTGGATTAAAGTTTTCCTAACATGTGACTTTAATCATTGGCCTATTACTCTAAGAAATTGTAATTCACTAATAATACATAAGGCCATAGACCTGGGTCTGCCCCCTCCCTCAATATCAATAATACCAACATTTGTAGAAGGTATATAAATGTTATGCACTTCAAGAAGAGAAGTATGCCAAGAGAGATGTAATAATGCATGAGATAGAGTCTAGAGAATTTAGAACAAGCCTTGGTTTAGATGAACATTAAGGGATTAAGGGCTATTCTTCCAGTAGGACATTTGTAGGAGAACAGGAAAGCCAGGTGACCATATTCTACAGGGCAGGCCTGAGCTTTATCTATTTCGTGGCTGGATGTTGCATGTTCTCTGAATCAGCAAATTGTCAGTGGGAAAAATGTATCTATATTGACTGCTCTCAACCAGCTTATTTAAGATAAAATAGTACCTTGGCAGCCAGCTGAAGAGATTTTTTGGTACTGTGTTGGTCTGAGTAATGGATTATTGATCTACAGTTAAACTGATCTGAAGGTCAGACTTCTAGGATTTCTCTCAGTCTCACATTCTGAATCCATTGTTGTCTTTTAGGAATGGTTATATCAGAGGTACCTGACTCATCTTTGGCCAGAACAACAGGAGCAAATCTGGTATTACAGTATGTGGGCTGCAAATATAACAAAATTAGTGCCTCTATATTTTGCTCTGCAGATTGTTCCTGAATTATGGTCCCACAGTCATGCTGCATTGCTCACTGGAAGTTTCTATAATGAGAATTTAACCCACTTGTTTACACTGGAACTTAGTTCATAGGTTCTCATCACATTTATTTCAGGCTTTCAGGTGAAATACCCTGCCTATTTGAGCTTACAACATTTTTATTTCTAATGTAAACGTGTGTATCTGTACGTGTATTTTAATCAATAAAATGACAGATTCTCAGCTTCTCGAGGACTATGCCGAAAAACCTAAAGGATAATCCAGGTTACAAATAGCACATTCTGTTCAGTGAATTGGGCTTTCATCCCATTATCAGACAATGCCATTGGTTCTTTAAAATTAATCGAGGGGAATATTTCACATGAAAGGGATTACTTCTTCCTATGCAAGTCAAAAAATTGGAAAACAAATGAACATTTAAAGCCTACTGGAGCCCAGCTGTTTGCCCCCTGAAAAGATTATGCTATTCAATGACTGGAGTGATTTAAAGAAGTAGCATGACATTTGAATTATTGGCTATCAAAAAGAACTTGTGGAGGAGACTTCATAAAATGAACTTCTAAGAAATACCCCTTGAGAAATGGTGCTGAACTCTAGGAAAAAAATAGAACTATTTCTGTTTAACTGTAAGGACAGCTTCTGTGTTTCCTTAGGCAAACAGATTTCCTGTGGTCTAGAAATGTTTCTGTCTACCACAGAGGTGGATTTACCGTGAGGCTAGGAAGGGTGAAGCTTCAGGGCCCCTCACTTGCACAAGCTCCTTCCTAAGGCACTGGAAAAGGCTCGAGGGGTGGGATGGCATGCTCCTTTGCTTTTAGAATTTTGCATGAGTGAGACATTTTAACTGCAGAAGTTTAAGATCAATGTCTACGTACTGATTTTGCCTATATCACACTTTTCCCTTGGGTTAGTTAGCACTGGGGTGACTGTGGGCCATTTTGGGATCTGGCTAATTAGAAACTGAGTTAAAGATTCATTTAGTTTCAGTTTGGTGTGATTATATTCTTGTGGTTCTCAGTCTCTTCCCTGTACCCTTAGGTTCTTGCTGGCTGTCTGGGTGTAGCTTCCACGAACACACCTGATTACCATGGTGCTGGTAACATGAAAGTGCAAGCCCAGAGATCACTCCAAAATCAATGTGCCCAGAGCTTCAGGCACCACAAGTCTGTGTGGAGTGAAGGAGACACAATGTTCAAAACATATAAAGCCAGGAACTGCTCTTTGAAAATTCTTCCAAATCTTACAGTTCACAAATGAAAGACATTTGATAGAGATATTTCCCAAGTTTGGTCACAGTCCTAAGAATGTATATGAAATCACCCCCAAAAATTGAGAAACTTGATGTAACTTTTCTAAACTATCGGTAATAAAATGACAGATTACAATCAATTATACTAGAGAAAAGACTGCATTATCTTGTTATTCTCAACATAGAAAACATAATAGAATCATGTAAAATGAAGAGGCAATCAGAGAATAAGCAACCAAAACTACAGAGCCAAAAAAATCATAGAAATGTATCAAGCAATTAATTTTCTGAAAATGAAGTTAATTTTATAAATTTTGTTATCCTTGTAGAATTTGTCAGCTTTATTAATTTTATAATCTGGTGTGATTTAGTTTTACATCCTAAATAAATATTCAATCTCCACATTCAATACATATTCCAATGATGTATCCATTTCTCTTAAAAGGGACTCCTCGAGTTGTATAAGACATCAGTTGGTATAAAGCCTGGACCCACTCCTTGTCAACTACCATAGTTTCCCTGGGATATGAAGAGGTAACTTCCTTTATATTACAACTAAGTAATAAAATGGATATAAATGTATTAGCCGAACTGCAAATTGTGATATTCAGCATTTTAAGGGACTGATTCTGTTGGATACTCAGAAATATAAATAGGCCAAATCCTATGACCAATAAATTAATCAATTGATAAAACAATGTATCTTTTTCTTGATTACACTAAAAATTTAAAATATTATATTCCTTATACAACATTTTTAATTTAATTTGCCTTGTAAGTGTTGGTAGTATATGCATAGTTCTCCAGAAATATGTTTTTAAATATCTTTATATATAAAACTGGGTTTTAGGTCCTCGATTTGTGGCAAACGTTTTGAACGCTTGTTTGGCTTAAAATTCACAAACATATAAACTAGCAATGACATCATGATAGGCTTTGTGCATTTCTTACCAAAAGTGATAAAATTTGTAGACAATAGGCCGGGTGCGGTAGCTCACACCTGTAATTCCAGCACTTTGGGAGGCCAAGGCAGGCGGATCATGAGGTCAGGAGATCGAGACCATCCTGGCTAACATGGTGAAACCCTGTCTCTACTAAAACTACAAAAAATTAGCTGATCATGGTGGCACGAGCCTGTAGTCCCAGCTACTCGAGAGGCTGAGGCAGGAGAATCGCTTGAACCCGGGAGGTGGAGGTTGCAGTGAGCCGAGATCACGCCACTGCACTCCAGCCTGGGTGACAGAGAGAGACTCTATCTCAAACAAAAACAAAAAAAAATTTGTAGACAACATATTTAACAAGTCTGTCATACTTGTTCAGCTCCATAATCCTTACTACAAAATGCACATAATCTGGCATATTCACAGCCTTCAAGTTGAAATGGAAGCTTTCATCAAGTTCATCAAATTACACAAATCACACATGACAAAGGAGAGACCACAAAGCTGGTGTACAATTGTTTAATAATTTATATGTTAATATTGGTAAACTAAAGCCAAATATAAAAATGAAACATATCATCAATGACATCTTCAGATAATAAGGATAAGATTATTATTTTAAAACTGTAAATTTAGATAAACTGAGGTCTGTATAATTCATGGTAATATTTCCTATCTTTCTCTATATATTATTCATATATGTACATTTTAAATATATTTTTGAAATTAGGGATTTTTCAAAGTTTTTTTTTTTTTAATTAAAATAGTGATTTTAAATATACCTATACCTGTTTAAATATATCTGTAAAATGTTCAGGTTATGACACACTTTAAATAACTAAAATTCATCTTAAACCGTATCTTCTACCACATCATTTACATGTGCAGGAGATAACTGCAGATAAGACTGAAGAAGGATGGAAGCTGAAGGTTTACAGAGAACAAAGTTTTTGATACTTCCAACTGTGAAAACACTTTAAGTATTCAGAAGAAAAGGTTGTATCATAAAATTATATATATGTGTTCACATTTAAAACCTCAATATTCTATAAAGATCTGAATTAAAATTAACTTAGAAAGTAATTTTGTCTTATGAGATGACTGAATGGAACTATTAAACACATAACTTATTCATATGATTTTATTTTTATATATCTTTGCAGGAAAAGGTATATGTAAAATGAGGTAGAACTAAATCAGTGATTCTTAACCCAGAATCACTACACTGTAATAGAAATATGAATGTGATTCCAGTGGTACATGTAACTCTAAAATTAAATACAAATTCTCTGTGTGATTATGTATATATCCAGAGTTTCCATAAGAGCTCTGCTACATCTACTTAGACTCTTGGATGATTCCAGAACTGCTAATAGAGTGAAACACACAAACCTTTTAGAAAATAAATTTCACTAAGAAGAAAAAGAAATGAAGTTCTAATTGTGTTGGTAATGTCCCAGTCCCACCCACACATCACGAGAGAGAGAAAAAGAAATTCCAAGAAGGATTTGATAATTTCAAGGAACAAAGTGCTCAGGAGATATATTCACTGACCAATTCCCCAAGTGCTCATGTGTGAGCAATTCAAAAATTCTAAAAATACTATTCAGTGACATCTCAATAGTTCTTCAAAATATGAGATTGAAAAACAAGGCCTTTTTCCAAGTCACTCTCTTAAATATGGTTAACATTTTCATTACACAATAATTTTGAAGAGTTTTTGAGCCTATGGATACCTTAGTTACCAAAATACTATGAATGTGAGCTTCTGTAGTCATTAAAGAATAAAGATGACTAATTATTAATTTAAAGGTTATGAAAACACTCTTAAATATTAATGACTAAACACACTAACTGATAGGTTGTGTTTGGACTAACACTGACAGCAAGCTTCTTGTGAAGTCTGCTGGTCAAGTTACCAAATCAGAGGTGCAGAAAGACAAGAAAATTCTCAAAAATGCTTCCACAAGAAGAATCCTTGAAGTAATTTAGGCATCTAACCTCAAAAAAAAAAAAAAATAAGGTTTAATGGAGGAAATTATTGCTGTATTCTCTTGCATTATCAAGGCTAAGAAAGATTATTAGAATTATTTTGTATCTTTCTGGCAACATGCCTCATACCAAAGGGAGGAAGTGGCAGGGAAACAATTCATTACAAAGAATATTTTTCTAAAAATGAGTCCTAGGCAACAAGGAAAGAGCTTGTCTTACGAGTTGATGTTCTCTCCCGAAAAGGCAATTTTAAGCATTGAGAATGTTCTGAGATGGATTTCTGCAGAGTAGGAAGTTGGATTCTTATATATAGGAAATCCCTGTCAGTACTTAAATTCTACGATTCTATGATTTATTAAGAATAGCCACTTGTGACCACATAGGGCACAACCTGAAAACAGGGCAGCCGCCTAAGAGAAGGCCCTTAAATAGTTATGAGTGAATGCCCAATGTGAGGTGAAGAAAGGGAGAGGTCATTAGAAAGGAAGTTGTGTACAAAACACAAGATTTTACTGCCTTGGTGAATTTTGAACCACAGCCAAATTACTTTCTTCTCTGAGAAGATATGAGGAAGAGAATAAAACTCTTCAAGGCAACAGCATGATATAAATCCAAAGCATTTTCATACTTTGGGAACGTGCTTGCATGCAGAAGTGTGAGCCGGGGGAGGAATCTTGGGTGATAAGAAAAACACGTCAGCAGGGCAGAGTGGTGAATGGCCTTCAAGATAAGGATAAGTAATTGAAATTGGTTAGGAAAGCAACAGGGAGCCAGAAGAAGGAATTGAAATGAGTAATGGGAAGCCAGAAGATTAGAAAAGCTAGACGGATTACCTTGGGAAGCAGGATTTTGAGATGGTAATGGCCAAAGGGGAGATTGTAGAATCAAGACAGGAAACAAAAAGACAAGGATGGATAGACCTATTCCCGAAACAGGAATAGTACCTTCATGAGGTCCCAGAGAGGCAGTTTGTAATAACAAAAATGAGGCCTTCACTGAAGCTTGGGAGTTATATAACACTGATCTAGGATGGCATGCTTACCTGTCACCGTTGCTTGGTATCCATCAGGAAATGTTTGTTGCATGAATGAAGAAAAAGACACAGTTCCATTCTACATAAAATAATCATTCAAAATCACCAATTTGGGAAACAACAATCAACTATTAGATTGTTAAAATGTTGATAGTTTGTGAACCTTTTTTTTTTTTTTTTTTTTTTTTTTTAGCAATGACCCAATGTCACTGTAGTGTTTCTTCAGAACTGCTTAGACTTTTGTGTAGAAGTAAAAGAAAAGACCATCAGTTCTTAAGGTCTGAGCCTGAAAACAAACGTTCTTTATTTTGAATTTGTTTTCAATGTACAAAAGGTTTACATGAAAAATACAGGCAGGCTAATATTGCAAACAACATGTAATTTCAAAGAGGAAAAATATTCAGTACTTTCCCTCTCACTTTTTAAATTAGATTCAGTAACATGATTAACTCTTACCTACATGTTTTCAGAACTAAGATGAATAAATTAGAGGGGTGGTTCAATTTAAAACACCTTTTCCTTTTAGTAAATCTAATGTTTATGGTAGTCAATAAAAGAATTGCTCTTTTAGTCATAGAAAAGCCTCAGAAGCTCTTCTAATTCTTCTATTCTGTTGATTGATGCAAATTATCTCTACAGGGAATTAATTTTAATAGTTAATGAAATGAGGAGGCTGAAGATGCAGAAATCAGTGCCTTGAGTTATCTTTGTGTGTCTGCAAGGGCTAACTCTGCACTCTGCTGTATAGCCAGCAATGACAAGTATCCTGAATTGACTGAGGAACAATCTGAAAAAAATTCACAGGAATCTTAAAAGACTCAGCAGCCTTTAGCCAATATCCATTCTTAAGTGTGATTTAAGTGACACTTCCAAGTCTTATTAAAAAAAATAAGTAAACATAACTTTAAATACCTAAGATTTCTGGTTAGTAACATCTACCATGTTTAATGTTATGGTCGATTTTATTGTAGCAGCTTGATAAAAGATCACTACTTAATAAGTAAGGTCATTCTATTACCAATTTGAAATGTTGATTTCATATATCTATGCACTCACTTCTCCATAATTTGATGTTTTTGTGGTTGCCTCAGAAGCTGTGCAATAGCTAAATAAAGAAGAAAAAATGTGACTAACCAGGCAACAGCCCAGCCCAAATGAATGTGTTGTAGTTTTTATAAAGTGCTATTTGTATAAATTCATTAATAAACTTTTATTTTATAAAAATAATTGTTGGCCGGGCGCGGTGGCTCACGCCTGTAATCTCAGCACTTTGGGAGGCCGAGGTGGGCGGATCACGAGGTCAGGAGATCGAGACCATCCTGGCCAACATAGTGAAACCCCATCTCTACTAAAAATACAAAAAAATTAGCCTGGCGTGGTGGCAGGAGCCTGTAGTCCCAGCTACTCGGGAGGCTGAGGCAGGAGAATGGCGTGAACCCAGGAGGCGGAGCTTGCAGTGAGCCGAGATCGCGCCACTGCACTCCAGCCTGGGCAACAGAGTGAGACTCTGTCTCAACAATAATAATAATAATAATAATAATAATAATAATAATAATAATAATAATTGCTAAATGAGAGCAAAGCTTTTCAAATCAATAGACTGTTTCATTCTTTCTCAACCTCTAATACAGAAAACAAAGATCTTTTATGTCATATTTAGTGCATGCTCAATAAATGTTCTTTATTTTTTCTTTTCTTTAACACCGAGTGAAAAAATAATTTTATCTGACCTTCCTTCCAAAATTTTATTTGGCTGACAGAATGCTAGGCTTACATAGACAGGGAAGGTCACATGGAGTACTTGGGTCATTCAATATATGAAACTTTTCCGTGGAAAATATTAATAATTATAATTGTTGAGTGTAATAATAATCCATATCTTGACATTAAAAGAATTGCTGAGTTTTATGAAAATGATTATTTCCCTTCCTTCCTTATAATAACTAATGGCCTAATTCTAATTCTTAAAAGTATTTTTGGAGAAGCACTAGATTAGGAGACAGAAAGAAAGAAAAAAAGATAGAATAAAAGAAGGAAGGATTCTATCCACCTGGCATTTCTCAGTGTCTGCTGGTTCCAAAATATAGCACCATTTGTAGTGGATGATGTGAAGATTCCCCTTCAAGAATGAAAGACTCATTTTCCTAGATTCTACAAGTGCTCTCAGCTGTCAGCCCTCTGTAAATTGCCTTAGCTAAAGAGCACCATTTTGTTCCAGCATCTACTATCAAGTGACCAAGGATATAAAGGCCTAACCCTCTCACCCGAATTTAGGACAACTCTCAAGGGCATGCCAGCTTCGGAACTGTCTATTGGCTCTGCTGAGGCCTTCCTCAAGACTGCATTGCAGACCAACTTCTTCTATCTGGTCCCATAATTCTGCCTTCTTCCCTCCCCTCCATAGGTGTTGGTCCCAAGAACGGTCTCATATATGCCTCTTGCTACCCCATCTCTTCTTCCTCAGAGGCAATCTTCTTCTCTTGGAAACCTAATCTGTGAAGCACTCACTGAGAACACTGAAAGTACACCATTAGTCTCTGCCTGTGGCCATTCATTCCTTAAAAGAGTTTACTATTAAAATTAAGCTACTGAAAAAATGAACCTTAGACAAATTTTCACTTCTCCATAATTCCCCTTATGTACATCTATCTCCTTTGATAGAATGCCACATAAGCATTCACACATATCAGCCTAGATTCTTTGCTTGCCCAATATGTTTGCGTTGTGTGCTCAGGATGTGTAACAATAAGCATTTGGAGTACACTAAGAGAATTTGTCCCTGCAAAATATACGAAACTTTCACAGCTAATATTGATATCAATTTAAAATAGATATCAATGTTAACATAATTAAGAGGTGTGCATTTCACTGTGGCTTTTAAACTTTCCTTATGACTGTATATTTGTTTGAGAGATCTCAAGACTTTATTGTTTACTCATTCTTTTTCCCAGAAGGGCAATTATAAAACCTTGTCTCCTCAACCATTCTTCAAATCTCAATACTTTCACTAATTGGAGCTCAGGAAACACTCATTTCAACACTCAATTCAGATCTTATTGCATGTTTTTTTTTTTTAATTCCATCAAGGAAACTGTCAGAAATATAAATGCAATTAACATAGGATTGACAAACAAAATGCTGAATTCTTTTATTTAGTAAGCCAGTGATTCTCTCCATGCCAAGTAAATATCTTAGTATTGCACAGCACATAAACTGAACTTATCCAACTGTTTGGTTATGCAAAACAAATCCATTGATATTTAATAATAGTAATTAAAATTTAAGTGTCACATTCCAGAAACATTTCCATCCAAAAAAAGACACTTTATAGAAATACTAATTTTTTAAACTGAAAGATATCATCCAACATTTCAAAACTGAAACTTGTAAAATACAACTATTGGTTAGGTCTACATAGATGCATACTGAACTGACTATTCTTCAAATAATGTTAGCAAAAAAAAAAATTTTTTTTTTTTTTTTTAGACAGAGTTTCACTCTGTTGCCAAGGCTGGAGTGCAGTGGCACAATCTCTGCTCACTGCAAGCTGCACCTCCCAGGTTAAAGCAATTATGCCTTAGCCTCCAGAGTAGCTGGGACTACAGGCGCCCGCCACCACGCCTGGCTAATTTTTGTATTTTTAGTAGAGATGGGGTTTCGCCACTCCCTGCCCAGCAAACAAATGTTTTTAAGGGCAGTAATTTTATGTGAGACTGTAATGTAACTAAATTCCTAAGAGATCATTTGAATCCACCGTAGTGAAAGTGATGTTTATACGTAGAAGTGGGGTGTGGTATAAATAAACAATAAGCAGGACATAGTACTCTGTAGGACTGGAGATTCAGTGACAAGTCAAACAAGAAAGGAGGAGAGAATTCATACTTCAGAACACTTCCTATTAGCAATTATTGCACATAGGATTTGTCCCAATTCTGCATTTGCCCAGTTTATTCTCAGAAAATACTTCAAAATTATGAAATTGGAACAATTACTTCAAATGTATGCTTAACTATAATTCTAAATTAATTCATTATAATATCTATTTATGAGTGGGGAAGGAGAAAAGAGTGGAAAGGGAAAGACAGGAGGGAAGAAGGAAGAGGAAAAGGGGGAAAGAAGAAGAAGGGAAGAGAGAGAAGGGGAGAGGAGAAGGGTGGGAGGGGAGGGGAAAAAGGGAGGGGAGGCCAGGTGTGGTGGCTCACCCCTATAATCCTAGCACTTTGGGAGGGTGAGGCCTGCAGATCCCTTAAGCCCAGGAGTTCAAGCCCAGCCTGCACAACCTGGTGGAACACCGTCTCTACAAAATATGTAAAAATTAGCCAGGCATGGTGCCATGCACTTGTATTCCCAGCTACTCTGGAGGCTGAGGTGTGAGAATGGCTTAAGCCCATGAGGCGGAGGTTGCAGTGAGCTGAGATACTGCTACTGAACTCAGCTTGGGCAACAGAGCCAGACCAAGTCTCAAATAAATAAATAAAATGGGAAGAGGAAAGGGAGCACAGGGGAGGGGAGGAAGGGAGAGGGAAGAATAAAATAACAATGACTTTTATCATCTAGCGTTTTTCAGTACTTGCTAGTTCCAGACTATAGTACCATATACAAAAGAGTTGAGAGTTGCTCACCTATTACCTGCCCCTGGTCATTCATCCTTGACAAAAGCATCAGTTTACTGACAGACTTTGTGGTTTGAGGTACTTTGTTAGCACAATTGCCTCCCATCCTATCTGTAGGTGTTGATTTGTATCAGGAAGGTCATGACTGGTTCCTCCCAAACTATTGGTCCAATAAATGAGGAGGGGCCACTACTTAGGAAAATTGTTCTATATTTAGTTTTAACACCTTTATAGAGATGCAACTGAAATACCACACAATCTGCCTGTTTAAAATGTACAATTCAGTGACATTAGTGCATTCACAGAGTTGTGCCTCCATTAACACAATTTAGAATATTTTCAGTACACCCCCCAAACCCTTTGACCCTCAATCTTCAATTCCCCATACCCCCTCCAACCCTAGGCAATCATTAATCCACTATAGACTTGTCTATAGTGGACATTTCACTTAAATGGAATCATGAAATTATGTCATTCCGGCTTCTTTCATTTAGCATAATGTTTTCAAGGTTTATACATGTAATAGCATGCATTGATACTGAATTCTTTATTGTTGAATAATATTCCATTGTATGAATATACCACATTTGTTTATCCATCAGCTGATGGCTATTTGGATTGTTTCCACTTTTTGGCTATTAAGAATAATGTTGCTGTGAACATTTGTCTATGTATTTTCAATTCTTTTGGGTATATACCTAGAAGTAGAATTGCTGGATCATATAACTCTGTGTTTAACAATTTGAGGAACTACAATATTCTATGTTTTTTTTCAACCATTGCCATATATTAAAAAAAAAATTCTCTGAAAAAAAAATTAATGCCAAATTCTGTCAGTATTGGTTCAGTTTGCGGCCACACATCTTAGACCAAAGCTCCTACTTAAAATTGTCTTAGTTGTTTAATGAATTAACACTGTAAGAGCTTGATGTGCAAAAGAGATTCGTTAGCTAGTCTTTCTTCTTGATACAATGTTCCAAATATTGCCAATAAAAATTAACTTAATTCCTTGAAGGTAGAAGCACTTACTGATAAGTTCCTCACTGCAATACCTTTAGTGTTTTTTTGTTGTTCTGGAACTTCAATATAAAATGTAATGTTGGAAAAGTAATGCCACTAATAAAAATATGCAATATTTTACATCCTTGTAATTGTTTACAACTTATCAGTAACTCCAACCTGAACATATTCACTTCACCCTTAGAGCAGTCATTTCCAACCTGCTTTATTTTGCTGTTATTGTTGATGAGTTTGTTCTGTTTTGTTTTATTTTAGGCTTTAGCAGCCAGAAGCCATGGTTTTTAGCTTCTGTCTCTGTTGATAAGTGGAAAAGAGGGATGAGGAAGGAGCTTTTCTGGCCCAACCAGAAACAGAAACTAAGAACCCATGACTGTATTTTCTCCCTTGGACACCCCCACCTTAGAGCATTTAAGTTAAAACTTCTCTAATAGAAATGATAAAATCAAGATTTAAGCAGGCTAAGCGCTTCCAAATATTAAATAGATAGTTACACAGCTGGCTGGAACTTCATACTCCAAAGTTCAAGTCTAGATCACTTCAAGTTATGTCTGTTCTAGGAGTTAAAGGAATAGTGCCCGGCTATGTTCATTTGTCCAGTCTCTACTGTCACCTTGCCTTTTTACTTCCCCCCTCCTCCTACACACACAATACTCAAGTCACATACTCAATTCATGCATATGCAGACACAGCAAGTGCATACACCACACACACGTTTTCTATATACCACAGACACAGATGTACATTCCTCATACACAATCACCTCACAGACACACACATCCCACATACAGACACCTCACACACACTTCAGTCACAAAAAAACTCATGCACAGGACATTCAAATATACACACATCACACACAGACTTCACATACACATTCACACCTTACACACACATACAATAAACTCACATATATACACACTCACAGAAGGGAAGAAAAGTTGTGAGTTTGCACCACCAGATTACAACGTATTGGACCAAGTTTTCTAGGGAGGGGAAGTTATGTGACAAGGACACTCATCCAAATCTCTCTTAATCTTCCTTTCTCCAGTGCTGGCCAGGTAAGTGGAGTCAAGATATGCTTTCAATCTTATTAGAAACCATCTGTTAAGTCCACGTGTCATGTGGCTGACCAGAAAGCAGTTATAGCCAATGACACAGATCTGCTCTTAGGGGAAAGAAAGTAGGGGTCCCTATCTCAAATCTAAACCACAGGCAGGATGCAGCATAGGAGGATGTGGGCATTCCTAACCCCTTAGCCATATTGTCACCACTACGTGTGAGAACTGTAGGAAGTTTCTTAAACTTTGAAACGTCAGCATATTTATTATGGTAATAATACTTATTGGCAAGTTAGGGGAAAAAATCACAAGTCTTGTATGGAATTGGGTGATTCTGCAGAGTTGCAATTGTGACAAATAAATTATACTTTCTGAGACACTCTTCAGTTTTAGCAATTACAATAGCAAATAATTATTATTCATAACAGTATTAACATAGCAAATGGTCATATTCCTTATAGAGATAGCATTTCCAAGAAGTCTTTAACTTTTTTTCTAATTTGTCATTTCAGTCTCTCAGAAAACATTGTCTTCTACAATACCTGCCTTTTACAGTTGTCCTAAGGCCTAAGATCAAATACACCACATAAAATATGAGGCACGTGGCAAGAATTCAATAAATGGTAGCTACTACTACTATTACAGCTATTTTCATCCCAACCAAATATATACTTGGAAATGTAATTGCAACACAAGATATTTTGAGATATTGAAAGGACAAATTTGAAAAACAAAATAAAGACTACTCGGAAGTGCTGTCTCTATAAGGAATATGACCATTTGCTATGTTATGAATACTGTTATAAATAATAATTCTTTGCTATTTTAATTGCTAAAATTGAAGATTGTCTCAGAAAGTGTAACTTGTCACAATTGTTAACACCATTGCAACTCTGCAGAATCATACAATTCCATACAAGGCTTGTGATTTTTTCCCCCATCTTGCCAATAAGTAGATTTTTTTCATCACCAATAAATTAAGGCTATGCCTGTGCCTTACTCTCCAAATCATTAGAGCTCAAATGAATCTAAATCACTGAACAGATTAAAGTTTTAGATAAAAAATAAATGTCATCATTTACTTTCTAAAAATAACAGCAACTCTGCATATTTCCCTGTAAGCTTATAGTAATTATGCCATTCATATATACTATCTAAACATTTATATATAGTATATACATAGAACATGTATACAATCTATATACTTTAACTCAATGAGGAGATATTGCTAACCTATTGATATTTAATTCTTGCAGAATATTATTCAATAAAATCGCAATTCTTCTTCAAACTAGTTCACACTTATGTTATTAGTTAGCTCACAACAGCAGCTTAATAAAATAAATTAAAAGATAGTAAGTCTCCAAAGAGTGCTAATACATTCCGCATGTTATAATAAGGCTTTTTCTGAATCACACTTTTATTGTACAAACACTGTTTAACATTTAGCAATCCAAATTTAATCAATGTTTTGTGTTATTCCTCTGCAAATTAACACAACTCTTATCACAGATACTGAAATATTTGAATTTCCTTATTACATAAAAATTCCTGTTGGCTTTAACCTCCCTATGTAAACTTATAAACTGGTTTAAGGGAAAACTGAAATAATCCTTTGCTAAATTATACTTAAGGTGAAGCTTAATAAACGCATATTAAGTAGAAAGCAACGTAAAAAAGAATAATTACAAATATACCATTTACTGTTCGCTTACTCTATGCCAGGTATAAGGATAACAAATTTTTAAATATATCTTATTTAATCCTTTAAAAAAGCATGATAGTGATATTATTTTCTGCAACTTATAGATTAAAAAAAAACCATGAATCTCTGAGTATATTATTTACTAAAGTCTCACACCTAGAAAGTGTTGATCCTGGGTTGCTGAATTAAAACCCTCAAGTCTGGAAACTCTATTCCATCTACCTAAGAACCCAAAATGGAGAGCCAGATTTTTTTTTTTTTTGAGACGGAGTCTCGCTCTGTCACCCCAGCTGGAGTGCAGTGGCACGATGTCGGCTCACTGCAAGCTCTGCCTTCTGGGTTCACGCCATTCTCCTGCCTCAGCCTCTGGAGTAGCTGGGACTGCAGGCGCCCGCCACTGCGCCCAGCTAATTTTTTGTATTTTTAGTAGAGATGGGGTTTCACCGTGTCAGCCAGGATGGTCTCGATCTCCTGACCTGGTGATCCGCCTGCCTCGGCCTCCCAAAGTGCTGGAATTACAGGCGTGGAAAGCCAGATTTTAAAATGAGCAATTGGGTGTTTGATGTTGCCCAAAGGACTCCAGCAGTCAACAAATATACATTGCCAATGCCAAAGATATTCCTTTATTGCATGGTTTAAAAAGTTGGTTGAGATCTTTATAAATAAAAAAGTGTGTGTGAGTGTTCGTGTGTGTGTGTGTGTGTTTCAAGAAAAGTTTCAGCCAAGCAGGTGGCTCACATCTGTAATGCCAATGCTTTAGGAGGCTGAGGTGGGAGAATCACTTGATCCCAGGGGTTTGAGGGTACGGTGAGCTATGACTGCACCACTGCACTCCAGTCTGGGCAACAGAGTGCCTCTGTCTCTCTAAAACATAAAAGAAATTTTAATGCAACTTAAATTTTTAAGGTCAAGCCTTCTCTGTACAATGAAAACCTATGCAATCCAAGGAGATTTTCACCGTCAAAGGAGATCCTTATACTGGGAAGGGATATGTTGAATCAGTAAATAAAAGCAACTTTTGCAGATTTGCAACAAATGCCTAATGGGAGAATTTGCTTAGAATGAATCACTTGGGTGGGTGAACAAACTTACTGGTTCTGCATCAGCAAACATAGAGTAAATAGTGTCTTAATTTTCTTTCCAAAGACCAGAAGAATTTTGAAAAGAAAAATAAAACCCTAAAATATTGTTATGTCACACAAGAAGTGGAAGTAAACAGGCAGAAAAAACTTCTAAAGCTAAGCACTTAGGAACTGAGTGTTAGTAAAGAGAAACAACCAACTGCATTTTGGTTTCCTCTGTAAGCTAGCTGAGTGGAGAAAACTGTGAAGAAAATGAAAATCACAACTGATAAGTGCTTTTCTTCTCAAGGTGTGGCCTCCAGGCCTTTCCGATAATTATGTCATAAGAAGAGATTAGGAGTCTTCGTAGGTAAGAAGTCTTAAGGACAGTCTATTCAAAAATGTTTTTCATTTGGTACTCTGTTACAGCTATCTCCTTTCTCTGACAGTGTCCAGCTACAGTAACATCTATATCAAACTGCCTAAAGAATTTTAGCAATATTTTGATAACTCATCTATCATAATGTTCCCTTGCCCAGCCATCAAAGGGCAATCCTTCTGCTACAGTGTGCACGAAATGGTCTGAACCACACCACACATCCTTGAGCTCTGAATGCATCAAGATACCAGCAGTTAGAAGATTCCTATTCTCTGACAACTCTCTCATAACAAACTTGATTTATTAAAAAATAAATATTGAAGTAGGCCGGGCATGGTAGCTCATGCCTGCAATCTTACCACTTGGGGAGGCCGAGATGGGTGGATTGCTTGAACTCAGGAGTTTGAGACTCACCTGGGCAACATGGCGAGGCCCCATCTCTACTGAAAATGCAAAAATTAGTCAAGTGTGGTGGCATACACCTGTAGACTCAGCTACTCACGAGGCTAAGGTACAAGAATCACTTGAACCCAGAAGGCAGAGGCTGGCTGCATTGAGTCAAGATAATAGCACTGCACTCCAGCCTGGGCAACAGAGTCTCACTCTGTCGCCAAAATAAATAAATAAATAAATAAATAAATATTGAATTAGTAACTTTTGCATTTCATCCCTTGGTAATACATATTTCTTCTGAAGGTAATAGTATTTTATTCTAATGAACTCTTTCTGCCCCATGTTTAGTAAGCAGAGCTCATTTGTAACCATTTGGGCTTCAGACAAAAAGCTTTTCTAAGTTTTGTTTTTATGAAACCAATATTTAAAACCACTTCCTTTTATTTATTTTTTCTCTCTCAAAAACAAATGTCCATGAGGCTTCATTATTTTTTTCCTCCCTTTTCTAATTTCTTCTTTTTGAAAGTAATTTATTTTCTAAAATTGAAGAGCCACCTGACTACAGTTACTTTAGGGTAACTGAATGTGGTTGTGCTTTTGCCTTTTAAAGAGTTAGTTCTGACTACATTCATATAAGGCTTTGTTTTCAAGGATGTCTGGAATTCAAACCCCTGGGACTGAGAATATCACCCAGGAAAAAAAGATGCCAAATTGAACTAAAAGGCTACTTTACAATTTTGACCTGTGGATTTTATTTAATGAGGGACAATCAACAAGGCTAAGTAAAATAGTTCCTGGAATATGTCTGACAGTCATATGAATAGGATAAAAGCTGCTGAAACAGTGCTCAAAGCAAGTTATCACCAATTCTGAATTCTGAATATTGCACCTAAATTCACAACGATAATAGCTATTTTTAAAAATACCACTCATTATGTCTTCAAACTCTAATCTACCACTCTTAGATCATAATGCCAAGAGTAACCCCTACTGGCCAGTCTATTTTATGGCTAATGCTGAAAGGATACAGGAGAAAGGGTGGTTTTACTGATATATTTATAATCCCAGGAGCAGTTTGCCAGCACTGCATTTTCATGATAATATTATATATATATATATATATATATTTTGTCATCTAGCTCCTCCAGTGATACTCCTGAAGATTTAACATACTTTACTTTTACAAAGTTTTAATAACTATAAACATGTTGAACATTTTAAATTTCTGGCAATATAAATAATATTTCTAAATCAACAGATAAAAGGAATTCTGCTCACTTTAAATAGCTTTTCCTTAGTATTACTTTCTGAAGAGGGCAAATTATCAAATGATGTTTAAAAACTCCATTACCTGCTCCAAGTTAAGGGGCGAGACAGGGCACAGAATGAATACAGTGGGGGTGTGTCATTAGGATGCTAATTTACACAACAAAAATTAATGACAGATAAAGTCAGCAGCATGTTGACATGTCCAGCCCACATGCCCTACATTTTGTCTACTTACAAAGTGACATATGACTCTAGATGTTTGCATAAGCAACATGGAGATTCCCTTCATTATTGCATGTTTAGGTTGCTAGTAATTGAGTCATACTCCTGAGCTAAATTAGGTAAATAAACTTGTGTATAAGGAAGTTACCATGCAATCCTATTAATTTTCCATATCAAGATATCCAGGAATAAAGCAGAACTTAGACAGATTCTAGAAAAAATCACACATAGGGCAACATTCTCACTTCTTCCTGGCCCACTGCATCTCTTGCATTCTTTATGGGTTTGTAAAAATCAGGTTAAAATAAACTAAGTGTAGTTCATTTCACACAGGAAAGAAAGTATAAATGAGCATTGTAGGCCAGGATAAAGCTGTGGCTGGGGATAGGCATTCTGTCCTGTTTGCCTGGGGTGCTAATTTTATGAACATTATATGCTATTATAGACTATATTATTGTTCTCAACAATTCACTCTTTTGCCACTTGAATGTTCAGGCGTTCTGGGAGGGGGGATATATTGCTGAGACCCATTGTCTGGTTAGCCACAAACTTGCTTGGGCTAATGGAATGTGAGTGGAGATGACAGTCTGTCATTTTAGATCAAAGGCTTTAAGAAGCATTACGTGCTTCCCCCAGCCTCTTGCTCTTTACCCTGGGCCACAGTTCCGTTGTCAGAGTTCCAACCAGCTGTACTCTGGGCAAGGTTGAGCCATTTCCTCTACTTTCTTCTAATGGATGGAATGGTCTAACCCATTGAATTGACAGGAAAACAAGAAAATACTTTGGCTGGAAAGAAACTCTTACAAGAGCTCAGGCTAAACCCTAAGGAATTCAGACTTCTCTTTGAAAATCTTATTTGTCAATGGTCACAATTCAGGAGAAAGGACAAGGTATACTGCAACACCTGGGCCTCATTTTTGCTGACAATGGAGCAGATGGAGTGATTATCTGTAACCTTATTTGCACTGACCCTGAATATCTGTTGTTTGTCAAAACCATTTGAATCCTTTTAGTTTCAGTTTCCCACACGTATAATCTTATTACTCATAAAGTTTACTCTAAAGCAAGGTTTAAAATGAAATCTCATGAGAATTAAACATCATTTGTACACTTAGATTGCCATTCTTAAAAAAGTTACATAAATTCAGCAGAAAGAAAGCACTATTTTAAGAAAACCACCTTATCCTCTCCTTTTAATTGCTTCTAAGAAACTGGGCAAACCACCCTCAATGAAAATAATTTGAATAATAACATATCCGTTCTCTTATATTTTAATTTTATAATATTCCATATGTGAAACAATGGGGTAAATATTGAAGATGAGAGTGGGTGAGAGTCCTAGATTCCAGAAAGATAACTTTTACTTCTGCTATTTATTATTAATTTTCTTCCTTTCAAAATAGAGTTTTGTAAATTGCAGCTATTTCTAATTCTACTCAAACCTTTGACAAAGAAGGAGATGTATACACAAACACATTAAAGAAAAAAATAAATGGTTACATTTTAAGTTGGAAAATATTATTCCACTTTAAATATATCCTAAGTTTAAAGAAAGTATTTATTGTGAGCCAAGGCTTCACATTAAATTTTGCAATTTGTCTCCTTAATACTTCTAGAACAAAAGTTAATTATTTCTTAACCACTTACATAGGAAATAAGATTTAGAAATTACTCAACTCACTTATTTCTGCTGATATTTTTCTTTGTTTTTTTTTTCCTTTGAGATGGAGTCTCACTCTGTCTCCAAGGCTGGAGTACATTGGCGTGATCTTGCCTCACTGCGACCTCTGCCTCCTGGGTTCATGCAACTCTCCTGCCTCAGCCTCCAGAGTAGCTGGGATTACAGGTGCCTGCCACCACACCTGGCTAATTTTTGTATTTTTTTTTTCAGTAGAGATGGGGTGTCACTGTGTTGGCCAGGCTGGTCTCAAACTCCTGACTTCAGGTGATCCGCTTGCCTCAGCCTCCCAAAGTTCTGGGATAACAGGCATGAGCCATCGTGCCCAGCCTCTGTTGATATTTTTCAAATAGAAAATCAATTTTAAGTTTTTCTTTATCATATGAAGCAAATATTAAATAATCATTTTATTTAGTCTGATGCTTGCTTGATTATATTGTGATATTTCTAATAATCTATTAGATTTTATAATAACAATTATAATAATTGTTTCTAAGCAAATGAACTATTTTACTGTATGTTCAACCTCCTACAGAACGCTGTATAATTTTCTAAATAATGGAATCTATGCAGCAGCGGGATCTATTTATAAATTCACTGCATTTTCAGTGTCATTATTGGGATATATTCCTGAGTAACTGCTGTGGAGACAGAAAGTATCAAAATATACAGCAGAAATTTGAACCATATAAAGCCTGATGGGCCTGACAAAGGTTAACAGAATAACATAACATTCAGCTCTACTCCTTTTCTCACCCTCGTCTCATCTCAAAATATATGCAGGAAATGCCTCCTTTTTCAACCTCCTTCGCATTCTGAAGAGAATGTAGAACTTTGTTTTAAAATTGAAGCCAATGTAACCAACATTTGCCTATTTTTAAAAAGCTCTTCCTTCATTCTGATTGGCTTTAGAAACAGGCCTAATATTGACAAGAAATTTATAGAGTTAGTGAGAGTTTTCATGCTAATATCAACATTTTATTCTTTTTTGCTCACTCAGTTCCCAAAGATGGATGTATACAAATGCTGTAGAACTTCATACATGCTTTCCTACACCTTCATTTCCTCCTCCTCAAAAGATTAATAAGCTCTGTTTATTGACGTTTTTGTGGTAAGAGTGATGTAAATATCTCAAGCCATATAATCAAGTTGTCATGTTGGTCTAGGCACCTACAATACAACTAGATCTGTGATTTACCAAGGTGCTATGTATGAATATATTTATTTTGACAAACACAAATCAGTTAATATTTTGACAAGTATATTTTGATAAGTATAAATCACTGAATAACAGCTTTCATATATATTATTTCATTTTAGGTTTCAGAAGTAGTCAACAGTTGATTCATGAACTGCTTGCCTTGCTTGTAGAAAATTTAGCAGACAGGAGAAAGAAGAAAGAAAAATAAATAGGCAAATCCCAGACTCATTCCTGCCATAATGGTTTCATTTTGCCTGTTTTATATATCAGAGTTTTGTGAAAAATTTCATTCATAAAGAGAGGTTTTCTGATTTTTTAAAAGATAAAATTTGAAAATGTCTAGCAGAGAGCTCAGTGCCTAAATCTCAGAAAATATTTAAGGACAGAGAGAAAACATGAAAAACATAAATAGTATCTGCAAATAAGGTTGATAAGTCTAACCTTTCTATACTTAAAAGAAATTCAGCTTCTTAAATGGCAGAGAAAATTCTGTATGCCAGATTACAATGAATATATTCTCGTCATTATCATTATCTTTAGATACTTCCAGTTTTCTGTGGATAGACTTTGTAAAATGCCATCTATCTCCAAAAAGAATGTTACTAACACCCAAGGAAAAACAAGTTTGTAGAGTCATACATCTAATTACCAATATAACGTAATGATTCTTTTCATTATCATGACCCTCTGCCCCTCTGTAGTGACATGTCCCCCTGAAATTTGACCCAAATAGTTCATACAAATAAAGTTGCAATGTCTCCAGTCAGACATGAACTGATTGTCTTCCTAGGGTCTCCTGGGGTAGCAACAGTCAATTTGCCACAGCAGAAACTTGAGTATGCACATTGAGTTCCCTCCAGGTATTTTGGCAAGCAAAGTTTAAAAGCAACCATGACCTTGTCACCAATACTAATGGACAGACTTCAGACTTCTCTGCTTTATGTTAGCATAGTTGCTGGAGTAAGGTTACAATGTTCTGAGGACTATTATTGATCCTGACATTCCAAACAACTGTGAGTTGATGGAGTAATTATCTTATATTCCTGTGAACAGACTTTTTCTGCCTCAGGTCACTGAACCATTTTTATTTTTCCCAACATAAAATTTCTATCCAAAAAGTGATCTAATCCACCTGAGGAAAAAGACTATAACTTCATCACATTCAGAATAATCTCTCCTCAGGTCCTCTACCAAAATGTTATGATTGCTTTAATTTCCATATTGCCCATGTACAGAAGCCAACAATTATTGCAGCATAACTTAGAGAGTACAAATAAGCTGAAATGACCAGCTATGATCTGAACATTGGCACCCTCCCAAAATTCAAATGTTGAAATCTAATCACCAATGCAATAGTGTTAGGAGGTAGGGCCTTTGGGAGGTAATTAGGTCATTAGGCCTCCAGCCTTGTGAACAGGATTAATGCACATATTAAAGAGGCCCCTTCTTCCAAGTTATAGCTCCCTTGCCCCTTCTTCCAAGTGAGGACACAGCAAGAAGACACCATTAATGAACCAGAAACCTGGCCCTCACCAGACACCAAATCTGTAGCATGCTGACTTTGGACTCCCCAGCCTCCAGCACTATGAGAAATAAATTTCTATTGTTTATAAGCTACCCAGTTTTTTGTTTGTTTTTGAGACAGAGTCTCCCTCTGTCGGCCAGGCTGGAGTGCAGTGGGACAATCTCTGCTCACTGCAAGCTCTGCCTCCTGGGTTCAAGCGATTCTCCTGCCTCAGACTCCCGAGTAGCTGGGACTACAGGCATGCGCCACCATGCCCGGCTAATTATTGTATTTTTAGTAGAGATGGGGTTTCGCCATGTTGCCCAGGCTGGTCTCGAACTCCTGACCTCAGGTGATCCACCGGCCTCGGCCTTCCAAAGTGCTGAGATTACAGCCGTGAACCACTGTGCCCAGCCATGCTACAGAGTTTATGATATTTTATTGTAACAGTCCAAATGGACTAAGACATGACCTACCTTACTATCAGTGCCAAAAAGACTAATTCTACCATTCCCTGGGATCTGAAGATAATTTAATTGTCCTTTCTCTAAAAATAATAGTAACAACCAACAAACAAAAAATCTCCAAAAGTTTATTTTAGAAAAAAGGTCTAAGGAATTCTATATAGTTCTTGATAATTTATTAAACATAGTCACAAATCTTTTGGAATTTTTCAGCAAGCAATAAAGTGTCCCTGCCTAAGCAGGTTTTTAAAAGCTATTCCAAGGAGAAGCCATACAGTTCCGTCACTGCATTTGGATGCTGTTGCTGTGCACTTTATTCATAGGAATGCATAGCGTGGCTTACTGGTACTGAAAAAGACTGCTGAATGGCAGATTTTAAAAAGAGTAAGCAACTGAATTGTAAAAGGTCCTAGCAATGATAGATTCCACAACCCGTTAGAAATTTGCCCCTACAACCCTCCTGACTTCTGAATTCCAAGAAGAATGAAAGTGATGGCTTATAATTAGCATGATTGTGTTAGGGGCATGACAGATGCTGTCGGCCAGCCTTGATGTCAGAGTAAAATCTGTTTCCTCATTCATAGTCCAGCTCTTTTTTCACATGATGGACTGCAGCACCCTCTTTCTGATTACAGGCACTAGGCTTCATTGCATGTTGTAAACATATATAAGGCAGAGCCTAGGTGCATGCAGATGATAATGTGTCAGTCTGGGTCAAGTGACAGCTTAGGAAATGTCAAAATGAACAACAAAAACAGAGTAATTCTATGAAATGGACAATGTGGGTGGATATTACATTTCAATATTATTAATGTCTAACTCAAAAATTTGATTTGCCAACTGAAGTCCATTTAGCAAAACATACACATTGTCAGTTAGCCTGAGAATTTTCACTAGGCTTACCCCACTTCCCTCCTAGAATTTTTTTTTGGGGGGGAGGTTCTGAAGGCATTATTTTTATTGTGTTGTGTTGTGTTTTGCTGTGTTGCGTTGCATTGCATTGCATTGCATTACATTTTTTGAGACAGAGTCTCACTCTGTCGCTCAGGCTAGAATGCAGTGGTGGGATCATGGCTCACTGCAGCCTTGACCTCCTGGGCTCAATTGATCCTCCCACCTCAGCCTCCAGAATATCTGGGACTACAGGTGCACACCATTACTTTGCTTCCAAGTTAGACATAACTACTTGCATGGTCTGCTTGTACTCAAACTCAGCAAATCACACCCAGCATCTCCTCCCAATTTAGCATCTTCTCATGATTTCCCTATTTCTGTTCCTGGATCATTATTCTCCCAGTCATTCAGACCCGAACCTGAGAATCATCTTAGATGTCTCACTCTTTTTCAAGCGCCATATTAGTTTGTGTAATATGGTATCAAAACTTTGAAATTTCTGTAGCATCTGTCCCTGAGTCTTTCCATATCTATAGTCATCAAACTTAGCTCCACATTACCCCTTGCTGAGTCTAACCCACTAGTCTTATATTTCTTAGATCACACATCCAGTCTATGTTCCCACGAAACCATTCAAGATGGATCTTCCTGCGGCATTCCATCAACATCTGCCTGCTAATTCTCTTCATCCTGTACCTGAGCTTAGCAGCTCACTGGCATTTTCTCCAAGTTGTACCATACTTCCTGTTTTTTTGCCCTTGTCCAGTATTCTTTCCTCTGTCTTCAATTTTTCTGTTTATACTTCTGTGGAAATCCTATCCATCCTTAAACCTTAAAATGTGGAGAGTGTGTCCTTAAGACTGCATATAATGACTATAGCAGTTCAAGTCTCTTTGATGTTGACTAACTGATATTGAGGAAATATGTCAATTCTGTGGGATTCAGGTACTCCTCTGTAATTGGGAGTAAAGGGAGAAGAGGATAATACTTTCCCTGCCTCTGTCATATCTATCATAGAATAATTAAAATGAGCAAAAACTTTAAATGAGATGAATATGTAAAAGCAAGAGTAAAAGCTAACATGCTATGCACAGTAGAAAGCCTTACTATGATCATCCTCTTTACTGTTACATATTCACCACATGCAGATGAGGCTTCCTCCTGGGATTCCACTTATTTTCATCACTATTATGGTCAATACTATGACTTATCTTTCAGAATTAGTTAGCAGGTATGGTGGCTCATGCCTGTAACTCCAGAACTTTGGGAGGCCAAGGCTGGAGGATTGGTTGAGTTCAAAAGTTCAAGACCAGCCTGAGCAACATAGTGAGATCTTTTCTCTACAAAATTTAAAACAATAGCTAGACATGGTGGCCCATGCCTGTAGTCCCAGCTACTCAGAGGCTGAGGCAGGAGGATCACTTCGGTCCAGGAGTTTGGGGCTGCAGTGAGCCATGATTGCACCACTGCACTCCAGCCTGGACAGAGTCCAGAGTGAGACCCTGCCTCAAGAAAAAAAAGAAGAAGAAGAAGAAAGAAGAAGAAGAAGAAGAAAGAAGAAAGAAGAAGAAGAAAGAAGAAGAAGAAGAAAGAAGAAGAAGAAAGAAGAAGAAGAAGAAGAAGAAGAAGAGGAAGAGGAAGAGGAAGAAGAAGAAGAAGAAGAAGAAGAAGAAGAAGAAGAAGAAGAAGAAGAAGAAGAAGAAGAAGAAGAAGAAGAAGAAAGAAAGAAAGAATTAGTTCACTGACTTAAAAACAGGCCTACTGAGGGTCACAGATTCTTTTGGAATATACATGCATATTTGGAGGACAGAATCACAAACTGTTTGACACATTCAGTTAGGTTATGAAGAAAATAAAAGGCTTTGGTTGTAATATGATCAGATGGCTAGTTCCCTTTATTCTTTATTTTTGAGATGGAGTTTCGCTCTTGTTGCTCAGGCTGGAGTGCAATGGCACGATCTTGGCTCACTGCAACCTCTGCTCACCACAACCTCCACCTCCCAGGTTCAAGCAATTCTCCTGCCTCAGCCTCCCAAAAGTAGCTGGGATTACAGGCATCTGCCACCACACCCGGCTAATTTTGTATTTTTGGTAGATACATGGTTCTCCATGTTGGTCATGCTGGTCTCAAACTCCCGACCTCAGGTTATCTGTCCGCCTCGGCCTCCCAAAATGCTGGGATTACAGGCATGAGTCACCGTGCCCGGCCTTAGTTCCCTCTATTCTAATGTAAATAAATACTCTAAATAAATGTATAATTCAAAATAAATATTTACATAAATATTGACAGATGAAGTGCTTTTTGACTCATGCTGAAGTTAACTAGCTGCCCCTTGAAAAATTAGTTTTCTCCATTAAATTATTAAAATTTAACTAATTCTGGAGTTTTTCTATGGCATGCTGGACATAATAGGAACCATGGACTTGCTGAGAGTCCTAGTCTAGGAGATTTCCTTCCAGCACCTGAAATACTTCATGGGAGACCACAGTTTTCATTCCATATTTTGATGTTACAATATGAACCATAAAAACTTTCTTCTATTTCTATTTTTTACTTTTTGCAAGACTAAAGACACCCCCCCCAATAGTCCAGAATTTTATTCCTACTTTCTTCCTTTTTCACTTGAGAATGTAGAAACAATAAATAACTCAAATCTACATTTTATCAGTCAGTGCCACCATTTAAAACACAGCATTTTGGGCATGATTTCATTTAACCCCTTAATTGTATAGTTATGATTCCATAACACTGCACACTGTCTATTCCTTAAAATTTTCTTAAGTTTTACTTTCACATTATGCAAAATTAATTAATGCTCCACTCTGTGGACTCTATGCCACCACACCACTATCAATGAATTCAGAAGAGGCAGTGGGAGTGTTGATAGAATGTAACATAGCATTATGGTAGAGTACAGACTAGATTACTTGTTTCTCAGTTTTCTCCTCTAAAATATGGAAATAATAATAATATATCTAATTCAGAGTTTTTGTGAAGATTAATTGGTTTAATACATATAAAATGTTTAGAGTAGAGCCTGACACACAAGTACTCTGTAAGTATCATCTATTATTGTTTTGTTATTAATAAAGGACTCCATTATTTCACAAGGTAGGTTAAGCATCATTAATCTGAAAATCCAAAATGCAAAATGTTCCACAATCCAAAACTTTTTGAGTGCTGACATGATGTCACAGGTGGAAAATTCCACACCTGACCTCATGTGACAAGTCATAGTCAAAACACAGCCAAAACTTTGTTTCACGTACGAAAGCATTTTAAAATATTGTATACAATTATTTTCAGCCTATGTTTATAAGGTATATACGAAACATAAATAAATTTTGTGTTTAGATGAAGGTCTTATCCCCAAGATATCTCACTATGTGTATGCATGTATTCCAAAATCCAAAAAAAAAATTCAAAGGTTGAAACACTTCTGGTCCCAGGCATTTACAATAAGAGATATTCAACCTGTATATGTTAAACATATACTAATTCTTAAATTTTTTGAGAGAAATGTAATTATAATAAAGTGGAAAAAACTATATCAGGTATGAGTATTAATATTTTGGTTTAATTACTGCAATGATCAACATAGCTACTTTAATTATTATTCTCATGAGAGTTTTTACTTTTTTTTTTTAAATAGATGGCGGTCTTGCTGTGTTACCCAGGCTGGCCTTGAACTCTGGGTTCAAATGATCCTCCTGCCTCAGCATCCCAAGTAGTTGGGATAACAGGTATGCACTATTACAACCAGCCCATGCTAATGAGAATTTTAATGCATATACACACAACATATACCCACACACTTTCAACACACATTTTCATTATACAGAGTGTTTCCATAGGTAGAGTAGAATGAGATATGAGTTCTGGTTATTTAGCCTGGCAACTGCAGCAGAGTCAAATACTGTTAGTGTATCTATCCTGGTTCATGTCCTGTTATCAATACAAGAGGCAAAGTATAAATGGAGATCAGGTTTCCATCTGGTTACAACTAACAGCATAGCCTTGATTGCCTGCTTTGAGTTAGGGGATCAAAGGAAGAAATCATCAGAGATCCAAATAGCAACTCAGGCAGGCAGATCGCCATTTGAAAAAAAATAGTAACTTCTCTACCTTAAGGAAGGATAACTCCTGTTTGGCTAGCTTGATTCCTTTCTAATTATAAAAATAAGCTTGGGGTGAGTAGCAGGGGATAAAAATACAAAGTATCATATAGGAGTTAATAAAGAAAACAATCATGATAATTATCTTTCTAAACAGTAAAGAGAAACCAAGTATTTCTTCATATTAGAAATATAATACAATTTTACAGCCAGGCATGACGACTCACACCTGTAATCCCAACACTTCGGGAGATGGAGGCAGAAGGACTACTTGAGCCCAAGAATTCAAGACCAGCCTGGGTAACATGTCCAAACCCCTTCTCTACAAAAAATACAAAAATGAGACAGGTGTGGTGGTGTGAGCCCGTAGTCCCAGCTATTTGAGAGGCTGAGGTGGGAGGATCACTGGAGCCCAGCAAGTAGAGGCTGCAGGAGCCATGATCATACCACTCCACTCCAGCCTGGGTGACAAAGGGAGACCCTGTCTCAAGGAAAAAAAAAAAAAAAGTAAAGAAATAATTTTTTTCAAAGAAACCCTTTACATTAAAAGCACTACTTATGATGGAATCTTTAGGAAATGCTAGAATTCCTTGTCCCTAGATTTTTTTCTAAAGGATTAAAATCTTCATTTTCTAGGAGAACTGACATTTAAATGTATGATTCCTAAACTCAAGATTTTTAAAAGATCTGAGTTGCTCGATAACTCTATAGCACACTCTTGAAGATGAGATATTCATGGACCCTCCCTAAATCTTGGAAAGTCTTCAGGCTAACGGCAGGGCTGGAGCTAAAGTTGAGGCAGAACCTCATTTCTGCCAGTAACAGCATGCCTAGCCAGGATTAAAAAATTTGCCAAGACCACACAGAAAGAGACTAGATGGTAAGTTGGATTTATACTTCTCTTTGCAACTGAAGGCCATTCTGAACTCCTGCCTAAAGTTGGAGAAAGTGAAGAGAGGCCAAATCCAGAAACCATTAGGGCTCAGAGATAATTATTATGGAAAACCAACAAGCATGTACCTAATGATTCCCCAGAGTCACTCCTAGAGCAAGGAATGAAATGAAAAAGTTTATATCACCCACAAAACAAAGATTCAATGCAGTCAATGAACCAAAGAAGAAAAATTCAGCTCTGAAATGTGATAATAACCTGATATTCCTCCTCAAATCTCTGGATATTTGGTTACATTATAATTTGCTTGATGCACGTATTCTTAAAATACCAACACTCAATTAAATTCATCACCTAAGAAACATGGTCATTAGTAATTATTTTTGCATAATCTCTTTTCATTTTTATTACTGCAAATTTTTTGTTTCTAAGTCCACAAAAGGAAACTTCAACTTGATGTAATACAAAAAGTCCAGAGTGTATCACAAATTAATTTATCTAGAATGTAATCACCATATAGAAAAAATGATGCATATGATCTTAAAATTGCATCCAGGTTTAAAGTTCTATAAAAAAGATAAAGGGAAGGATGTTACTATTCTGAGCTGATGATGTCTTACCATCCCAAACTGTAACCATTGAACATACACATTTATTGACAAACTGCTTTGAAATCATAACAAGATGTCTCACAAATGTATTGTGTTTTGATGCACTAGTGTCTTAGCTGTATGAAACAGCTACATCCATGTTTTTCCATCTATAAAAAGGGCAATGAAAAGATATCCTTTGAGTCACTTTTAACTCAACTTTCTAAGTGTCTCCAATTTTATAAACATGAATCATACTCCTATAAAGAAGTCTTCCACTCCACCTTCACGAGTGTATATCTTTGATCAGGAAGTTTAAATGGACACTCTATATGCATCCTTGTGCTTTTGGGGATCTGACAATCCTTTTTTTGATGGAACAGTAAATGGCCCAACTGTTTGCCTAAGACTAGGCAGAATGCAATTTATCTTCTTGGTTTGCAGAAAATGGCTATGTAAACTTTACCACATTTGCCAGTATTTCCATTCCTTAAGACATAGCTCATTGACTAGGACCCAGTTTTCCAAGCAAGTATAAGATGTTTCCTTGTTACTAGTATGTTTTTGGAAAGCAAAAGAGACCTTCCGAATTACCTCTTAGAGGCATGCTTCACTTTTGTCCTCAGTAATGATTATTTCAATATACTGTTTACAAACCCAATCGTTACTCCCTTTTTGAATGCAAAGTAACACGTGCTAATTGTTGTTTTGATGATATTAGTGAATCAAAACCTTATGGGAAATACAATTGTCTCATCTTCCAGGTTTCTATGTGAAATACTCAGAACTGCACTTGCAAATTCCTGAGCAGCTTCATTCTAAGGGAAGCATGGCGCCATCTAGTGATCATACAGAAAATTACATTTATGCATTTTCTCTCAAAGCTCTGTATTAAAATGATGAGTTGGCCCATACATTAGAATTGAAAGAAGAGAAATAGAATAAAAATTCCTAGAAACTTTACCTAGTTATTTGCTATATGCACCATCCTGCATGGTCATTATTAAACATATATGGGTTATAACAATAATAATATGACATTGTCCCTCTCTTGGGGTCACTTTTTTAACTTCAACTTACCATTGGTTTAGTCATGTAGTTTCCGAAATAAATATCTTCACATGGAACATTTAATTCCAATGAACTATATTTTTGGTTCATTAAAAGTTAATGAAGTTTTTGAAACAATTCCAAATGATCTGTAAAATATATTTACTTAAAAATGCTTCATTTTATTTCTCTAGTGATGCCCTGCTAGGATGCTACCTAAATTGTTAAATATTTAAAAACACAGAGGAAAAAGTAAGATAAAATAAATAGCATACTATTTAGAGATTAACCTATTCCTTAATATGGAAAATTATTCCTCATTGTCAGAATAAAACATATTATTGTATTTCTAGTTTAAGGATAATATTGTACAGATATCAATAGGATAAGATATGCTTGCCTAAGCCGGAATAGATGCCCACTCTGTCCCAGCAGGGTTTTTCCAGTTTTACCCTGTGGAAAGTTCTATGAAGACAAGGACCATGTCTGATGCATCTTTTCATCTCCATACGCCACTACTCACCCAACCCTCGCCCCCACCAGCACAATGCCTAGCATGTCATAGGAACTCAGGATGTTTCTTCAATGAACCAATAAATTAATTTATTATGTCTGTCTCTAAAATCATTATTTAGAGTCTATCTACCACAGGAAACAGCTTTTCACTTTTCTATTGTATGATTCTCTGCTCCTTTTCTGAGATACTCTCTCTACAAGTGGCACCTTATTTGATATTCACACTGCCACCTCCTAAATTCTTTAAAATCTTGAGTATCCATGTCCAAATGGCTTTCTTTCCATGAGTTATCCATCTTACAGAAAGGGCATTATTCATCAACACATCATTTGATGAAATAAATCCAAAAGGGTGGAAATGAGAAACTCTTATTTCTTACTCTTTTCAATAGGTAGTATTAATATTCTGTAACAAGGAGATTTCAATAGTGTAACACATAAGATATTACTCACAATTTGAAACAGGTGCTTTTGGCATTATAGGCACTTGGCCACAATGCATAGTTTAATATTTGTGTGGCTCAAAACAGCTAACTTATCTTGAAATGTTGCAGAGGAAACTTCCTTAATCACATTCTTACTGTCCAGTGACTGAGGTAAATCATGGCATACATGCGTCATTATGAATCACATACTATCTATACCTACACTTCAACTACCTGTAACTAGATTTTCACTATACGGTGTAATGAGTTTCAGTGAGAACATTCAGATAACCCATTCCTCAAGTAAATATTCCAAAAGCATTTTATTTCACTGTAGAGAAAATTTAGAAAAAGTAGATTTCTCCTTCTCTAGTATTGCTGAATTGTGATTCAAATCTATAATACACAGTAAACGTCTCAGAATACTACTACTTTTGAAGTACAAAGATTGCCACGATGTAGAATAGAATGGCTTTTTGTTTTTAACCAACATCCCCATCAGTACATTCAACTCAGCCTTGCAACTCCCACTCATAATGTCACAACTGTTTGTCCCTAAGCTAATTAAGTGTGTCTGCGAGCTGTAGCGTGAGTTATGAAGTTATCATTTCTCCACACTTTATAGCTGTTTGAAGGATATGAAATGGCAATGGACAAACAGTCATGATATTTTTGGCAAAATATCAAATGTTTTTGATGGAAAGTGAAAGGGCTTTGGAGCCCTCTGACCTGGGTTCAAATCCTAACTCTTCTACTTTATAGCCTGAGCAAGTTACTGAACTTAAGTTTCTTTATGTGAATGTGGAGATGCTCTTGGACCCAAAGTTCTAATTTTGGCACATACCTATCTTTAAAAACAATAATAATTTTAAAAGTAATTTTGAAATGTGTTGGTGAAAAACGTAGGCTTTTTTGAAAAAGGGTCTCTCACTCTGTCACCCAGGCTGGAGTGCAGTGGCGCAATCCTGGCTTACTGTAGTCTCGACCTCCCAGGCTCAAGAGATCCTCCCACCTCAGCCTCCCAAGTAGCAGGGACTACAGGCACGTGCCACAACACCTGGATAATTTTTTTGTATTTTCAGTAGAGACAGGGTCTCACTATGTTGCCCTGGCTGATCTCAAAATCCTGGGCTCCAATTATCCTTCCACCTCAGCCGCCCAAAGTGCTGGGATTACAGGCATGAGCCACCACACTCAACCAAAAAATATAGTGTTAAGAGATCACACTGTGACCTATAACATTTATATATTTAGAACACCTTTGGAGCTAACTGAGATTAGGGATCAAGATATATGTATATGTATATACACACACACACACACACACATTTAATAACACAAGCATGCACTTTTGTGAAATAGAATACGTAAGTTCTAAGCAAGGAGAGTGCAAACTGCATTTATTTTTCAAAAACAAGAAAAATACAGTCATAAGAGGTTTTAAGTAACTAGTTTTAATCAATCCATATGGTTGCATACTTAGAGTTTTCTTAGAAATACATTTTACATTTAGCATTGACCTTGGTATGTCTAATATTTTCTAGGTATTTTTCACATATTTCTAAGGGCTAAAAATATTTATTCATTTATACTTTCATTCAGTCAATAGATATTTATTAACAGCTTTCTCTTATCCAAGCACATGTTTGGGAACAGTCAACTTTTGTTTTATGATACAGATTAAACCAAAGGGACATATTAATTTGTGATCAACTAATAAACCAACAGAGAGCTTCTAAAAGCTGAAGGATTTTCTAATTTTACAGAGCATAAAGAACCATTTTATTCATTTTAAATCTCAAACTATGCTGTGTTTCATAAGGAAATCAAAGGATATATAAGGTGTATACACTTAGGTACACATATATTTTTAGATATTTTTTAAATTGATACATAATAATTGTACGTAGGGATGTTTCAATACATACAATGCATAGTGATCAGATCAGGGTATTAGCATATGTTCCAACATTTTTCATTTCTTTGGGACTATTCAATATCCTCTAAGTATTTGAAAATATATAATATATCGTTGTTAACTATAGTCATACTATAGTGCTATAGAACACTACCACTTAATTCCTCCTATCTAGCTGTCATTTCGTATTCTTAACAAATATTTCTCTATCCTCCCCTTCTCCCTACTGTTTCCAGCCTCTAGTAATCTCTGTTCTCCTTTTTACTTCCATGAGATCAACTTTTTCTAGCTTACATTTTTTGAGTGAGAAAGCAGTAGAAAAGAAAATGTGGATGGCTTTAAAAGGAAAAAAAGAGAAAAAACAGCCCTATCTCCAAATACTCCAATCTTGTGAATTGAAAAAAAAAAGTTGAGATCTTTTTTTTTAATCAGTTGCTATCTATTTGTATATATACCCACAGAAAACCATAGTTAAAATGTAGGCATTATAATTCTAAGACATATGTACAGAAAGGCAAATGCTGGGGGGAACATATTAAAATGTTTCTCTGACATTTTGCAGTCTTACACAGTGATTTAATTTATACGCCATCCATATATTAGTGATCTGGACTCTCTTGATCCACCAAAAAGCACCCTACTTAGCATTTATCTAGTGTTTTCTAAGTAGACGTTTAAGGCTCTTTTTAATTAATCATTTTATTAACTCTTGTCACACTAATAGAGACAGCAACCAACCTGAACCATCTAGGGCAGATGAGCAATGGAGATACACAGAAAGCTAAGTTGCACTGAAAATAATTTTTTGAGAAAGAACAACGGGAGCTGTGGAGTTCTCCAAATCATAAGTTATAAAGCTCAGTTAAATTACTTTTTTGTACAATGTAGACAGAAATGACAAAATGGCAGTTCTATATGCCTGTAAAACTCAAACTGACCAAACACTGACACTTGGTAACAGCAGGATGTGTACTGATGTTACTATAATGATGTTTAGCAGAAGAGTTGAAAATAGAAAGGGTTTCCGAATCAGCCCAGCACCAACCAAGTAATCCAGGGATCCAGATCATTCCAATACCCAGTGAGTTGTCCCCTTTGGCCCCTCCTAGGTGTGACCCATCCAAGAGAAGCATTGTATTTCCCTAGTCTACATTGTTCCCACTTTGACACAGCCTATCATATACTTCTCTGTAAGTTTATGATTATCTCCTCCATTAAATTTTTAATTCTTGGGGACCAAAAATCTCATTTCTCTTTGTATGTTCAAGTGCTATTAAGCACATAAGTACTGAACAAATGCTAAATCAACAAATAAATAATCCCATGATTACTTAAAACTGAGGTGCCTGCACAAATCAGCAAGGCACTAAAATGATAAACTCATCCTCTAACAATTGATCAAATACCTTAAACTCAGTCTCAAAAAGAGTAAAAAAAAATGTCTTGGCTTGCTTTCAAGAAATGAGCAATGTTAAATCAAATTCTTGCTAGATTATTTTCATGGTAATAGTTTTTCACAACTTCTTATTGTAAAAGTAACAACATTATTTCAAAATTTAATTAAGGTATAAATAAATATAAATACAAGGAGATAAAGAATATTTATAATCCTATTACTCAGAGTTGGTTTCATACTTTAGCCCATATACTTAAAAATGTGTAAAGAATTACATTATGTGTAGTTTTGTGACAAATTTCAATGCTAATATCTCTATCATTAAAAAAAATATGGAAGTACCACAATTTAGTCTGTTTTAGTTTTTTGTTTGTTTTTGAGATGTAGTCTGGCTCTGTCACCCAGGCTGGAGTGCAGTGGCACCATTTCGGCTCACTGCAACCTCTACCTCTGGGGTTCAAGCACTTCTCCTGCCTCAGGCGCCTGAGTAGCTGGGATTATAGGCACCTGCCACAGTGCCTGGATATTTCTGTATTTTTAGTAGAGATGGAGTTTCACCATGTTGGTCAGGCTGGTCTTAAATTTCTGACCTCAAGTGATCCGCCTTGGCCTCCCAAAGTGCTGGGATTACAGGTGTGAGCCACCGCACCTGGCCTGTTTTAAACACCAACCCTCCCTAGTCCTTTACTATTATCAACTCATTGACGGTCAAAATACATAAAATAATCTTTGCCTACTTCTTGTTACTTGAGGATAAATGTCTACAAGAGGCATTGTTATATGCATATTTTGACATGGAGTGTTACCATTGTAACTGTACAAAATTTACAATCTCTCAAGTAATATATGTGTGCCTGTTTCTTTACCCCTTTCCTAGACTGAGCATTACCAATCTTTCTATTTCTAGTAAATTGTCAAATTAATCTCAGAGAAGACTTAGAGACAGTCTTATTCACTTAGTTTATTTTCTCTCATGTGGCAAAAGGCAATTATAATAAAAGTCAACGTTTACTTTTAACTCATGATATGTATTACACAATCGGCCTCTCATAATAACTCAATCCTTATTTTTATAACTCTGCAATCAGGAAGGAACAATAAAATTTAATTCCAATATTGCTAAACCTAGGATAATTTTGTAGACTAGAGTGTCTAAGTGTCATAGTAACAATGGCTGAAAGAAAAGATGTTTTTCCATACCAACTGAAATATATGGATTATCTTGGTACAACAAAACTCTTCTAAATTTATTTTATTTTATTAGTTTTGGCCACATGAGAAACAGCAAGAAATTCCACTGCTAGTCCTCCAAATAGGTAATCAGATATATCTGTGGTTATCTTCCCTCCATAAACATTTCCTAGTGATTTTGTTAACTATAATTCTGTAATACAAACCCTTTGGGTAATACTCCTATAGACATCCCACAATATATGCACTCCACACAAAGAGATAAATGACAGTTATCTTCTGTAATCAAGCTCCTGCCAACTTAAGGTAAGTAATGTATGAGAAAGATAACCTAATGGCAAGGCTGGCAAGTCATTCTACTATGTGTACTAAGCTCTTTCTCAACATCAAGTAACCAGACTTAACAATGATTTAAATTACTATATGAAGACTTTCATGGAATAATGATTTAATATTTTGACTTATAACAAGACTAAGTATAAGAACATCACTATTTATTCATGATTAATAATGTACATGTATGTAACTCACATAAAAATACTATTAAACATATTATTGCTTTACTTTACACAAAGACCCTAATGAAAAGTCTTATAATTAATTATAGAAAGATAATTTTCTCTCAAGACATAAATATTATCAGGTTTCTCTATTTGCTGTATCTTTGAGGAAGCTATTAATATTTTAAGACCTAAACTTAACTCCAAGTACGAAATACACTTTTACATTTGTGTTTCTAACTTAGCTTTACATAGGCATTTTATCCATTTTTAAAGTTAGGATTGCTTAATTCCTTTTTTGAAACAAAAAGCATAAAAAATACATAATTAATGGCATTGCTTTTATACCCAACTTTTATTATCTACAATAAAGATGTGATCATGTACAAATAACCAGATATGAAGAGCCACAAACCCACATATGCATTTGGAATTTACTCAGAACTATGTTTGAAAATACTCATGCACTAACATTTGTCCCGTTGTTTCCAGATTATCCTGAAGTTTGGTCCAAGACAAACTTGTTCAGATTTTCTGATTTAGATCACAGCTCTATACTCTAGGAAAACATGGATACCTACACCTCAGTTAACTGAGTCTTAAATGGTGCTAGAGATTTCTTATTATTAAGGAAAGGAAATTATTAGTTGATATTTTAAACATAGAAACAGAAAATATCATTCCAGATTAATCGATTCAACTCTAGATGAAAACAAATTTATATATTAAAACAAATTAACTGATCCATATTTAAAATAAGTAACAGAACCGTGAAGTGAGTGGAAGTGGCTGTGAGAAAAGAACTAACCAAGTGAATTTTGAGTACAGAATTAGGCATATAAAACATAAATAATGCTAAAAGTCTACTTACTGAAATACTTTTCTTTGCCTTACTTCTCTTTTTCCATAGAGGCGTGAGTGGGTAATTCTGAAAGTAATTTTTGAAACCACATTCCACAGGTAAGAAAATCCTATGCAATATATAATATATTGTGAATAATGGGAGCCAGGCTTCTCACCGTAACTTCTCACAGAGTTACAGATACGAAAATGGAGAAGAACAGAATGAGCACTGCAATGATGGATTATCATTGTGAAATCCTAGGTTTAATGTATACAAATATCTGAATATACCCATGGATATAGGTATGTGTGGGTATGCATATATATGCACACATTTATATATGAGTATGTACATACATACACTTTCCCCCTAGATATGTCTACTAAAAGGACCTAGAAGCAAAAGCACACCTACTCTCCAAATTTTGATTTCTAAAAACCATTCTTTACTGAAAGGAAACAGAGAGCCCTATAAAAGTAGCTGATTCCAAGGCTTGGATAAAAGAACAAGAGTCTCATATCTAAAACCAAAAAGTAAAAAAGTACTCAAAGAATGATAGTAACGTGTTAAAATGACAAGGGAGTCAACTAGAAGTACCTTGTACTGTCCAAATCCAGGACAGTATGAGGATTAAGATAAATAATGATATTAACCAACAATATTAAAGGATAACAACCTGCTAAATAAAGAATTCATGACTCCACACAGAAACAAGCACGAAGAAACATTTTTATGCATAATAGAAAGCCAACTAATAAAAGAGGAAGAAATGATGAAATTACAAGATTTCCCCTTAGCAAACCACTATGGTTTGAATATGTCTCCCAAAGTTCACATCTTGGAAGCTTAGACCAAAACGCAACAGTGTTAAGAGTTGGGACATTTAAGAGATGATTAGATCATGAGAGCATTCCCTTCATGAATGGATTACTTTATCTGTTATCATAGGAGTAGGTTCCTTATAAAAGAATGAGTTTGGGCCAGGTGCGGTGGCTAAGGCCTGTAATCCCAGCACTTTGGGAGGCTAAGGTGGGTGGCTCACGAGGTCAGCAGATGGAGACCGTCCTGGCTAACACGGTGAAACCCCGTCTCTACTAAACAAAATACAAAAAATTAGCCGGGCGTGGTGGTGGGTGCCTGTAGTCCCAGCTACTCGGGAAACTGAGGCAGGAGAATGGCGAACCCGGGAGGTGGAGGTTGCAGTGAGCCGAGGCGGAGTCACTGCACTCCAGCCTGGGTGACAGAGCGAGACTCTGTCTCAAAAAAAAAAAAAAAAAAAATGAGTTTGGCCCCCTTCTCCCTATTTCTTGCCCATGTGATACCTTTCATCATGTCATGATGCAGCAGGAAAAAGGACTGCACCAGATGCAGCCCCTTGATCCTGAACTTCTCAGCCTCCAGAACCATGAGCCAAATAAATTCTATTCATTATAAATTACCCAGTTTGTGGTATCTGTTACAGCAGCATTAAACCAATGAAAACAGCAACCATCATAATAACACAAGTAACTGATTTAGACAGGAATCACCAACGGATTCCAAAGCTATTGGGTAAGAAATTGAGGAATAACAGCATATTTACATGCTCTCATATTATCATGGTACAAAATGCTTTTTAATTACAAAGGAGGAAAATAGTAACTTTACAGTGGAGAAATCTGGTAGGCACCACTTGAACTAAATGATCAAAGCTAAATTTGTCAGTAATGGTACTAAACAACAGCATCTACCTCTGGATATAAGGAGTTAGCATCCCTACTGTGATATTCCTGCCCAAGTTGTATGACCTGACTATCATCCCCAGGAAACACAAAATAAACTCAAATTGAAAGATAGTCTATGCTTTAGACTGAATGTTTACGTTGCCTCCAAATTCATATGTTGAAACTTAATCAGCAATATGATGGTATTTACAGGTGTGGCCTTTTGGAAGTGATGAGATTATGGGGACAGAGCCCTCATGAATGGGATTAATGCCCTTATAAAAGAGACCCCAGAGAACTCTCTCTTCCTTTCTGCCATGTAAAAACACAGCAAGGAGACAGCTATTTATGAGCTAGAAAGCTGATCCTCACCAGACAGAAAATCTGCTTAGCACAGATCATGGGATTTCTCAGCCTTCAGAACCATGAGAAATAAATTTCTGTTGTTTATAAACCATGAAGACTATGGTAGTTTGTTATAGCAGCCCAAATAAATCAAGAGAGTGTACAAAACAATTGGCATGTAATTCTCCAAAAATATAAATGTCATGAAATAGTCTTTCACGAAGACTCAGAAACTGCTCCAGTTTAAAGGATATTAAAGAGACATGACAACTGATTGAAAAGCATGATTTTGTAATTTCATTGGCTACACAGAACATTATTGGGACAATTATTGAAATTTAGAATAAAGTCTGTAGATTAGATAACAACATTTTATCCATGTTAATTTGCTAATTTTAACCACTGAACTGTACCTATGTATGATAATTCCATGTTTTTAGGAATTATTTAAGTATTTAGAAGCAAAGGAGTATCATGTCTGCAACTTGCTCTTAATGTGTATCAATAAGGAAACGTGTGTATGGGTAGACGGATACATAGATGATTAGATAGACAGAAAGGTAGATATGAGAGACAGAGATTGAATAAAGTAAATGTAGTAAAATGTTAACATTTGGGGGATATTGGTGAGGGGTATCTGGGAATTCCTTGTGCTATTCTTGCCACTTTACAGTAAATCTGAAATTACATCAAATTAAAAATCAAAATCAATATAATATATTAACTTTATGGCTTATAGATATTTAAAGTTAGAATTGTCAAGTGACATTCTGGTGAATGCTTCAACTAGTTATAACTATTTTCCAAATATTATAAAGCACACTCAGCATAAAATCCTGCTTTTTGATACCTTACATATTTCGAGGACAACTAGATTTTTCAGTTATGTCTTTATAACCACACTGTACAGAAAGTAAATATATATCGAGCAGAAAATAGCTATTCGTGACAAATCTCACACCTGAGATTAAGAGTCTGCTAAATCGTTCCATTACATTTTGGCCTTATGCCCTATATTTTTATCTTCTTTTATCAAAATGTGATTTCTTCATTGTAATTTATTAGTAGTTTTTAGATATAGACAACATATTTAAATATATAGTATCACCATCTTTTTTGTTTGGTAGAATCATACCATTTTAGTATGCCATAACAGAATTATATACATCAATATTTTTGTCATTCAGCCTGGCCCACATGACTCTGAGATGTTCTGAATTGGATTGGGCTCATAGAATAAAGTCCAAACTACTTGCCAAGACCCGATGCCCCATATAATCTGGCTTTAGGCCAATTTTGCAGATTTCTCTTTGACCGTAATCCCATAAATTCCCTATGACATGCAAGGCTCTCTGTACTACAAACCTTTTCTATGCTCCTTCATATAACCATGAACTTGAAAATGATGCCTATTCAACTGTCAACTCCTAACGAGCTAGTCACCCTCCAAGACAAAACTCAATGTCAAGTCCTGCTTTAAATCCTCCATCCCTCCCTGAGCACTGCCCTCCCTTCTTTCCCAAAAGGTTATTCTTCCTTCTTCTGTCTCCTCATATCTTTTGCTCATACTTCAAACATTTCTGTCATATTTTAATGTATTCTACAGTATTATCTTTTCCATTAGACTGTCATGTTTTATCATTTTTTTCTGATCCTCTCCCCCACAGAGCATAGAAAAGTGGCTAGCACAAATGCAGCTCTCGATACCATTTTTTTGAATAAATGGATAACAAAAAACAATAAATATCACAGAAAAATACAAGAATTTTTGAATTACAAAAGAGAATGGTAATTATTAGCCACTAGGTTGTACAGAGTAACCTTCATGAAGGAAGTGGTAACTGATTTGGGCATGAAGAATGAGTAAGATGTGGAGATAGAAGGCATTGTAATAGAAAATAAGAAACAGAAAGAACCAAGATCTAACAGTCTCTGTGTGGGGCCGTGAGGATATGCTGCAGACCTCCAACTATAGGAACTATAACCAGCAAAGGGCCCCAACTGATGCCTCTGAAATTCACTGCAACATTTTAGCTAAGGCCATACCTCCCATGCCCTGCTTCCTGGTATTTACTGAGCACAGAGGGCATGTTGTGGCAGACACATTCCTGGGAAACAGGATTCCTCTGATGGCTGATTTTGGCTTGAGGACTCCCATATGCCTTTGGCTAGCCCAATCAAGGATGCTCTCACCAATTCTCTCTCCCTTCTTTACTCAGAGTCAAACTTGGATCATGCTTTGACGTTTCCCTCAGCCTTAACTGGCTCCCTCCTTATATTCCTCTACAAGGGCATTTCCTAAAATTCTTGCATTTCTAATCCCATTTTGGCATGGGCTTCTTGCAAGACTCAGACTAACACATAGAGTATAGAGTATGTATGGAGTAAATAGGGAATTAAAGCTGATGAAGCAAATTGGGACTTTGTTACTGAGAACAACATGCCAATTCAATACATTGTGCCAAGGCAGGATAAATCTTTATTTTCTAATACGAACATAACTGTCTATGTAGTTTTTAGATTTCACAAGTGGCAAGGAATTTATAACTTCCTTTTGAGAACTATTTCATAGTTTAATCATCTTTCACAGCTCACGTAGGTCTTTACTAAATCCTTTGTGATTTAAGATCATTTCTTCCAGCTCTTCTGTGGTGATAGATTACAGCCAACTTTAGACATACTAAATTAACTACATCAACTCTTAGTCATAACAGGAATTCCTTCTACAATATTATGCACACATGGTCTTGCAGGGCCATTTGTCACTTTTTCTATTTGATACAAAATTATTTCTCATTAATAATCTAATCATGAAACACCTGTTTGTTAGGCACTGAAAAAATTTTCCCTGTTTGAAAGCAGAAAAACAAAGATTTGTATGTTTACTTCAGAGAGGATTTTGTGATTTCTAATAGGAAGCAAACAATTGTTTTTCTTTTCTCAAGTCTTTTAAACTACTCTGCCTTCTATTGACAGAGTAAGAAATTAAATCTTCAATTATTTAACATAGCATTTTATCTAATTAAAAATAACAGATTTTTTTTTTCTGCCAAAGATTTGAAACAGAGATGGAAAGCATGTGTGGGAAATTCTGTTACCTTTCCAGATCTCTGCTTGAATAAAATAAAGGCATTTTCTGACCACGATAAGCACACTGTCTGATCCAGATCCTCCAAGTATGCAAATCAACAGGAAAAGTTCCAGCAGCAAGACTTACCCATCTGCACAGAGTTTCAAAAATGGTGATGTACTTACCTAAAATAGAAAGAGAGATGACATTAGTGACATTCATCGCAGCTTAGACACATAGTGAAAAACACATTCTAGAAGGCAGTTAGAGCATCTGTTCCCCTCACCATTGCCAAGACCCAGTTTTAAGGCTTTTGTTTATGACACAACAGGCCAGATGGTGGTGTCTCTCACTGTCCAAGTTTACTCTGAGTACACTTCATAGGTATTTGTTCAATAAATACTGAAAAAGATTATAACAATCAACTAAGCAAGAACTATGATTTAATAACAGCAGCAAATTTAACATCTATTGAGGGATTACTTGCCTGCCAAGCCCAGTGCAATATGCTTTGCATATTTTCCCATTTACTCTTTAGATAGTGGACATGAGGTAAGTACTATTATTATACCTATTGTAAAGATGAAGTAAATGAGCTTAGGGAAGTTCATTAACTTGCCTAAAGTCGCTCACACAACTAGAAAGTGTTGGAGCTGAAGTTTTCACAGGCTCTCAGATTCTAGAGCCCACTTTCATGATCTTTATGCTATATTGCCAAAACCCACTGGGAAATAAAGATATATATCATTACCAGTACTTTGTTAAATAATACATTTTAAAAATAGAAATGATCACAATTTTAGAATTTGGGAAAATGAACAATGCCTAGTACACAGCAGCTGTTCAATAATATCTGTTGAGTGAATGAAAGAATAAGCAAAGAAATGTCACTGATATTTAATAAATATACACAGGTTATATCTCAACACAACAAATATTTACCCACAGAGCACTCTACTGTACAGCTTATTTCTTTCTTCCTACAGATGACTATGTACCACTATTTTAATCTGCTGATTATTTGAAGGTGAGAACTAAATGCTCTTAAGTGAGAAAGATGATGGATCAATCTAGACCAAATGACTGGGGAGTTACCAAGGAGAGGATGGAATTGTCAAATCTTCAAATGGCATGTTACTCAACATATAAAATCCTTCTGTAATTGAAGAAGCAATTAACAAACACCATTTAACAGTTCAACTTTCTTCAGCCCTTTGGTTACTCATTTTGGTAGAGGTTCTCATTAGCAACAAAATATTAAAGAAAGAAGCAGCTAAGAGAGAAATAGAAACATGAGACTGGCTATTTGAAAGAATGCTGTAATTGAAAAACAAGAAATACTCAGCACCTCAAATTCATAAAGAGATAATCATCAAGTTATCTCATGTTTTGACATTGATAACATATTCCAATGAATCAATTTTTAAAATAATTATAACACCCTAAAAGAAAATTACCCTCTAGTAGAATGCCACAAAGATACTCCTCGAGAAGAGCAACTCCAAGACACATAATTTTCAGATTCACTAAAGTTGAAATGAAGGAAAAAATGTTAAGGGCAGCCAGAGAGAAAGGTCGGGTTACCCACAAAGGGAAGCCCATCAGACTAACAGCTGATCCCTCGGCAGAAACTCTACAAACCAGAAGAGAGTGGGGGCCAATATTCAACATTCTTAAAGAATTTTCAACCCAGAATTTCATATCCAGCCAAACTAAGTTTCATAAGTGAAGGAGAAATAAAATCCTTTACAGACAAGCAAATGCTGAGAGATTTTGTCACCACCAGGCCTAGAAGAGCTCCTGAAGGAAGTGCTAAACATGGAAAGGAACAACCAGTACCAACCACTGCAAAAACATGCCAAATTGTAAAGACCATCGATGCTAGGAAGAGACTGCATCAACTAATGAGCAAAATAACCAGCTAACATCATAATGACAGGATCAAATTCACACATAACAATATTAACCTTAAATGTAAATGGGCTAAATGCTCCAATTAAAAGATGCTAACTGGCAAATTGGATAAAGAGTCAAGACCCACCACTGTGCTGTATTCAGGAGACCCATCTCACGTGCAGAGACACACACAGGCTCAAAATAAAGGGAGGAAGGAAGATCTACCAAGCACATGGAAAACAAAAAAAAGGTGGGGTTGCAATCCTAGTCTCTGATAAAACAGACTTTAAACCAACAAAGATCAAAAGAGACAAAGAAGGCCATTACGTAATGGTAAAGGGATCAATTCAACAAGAAGAGCTAACTATCCTAAATATATATGCACCCAATACAGGAGCACCCAGATTCATAAAGCAAGCCCTTAGAGACTTACAAAGAGACTTAGACTCCCACACAATAATAAAGAGAGACTGTAACACCCCACTGTCAACATCGGATAGATCAACGAGACAGAAAGTTAACAAGGTTATCCAGGAATTGAACTCAGCTCTGCACCAAGTGGACCTAATAGACATCTACAGAACTCTCCACCACAAATCAACAGAATATACATTCTTCTCAACATCACATTGCACTTATTCCAAAATTGACCATATAGTTGGAAGTAAAGCACTCCTCAGCAAATGTTAAAGAACAGAAATTACAACAGTCTGTCTCTCAGACCACAGTGCAATCAAACTAGAATTCAGGATTAAGAAACTCACTCAAAACCGCTCAACTACATGGAAACTGAACAACCTGCTCCTGAATGACTACTGGGTACATAACGAAATGAAGGCAGAAATAAAGATGTTCTTTGAAACCAATGAGAACAAAGACACAACATACCAGAATCTCTGGGACATATTTAAAGCAGTGTGTAGAGGGAAATTTATAGCACTAAATTCCCACAAGAGAAAGCAGGAAAGATCTAAAATTGACACCCTAACAGCACAATTAAAAGAACTAGAGAAGCAAGAGCAAACGCATTCAAAAGCTAACAGAAGGCAAGAAATAACTAAGATCAGAGCAGAACTGAAGGAGATAGAGACACAAAAAAACCCTTCAAAAAATCAATGAATCCAGGAGCTGGTATTTTGAAAAGATCAACAAAATTGACGGACCACTAGCAAGACTAATAAAGAAGAAAGGGAGAAGAATCAAATAGACGCAATAAAAAATGATAAAGGTGATATCACCACTGATCCCACAGAAATACAAACTACTATCAGAGAATACTATAAACACCTCTATGCAAATAAACTAGAAAATCTAGAAGAAATGGATGAATTCCTGGACACATACACCCTCCCAAGACTAAACCAGGAAGAAGTTGAATCCCTCAATAGACCAATAACAGGCTCTGAAATTGAGGCAATAATTAATAGCCTACCAACCAAAAAAAGTCCAGGACCAGAGGGATTCACAGCCGAATTCTACCAGAGATACAAAAAGGAGCTGGTAACATTCCTTCTGAAACTATTCCAATCGATAGAAAAAGAGGGAATCCTCCCTAACTCATTTTATAAGGCCAGCATTATCCTGATACCAAAGCCTGGCAGAGACACAACAAAAAAAGAGAATTTTAGACCAATATCCCTGATGAACATTGATGCAAATATCCTTAATAAAATACTGGCAAACCGAAGCCAGCAGCACATCAAAAAGCTTATCCACCATGATCAAGTGGGCTTCATCCCTGGGATGCAAGGCTGGTTCAACATATGCAAATCAATAAATGTAATCCAGCATATAAACAGAACCAAAGACAAAAGCCACATGATTCTCTCAATAGATGCAGAAAAGGCGTTTGACAAAATTCAACAACCCTTCATGCTAAAAACTCTCAATAAACTAGGCATTGATGGGATGTATCTCAAAATAATAAGAGCTATTTATGACAAACCCACAGCCAATATCATACTGAATGGGCAAAAGCTAGAAGCATTCCCTTTGAAACCTGGCACAAGACAGGGATGCCCTTTCTCACCACTCCTATTCAACATAGTATTGGAAGTTCTGGCCAGGGCAATCAGGCAGGAGAAAGAAATAAAGGGTATTCAATTAGGAAAAGAGGAAGTCAAATTCTCCCTGTTTGCAGATGACATGATTGTATATTTAGAAAACCCCATCGTCTCAGCCCAAAATCTCCTTAATCTGATAAGCAACTTCAGCAAAGTCTCAGGATACAAAATCAATGTGCAAAAATCACAAGCATTCCTATACACCAATAACAGACAAACAGCCAAATCCGAAGTGAACTCCAATTCACAATTGCTTCAAAGAGAATAAAACACCTAGGAATCCAACTTACAAGGGATGTGAAGGACCTCTTCAAGGAGAATTACAAACCACTGCTCAATGAAATAAAAGAGGACACAAACAAATGGAAGAACATTCCATGCTCATAGATAGGAAGAATCAATATCATGAAAATGGCCACACTGCCCAAGGTAATTTATAGATTCAGTGCCATCCCCATCAAGCTACCAATGACTTTCTTCACAGAATTGGAAAAAAACTACTTTAAAGTTTATGTGGAACCAAAAAAGAGCCCGCATTGCCAAGACAATCCTAAGCCAAAAGAACAAAGCTGGAGGCATCACGCTGCCTGACTTCAAACTATACTACAAGGCTACAGTAACCAAAACAGCATGGTACTGGTACCAAAACAGAGATATAGACTAATGGAACAGAATAGAGCCCTCAGAAATAATACTACACATCTTCAACCATCTGATCTTTGACAAACCTGACAACAATAAGAAATGGGGAAAGGATTCCCTATTTAATAAATTGTGCTGGAAATACTGGCTAGCCACATGTAGAAAGCTGAAACTGGATCTCTTCCGTACACCTTATACAAAAATTAATTCAAGATGGATTAAAAACTTAAATGTTAGACCTAAAACCATAAAAACCCTACAAGAAAACCTAGGCAATACCATTCAGGACATAGGCACAGGCAAGGACTTCATGACTAAAACACCAAAAGCAATGGCAACAAAAGCCAAAATTGACAAATGAGATCTAATTAAACTAAAGAGCTTCTGCACAGCAGAAGAAACTACCATTGGAGTGAACAGGCAACCTACAGAATGGGAGAAAATTTTTATAATCTACCCATCTGAGAAAGAGCTAATACACAGAATCTACAAATAACTTAAACAAATTTACAAGAAAAAATCAAACAACCACATCAAAAAGTGGGCAAAGGATATGAACAGACACTTCTCAAAAGAAGACATTTATGCAGCCAACAGACACATGAAAAAATGCTCATCATCACTTGGCCATCAGAGAAATGCAAATCAAAACCACAATGAGATATCATCTCACACCAGTTAAAATGGCAATCATTAAAAAGTAAGGAAACAACAGGTGCTAGAGAGGATGTGGAGAAATAGGAACAGTTTTACACTGTTGGTGGGACTGTAAACTAGTTCAACCATTGTGGAAGACAGTGTGGCGATTCCTCAAGGATCTTGAACTAGAAATACTATTTGACCCAGCCATCCCATTACTGGGTATATACCCAAAGGATTATAAATCATGCTGCTATAAGACACATGCACATGTATGTTTATTGCAGCACTATTCACAATAGCAAAGACTTGGAACCAACCCAAATGTCCATCAATGATAGACTGGATTAAGAAAATGTGGCACATATACACCATGGAATACTATGCAGCCATAAAAAATGATGAGTTCATGTCCTTTGTAGGGACATGGATGAAGCTGGAAACCATCATTCTGAGCAAACTATTGCAAGGACAGAAAACCAAACACTGCATGTTCTCAATCATAGGTGGGAATTGAACAATGAGAACACTTGGACACAGGGTGGGGAACACCACACACCGGGGTCTGTCATGGAGTGGGGGGAGGGGGGAGGGATAGCATTAGTAGATATACGTAATGTAAATGACAAGTTAACGGGTGCAGCACACCAACATGGCACATGTATACATATGTAACGAACCTTCACGTTGTGCTCACGTACCCTAGAACTTAAAGTATAATAAAAAAAAAAATGGGAAAAGAGACAGAGCCAAACTATTTTAAGATGATCTAGCCATGATGTGCAAAAAATAAGCTTAATAATATAATAATGAAAGTTGTATGTAATACTTTCCTTTCATTCAATAAATATTATTTTATATAGGAAGTTCATTTTATAATACATGTCAAGTCATAGGGGTGAGATAGGAAAGAGGCACATTTATGGCCTTCATTATTAAGCCATATGAGGGGTAAGTTTAGAAACAAAACAACCTGGGCAAAATATAAATTGGCTATAAGTAGGTCATAGATATTTACGTTTCTTGTTAAAATATATGATAGGAAGAATTCATAGGTTTCATCCTCTGGCTTTAGACTGTGATATTACCTATTCATGTGGGAAAAGTTCTTCTTAATGTATAGGAAAAAAGGTTCTGATACGTAGAATATCCTTTGTTCCATTTTTGAATTGATAGTGCAATTAGTTAAGAAATAAGACATAGGAAGACTTGAGAACCTAGGTATTTTACAGAGTTTTAAAGAGAGAGCTCTTGGTCTTCTTGGGAGGGTCTTAAGGATCCGCTTTTTATTGTTGTATTCTTTGTTCATGTAATTTGTGCTGCTTGCCTTGGTTTGACCATGGTTCTATAGCAAAGCAGAATTCCAAGGGGATTGGGTGAAAGAAGAACTCTTAAGTTATGGCTGGTTTTCCCAGAACCAGTTTCTTAAATAGCCTCTAAAATCTTCATCTTTTTCCAAATAAACATTATTAGTAATCTCTTTAAGAGTAAACCCCATCACCTCATATTACTCTCACGTACTGAGCTTTTAATATACATCAAGAAGATTAAGCACACACCTCAGGTATTAAAATGTGTTTCCTCTGCAATCTCATTTTATATCAAACATCAGTATGGTTATCTCATGTTGTAGAGTATTGCTGAACTAGATTCTATGTTGGCTGAGCTCTAATTTAAGTTTAGATACAGCTCAAGCCCTACATAGAAGCACATTTAAATGCATCGCTTTAGCTTGTTTCTGTAGCATTTAAAGGTTCTGGCATCATGGAAATGATTTTGGAGGTATTCTGAGTGCCTCTGTTGATTTTACCAGACTTGTGACCTTAGGCAAATGGCTTAATTTCTCTTCCTCACTTTTCATTTTGCAATGAGAACATGAATATTAACCATTTACATAATTATAACCAAAGTTATGAGGCTAAAGTATGAGAAGAGTGACAGGGACAGACAAGTATTCAAATAAGAAGTTGTTTGCTAAGGTCTATTTAATGTATTATAGTATGAGCAAGAAAAGTTTTCAGATTTGTGCACATTAATTATAATATTAAAGCTGACAGGGTTGAGAATATTTGCTAATTTAAAAATTATAAAGTTGTTCATCAGAATGATGTAAATATACTCTAGAAGACCCTGAAATTGTATATGTTTTCAAGTTTTGAATAAACAACATAACTGAAGGAAAAAAATAGTAAAAAATATATAAATAAAATAAAGAAAGAAAATTACCCTCTAGTAATTCAAGTCCCCTTTTTCATAAGCGGTGCCAGAGTAAAATAAACCAATAAAACATGAGAGACTTCACTCAAATGTCCAGAATCTTTACCAAAAATAGTCAACATGAAAAGTCTTTATACCTGCAATGTTTTCCACTGCTTTTCTCAGTATTATTTATAGATCTGAGTTATATATTAAAAGTGGTTATTAAAGCTAAGCCAAAAAGAAGGAAGGCTGATAAAGTTTTAAGCAGTTTTGTTTCAAGATCAAACTGGACAGATCTGCAAAGAAAATCACAACTATTTGCGAATTTTAGTGAAACAAATGGAACTTTTACAGCAAATTCAATGTTTACCCTTAAAGATAACTGAACTTAATGACTCAAAACTTTAATTATGAGGTAGTTACAAATGTATGTGGTTCCATTTTGATAAAGACCTGGGAGAGGATCCAAGGAGCAAAGTTATTTGCAAAAAAAGTTAGGCAAGATTTGATGGAGTGTACTTGTTGAATACGAATGACTGAAAAGTATTTTTTAATCTACTTCCTTGTGATGATAATAAGGTTCTGTTTAACATTAGATCTGTCAGTGAGCAGATAAAGGAAAGAATCTAAATAAGATTCACTTTCAATAAGCTCGGAGTAGTCTATGGATTAGGATTTATACCTCCATTCTACTGAATATGTGGATCAGTTCTAAGAGAGAAAATATTATGAAAATAAGACATCAAAGGTTGATGCCTTAAGGGCTAAAGAAATACAGGCAACTCAGAAAATGAATAGCATTTGAATTTATACTCGGGGAGGAAAAAAAGGACTTCAAAGAACAGTCATATTTATTCACTAGATTAAGGCAGACATTTTTCCAGTACAAAGTCTGTGACACAATTCTTCACCCCTGTCCAATCCCAGCCTCCATTTTCAAATATCTTGGCCATGCAGCAGTTTCTTTTCAAACGAAATGAAACAAAACAAAACTTTATTATTTTATTGAAATTCTAGTCACTTCCTTCACAAACTCCCAATAACTCAGTGTATTTATTCCTCTATAAAGTAAGTGCAGATCAGAAGAATGAGTTATACACCAGGTTGGCCGTCTTCGCTGGGAAGATGGTTAGGTCAGCTTGAAGTGAAGTCAGTAGTTGTGGTTTACTCTATGTCTATGTCTGGCACTGCGCAGTGAGCCTCTGTTCTTAAAGGAATCTTATTTTAATCTTCTTGGGAAGGCAAGACATTCATACTTGAAACAACTATTAAATGATGCAAAACAACTTACAATTAAATGTAAATTACACGGTGGAGACATCAAATGCTACAGGAATTAAAAGAAATGAAGAAAAGATGTTTCAGCTGTTGTGTGGGATTACAGCAATATGTTGTAACTGGGTGGGAGACTATTAAGAGACTCCTGATAGGGAATGTGCATCCAGTACATCTTCTTCTTGACCACATTCAGAGTCCCGCATAGAGATTTCTGGAAGAGCGTGGGAGCTGCTTCAGAACAAAGCCAATGTCTTGAGAAGGACCATGGATCTACGGTGATGTTTGAAGAGCAAGATTAAAATGTATACTGTATCCCTATGACCATTTGCTCCTACAAATCACAGGTTATTAATTGATTATAACTAGTAACACACATAACAGTCTACTTCTAAAGGACTTTTACCAAACATTACTATTAATAACTTTTGCTGAAGGATGTTCATTAATTCACACAGTAACTACTCATAGGTCAGCTCTCCACCAAGGAGGCACAGAGAGGTGCTCATAATCATGAAACTTTCAAATTGTATTAAAGTCGGGACCCCCCAGGAATACCCATCTGACTTACACTTATATCTAATCAAGGTCAGCCACTTTGAAATCTCCATGGTCTCTAACCTTTTAGGATCTTTTCTTTCAAAATTTAATGAGCAGCTCAAATCCATATCTTTTATTTATCATAGAACCCAAACATCCGGGCTTCAATAATGCTTCTGCATTTTTGAAAAAAAAAAAATATCGAGTCAAGGAGCATTTATTCCAGTGTGAGTCTTCTGCCAACTGCTACCCTACTGACCCACCCCTCATTTACAAGGGCCCCTTCTTTACTCTTAGCTCCTCACAGTATATTACAATTGCTTCCCCAAGGCAGGAACTGCACCTTTTATTGCCATAATATTATACCAAATGTCATCTCTGTGCATAACACGTTATGTATGCAACATGTTTGTTGAAATAGCCGAATTGTTTCACTAGTTATCTGATAGTTTAACTACTCAGGCCAATGGTCAAGTCACTCTTGTCTGGGCCCTAGCAACTCTCTGCATGATGCATATTGGACCTTGAAGTCCTTTCAAGATGAACTACACAGACTGGTGACATATTCAAAAATGGTGTGTATTTGATTTTATTCTATTTTTTTTCTTTTTGAGACATGGTCTGTGTCGTCCAGGCTGAAGTGCAGTGGTACAAACACAGTTCGCTGCAGCCTTGACCTCCTGGGCTCAAGTGATCCTCCTGCCTCAGCCCCCCAAGTAGCTGGGACTACAGACATGAGCCACCACACCTGGCTAATTTTTTGTTGTTGTATTTTTTGTAGAGATGGGGTTTCACCACGTTGCTCAGGCTGGTCTCAAACTCCTGAGCTCAAGTGATCCACCTGCCTCAGCCTCCCAAAGTGCTGAGATTACAGGCATGAGACACTGCTCTTGGCTGATTTAATTATTGTTAAACTGATTTCAACTCATATTATCTGGCTCAAAGTCATTCAACTCGACATGTGGAAATATTATGTTTTGAATCATTATGTGCTAATACCTTTAGTTATTGTCTTCTTTTTAAAATGAGAAAATAAAATATGATTTACACATATATAGGAAAGAAGAGTAAGTTAACTTTTTAAAAAGTCAACTTTTGTTACTATGAACTTGCTGGTTTACATGTATTATGCATTCCATCCTCCCAACAACCCTAGAAGGTAGGGGCATCTGGGAAATGAAAGGCTGAAAGTAAATAATATGAGATTATATAGCCAAGAATGGTAAAGCCAGGATTCAACTCAGGCCATTTTTCCAGAGTCTTAGTGTATAACTGCCAATCCCTACTTCATTCATAATTTCATTTAATAAATGTCCATCAAATGACTACTATAATTGGGCACTTATTCTAGGGATACATCAATGACTACACATCCTGGCCCACATGGAGCTTACATTCTATTGAAGGGAGACAGACAATAAGCAATATCTTAATATACATTATACAGCATGAAAAAAAGTGACAAGTGCTATGAAATTCATTGATGTGGAAAGAGAGGGTAAGAATGGCGCTAGTGGAGAGGAATGCATTTGCAATGGTAAATAGGATGTTCAGGGAAGGCCTTGTTGGAAAAGTAAGTACATCTAAGCAATGATCTGAGTTATACTTTAACACATTTATTTGATGAGAAACCAGTAAAAGTTGAGAATACAATAGAGCAAAAAACTGCAGGAAAATACTGAAGCTCTTGGTTTTTATAAGGTATTTATTCCAGTCTCATACTTTAGTCAAACTTGCACATGTTTTGTCACTTGTATTATTTTTTTAAGTTCCTTGACCGGAATAACTGTGCTTCACACAGCTTTAAATCCTTCCATAGTGCTTAGAAGAGTGGCTGTCACAACAGAAAGTATCTGTTGAAGGAATGAAGGACTAATGGAAAGAGATACACATATGAGAAGTAAAAAACAGAAAAAAGACCACATCAATAGTTACAATCACTGGTAAGAAAACCCCAAAATAGATCTAGTCTAGAAAATAAATTCAAGGAAGAGTACTTTCTGATCATGGTAATGAAACTGAGAGAAGATATTTGGGAATAGAAAGAGAGTAGTTTTGCTAATCTTGAGGATGAGAAAGTTGAATAAGAAAGCCTTCCTGATGGGGAGTAATTTGGGGTGAATCTAAATTAAAGGCCACACTGAGCAGACTGAATAAAGTTATTCATCCATTGAATCAGCATTTACTGTGAGCCACCTAAGTACTAGGCACTAGAGGAAAATTCATTAATAGATAGTCCCTGAATTTATGTGCTTATATTCTACAAGAGACAGCTATTAAATAAAAAAGTTACATAATCAATTAATTATAATTGTGTTAAATGCTATAAAAGAGGCACATAGAGGGCCAAAGGGGCTTAATCTTTCTGGGGGTACCAGGAAGGAGAACCTGAGACCTGAAGGGCAAGTGTGTGGGGGTGGGAGTGGAATAACAGGAACTTTCTATGTTCTATGTACTACAGGTATTCAATGAATATCTATCAAGAATTGTTATGTTCCTGCACTACATACACCAACACTTACCATCTCATTTACTCTTCAAAGCAAACCAATGAACAAAGTTTCACTATGCTCATTTAACAGAAGAGAAAATTGAGGCTCAGAGAGATAAAATATCTTGACCAAGGTCACACAGGTTGTGAGCCAAGATTCCAGTCCAAACCTGTTCAGGATTTTCCCATATCAGTCAAGTGTCAGGCAACCTGTTACCAAGATCTCTGCTATTCTGATGAGTTGTTATTATGTACTTGCTAAGAAACAACAGCCTAGGTAGGGGCTCAGAGTTGATTCAGGTCAGGGCAGGTTGATATCAGCTAGAATAACCAATGAAAAGCCCTGTTGAATTGTCCCAATGGATCTAGCCCTTGGTCCTACTTGATGTAACAAACTTTCCTGCCTTTATTTACTGATTTTATGCAGTGGACAAATACTGAAGCTCTATAGACATCAGTTTCAGCATTGTGAACATGAAAATGAATTATACATGCTCCTCTCTCAAGCAGTTTAGTCTAGTGAAGATTCAGACCCATAAAATAAATGGAGTTTAATATGGCAAATGTTACAAAAATATTACAAAAACAGTATAGAAAGCATTCATCCCACTATAAGAGGCTCCTAATTTTGCCTGAAGTCTTCTAAAAGAAACTGGACTTTGGCTTGGAGGTTAAATGGAGCCACAGGATATTAAGCAGAGGGATGGAGAAAAGCATTCTCTTTAGGGACAAGATAAAGTCTGCCATGTTTTTCAAACAGCAAAATGTTGGTTGGCTGAGATGTATCTGAGTGTGTTGAAGGCGAGGGAAATGGCCCTGTTCCCACTTAAGCAGATCACATAGTAATCATCTTGACCCCGGACTTTCTACATTGCATGGATATTTGAGAAGTTGACTATGTTGTGGTTTACTTTCTGGCATGAGCGCTTTAAAACTATTACCCAACATGAAGGGTCAAGCAGAAGGAAAGAGATCTGAAGCACCACCACATACACCCACATTCAATCCTATTACAGCAAACTTTACCTGTAAACTGACTTGTTTAAAAACATTAGAACACTAAATGTAAAAAGAATGACAGCCCACACATAGTGCTTAGAGATATTTTTTCTATTTATTTATTTATTTGAGGTTGAAAGATAGCAAGAACATGAAGAAATGGAATTTGCGTGACAGTCCCAAAGCAAATCTATTCAAAAGAAAACCATAATTACATATGCAGCTCTCTTGACAGGGATGACAGCAGTGAATCAACATTCTGCGCTGAAGACCTAAGTCAATATGCATTTGATTCAAAAAACTACCTTCATTAGCACAGACTATCATTAGTGATCACAGATCTATATAAGGCTGAAAAACCTAATCTCTGTGTCTCTGAAAACTGCAAAACCACCTTAGCAGTTGCCTAATTTCCCTGAGAGTGGAGGTTTCACTTGGCCATTGGGCTCAAGAGGCCTTAAAGTGGGCAATTAGCTTGCTGGATTATGCAGTGTACTTTGTACCTCTTCATTACATTTTCCACCAGGCTTGAGTCGAACAGAAGAGCTTACAATGTCAATGACTTTGACCATTTGAGATTTTGAAGCAGAATTTCTTAACCTTTTCATTTCTACTGTTTCTCAATTGATCTACAGCTGGGGAAATGTAATTCTCTCATAATTCTGTTAAAAAATTATATTAATAGTTCCATGGAACACACAGAAGCAGGTATGTTAAATTATCAAATTGAATTTGAGAGGGGAGAAATAAGAATCAGAAATTATGTAAATTAACAATTTAACATACTCAATGTGGCAATAAATTATAGCTTCATAGCTGGTGGTTATAAGTACGTCAACAATTAAAAGAAAAATAATAAAATAAAAAGAGTTAGCTCTCTGGCCACATCTTCCAAAATTATATAAAATAGAATCATGACTTATTGGATCCCCAAATCATTTTTAAATTATAGAATCAGCTTTTCCTGTGGGGGTCTTCTATTAAAAAGATGGTATTAAGACTGCAGGAAATTAAGAATGCAGGCTTTGGAGCTAGAAATGTCTGGTTCAAACACAAGCAGACCTGAGTGTCCAAGAAGTGGTAGCTATATATAATTATGATGGTGGTGGAGGTAATGGTGACTGCAGTGACCTAAACAAAAAAGAGGAAGATAGAAATGATGATTTGGTGATCAAAGATCAATGGAACCTTTGTTTATGGACACTGACTTTTGTCATTTTTCTGATAAGTACTTAAGAACCAATAATATAAAATAGGGACTATTTTACACCTCTTTTTCAACCTGTAGCAAAAAGGTATTTATTTTTTCAAAATCTTATCAAGGTCAGATTGATGCCAATTAAGTATCAGTATATCCCTCATTTCAGTCACCATCTACTAGTTAGATCCAATTTAGATAGTCTACCTCCTAAGAGAATCTTAATAGCTTCATTTGCACAGGAATGATAGACTATTGATCAGACAGCCTCAGGCAGGATCCCTTTAGTTTGAGTAGATATATTTAATCTAATAGTGCATTGAAAATCTAATAGCTGGTCTCCTGGGATCCCTGGTCACAAATTTTAATACCCTGCACAATGAAATTGCATAACCATTACTGAACTCTATCCTGTTGCCAACTAGGAATATCTAGAAAACCAATAAAAGGAAGAACAAAACATTCAGAACTGCAGGGCTGTGTGATTACAGTCTCTATTGTTTCTGGTTTAAAGTGAAATCAATTAATTGCAAACACAATTAAAGTAACTTTGCAGTAGTTGGCTAAATAGAAAAACATTTTGTGGTATTATTATTTTACCAACAACCCAACTTTGGCCTATCATACCTATGACACTTTTATTTTCCTTCTATAAATCATGCCACAAAGGTTAAAAAATTAAATAACGACATAGGCCTTTTATTACAATCAAAATGGGTAAGAATGTGACTTTGCAGAGATTAAATAAAACAGCTATCTCTTCATGATTCACATTTATTGAATACCAAAAATAATATGGGAGAAAAAAATCACGTAGATTTCACACCTAATAAATGAACAAAGAAGGAGAATAAGTGTATAGATATCTTATATAAATGTATAGGCATATTTACTTATCTATTTACATGTATTTACATGCTAGATTTCCCCACCAATGCCATGGACAGAACCTCAATCCCCTTATTACTTCCAAAATTTACACTGCCTATCCCCAAACCTCACCTTCTTTGGTCTTATTTATCAATTACCAATATCAACTCAGTAAATGACTGGTCCCCTTCTCCAGTTGCATTCAGATCACATGCCAATCATATCCACTAAACATTTATGAAATTAGCATTCTCCTCTCAATCCCGTAGAATCACAAAGCTAGCTCAAGCCTATGTGATGTTTTGCCCAAGCCACAGCAGGAGCCACCTTTTACATTCCCAGCCTTCAATCTTGCCACTTACATATTTATTCTCCATTCAGCCCCTAGAATCTGATCTTGTCACATAATTGCTTGGAATGCTTCATGGTTTGAGGATGAACCCAAAGTCCTTAACCTGGCTCACAAGGTCCCCAGAACCTAAACCTTATTTATCTCCAGGCTCATGTCTTGTCACTGAACTACTAAATCATCCCTTCATCACAAATACCATGGGATTCCTTGCATCAGTGTCTCTGTTCCTGCTATTCCTCTCTCCCTGAAATGCTCTTCCTATTCCTCTCTCCACCCTACATTCATTCTTTAAGACTCAGTTTAGGTCACACTTTTCACCCCAGAAAAGGTTAGGTTCTGCTTTTTGCCACTCCCATAAAATCTTCTGCATAGTGCTAATCACGGCACTCACTACACATTTTCCCTGATAATCTACGTAAATATTTGCTTCCCCTGCTCCAATTTGAACTACTTTAATCTAAATTCCCTGAGAAAAGGTTATTATTTGTATTATTTATGTTAGTGTCTTCAGTATACCTAGAACATAGTACTGTAGATACCCATACAGGTTTTGTTAAATGAGTGAATGAGTGAGTGAGTGAATGAATGCTTTTCTCTAGAACAATTAATACTGAAAAGCAAATGTAAGCACAATGGAGAAAATGCCATTCCTTAGAATTCAAGAATGAGTGTGAGGGATAAGCCCAAGGAGTTTCACAATTATGGAAAGTCACACTCAGACAGTGAGAATAGAAGTGCTGGTTGTGGAAGGTGAAGACTCCAAGAGGAGCAACACAGAGGTGAGGAGATGGTACCAGCAAGACAAGAAGGCTGTGTGGTGCATAGTTGATGTGAATCTTCTTCACAACTTCTCAAAGCTTTAGTACAGTTCACACATGCTATGTGTTCTTGGATCCCTTGTGAAAAACAGCTCAATTCCTCTACAGCTTTGCATCCAGACCTGAGGCCCAGCAGAAGGTAAAAACATATAAGATGGACACAGAGTTCTGGAGGCAGAGAGTGGCATAAAGGTGTCAGGTGTGGCACTAACATAGAGGTCATGGCAAAAGTTAATCACATTTCCAAGGGCCAAGAAAGCACTGGTCAATAGAAATATGACAGAAAAGAATGAAGAGGGAAGCTAGGTGAAAGAGGTTTTCATACATCAACAGCAACATCACCTGGAAACAATTTTTGATTAGTTAGGCACTTACTAATTATTCCCTGCTTTTCTTTTTTTGAGATGAAGTCTCACTCTGTCGCCCAGGCTGGAGTGCAATGGCACAATCTGGGCTCACTGCAAGCTCCCCCTCCCAGGTTCACGTCATTCTCCTGCCTCAGCCTCTCAAGCAGCTGGGACTACAGGTGCCCACCACCACACCCGGCTAATTTTTTGTATTTTTTAGTAGAGACGGGGTTTCACACCATATTAGCCAGGATGGTCTCGATCTCCTGACCTTGTGATCTGCCTGCCTCGGCCTCCCAAAGTGCTGGGATTACAGGTGTGAGCCACTGCGCCTGGCCAATTATTCCCTACTTTTAAAATAAATTATAATCGTGCTGAGAGAATAAAAAAATTAAAGGAAAGAGTTCAGTGAGCCGTGATCATGCAACTGCACTCCAGCCTGCTCAACAGACAACAAACAAACAAAGTTATCATTCAAAATGTTTCCCATGGCCAGATGCAGTAGCTCCTACCTCTAATACCTGTAATGCCCGCACTTTGGGAGGCCAAGGCAGGAAGATGGCTTGAGTCCAGGAATTTGTGACCAGCCTGGGCAACATGGCGAAACCTCATCTCTACAAAAAATACAAAAATTAGCTGGGTGTTGTGGCACATGCCTGTAATTCCAGCTACTTGAGAGGCTGAGGTGGGAGGATCACCTGAGCCAGGAGAGGTCAAGGTTGCAGTGAGCCATGATGGTGCCACTGCACTCCAGCCTGGGCAACAGAGTGAGACCCTGTCTCAAAAAAAAAAAAAAAAAAAAAAATTAGACCAAAAAACAAAAACCCAAAAAGCCAAAATGCATCCAAGTATCATAAGTGAAAAAGTGAGCTTCTTAGCAGCCAATATGCAAAGGGAACATAATCTCTTACACAGTTTGGAATTACTCAGAAAACGTGGAACTGTCTTCAATCCTAAAGCGTCACATAGAAATGTTCCCTGAGTCTCACTGGGACAACACACTGAGCAATAGCTTTACCAGAATGTTTTGTGAATATGGTATGATATCAAGAGTAATAAAGTTATTTTGGAAAAAAATAACTTTAGAATAATCACTTAAAAGTCTGCTGTTTTTGACCATAATTGCACATGGATATATTGCCTTATATAAACTACAAAGAATTGTCTATTTCACATCACATTTTACAACTTACATTGCAAACCTCACTTCAGCCTTGAGGTACAACTATCAATAAAAGAAACAGGTCTTATTTTTAAAACTTTTTATTATTCATATCCTTGGTGACTTTCAGACAATAATTAACATGTGGTTAGTATCACCTTAATGGAGGAAGTACCTTATACTTCAAACAACCCTTACCAAAAGAACAGATAATACATATGTATTGATACAGCATTACAAATTGATGATAATTCAAAAAGGCACCATGTAGCTTGTACTTGAGAAGGAATTTTCCCTTTGCATATTGAAGGGGGTTCTGGTGGTGTTTTCTTTGTCCCCAGCCGACTTCACAATGAAATGTTTCTACTTTGCACCCTTTGGGTTCAGTTGTTCAACCAGTTACAATTAGTTAGATTAGTAACTGGTTGAACAACTGTAATCAAAGAGCACAGATTGACTTGTTGTGGTCTACTAGAGAGAGATTTGCTAGTGGTGTTCAGCAGGGCTCTGTCTGTCCTCTTCAATGTGTGCATGAATGACTTGAAGCAACATACATACATTCAAGAAAAATTCATTAAACATTGAATCATCATCTAATATTTGCCTGCTATTATGACAGGTCCTGAGGGAACCAAGAAAATGTCAGTTACATGGCTCTGATGCAAAGCTGGGAAGAAGGAGAAGGAGTCAGAGGTAGAGGCAGAGAGAGTAAAAGAAAGAGGGAGAAAGTGAGAAAGTGAGACAGAGAAAGAGAGGGAGGCCATGTTACACAACAGGAAATGTAACACATGACCTCCAGCTCGAAAAATTTGAATAAAAAGATATTTCAAGGAGTGCGAGGGAGGTAACCCTTACAATTATTAGAATGAACATTTACTCATTGTCAACACTATGGAGCACATATTTGGGAATTCACCTTTATTTATGCCACACAATATTATGTAGGTGACAAGCTAACCCGTCGTATTTAACAATATAAACAAAAACACAAATATCCTACTTTATTAAACTGAAAGCAGAGGACTCTCATCTCCCCAAAGCCCAGGCCATTCCCTGATATTAGTAAGGATACTAGGTGAAACTCCTTCTTTCAACATTTATTGTAATTAGTGAAAACATGCTTAATGGGACACCATCATCTACAATGATGACACCATATCTCAAATCACTAATCTTTCTGCCATGGACAGATTTCTGTATCAGGGGACACCTTTGTCATTTTGTCATCCAAATTTTGAGGATTCTTTTTCAATTCTCCAGCATTGACTGAGAATTTAAATGGTGCCAGCATTGTGCTGGAAACTGGATAAAAACTGAGATAACACACTTGAGTTCCTACTCTCAGAGAATCCACTTATTGGATTGCTTTGCTATAATTCCTGAATCCAGTGAGATTAACTGGTATTTTCTGTTGTTCAAAAAACTACTTTTCCCCTTTTTGTACAGATCAGCAATAAACATTTACATCGAGATTGTGTGGTGTCCATGAACAAGGCATTCAGTAGGGTCCAAGTCTAGACTTGAATGGCGTCTCTCACATTTTTGACTAAGAGACAATGTAGACATAAAAGTATCATAATCCAACTTACATACAAAATGGAAAAAATGGAACCAGAACACCTTAAAATGTTTCCTTTGAAATATGTGTGTGTTTCCATCAGGTTTATTTTAGTTCTCTAAAACTCTGTAATACTGAATACTCCAACTACCAATATTAGTCAAAGCTGTTTAAAACCAGCCTTCCCTTATTTACAAAAGGCAGATTTTACAAGACAACTATCAGGGATAAACACAAAAAGAAATGAAAACTGTTCCATGTCTAGCAATTCGCCAGAGTAAACTGGCTGTATATTGAACACAGCTGTTTCTGTGAGGGATTTTTCTTTTTTTGGAATTTAATATTGACTGTGCTCTTGTGGCAAGAATATAGTAAATGAAAGATTGTTCCAGGCCTGAGAAGAAGAGAGGCCAGAAACAATTGTTCCCCTAGGTCCTCCCCTTCCTTAATAACCAAACTGTTGTCTGGAGCCTCCTTGAGTTAAAAGCCTACCATTTTTCATGTCAATTACACACAAACAGGACTTTTCTTGTCACCTTCCCTAAACTGAGGAAGACACAAACCCAGCAGGAAGGCAATTGTAAAGATAAATTTAAAAGTAAGAAGGCAAGCCTGAAATGCAAACATAGGAAAGAGCCTCTTATTCCCTACACTTCTCACTTTTCATGGACCATTGAAGGCTGTTTCTTACCAAATTGAATTCTTTGAAAAGAGAAACCATGACAATTTTCCCCAGGCTACGGTAAATATATTTTCTTGCACATTTAGTTTTTGTTTCATAACAATCCTAATAAAATTAGATGCTTTTAGCACCTTACTTAAATTAAGAAGACCTTTCCTGCTAATGTGCCCAGAACCTATCTGGGTTACTAATATTAATAGTTCCATTTTATCATGTACTTAACTTTGTGCCAGGAATTGTACACAGCACCCTATACATGTTATGGTATTTATTCTTCCCAATAGTTTGAGGGAATCATGCTTGACATAGTAATCCATTGATCACTTCTTACTTTGATCTCTACTTATCCTCTTGTAGGATCAACTATGCAAAGTGGTGGATTATAGCACAATGTTAAAGGGCAGTGCTCTGGAGTTAGATGGTCTGTATTTGAATCCTAGCTGCAGGAAGTTGGGGAAAGTACAAAATGAAGATAGTAGTGCTACCAATCTCAAAATATAAATTCTGGAGATTAAATTAGGTTTAATATGATTGTTTGGTCCATCTCTAGACTAGTACCTTGACCACTAGTACTCTTTCAGAGATTTTTTTATGTTTTCAAGAATGACAAAAACGAAATTCTATACACACCCTGATATCCCCAAAGACACTAGTGCCCTGGGGATTGGCCATGTGGGTTACTAGGTTCCATTTATTTGGTTATGGAGGATGTTCTTCACCCAAGTTAATCCTTTCACAAAAGCTCATTTTTGTTCTTTTTCCTGCAGCTTCCCTCAGAAGAAGCTGTGGCCAGTGAGGATTTCAGGGTCGCTTGTCCCCAGGTGATATGGGAGTTTCAGCTCAGGAAGTGACTAGGTTAGATGTGGGGGCAAATCAAGACCTTTTCAGCCACTAGCTTAAGGCTAACCCACCACAGACCTACCTTCTTGAACAACACTGGGAATTTGGGTAATTAAATGCTAGGATATCAGACATGATGTGATTAAATCGAAGGGCTGAAACAAATCTGACATTCTGTGCTCAAATTATAAGGTTAGCAAATAAGAAAACTAGAAATATCTCTCTTCTAGGCAAGAATGAGAACATAAGTCTACCCAAATGTGCTCTACAGAGGTTTCAGGTTTAGCATCTTGCTTAAGGATGATGCTTCATGGTTTAGAGAGAAATGAATTCTAGAATGTATCCTTTGCTTATAGGACATAACCCATATTTATAGAGATATTTTCAATATGGTGGAGCTAGTGGTAGGGTAGAAAGAACATAAAATTGACTATAAGGAAATATAAATCCTTTTCCGAGCTCCTTCTCCTTATGCACACATATATACATATTTGATAAAATAATGGCCCTGAAAAAATATTAGAGTGGTTTTCTTAAAACCTAAAGAAAATGGTATCCACATCAGTGATGCTCAATTGCTTTTTATTATGGACAATGAAACCAAATTAGATTAATCATAAGGCAAAATTTCAAATGAAACCAGTAATACAGACATAGTGTCTGTAAGGTTTTATAGCAGAACATCAGCAAGATAGCAGAAACTTAATGCATGAAGTAACCTCTCAACCTTGTTAAAGAATTTCTTTTATATTTCTTGATAAAATAGTTTTTGTTACAGTTAGTAACATTATTTTAAAAACTGTACGTCTTCTTAGCTGTACACAGAAGTGAGACATCACTAACCAGAGATTTCAATATAAATATCTTCAAGTAAAAATGACATAGTACATGTTCAGAGATAGCAAATGGAAAAACAGTGGATTGATTTTTATAACTCTTCGTGAATAAATTCTTTAATGCAACAAACATTTATTGAATTACTGTTTTTCTTGGCACTGAGGGGAATAAAAAATGAGAAAATACAGTCTCTGCCTTTATGGAGCTCTCAGTCTTGTGGAAACTCATCCACAAGATGGTCACATGCATATGTTGGTCTAGTCCCAGGCCTTAACAAACTATGGCCCTCAGGCCACATCTAGCCCATAGCCTGTTTTTGAAATAAGATTTTTTTTAGGTTTTTATTTTTTTTGTTTTTGGTTCTGGGGTACATGCACGGGATGCACAGGTTTGTTACATAGGTAGATGTGTGCCACAGTGGTTGCTGAACCTATCAACCCATCACCTAGGTATTAAGACCAGCATGCATTAGCTACTTTTCCTAATACTTTCCCTCACTAAACCCCACTCCCTGACAGGCCCCAGTGTGTGTTGTTCCCCTCCCTGTGTCCATGTGATCTCATTGTTCAGCTCCCATTTATAAGTGAGAACATTCATCCACGTCCCTGCAAAGGACATTATCTCATTCCTTTTTATGGCTGCATGGTATCCCATGGTGTGTATGTACCACATTTTCTTCAACCAGTCTATCATTGATGGGCATTTGGGTTGATTCCATGCCTTGCTATTGTGAATAGTGCTGTAATGAACATACCTGTGTATGTATCTTTGTAACAGAATGATTTATATTCCTTTGAGTATATACTCAGTAATGTGATTGTTGGGTCAAATCCTATTTCTGGTTCTAGATCTTTGAGGAATCGCCATACAGTCTTCCATAATGGTTGAACTAATTTACATTCCCACCAGCAGTGTAAAAGCGTTCCTACTTCTCCACAACCTCACCAGCATCTGTTGTTTCTTGACTATTTAATAATGGCCATTCTGACTGGTGTGAGATGGTATCTCATTGTGGTTTTGATTTGCATTTCTCAAATGATCAGTGATGTTGAGCTTTTTTTTCATGTTTGTTGGCTGCATGAATGTCTTCTTTTGAGAAGTGTCTGTTCATGTCCTCTCAAACAAACCCCACAGCTAGTAGAAGACAAGATCCAGAACAGAACTGAAGGAGATAGACATGAAAAGCCCTTTGAAAAATCAAGGAATACAGGAGCTGATTTTTTGAAAAAATTAATAGATAGACTACTAGCTAGACTAATAAGGAAGAAAGAGAGAAGAATCAAACAGACATAATAAAAAATGATCTTCCATGTAAGACGCTTATCACAATGTCTAAGGGACAGAAAGCTGGGAGTCTATGGAGCTTATGAGAATAGGCTTTATGATAGTTGTGGCTCCTTGGTAACAAAAGCTTGCCAGTCAACAAAATTCAGTCCAAAATCTGCTTTCATTACTACATTAGACATGATGGCTTAGTTGTGGGAGAGGACACCTATGTACCTTATCCTCTTTCAATTAATGTAGACTATGATATTCACCAAAAAGACTCTGATAACCATGAAGGGTCAAATTAGCTATGTCAATTCATGATGATTAATTTGAACATAAATTATTAATTTTGATAAAGAGGTATTACCTAAGCTTTAATTAATGAACGTTCCACTTCTACTTAGGACGTGAAAGTCACCCTGAGTTTATGTCAATAGCATTGGCTGAAAAGTCTTAATTTCTCATCTGGCTTTTTTTTTTTTTTTAATCGAGGATATCCCTTCCTCCAACCCAAATATATTTTCAGCAACACTCATGCCAACCCTTATCTGATGTTGAGAAGCTGTGAATTTGATAGCAGAATCATAACATTTTAGACTTAAAAAGTGCTTTAAAGATCATCTACTTCTTCTACCCACTCAACTAATAGTTTTATACTTGAGGAAACAGAGTTGCATGGAAGTAAAGGAACTCGACTAAAATGATCAAGCTAGAGACTGAACCAGGATCAGAGCCCTTTCCCCTGCAGCCCCGGGAAAAAGAATTCATGTTGAGGAAATAAGGAAAAGTGTTTAATACTTTCAGCTAAGCATAAAATTCCTAAGAACTCTTCTCTATAAACAGAAAATCTAAACTCTCCAAAAGAATCGCACCCCCTTAGCTGTAACAAAGTCTCTGCAGTTATTTCACAGCTGAAAGCCAACTGACACTGATTCCTGGGTGGTTTCACTAAAATAGAATTTTCTGAAATGCAAACTCACCTCCCAAGGAAGAATATGAATTTGAAAGAGGAAAGGTGTTAGTGGCGCCAACAACTTGCTACCCTGCTGAGAAGCTTCCAGATAGCCAGAAACACAGCAGGGAGTAGCAAGAAACAGAAGTTACAGATGAAGCTGCTCTTTAGTCACAAACTTGTTTCTGACAGCTCTTGTTGAAAAACCTGGGGACAGCTGAACAGAAACGTTAGTCCAGAGGCAGCCTCAGGGCTCAAGTGCTCAAGGATCTCATCTCAGTGTAAATATTCCAACTTCCTCTCATCCTTCTCCTACTGAGGGGAGGAGGAGACCAAAGGGAGTAGACGATTTGAAGGCAGTTGCTAAATGAGAATCGCTGGGTGGTATGCAGAAAATAGCATGGTTAGCTTAGATCCTACAACCAGTTTTCAAAAATAAAGGAAGTAATAACCATTAGCATAATGAGAATACAAATCCCAAGTCTCCATTACTTTAGACAGAACTCTGCAGGAGACCACCTAAGGAAAATCTGGGGGAAAAGAAGTTTCCAATCAATTGCAGCAGATTTAACTGATTCCCTTCTGTGGGCACAGCATGGTATTGAGAGCTTTGGGGATTATTAGGGAAAGAGAGGACATGCTTTCTTTCCTTGAGAGATTCTGATTCTGGGTGAGACATGGTGACTATGTGCATCTGAATATGCTACAAGGATATAAACAATTATACAACGAACCAGAACTATGCTGGCTCAGTGCCCAGGGAAGTCGGAAGAATTCAAGTCAGGACCTTGAGTCAGGGATGAAACAGGAATGGTTTTATGAAGAAGTCAATTTTTCAGCTGAGTTTTATACATGAAAGGCCATCTCGTTTAGCCGAAAGTACAGGAAGGGCCTGTACTTAGCATGAGAGGCAGGAAAGCAAGAAAGCCTTTGTATAAAATATGGTGAAAGAATCAACAAAAGCTTCTGAAGCCTACATTTATATACAGAACTTATTCTTTATCCAAAATGTAATGTGGGGATTCATGAAGATGGCAGAACTCCAGTATTCTGCACATTAATAATGCAATGAGCATGTCTATGGCACTCTAATCCCTTAAAATTTCATTTGTAAAATAATTATCCTTGTTCTCATAACAGGGAAAATAAAATCCTAGGCTACAGTAACAAAATATATTATTTAACTTAATGTCAATGTTAAAAATAAAATAGTAAGAAACAGTCTGATATTATATTTCACAGTTATCAGGATTGTGATTGTAAATCCTATAAATGTCATATCCTGATTAACCTTTTAGGAGAAAAATACTCCATTGGTGTAGTTCTAACACTGTTTTTGAGATGAAGCAAAATTTCTCATCAATATTTCTATTCTGACTGTTTGGATATTTAAAAGTCATATAACCTAATTTCAATTATGTTATAAAGAATAGGGTTAACCAATAGCTACCACCTGAGGAGCACTGACTGAACCAGGCATACGGTAGGAATTTTACATGGTTTTATATGTGATACTAACAATAGCCTAATAAGGTACCATAACTCCATGTACATTTTACAGGGAAAGGAAGATGTGGAAAGTTGAATGAATGTGCCCTTGTTCACAATGCAGGCACTCCAAACCACAGCATATTAACCAATTTGACAATCACCTCTTAGAGGGTTCTCTATTGTCTTCTCTAATAGGACCTGCAGAGGAAAAGATACAAATTCCATTCTGCTTTACCTCTGCAGTAAGTATGGAAATGTATCTCACATTGTTTCTTATTCATGTCTTTTCAATCTGCCTATGTCTTCAGAGAATTCTTATCACTACATTGGGAAAATTTTCTGCAAGCTGACATATCACACTTCCAGGGAATTTTTGTTGATATAAGACCATTATTTTGTCCCAAGAGTTCTCATAATTGCCCTTAGTATAATCCCTTAAGTCTCTTTCCACTGCAGTATTTATCTTCTTTTAAAAATAATAGTTAAATAAAAATTAACAATGTAAATTAGCTAAAAAAATTAAAAAAAATAATATATCCATTCATTTATCTAGCCAGGCTGTAAATACTCCTCTGTTGCATAATCTTTCAATTCTTTCATCATACTTTCTTCTGCTCTCTTCACTCCCTTCAAATTGTCTGCATATTTTTTATCCACTAGGATTGAGTTTCTGTGGTTGAGGCTCTGCCTAAAAGCTAGTTGGGAATCACAATCAAAATGGATTGTTCATCATTTACTACAACCTAACTATAACTTCCTAGTTTTTGTCTAATACAAGATCTGCTCTTTATGCCTTCATCATTTCCAATGCCAAATTATTCCAGCGATTTTTAATTGGTAGCATATTATTAATACACTATGCATCTTCTTTTGTATATTATGATATATTACTTCTTGTTGACATCTCAACCAGAAAAAAATGGTTGAGGAAAATGCTTATAAAGGTTATATAATGTTCAGATCTTATTCATTAGCAACTCTCATGAAATTTTCTTTGGTAAGGAAAGGGAAACAGCCCAATGACATTTGTGCTTATTTGTGGATTTTACTTATCCATTCACTCTTTCATTAGCTCTCATATTTGACTACAATTTCCTTTGCCAATTACATTATAAAAATCAAGTACATTTCCTTCAGGCCTTTTCAAAGTTTTCCCCAGTGAGTTTTAATTTGACTTCTGATGCATGGACCTGCTTTGACAATATTTAAATAGAATATTTATACAAACTGATGCTTCTTTTCTACTCGTTTTAGAGTATATAAACTGATATCAGAAGGCTAAAATAACATCAAACAAAGTTATCCTAGAGCAGTCCATAAGTAAAGAATTATAATCTTCAGCTCCATCTCTCTCTACCATATTCATTACCTTTCCATAGTCTCATAATATTTTTCTAACCTTATGGTCTAAATGATCTCGTTCTGTCTGTCTATCCATTTGTCTGTCTCTTTCTCTCCCTCTGCAAATCAGATAACTACATTATACAAATATAAGAATAAAGGTTAATATTATTCATATATATATATATATATATATATATATATATATATTTAAGTTGTTTTATTCTAAGTTCTTTATGTTACTCATTAAAACCCCACCATTGTTACCAGGGATTTATAACAGATTTATTAGTCCACTGAATTTACCCAACATTGCTACCAGGGATTTATAACAGAGTTATTAGTCTACTGAATCTATTCTGCCAAAAAATGTGCTGATACAGATTCTGCCCAATGAGCATAAAGCTATTTTTAAAAATATAATAATTATAATAATATATCTATAATGTATATACGCTATAGGGTTAATAGGGTAAGTTTAATTTGCAAAACACCAAACACAAAATTAATTTCATAATTACTGAAACTAGAAGGCAAAGGTTCTGAGCAGGGGCCCAAGATTTATGTTTCAGGCATAATAACATTGGTGGACAAGGTTGTCACATTTCAGAGATGTGGTTATCATATCTCACATTTAAAGTTACAATTATTATAATGAAATAAATAAGGTTGACAACTGTTTAAAGAATTTTTGAGTGAATAGTCCAGTATAAATGTTTTACTATAACACTGGAATATTTAAAGTTACTTATCTAAGAATTTAAATTTCAACTGCTTTGGCATGGATATCATCATTCTGAGGTTAGAACTTCTGTGACATAAGCAACTATTTTAGGAATTTGACAGCATTAAAACAAAGTTAAATAGTACTGTTCAAACTGGATGCAAGAACTCACAGGAAAAAAAACAATAAGTGAACATTTGAGAAGATAGGCAACTTTGCTAGCAATTAGGAAAAAATAATTAAAACAATAGTGACAGACATACCTCATCTGACAGGCAAAAATTTTAAAAATCTGATTTAAGGAAAATGTATGCGCTGCAGTCAATAGGCTGAGGCAGACATCAGGTCCAGCATGACTCAGCAAGTTTGGAGTGCAGGTGCACAATTCTGCACATTATGTAACTACACCACGTAAGGCGCATTAGGTGATCACCCACATGAGCTTGTAACTGGCTCAGAGCCACTATTGTCTGTAAAAGGTATAACTACCGGACTGACACTGTACCTATGGTTTGCACCTACGGCTCACACTCAGACAGTAAAGGCACGTTGAAACTGTGCATGATTCCTCTAGTGTTTTTCCAGCTACCCACCACTCACCCACTGACTCCCCTCAGACCTCAGTTAGAACCTGACAATTGGCATCACGAACAGGATCCCAAGGTGGGCGAGCCTTTGGTCCCTGCTGATTCTGGGTTGGCAATGTGGCCACGACATGGGTTGTGGTACCTGGTCACAGCTGTGCTGCAAGGGTGAACTCTGTTGGAAACCTGGCCAGCAGTAGATGGGTACCCCACGAGCACGGAGAAAGCACTGAAGCAGCTGGAAGTGCAGAGCACCGAGAAGGAATGAGCCTTTGACAGCAGAGTTGGATGGGCATTTTTTCTGTGCTACAAGAAGTACACTCCCAATCCCTGAGGGATGCAGTGCAGGAAAGGGCCTTTTGGGCACAGGCAGGGTGCCTGGAGGCCCAGCTACACAGCTTAGAAAAAGAGTTAGAGGCTGCCATGAATGGGGATCTCCAGGTGCAGGTGGGGTGCCTGAAGGCCTGGCATAGGGTTGGAAAGGGAGTTAGAGGCTGTTGTGAATGCAGGCCTGGGTCCGTCATCTCAGCCAGAGACCCCTGCTTGGTCTGGGTCTGCACTGTAAAAAAGGGGAAGATGCCCCACCTGCAGAGCCTCCCCATCATGGAAGAAAAGGGGGCCCCAACAAGTGACCCACTCACAGATGTGGATAGATTTGACTTTGGCCAGGGTTGACTGAGAGAAAATCGATAAGCAGCCCAATGAAGTACTCTTAACTTTGTGGAGATAACTGTCTCAAGAGCAGCAATTCCAGGAAATGCAGAAGGGGAAGGAGGACATTGCTGTATGACCTGGTCCCACTCAGGTGCTTCAACTCAAAGACTACTTGCTGCAGCCAGGTGGAAATGTTGAGCTTTTTCTGTTTGATTAGGGAACTGGCTGAGGTGCCTGGCCTGGGGGGACACCAGACAAATAGAGGCCACATGTGAAATTAGCAATCCACTGGTCCTCCACCAACATACAGCAAGTGCTGGCACTGGTAAACACCAGCGCTGATATATTCTGGGGGTGGATGTTTTACATGGCCTGACAGCCATCCCATCTATTACAGATTTGATGGACCGCTTGATGATGGAATTTGGACAGTGCCACTATGTGGTGGACTTGATTAATGCATTTTCAATTAACATTGCTCTAGAGAGCCAGGAACAGTTCGCCTTCACGGGAAGGTGACAGTGGACTTTCATAGTGTTGCTGCAGGGATATATGCATAGCCCCATCATATGTCATGGTCTTATTGATAATATTATGTTAACCTCTGATTCTCTTGCAGATTTAGAAGCGGCAATGCTCCTCTTGCCTAGAATTAAGATAGTGTGGCTGAGACTGACTTCCTGGCAGCTAAATAGGCTATTCAGCAGGCACAAGCCCTATGGGTAGTTGACCAAGGGTGCTCATTTGAGTTGGATGTGCATGTGACCACAGATGGTTTTGGCTGGGGCCTGTGGCAGAGCATGGAGTGCTTGAGAACACCAGTAGGCTTTTGGTCCCAACTATGGAAAGAAGCTGAGCTCCAGTATTCACTGATAGAGAAGCAGTTAGTAACTGCATATGCTGCCCTTCGGGCTCATGAGAGCATGGCAGGACAGGCTACAGTTGTCGTGTAGACGAGTTACCTGATAGCAGGATGGATGTGTTCATTGATAACAACCCCCCGGACTGGGACAGTGCAGACATCCACTTTAGCAAAGTGGGGCACCTACTTGAAGCAACAGAGTACGCTGAGTACAAGTCCCTTAGCAGCAGAGTTGCAAGAGGTCTTGAGACCAGCAGTCCTAATGCAAGATAAGGCCATGGGGCCTAAGGACATGGGGCCTGAAGCACCCCTACATGCTGAGCCTTCACCATTTAAGGAAGGGCATCCCCCCCTATGCCCGATGGGGCACGGTACACAGATGGGTCTAGCTGGGGTGCTGCTACTGCCTGGACTGCTCACAGTCCAGCCTAGTACTGACTCCATATGGTTTCATACCGGGTATGGACAAAGTAGTCAATGGGCTGAAGTCAGAGCAATATGAATGGTGATCACCAAAGAGGTGACACATATGATAATCTGCACCAATAGCTGTGTGGTCTATCGAGGCTTAACCTTGTGGTTAGGCACCTGGAAAATACAGAAGTGGCTAGTTGGCCACTGGCCCATGTGGGGCTAGGCCATGTGGCAAGACCTATGGGAGGAAGGATGACCTCCTATGACCAGGATGGAAACGGATGGTAACCTGTTGTTGCATGCCCCAATGCCCCTAAAGGTAGGGAAATAAAAACCTGGCTTAATGCATAAAGTAAATTCGGGTAACATCATCATGGGGTGTTTGCCCGTCATAACCTGGAGTTGTTGCTCCTTGTATTACTGCTGTGGCCTCTGGGTCTGGGGTTCCACCCTGTGGGCATGTTTCTCCATTTAAAAGACTCCTTCAGCCTAGGGAGTAGAATTTAAGGCCTATGTGTCAGACCTGTGTGTCCAGGGCCTTTGTCCCCAGAGTGTACGTATAAGGCCTGTGTCTTAGACCTGTGTGTCCAAGGCCTGTGTCTCCTTTGGCATTGAGGGTGGAGTGTAAGGAAAATGGATGTGCTGCTCTCAAAAATAGGCCGAAGCAGACATCCGGTCCAGCATGACTCAGTGAGTTTGGAGCACAGGCTCACAACTCTGCACATTATGTAACCACGCCACGTGAGGCACATTAGGTGATCACCCATGTAAGCTTGTGCTTGGCTTGGAGCCACTATTGTCTGTAAAAGGTACAACTACGCTGCTGACGCTGTACATACATCTTGCGCTCATGGCTCATGGCCAGAGAGAGAGTAAATCCATGTTGAAACTGTCTACAGTTCCTCACGTGTTTTTCCAGCTACCCGCCACTTGCCCACCAACTCCCCTTGGACCTCAGTTAGAACCTGACATCTGACAAAATCAAATGTTACAACAATGTGATAAACAGGTAACCCTCATACACCGATTGCCAGACAGTAAACTAGTATAGCCATTGTGGAGAGGAATTGAGCATCGTATAGGGAAGTTGGTAATCCTCTTACTTTAAGATCCAGCAATTCAACCTCTGGTCACGGACCTCAAAGAAACTCTCCAAATGAGAACAAGCAAACATGACAAGAATATTCACAGTAGTACTCATTCATTCATTTATTTATTCATTTCACAAATATCCATTGAGTTCACTGCTGTATTTGCTTGGGATATCTCTGGGACTGAAACAATTCTCCGTCTTCATTGGTATGTTCCAGGACACTGCTTTTGGGTACTGAAAAGTTTAAAATCACCTTAACCACCAATGAGGCAACAAAGTAGTGTGTAATCATATAATGAAGCCATGTAACTCAAACTGTGTGCCTACTAAGCACACACCAGAAACTCCAGGAAATCACGACAGCTGTACACTCTAATTTTGGACTTGTTTTTGCATCAGTTTTCTGAAAGATTGTCATGGATGCAAGCATGTTATTATTAGTCATTGATAAAAGAGCACAGAAAGAGGATGTGAGGAGAGCCCTTTTTTCCTTAGGGATAAAACCCTTTCATCTTGGCTTTCATGAAACCCATTACCAGGCAAAACTGATGCGAATTCCTGACTAGAAGAAAATGTTCTCCTGCCTTTATTCTCTCTCAGATGACTCCCATTAATTGATCCCAGGAGATTTTCTCATTTTGCTGCCTTCCCTGCATCCAGCCTTCATTTACCATGACCATCAGGCATCTGCAGGGCCTTGACCTGGAAAAGCTGCCACCATTCCTAGTAGAGGATGAACATAAATTCTCACTCTCAGAAATGCAAATATTTCCCTTGCTGTGGGGATGCATAACTTCAGAGAAAAGCTAAGCATATGGAGCACCCCATGTAAATTACCATCTCATACAACAACTCACTGTAACCTTATCTTTATTTCTTATAAATACTGTTTGTAAAGAATATAAAAAATTGAATTCCACATGCAAGATAAAGGCACAGCCACAATTTCAGAATGACATCTAATATTTCTGAAGTAATAAAATAAATGTAACCCTGTGGAAAAATAAAACATTTAAATAAAATAGTTACAAATGCAATAGGAAACTAAGAAAAATTATTAGGATAGATCCAATGTTACATTAAACTGAGGACAGCTCTTCACTGTGCTGGCTTCATTACGATATTTAAGAAATCTGACAGTTGCAATAATTAGAAACATTTAAGTTTCCATTCCAGCTAGCACAGACAAGCCCTTGACAAAACAATAATAGTGGCAAGAGCCAACAATAGAGCACTTACTGTAAAACAGCAGACATTGTCCTAAACACTATACATATATGTACTCATTCAGTCCTCCAACAACCCTACTTTTATAATCCCCATTTTGCAGATGAGGGAATTGAGGCAAATTGTCAGTTACCTTTGCTAAATCAGCACGTCTCAACTTCAGTGTACATAAAAATCTTCTGAATATGCTGTAAAATTGCAAATGCTCTAGCCATTCCCATAACCCACTCTGATTCAGTACTGTTGGTTTGGTATAGACTGCCCACAATCTAGTGTTACAATCTCCATTTTCGAGAGGTCTGAGGATTGGGCTTGGAAAACACTGCTCCAATTACACTATTCCCAGTGATATTCCCATTTATCTTCAATGCCTCTCTGATGTTTGGGTCATTGTTTCCATGTTTCTGAAGATTCCATTTTGTTTCATTTCAGAGTAAGAATACTTATTTCGATCCAATGAATTTGATTACCTATTCTATGTCCATCTAAAGTTTAATCAAAACAAACTATACTGATATGTTTACACCTTAATTATGTCAGCTTGAACCAAAGACATAAGACTGTTGAAGAAAACTCATTTCTCTTTTCACAAGGAACCTCTAGTAAGCTGGTGAACACCTTCCTTAATTTTTAAAACACTCTAAATAGGAAAATCTCTGGAATCTCTCCTAAACAGACATTTGCTTAAGTAAGGATTACAACTCTTGAAGGCATACATGAAAAATTCAGAAGTTTCTGAAGAATGCTTGGCCATATCATCATTCAAACGCACATAAAGTAATTTTATCAGCACAATTTTCTTTCTTCAGGGCCCTCATAAAAGGAAGATTCTTTGACTCCTTTGCAGAGCTATAAACCAAGAGTAACATCCATACTGTAAGAACAGAGGCTGTTAGAAAGATCTCGAGATTGTGCTCAACTAAAAAAAATTCATTTTCTTATTTTCACAGTGATGAAGAATGATTTTATACAATGAAAGAAACAAGTCATTGTTTTCTTCATCCATGGCAATATTCTCCCTGTCTTTCAAGAAAGATTGAAAATGTCTTTCAGATTGTAGTAATTTGAAAAGTTGTAAAAGATTGTAAAATAGAGGCATATTTATCAGATTTGGGGGAATAAATTTTTTTTGAAAAAGTTCTCAGATCCTTTTGAAAGGAGTTTAAATTGAAGTACAATAAAGGTACCTGCTCTCTTCTGTTACAACTAAAGCCAGCCACTCTTAGAATTAAAAAAAAAAAAAGCCTCTTGTTTCTGGTTTCATATAAGGAGACATAAGTGGCTTCAATGCTGAACAGGAGGTAACACTAAAGGGGTGAACTTTTGAGTCAGGCCATGTACCAAAATGAATTTCTACCCCAAAACAATGGGACTATTCTAAACATGAGCCATTGGTATGCTGGTAAATATTTATCAGTTGGCTCTCCAGGAGAAAAAAAAAGGCCTGATTTGTGCAGTATGTCCATTTCCATGGTGTAACTACTATCAGCATGTCTTATTTCAAGCTACCAATGTGATGGCCCTGAATGTGGAGTTGGGAAGAGATTTGTAGCTGCACCTCATTATATAGTATTTCCACGACACAGATACGATGGACTACATAACCTCAAGAGCATGGATAATAGTAAAATATAATGAAGTACTTGGGAACTAATGAGTTTTGAGTATTGATTACCTTTGCATTTCATATAATTTATTTAATTACGGGTTTATATAATTTAATAATGCCTGTGCTTTCCAACCAGGTCTCAAAATCATTGAATACGTAACAGTTAGTACTCCTGAGCTGGTACTACTACCTGGCTCCAGGCTACCATTGCATGTATCTCACCTTAAGCAAACCTTCCACAATACTGATCCACTTTTATACACATGCATTAATGAATGAAATTACAATATTATTTAAGTAGAAGTTTTATCCCATGAATACAAGCTAAGGCTTTATTAATACAACTCAATATCTACATATTTTATAGCATAACACTATACATTTCAGTGTTAAGAGATATTTTAGAGATCATCTGATCCAACCCTTCCTAAGACTAGCCATGACAACTATTGGGGATGCCATCTTTATTCATTCTCCTATTCCAAAATTCCAAAATTACCACTTTATGCAAAAAGCCACATTCAATTCAAACTCTGCTATTTCTCAAGAACATCCATAATTTCACTCAACTGGTATTTTTCCCATAAAATTCTCCCAACCAGCATCCAACATACCAAATCAGTGGTATTCTCACTATCTTCTGTAAATGCTATGTTTATTCTCCCTTCTGAAGCTGTTTCTTCCACTCTGTCACACATTCATTCATTTGCATTTTCAAGGTGTGTATGTTTGTGTGTGTTTTAAGAGAATGGTAGACTATTTACACACTTGTTAAAATGCTCACTTTTTTTAAGAGATGGGATCTTGCTCTGTTGCCCAGGCTGGAGTGCAGTGGCATGATTGTGGCCCGCTGCAGCCTTAAAATGCTGGGTTCAAGCAATCCTCCCACCTCAGTCTCCTGAGTAGCCAGGTATGTGCTATCATGCCAGGCTAATTATGTAGAGAGAGGGTCTTGCTATGCTGCCCAGGCCTGTCTTGAACTCCTGGACTCAAGTGATCTTCCTGCCTTAGCTTCCCAAAGTGTTGGTATTATAGGTATGAGCCAAAGTGTCTGGCCCTAAAATGCCCATTTCAACTACAGAATAAGAGTACCTGAGCAAGAGCATCTAGAAATCTGCTTTGTAAACAAGGACCCCTCAGGTAAGGGTAAGATTTCTAAAGTTTCAAGATCAACTGATTTAGTGAGTGGTAACTAAATGCTAAGGTGAGAATAAGAGAGCATGAAACACAAGATCAAGTGGTTTAATGGATATAAACCTGTAAACAGTTACAACTCTGTGTTTTAAGTACAACAACATAGTGGTGTTCAAGACCATCATTAAAGACAAGGAACACTGACCAGTGAAGGGAAACTCCTTCACAAAAGAGGGGAGGGCTAAGCCAAGTGCTGAAGAAAGTTCTCTTTTGCTGGTTCTCAGGGGTCAAGGCCCAGAGTGGCTGAAAATGAAATTACATAGAGTCTAAACAAGGGCCTTAGTATGTTTAGACTTCTCTAAGATAGAATTTCCATTATTTGCTTGATAAGAATCACTTGGGTTCTATACAAATGTAGATTTCCAAGCACTGTCCTCTTGTATTAGAGGTTCTCATTTAGTAGGATGGAGAAGAGCTCAGAAACCCAGCAGTTTTAACCTTAAAGAAACTGTTATAGGAGCAAGGGCCACAGAGAAGTCTTACTAAAATATAGGGGAGTAACACTTTCAGATTTATGTTTTAAACTAATATTTATAAGTCTTGTCTATTTTTCTCAGTTTAGATCGAGTTTAGCACCTAGTGAATCTTATCTGATTGTTATAGCCCAAACTGACCTCTTCATTTTATACATCATTAAACTTGGAGTTTGAATTATACTTTTACTTATTTCCTGTGTATTATTATTTCTCTTCTATTGTCAACCCTGAGGAATAGAAAGTTTGTCTCTCTGTATTCTTCGTAATGCCTGATGCAGGCATAAGAACACAGACACAAAGTAAAATTGGTTCTATGAATTCTCAGTACGTAGCCCTAGTTTTTAGGCATGTTAATCTGGAATACAATTTTAAAAGCTAACATTTAATGAGTGCTTATGTGCTAGGGACTACTGGAAGTAATTTACTTATATTATCTCATTTCATTCAATCAACAATATTGTGAGGTAGATGCTAGTATTGTCTCCATTTTACATATAGGAAAATTGGGGCTTAATCATTTTCCAAGGTAGGCTGGGTCCAGATCATATGCCCTTTATTACCAAGCTACACTGCTTCTCCCTACCCTGCCCCCTAAAAATGCTGTTTAAACAATGAATAGATAAAAGAAAGCAACAATGAGATTATAATCAGTAGCAATAATTTTTGAAATAATTAGGTCAGAGTCCTGCATAAAAGATGCTACTATAAACTATAAAGCAATCCAAATTATTCTAAATATTCCCAGGCTGAAATCTGCATCTGCCAGCTATGCATCATTGACTCCTACCTATGCTCTTGATTAAAAATCTCCTCTGTGTCTTCACATTCCCAATGGGAGTCGCATATCAGGAGAGGCGCATCCATGGGTGCAGCAAGAGTGACAATACATCACAGCCTCGACATCTGTGACAAGCCCAGCCTTTTGACAGTCTAGTGAGGGGGTGTGCATCTTGAATATTACCAGATGTGTCACAATCTTTGTTCCCCAAATACTTACTCCCTTTTGGATAACAAAACAGCAGAAGACACTACTCAGAACAATTAAAAAGGTTTGAATATTCCCATACCCTATAATTAATCTTCATTCAATCACAAGCATTTCTGTTCAATCTATTGCTTGAAATGAAATGCTAATAAGGCAAGAAAGCACAACTTTAGGACAATGCCAAAAATGGCCTTCGTTTCTCGTCTTTTGACATAAATAAGATGCTTTTGATCATATTAATGAGTGAGAAATGTGCAAGTCTCTAATACAAGATTCAGTTAAATTACATTCATCCTTGGAGATGAACAACCTGAATTTAAAAGGACAATTTAGGCTGAATAAAAAGTCAAAGCACAGTGCAACTAAAAGTTTATTCTAACTTAATTTAAAGTATTCTAGAACCTTTGCAAATCTTCATTGTCACACATTTTCACCCTTTTCCTCCAGTAGTTTTTTTCCCAACTTCTGCCATTTCTTTAATTCTTTCCATGTTCCTATGATAGTTATATTTATTCTGGATTTCCTATGTCTTTAAAAATTGTTTTAGGTGCTGGTTATTATCTATAAGAAATCTAAAGTGAGTAGAATGATCTGTCTCAAGACATTAAATAGACCTTGTTGGGGTTTATTAATTATTTCTTATAGAGTTACAAACAGTTTAGAGGGCTTATAGGTGAAACCTATCATAAGAAACAATGTTATATGTTGAACATTTAAGCTCCTTGTATACCAGGACATTACTAGGAATTTCACTTGAATCTAACTGGGCTCAGTATACTCCTATATACCAAAAGCCTTTATTGTTGAAGGTGCATAGTAGGAATTCAGTATATATACATGGAATAAACGTGTTTGCCCTTTTTCTGTTGTTGAATGCTTTTGGAAATTCAAGGAATGAATGTGAATGCTTTCTGATTTTTTTACAATTGCTTCATTATTATATAGTCATGGTTCAGCCTTCTTTATAAACTAATAATCTTACTAAATGCTTTCAACACTGATCAGGATGTGACTCACCTCTGTGTCAAATACAGAAGGTACTGAAGTCACATCAAAACCAAAGCAATTTTCATCCCTCATATTCAGGTCTAGTGGAATAGAACAGGAAAAGAGAATCTGCATATACCTTCAATGTTCTTGGGTGACAGAATACCTTAAAAAAACAAGTATACAAGGCGTTTCCTAGGACAGTCAAATGATGAAATATGGGCTTCAATCTCCTGGGTCCTCTAGTTTTCTCATGACCAGTATGTGAATATAGGCAAATTACCTGAATAACTCAACATGTTTTCTTACCCATATAAGAAAAGGAGAGTAAATACCTCATAGAATGTGGTAAAACTAAATGAGACATTACATGCAAAGCATTTAACACAGAGCCTAGAACAGAGTAAATGCTCAAGAAATACGGACTATTGTTATATTTCTGGGATTTGGATAATTTTTACTAATGTGGATAAATACAGATGAGGCGATCCTACAATGAGAAAAACAGAAGTTGTGATGTGTGAGACTTTTCATTTACATACAAACGGATATGGAAAATGGATTATGGATGCAATGTCCCTGATAGGAATGGCAAGGGCCTATTTGGGCATTATACTTTATTCCTGAATCATAGAAGAAATCCTATCACCAAAATACCCATATGGGTTTTCACATTAAAAAATATTTAAACACTTTCTTTAGAGATGCATTCTGAGACCCACGTAAGGAGTTGTCCAAACTAATATTGAATGCATTTGACATGACAGCTGGGTTTGAAAAAGTGCTTTCAGCAAAAGCAGAAGCCACTGGTTAACTTTTCTCCTTGTAGTTAATTACATTAAACAATTTTATCCCAAAAAGGGAAAGAGAGATTAAAATCCAGGTTATGGAGCATTCATTGAGGTTTTCTTTTCTTTTCTTTTTCCTTCTCTCCTTCCCTCAGGTAGCAGAAAATCATGAGCTTAAAAAGAAGCTGACCTGGCAATGTTTCCCAGACTTCTTTTATTCTTGACTTGGAAAAAGGAAAAATTGAGGGATTGAGGGATGGTGATTTTACTTGGTCCTTCTAGGACCTATTTGAAGACTCTTCTAGAGTCAGGTGTTGGTTGAGGTTCACAGCTAATTAATCACTGGAAACCTGGAGAGAATAGCCTGAGGTATTACAATAACCTAGGTATGAAGGTTTCTACACCCCAAATGGCCAAATTGCTGGCTACTTCTGGGATTATCTGGACACCTGAATCCTAAAGAATATGAAGTCCCAGGATCACTTCCTCAAGATGTCAAATTACTCTGATAGAGAAAGATAATTTTTATCTTATTTATTTTTTCCTTTCCAACCTTTATTTTAGGTTTAGAGGGAACATAAGCAGCTTTATTACATGACTAAGTTGCATTTTGTAGGGGTGTACAGATCATTTTGTCACCCAGGTAATGGGCATAGCACATGATAGGTAGTTTTTTGAGAAAGATGATTTTCAAGCAAGACTGGAAACAGAACAGGTAGCAGTTAGAAAATACATGTTTTTGTTTATTTATACTTAATTATGCATAAATAAAAGTGTAAATTATGAAGTCACGATGCCAGTAAATGCTTTTATTGGCTTGTCCACAGATGTCCTCCCTTCTCTAACCCCCTTTCTCCCAAAGTGGGTGTGAGTGCACCACCAGGTGGTGACATAATGAAATGACACATAGGGCATATAATGTCAGGCTGAGGAGAATTTTGGAGGTTCCAAGGATTGCTGGAAATAACTGCACAAACATGGCTCTATTACTAGAGCTTTTGTGTACTTGAGGTTTTATTTTTGTTTTTGCTGAAGCCCAATACAAATATATAACAACATTAAATTGCCATTTATGACTAGAATTTTAAAACCTAAGTCAAACATACTTTCATTGAACCTGGCTCTGCTTTTCATTTATTTTGTCACACAGGGCAAGTTATGTAATATTTTTGAACCTCACTTCTTCATCCATAAAATTCAGGATAATAATGGCTGCCATGAAATAGTTTAATTGGACCTTAAGACTGACTATCTCTCCAAGATTCTTTCCTCTTCTCCCTCCATTCCCCACCATCTCCATTGTCTACTTTGTTCCTTGGCTTTACCTTTCCTTCTGGTTTGCCCGGGGGGGATAAATACCCACTTGTACATCACCTCCTCAGGCAGCGCTGCTCAGCCCATACCTCCGTGCTCATGCCAGGACTCATATAGCCTTTAGCCTTTGCATTCTCCACACTGTTTAGTGTCACTTGTTTCCCTGAGTTTTGCTCACTGCTGGGCCTGTAGCACTGGGTCCATATTTCTATGCATCTTATTAACCTAGGCATTACACCCAAGATATAAACACATTGTAGATATTCAGTGACTTTTTGTTGAATATTTTTAAAGTATAACAAAAAGCCTTTGAAATACCAAGCAAAAAAGAGTACGTAAAAGAGCAAGAGGACTTTCTGAAGGAGTATATTCATTGCCCAAAAAAGGAGATCTATCCCTTGAGAGAGAACTGTAAATCTCTTCTACTCAGCTTGCAAATACAACTATTAAGATCAATGGAATGCACTGCATATAAAGTTGATTTATAGCCCTGGTTCTTTGTAAATGTTAATAGTAAACCTAATTTGAAATGTTATTTAAAAAGAAGCTACCATTTCAGTCTAAAGCATTTACTTTAAATCATTAAAAATTACTTTGTGTTCCTTCTCATTGGGATCTCTTGGACTTAGGAAACAATTTGAAATCCTAAGGGCTTTATTTAATTAAACAAACTCCATAAACATTAAAGTTAGTTGTTTTTTTTCATATAAATAACAGATAAGGTCCCTAAAAGATTGATTGGAATAAAGAAGACATTGATTTGAATCAGTCTCTAAACAATTATGTGACTTTGGCCAAATTAGTAAACTTCTGAGTCTCAATTTCCCCATGAAATGGTTAAGACCACCCTAAGGACTGCTATGAGGGTTGAATTATTAATGCCCACACCACTGTGTCTGGCACTGAGAAGGGTTAGCTCTCTTCTTTCATTTCATCCACACCTACTCTTCAACATATACATTTCTCTAAAGTCAATGTGTTTAATTTTTTTTAAGTTCAATGCTAACAAATATTAAATGCTTCTTTTCCCAACACTATAATTTTAACAAATGAGTTTCAGGCATATTTAAAAATGAGTTTCAGGCATTAGATCATGTGAACATAACTAATTATGTGAAACATTTTTGTCCAACTTCTACATAAATCATAGCTTCAAATTATATGGTCATAAGCCTACAAGATACTCATTGCTATGCACTGAATTATGTCCCCTTCAAAATTCACTTGTGGAAGCCCTAACCCTTTATGTAATAGTATTCGGAGATGGGTCTTTTGGGAGGTGATGAGATCATGAGGGTGGGGCCTGCAATGATGGGATTGGTGCTCTTATAAGAAAAGACACCAGAGAGCTTGCTCTTTCTCCACCATGTCAGAAGGCACTGACTGCAAGCCAGGAAGAGGGCCCCCAATAGAACCTAAACATGCTGGCACCCTAATTTCAGAACTTTCAGCCTCCAGAATTGTGAGAAAATTAATCTGTTGTTGTGTAAGTTATCCAGATTATAGTATTTTGTTGTAGCAGCTGGAGCTGACTAAAACCCTCATGTGCCAACGTAATATCGTTTTAGTTATAAATTTAATATTGATACAACTTTAGCTAAAGGAATAAAATCTGTATGAGAAACAATATAACTTTTCAACAGTATGAAGATATAGTTCTTCTTATTCATAAACACACATATACACTTGCATACATATATGTAAACTATATTTTGAATATAGAAGATCAACTATATAGAAGATCAACTATATAGCCATCTAGTTTAACTCATTGATCATTTAATTCAACAGAGTTGAGCGCCTGCTATGTGCCAGGCAATGCACTAAGCACCGATATACAAAGATAAGGGAGATACATTCTTATCTTAATTGAGCCCACAGCCCAATAGAGGAGAAAGTCAAAACATACGATATATAATAAGGTATGATAAATGCTCCAGATTATAACTAACATAATATTAAAAGTTGTTCTCATACTGTAGAACGGTTCTTCCCTAAAACTGTATCAACTCCACCTAAATTAATCCAACAATAGCCTCCTGACATTTTTACTTAGAGAGACTAATTTAGCAGGCATCTAAGGCAGAATAAAGTGTTTACCTCAACTTTTCTATCAACAATGTTAGAAGTGGAAAATACAACATAATTTTTGAGTCTCAGCTCCTGTCAATTTAAATGAAAATAGACAGTTGGTTCAGCATATGTTGATTTCTTAAAATCAGAAATAGATTTTCCCAGCAATACGCCTCAGGGAAAATAAAATGTGTGGGCTGGTTTATCCACGCATTAAAAGCAAGCTTCCAGCTGATGTTTGATTACATTCATGAAGAAAAAAATATTGTAATGAGAACATCCAATTACTCTTTCCACAGGAGTAAAAATTTCTGGTCTGAGAATTTGTTTCAAATCAGTGGTTAGAACATAAACAAACAAATAAAAAAGGGGAAATAAGTGAGAATGAGATCCTCAGAACAGCTACTAAATTTGAGTAGGCAGAGCATGGTTTCTGGAGTCCAAAAGCCTGTTTAAAGTCCTGACTCTAATGTCTACTGGTAAGGTGCTGGTGGGCAGGTTTCTTACCCTCTGTGAGCATGTTCTTTTACTCAGCAGTAACATGGAACCAAATAAGACCCATTGATAGAGTTGCTCAAAAGTTCAAGAGAATAATTTGAATTCTCTTTCTCTCAATGCATGCCATGTGTCTGACCTATGACAGGCTCTCAATACTTGGTAGACAATAGGAATTATTATTATTGGAAGGAAGAGAAATAAGAAGGAACAGCAACTTGAAAGACTACTATTGGCTTCATTGAAATAGGATCTTTGCATTTTGCCTTCTTTATCTTTGCATCTTGTCTTCTTTTTACTTTCTCTTCACACACGTGACCTAATAATAATAGCATCTGTAGTAACTGTTGTGTTATCATACAGTAGCACCCAGTTTTGTAGGTCTTATTTTACTTAATTTGTAGTCAGTAAACATATTATCCCCATTTGATAGATGAGGAAATTGAGGCTTAGACACGTTAAATGTCTTTCCCAGGTCACACAGTTTGGAAGAGATGACATTAAGACTTGAGCTCTGATCTATCCCGACTCTAAAGTTCATGGTAATATGAACATAATATAAAAGGGAACATAGTATAATACAAAAGAACATAAAAATAATACAACTTATACAATGTTAACTTTCAATTCAGCCCTCCAATGTAATCTGAAAGATCTTTGGTTTGATTTAAAAATCAAGTCAAATCTTTGTATGGCATTTCTCCTGGGAGGCTCAAACAAGTAAACATTCTACCCTGACGTTGTTCTTTCCTTTTCTCTCCTTTCAAGTTATTCAAATGCTCAGTAATAAGCAGCTTTCAACTGAATATGGTGGGGCAAAGCCAGCTGCTCTTTCTCCATGTGGTAGCTCAGATGGACACCTCACTCTTGGTGTTACTGTGTAGCTGTACTCCCTTAATAGCCTGGCCAGCTGTCTTACATAAACAATTATTCATGATTTTAAATTATTAATAATTTAGAAGGAAAACAGATTTCCTGTGACTATATGGCACAATATAGTACATAAAATTGGGTTTGAATATTTGTTTTCTGCACATCCTCTATAGTTATAAAATGTAACTAATGATTTGTGTTTAATTTGTCTCTCAATCCAATTTTGGTAGAGCAAGATTTAAAATAAATGGCTGTAGATTTCCTAATTTGATCAGGGACTCTCAGTTGTTACAAGTACATATGTTATTTCATATAAATGTGAAAAAAATATTTTATGTTTTTATATGAGATCCACTTCTTATGCTTATAATATTATGGCTCCCAGATGTTATTAATGTGAAAGTGTTTAGAGAATTTCCTCTGAAAATGTCATCCTATCCCTACACAACCCAAGATTATTGCAATAGTTTCACAAATGTCATGGTTTATAACCTTACATTTATGAAGAAACTGTTGACATCCTATCTTTAGAGAATGAGAAAGAAAGAGGAATCATTCTGAACAGAATAATTCCAGGAAGCATCTTGGCCTGACACATAGGCCTGCCTAGACTCGGTAGATTTTACTAATATGTCTTTCCAATTCATTTGTTGACTATATTTAGCTTTATAAAGTTAAAGGTGAGAGAGCCTCAATGTTTAATATAGCATCTACTCCAATGGTTCTGAAACACTAAATCTTCTCCTTGAGAAAGTTTGCACCAGACCAACAGAAAGTTTCGTATATTTGTGATTAAGCTACATTTATCAAATTAGAAGCACGATTCATTATTCTGACATGATCTTTACCATTTTTAAAATTTATAATAGCCATGATTTTATCAAAGGATAAATGCAGAGTATAGGATATTTTCAAAAATGAGCTCACCTGGCAAACTAAAAGTAGGCAGTGTAAGTCGCCACATTCCAAAAATCAATATTTAAAATTGCAAATTCCAGAAACAGATGAGGTCTGTAGTTTTACTAGTGGAACCACTAATACAGTGACTTGAGTATTTTTTTTTCACTTAGTATATTTTAACTATCTTCATACTAAGAAAATACCTACGAAAGTAAGTCTAGAAAACCCAATATCAGCCTGTCAATATTTATATTATTCAGAGGGATGTATATACATCTTAATCTTTTGTTGTATTCCTATATAATTCTAGCTATATTTAATTCTAGTTACAAATTAATTAAAAATACCACTCTTAACTTTTCTGGGCATGGGGTTGTAACCATGAAACCAACTTCTTATGCCTTCTGAAACCAAGTCAAAAGTCAGACACCTTAAAAATGCAGTCTTTTGTACACAAATGTACAAAATAGCCCCAGAATAGAAACCTAATTGTGAGTCCTTAGATAACTAGGACTAGAAATCCTTCATCGCTACACTCCTGGTGCTTAGGACAACAGTGACAGGTAAAGGCACTCAACAGACTATGGAATGAGCAGATTCTAAGAGTCAATACTTAGGGTGAACCTTGCTCTATCACAATACTTCTCAATCTAAATGATACTGCAGACCTAGTAATATAATTTGTTCCAAGCCGGAAAACTTCAGGAATGTGCAAGCTGGAATGGGGAAGAAAGAAGTCAAATCCTTTATCACTGAGAAGAGAAACCAAGGGAGAAGCAGGTATGGAGTTCCGATACGTGCAAAGCTTCGTAGATACTAAACTGGGGACAACCAGGTTAAAGTGAAATAACATTACAGCTATGTACAAAACATGTTTCTGCTTCCAAACCAGGGTAATTAAAAAATTAGAATGCAGTTATTTATTTTATTAGTATTAGCTATTAGTTGAGATCAATTTTTAAACTTTAAAATGCAGTCACTTTAATTACAAACTTTTACTTTCAGACTCACATATGCACGGAATAGTGGAGAGTAGAGACATTTATTATTTAAACTAGCTCTGACAATGAGATTCATTTAACAAGCTATTTCAGATCAAAACAGAATTGGGGACTATCAATCAGTTTCCTCATTCTCCCCTTTCATTTTTGGATCAGCTATAAATAGTCACAAAATGTGTCCATTTGGCATCTTCTGTGGCTTCCAGGGTTTAATTTCAACACTCCTTGATATCACAGAATCACTTTAAAGAACAGAGAGGTTGCAGATCAATTATTGTAGTCATGTGCCATATAGACTTTGTGTGACTAACCCCAGACTATTTGTCTATTTTAATAAAAGGAGGTCATGATTGTGCAGAAAGTGAAAAACTTTTTATTAATCTGAATTTAGCATATTTATGGTATTATACCCCTAACATAATAGTATACAGGTAATATCATCTGATATTTTGTTTGAAAACCCTTATGTTATATTGCTTTTTATATCTCACCAACTAATTGCTTTTCTAATCCCACCAAATTTAGTGGTGTCCACTTAACTATAAGACTGTGGCTGACACTGCTGATTGTATATACGATATCCATTCTCCCTTTCATTCTTATTTATATAAGCCTAATGTTAATCACCCAATAATATGTCTAGTTAAAAAAAACAAGCTCCTCAGCTTCCCTGGAAGGTAGGGGCAAGTATATGAAATTGTTCTTGCCAAAGAACAGGTTGTCAGAGAGGGGCAAGGTAGCTGGGTTTATATAAGCTGAGGATTCCTAAGAAATCCTTGTTTCCCTGATACAGACACCATCCCTTCCTACTTCCTTTCCATTTCTCTTCTTTACCCTGGAATGAGGAGATAGTGCCGTGGGAGCAGTATCGCCAATGGTCGTGAGATGACAAGCACAGGACAGGCCCATATGCTGAGGATGGCTGGCACAGAAGAAAGAATAAAAGGAAATCACATATTTGAGGGTATCATAGAATCACTGTACTAGCCCTAGTTTGCTACCTCCTGATATCCTTTTCCACAAGACCAACAAACCCTTAGATGATTCAACCATTGTTAGTTTTCTATTGCTTATAGCTGAATGCATTTTAAACTGACAAAAAAAGACTTTCTAATGATTTTGCAATAAAGACTTTTTAGCACACCTGCCATACTTTTAAAACATGGCCATTTTGAAGGAGCTGGTGCCAGACTACAATATTTCAAGCAACCGCCTTCTTCCTAAGTTTATTACATTGACACACATTAATTTAGGTTTTGTTGGAGTTAATGTTTCCTTCAGTCATTTCTTTGCTTACAAAATACTTTTTAAAGTAAATATACACAAATTATCTACCTTAGAAAATGCAAAAAAGCAGATATTTGTAAGTCATCTAAGTCAGCTCTTGCTTCCCTTCCTAAACTATTCATTAATTTGGTGTAAAGTGCATTATAACTGAATGTTGTTCTTGTATTTCATGGACACCAGTTGTCATGCTAATGTGCACAAAAGGTTTTTTCCAGAGTGAATGCATCAAGTAAATCCCAATCATTGCCACTGCAAATGCTGACAGACTAAACAAAATTGCTGACATCTTCCAAAATCTGTCTAGATAGATCACTGCTGCGCAAACATCATTGCAGTTCCTAATGAAAAAGCAAATAATTCCCATTTGACATTTATCTTAATTTCAAAATAATTATTATTTAATCATATCTAACCATTTCCTATAGTTCTCTTGTAATTCATTGTACATAGTGTGAATTTCAATAAAATTCACTTTCCTCTTCCTCTGTTTTACCTAAGGATTAAAAATGAAGCAAGCTAACCTGTCCTTCTCTGAAAACCTGTACATTAATCTATGCTTACACCTTTTGTAAAAAGCTATATTTTATTATTTTATTGTTAAATTGCACTGTGAATTTCAAATGTCAGGAGACATTCACACACACACACACACACACACACACACACACTCACTCACGCACAGAGAGAAAGGAAGAGAAAACAAAGAGACAGAATTTCCTCCCTACCAAAGGGGCTTTGTTTTGATCAGCAAGTTTTTTTTTGGCTCATTGAACTAAATTCACAAATTAACAAAACTCCACTATGAAGATCTGATGGAAGAAGGAATGGAAAACTCTTGACCTTTTGGATCCCAGTCCCCTGACCGGCCCTTTTCATCTTCCCTTATTAAATGGAAATGATCAGTATGAGCTTTCAGATTTAGGCAAGACAGCTAAAAGCAAAATCTTGCCTTCTGAAAAAGATGGTAAAGGAAAAATTGGAGCTAATTAAATAATGAAATCTGTTTAAATGAACCTATTTATGCCAATGAAATAGGCAGAATCATTCATTATGTAAATATGACCTTTAAGGACATATCACAAGTAAGTTGTGAATAATAACCCCATGAATAATTGAGAATTGATGGTATTTAATATTTATTAAGTGACTTTCACATGGATTTGAGTTAAGTAAGTCAATTCCATGGGCCCAGTGATGGTATCCATTTAATGATTTATTCAGCCTCTAAATATGATAGTAATGTTCTGTATGACAGTGAGCTAGAAATTGCACAATGGAGAATTCAAAATGAATAAGACACTGTCCTTGTTTGCAAAGTTTTCATGTGGCAAATCCCTTAAGGAGAAAATAACACTTATTTACAGGATGAAAAGGTCAGCTCCACATAGTTGATCAGCATTTAGAGTTTGAAATAATAATTGGGTGAGGTCTTGAGGGATGGATTTTTATTGGTGGTGATATTAAAAAGAGAGAATTTCAAGTATATGGAAGGTCAAAATCCAAGGGCAATGAAAGTTCAGAAAAGTAATCCTTTTGAGCTGGGATACATGCAAAACGTGAGATAAAATCCTGGACAGATATAGGATAAAACCATGACTTTAAAGGGCTCACTGAAGAGTTTAGATTATTTTGAGAAGTCAGTCATGGAGACAGAACAAATGGATGAGATGTAGTATAATAAGTTCCAGTGTCTCCCATACCCCAATAAGGATGTACATGAATTATAATCTAACAAAAGAGAAGGAAGCTTGGAAAGTGTTAGGATTCTATTTCTTTCTGCTTTTTCTACTTATGATTACATGGATTAGAATGTTATCTGCTGTGCTGAAACAGAGTTGAAATGTTACTTTAAGTAATCTGGTAAGTATGTTATTAAAATGACTATTTTACCAAGATTCAAAAAATTGAAATGTCAACATATGCCTAATCATCAATGTTGTTTTTGTGAATGGTAATAGCATCCATATTACCATCTTTTCCTTCCTCTTTCTTCCCTTCTTCTTCACAGTCTTTAATTTCTTAATTATTTAACCTTTGTGGATGAGTATTAAGCATATAAGTTAGAAAATACCAATTTTATTACTTTTTAAATGCTGAAATAATTATTTTTAATGAGAGTATTATTGACAACCACTTCTTGTTATTACTGAAAGAGTAAACTTGAGTTTTGAACCAATGGGTTAAGGATTAAATCTGCATTAATCTAAATAGGGAATTTTAAGGAATTTTTTATTCCAGAGTCTATGGTATCATAAACTTCTATTTAATGAAATAGATTATCAGAATCACCTTTCAATTTCATGGTCTGATGTAAAAAAAATTCTCCCTGAAACAGATACAGGGCTATAATCCTCAGATTACACGCACACCCAAACACACATACACAGGTTTGTATATATTTGCCACCTCCAACCCAGGTACTGGTTTTATTTAAAGCATTCATTTTTTTTTTCTTAAACTATGCTCAAACCATGGTTGACAGTTTAAGAAAAGAACCAATAGGATAAAATAGTGTATTCTATTCACAGCAACAGACTGAAATAGACTCAATATCTGATGTTGAACTTTCCAAATATATACAGAAAATTACATATAAGTTATAACTCACACAACTCTTCTATCTCCTTATTCTATTTGTCCTAAGAATTTACAATAGAATGAAGTTCCTTCAAGTAAGAGACATTACAGTGCTGCATTGCTGAGACAAGCCTATAAAGAAAAGGAAGACGGTTTGATTTTGTCTACTGTGGTCTCCTTGTAGCCCTGGAATGTGAAAATGTACAAAATAATCTAATATCTCATAAACAAAGTAAAGTGGGTTTTTTTGGCCAGATATTTTCTAGATAGATATGAGAGAACTGTCAAGAAGCAAAAGATATTAAGATAACTCCATGTATTAAATCATTTCGATTTCATTGGATATGTCATGGACTTAAAAAAAATTCTCTTTTCCTTTTGTAAAGAAAAGTCACAGTTAAAAAACACAGAAAGAAAAGAGTTTGGAAATGTGTGAGGGAGAGATGAAAAAAGCTCTCTACAACTGGTTCAGAGATTAACCTGAGTGAGTCCAGTCACGTGCAAAGGCTTGCGGAGGTCTAGACTGCAATGTCTGTAATTGAATTTTAAACTGGCTTTACATATTCCCAGAGAGAGCATATACCATGATGTGCTCATGAATGCAAGCCTTAATAGGAATTACATACTTTCACAAGCACTGTGCTTATAAAACCCCTTGAACCCTATTAATCCTATATTGAGGTTTTATGTTTCTTCTACTCAGAAAAATATCAGATTTATCTATTGCCCATAGGATATTTGTTTTAAAGTGATACACTTCAGTTGGGCCTGTCTCCTGAAGAAGTTTTGTATAAAAATTATTCACTTGAATGCCAATGGAATAGTTGAGTACAGAATCCCATTAATGTATCATAGAGTGATATTGCAGTTATGAAACATAAATCTTAAAGCTGTGAATCTCTGCATATAAACAGATTGGGAGTTTAGACTTGAGATGTATATAAAGGAATGATTACTAATGTCAAAGAATGTAATTTGAGGAAATATTTTGTTTTCTATTAATTGTATTCAGGCAATCTGCAGCCCAAAGTTTGAGTTCTAAATTATTCACCAACTGCCTTGAAGTACCATCAAACAAATTCTAAGATGTGACACTTGAGGGGGATCCTTCTGCCTCAATTTTTTAAGTCAGTGGAATAGGACTCTTCAATATATCAAACTCTGAAATTAAACAAGCTTTACAAAATAAGAAAGTGAGAATGGTACATTTTATAAATAACACTGAGATTACATATCTTGCGTTATTCACCAAAATATATTTTAGATGGAATAGATTTAGTTTTTCTAAATATAAAAAGCAAGCATGCTAAGCAAAATATCTATCACAGAAACAAAACTTTTTTTTTTCGAGACAGAATCTCGCTTCATGGCCCAGGCTGGAGTGCAGTGGCCCGATCTCAGCTCACTGAAACCTCCACCTCCCTGGTTCAAGTGATTCTCCTGCCTCAGCCTCCTGAGTAACTGAGATTACAGGCATGTACCACCACACCCAGATAATTTTTAAATATTTTTAGTACAGACGGGATTTCACCATGTTGGTCAGGCTGATCTTGAACTCCTCGTCTCAAATGATCCATCTGCCTCGGCCTCCCAAAGTTCTAGGATTACAGGTGTGAGCCACCCCATGCCTGGCCAAAACAAAACTTCTTTACAATAAAAATTTAAAAAACAAAAAACAAAAGACTAGAAATAGTTGCTTAAAATAAAGAGTCAAATTTATGTGACAAAAAGAAATAAAATACATGTATAACATTGTGCACATGTACCCTAAAACTTAAAGTATAATAATAATAAATTAATTAATTAAAAAAAAAGAAAACAAACCAACAGATAAACATTGATTCATCAGGTAGATATTGAAAGATTCCAGCAGAGAGTTCAAGCAAATGGAAATATAAAGGGTAAACAAACAAATGGAAAATAATATTGAGATAGTATTTTATACCATCTAAAGACAAAACATGTTAAGAAAATTATGATATTCAATACAGCTAAAATAACAGAATATTCTGGGGCACTGTAACTTGATATAAATTCCTTTGAAAATAATTCTTACAATTGGCCGGGTGCAGTGGCACACTCTTATAATCCCAGCACTTTGGGAGGCTGAGGCGGGTGGATCACCTGAGGTCAGGAGTTTGAGACCAGCCTGACCAACATGGCGAAACACTGTCTCTACTAAAAATTCAAAAACTAGCCGGGCATGGTGGTGCACACCTGTAATCCTAGGTACTCGGAAGGCTGAGGCACGAGAATTGCTTGAACCCGGGAGGCAGAGGTTGCAGTGAGCCGAGATCATGCCACTGCACTCCAGCCTGGGTGATAAAGTGAGATTTTGTCTCAAAAAAAAAAGAAAAAGAAAAAAAGGAAATGATTGACAAAATATAGGAGAAATCATGAAAGAAGCAATCAGTTCCACAGAGGTTAAAAGGTATGTGCAATAAAGATGTTCACAGCAGCATTAACTATACCAGTAAACACCTGGAAACATTCCAAATATCTAACATTTGAAGAATAATTATTTCAAAGGTAGGATTATAACGGTTTTAAAATTTTCTTCTTTGCAATTTTTGGAGGCAGTCTTCAAACATTTAATACAAAAGTATTACTTTGGTAATCAGAAAATTACCTGTTAACAAATATTTAAAAATAATATGTGCATAATATAATATGAAAAATGAATATAAATGTATTAGGTTACAGATGTTTTTCACAGCAATGAGAAATTACTAAGGAAACGACTTAATACTGTTATACTCTTTGAAATTCTCTTTGGTAATTCTGCATTTACATAATAACATTTAATTAATTATAGCACTATTGTCTAATTGAGTACAATGACTTTGATGACATAACATAAAGCCTAGGCTTTTAAAGTCGCATTCCTGGAAGTGAGGGCATTTGGAATAATCTTTTTTTAAAAATGTTAAAATGTTATTTTATGACTATTCTTGGTTTTGTATAGTTTCTGATATATTACAAAATGCCTTTCGGTATGTATTAAATTCCCTAGCTTTGTTTATAGTAGGGTAATTCATGCGTATTGGACAGGCCCCTGAAATTTTTGCCTAGAAATCAGCCATGAAATTTGAAAGAAAAAAATTGTGACCTGGGCAAGTTCCTTAATCTTACTATCATTTTCAATATTTGTATAAAGAAAGAGTTGACATACATAATTTCTTAGCAATCTAATAGGCCACGGTATTGTGAAAAACAACTTTACAAATGTAAGAAATTAATAACATAATATTTCATTAATCTTAAATTCTCACAGTACAGTAAAACATATTGTTAGTCTTATCTATAAAATTTCAAATGTCCACATGAAAATTAAAAACAAGCCCATTTAGATTTTGCAAAGATCTGAATGTTTAATATTATTTTTATATATTGCTATTGACCCAATGTTTAAATCATTAGCTGGATTTTTACCATTTTCATGAGTATAAATGAATGTGTATATATGTGCATATATGAATCCATATAGTTATGCACATTCACATACATACTATATATAATCAACATAACATATAGAATCAAAATATTATTTGTCTTTTGACTTCCCGGTTTTACAAAGGCAGCATTAGACAAAGCTATATTTCTCAAAACACATTTGTTTTTCAAGAAAAAATATGCAGAGCCCTATTTTTCTATCAGTTCGTATTATACATTAAAGATTTATTATGCACTTGCTACTGATGTTAAAATACTTTAAAATTCAGTGAGCAAGAGATACTGTTTCTATGGCATATTTTGCTTCAAATATCCACATGCATAAACATGAATAGATTGTGGGACAATTATTATTTAAATAAATGTCTCAATTTTTTATAGACAGGCTAAGTGATACATGCAATGCTCAGTAATACACGCAATGCTGAGCAACACATGCAACAGCATACATAAGCTGACATATTTGTACCAAACATCACATTTGTCATACAATGTATTCTGTTGTCAGATTTGCAGAATATGGGGCAGTACAATATAAGAATGACAAATTTTGAACAAAAAGAGTTCCTTTCCCCATGAATAGGACAGAGAAAAGTGGTGTAATATTTATTATAATAAATATCTTAGTAAAACATATAAAATGCAATCATGGGGGGGAAGGCAGAATTATTTGTTTTCCAAAGTGCAAAAAGGAACTGTCTCTTTTGAATACACACCTATTCAAGAACATACTCAAGAAAAGTAAACACATAATAGTAGTTACCTCTGGGTGGGAAGGAAAGGTGATAGAATTGGGGAAGGGTACACTAGGGGCCCCAGTTTTACCTTTAGTGTTGTATGGTTTGAACTCTTTGATGCATAAATGGCTACACTATCATCTATTTTTACATGCCTGAAATATTTAATATTTTAACATAATAATATAAAATATATTTCTATACTCTAGAGTATATTTATCTTTAATATTCTATAATTTGTAAAATAATACCTATTAGTTTATCATTCATGTTCATTCTAAACACTACGCATACTTCTTACTCATTTCTTTTTATCCTTTTCAATCTGTATCAAAATAGTAGAGCTTTACACAAATTTTTATCTAAATATCATCTTTCAATTATTTTCACAGTGATTAAAAACAAAGTTTAAAAAAAACTAGAAAAAAATAAAGGTGAACATTGACCTGAGGGTGAGGAAAGCTTTTATATGAATGAAAGTCATAGATCAAATTTTCCAAAAGAAAAGTGATTCTTTTGTCTATAGTTGTATATTAAAAAGCAATGTAATAAATTAGATGGCAAGCAACAAACTGAGAAAAATATTTTTTCCAAAAGTGTGAGGGAGAAAGGGCTGGGTGCAGTGGCTCACACCTGTAATCCCAGCACTTTGGGAGGCCAAGACAGGTAGATCTCTTGAAGTGAGGAGTTCGAGACTGACCTACGCAATATGGTGAAACCCCATTTTTACTAAAAATACAAAAATTAGCTGGGTGTGGTGGTGCACACCTGTAGTCCCAGCTATTCGGGAGGCTGAGATGAGAGGATCGCTTGAACCCAAAAGGCAGAGGTTGCAATGAGCCAAGATTGTGCCACTGCACTTCACCCTGGGTGACAGAATGAGACTCTGTGTCAAAACAACAACAACAACAGCAACAACAACAAAGACAGGAAATGTTAATGTCTCAATAAGACACTAATGTACAATTCACAATAGAAAATTCTTTTACACTATAAAAATATTTGCAGCCTCAATGTTAATCAATTGAGATAAATTAGATTTTATCCAACATATTAATTTTATAAATACTTAACTATAAAAAAACTCAATATTTGAGATGGTGCAGTGATACAGCGATACAGCAGTGTAATACGCTACAAGCACACTGCTAACAGTCTCTGAAAAGCAGAACACGATGTCACCTTTAAAATGTTCTTTAACTCTATACATCATATTTCTGAGAATGCATCTTAATGCACCAATCCAGGATTGACCTTCAAGTATGCTTATCTTAAAACAATTAAAAACAGCCAATGTCCAATATGAAGAGAATGGTTGAATAAAAGGTAGGAATATAAAATCATGTTATAGAAGATTATGGAATATAGGATGGTATGAAATAACATAAATATAAATCTCAGTTTACTATTTTTAAAGACTAAGTATTAAAATTCTCATTGGAAGTTGAAGGTTTGAATCCTAATCACTCCAACACTGTACAATTGCATTATAAAATATTTTCTTTACACATTCTAACACAAGAGTTAGTGTATCACTAGATAAAAGTTCCATATGAGTTATTTATAAAAGTAGAAAATACTTTATTGCTGCTGGTGTCCTGAAACTGAATAATAAATTCATCTATAAATCATTTAGTACCTTAATGTCTGTGGGCCCACTTACTGTGTTAAGTGCAGAAAATTATTAACAGTCTGGACTTTCTAAGTACATAATTTTCTATTGTTTATTCTTTGTTTTATAAAGTGCCCACATGTTCAAAATATTTTTGATAATGACCAAGTAGTCTACTTTCTTGATGACCTGGAACAGTCATCCTTTTTTTTCTTGCTGGTATTTTTGTTCTAAAAGGGAAAAGAGTGTGGAAAAGGATAATGGATTACTTTATAAGCATTGTCTTGACGACTTGGCAACAATAATCAATACTCAAAAACTTTTAAGTTCTTAACACATTTATACCTTGTAAATAGGGGCACAATCACGTGGAATTCATAGGCAGTTTGCTTTTCTTGTACCATCACTCAATTTTTTGAATTAAAGATTTTATATGAGACTTCGGAATTAATGATACAAAGATGCATGAATGAAAATAGAGATAAACCCAATTGTGGAATTAAATATACAATCAGTAGCTAAGAACAAGGAGATAATGATGCTTCAGCAATCTTAGGAATTATTCAGGTAAAGAGGGGCAAGCACAGCACTTTGCACTGAAGAGGACTTTAGAGATCAACTACCCAACACTCTCCTTTTAAATTAGAGGAAACTGAGCCTATGAGGATTTAAGTAATTTGCCTGTGATCACTCAGCTAACTAGTAGCATAGGAGGAACAACAATAAAGGTCTAGATTTACAGTAAATTTATCTATTAATTCATTTCTACATAACTGCTTCTTGCATTCAATGCACCTAGTGTAAGTCAAAGTCAGGTATGCAATATGGAAAATGGTTTAGTCTCTTTGTACTCCAAATCCAGGATCAAAACAACAGAAAAATACCAGAAAGACAAAAACAAAACAAACAAACAAAAACCTCAAGAGGGCACTGAGCAGAGATACTGAATCAATGACAAGCTCTTCCCAATCTCCTTCCGTCCCCATCCCCAAAGGCTCTGGGTCAGACTAAAAAGACTACTGAACTACATCAAACAATTTGTGTCTATGTCCCACATTTTCCTAAATGTGTGACCTTGGACACTTTTCTGTGCCATCCTGAACCTCAGTTTTATCATCTAGTCAAAACTCAAGATGATCTCTGAAAGGTCCCTTCTTCCTATATGTCACTACGCAGGTGAAATACACCAGGATTTGCCCTGCCTTGTCTTTCTGTTCTTTTTAAAACCCTTCGTCCAGTCAATAAGCCCAGTTTTTAAAAATTCTTGCAGTTTCTATTCAAAAGAAAAAAATCTAAAGGGTGTGTCTAATAACAAGTGCTCTCAATATGACCATAATTGTACTATTGACATTTTGGTGTTTCAGGGTAATACAATTTACTGAAAAAGAAGAATTAACTCTGGCTATATAAAGTTGCCGTATATTTATTTAAAATTTCACGTATTTTCTTCCACAAAACTTGATTTTCCTCTTTCAAATCATAGGATATGAAGAACTTTTCATTAGTAACATGAAAGCTACTGACTACATGTCTAAAAGATTCATCTTTATTTACATATCTAGGTTCTTCTCTTTTAATCAACCTGAAATTACGTTTTTCTAGTAGTTAAAACTAAACATTCTCTTAGTAAAATACAGAAGATAACAGGAGAAGAAAAAGCTGACTATGGAAAATTTTTCTAACTGTATGTCATCTAAGTTTAACGGTAAACTTCTAGTAGTCTCTCGGGTCCTAAAATGCTTCAAATGAATTCATAATCTGAATGGGCTTTTAAACAACATTGGGATTAGGAGTCTGGCCCTACCTTCTCTGGAGCAAACATATTGTTGAGAATGGTTTGCACCAGAAGGATCTTCTATCACCAGTATTACTGTTGTTGTTACTGATATCAATTATCATCATCATCATCATCATCATCTTCTTTTGGGGGGAGGGTAGGGTGTGGATGGAGTTTTGCTCTTGTCGCCCAGGCTGGAGTGCAATGGCGCAGTCTCGGCTCACTGCAACCTCCACCTCCCAGGTTCAAGCAATTTTCCTGCCTCAGCCTCCTGAGTAGCTGGGATTACAGGCATGCACTACCATATTTGGTGAATTTTTATACTTTTAGTAGAGACGGGGTTTCACCATGTTGGTCAGGCTGGTCTCAAACTCCTGACCTCAGGTGATCCACCTGCCTTGGCCTCCCAAAGTGCTGGGATTACAGGCGTGAGCCACTGCGTCTGGCCATCCTTTTTGCATATAATCATTTATAAAGTACATACCCCACAAATTATCATGTTTAGACACATGGACAACCATTCTATACTATTCATGCATGTTATTTATTCCTATTTAGCAAGTGAGAAAACCAATGTTCAGAAGGATTATGAGATTTACTCCATTTTATATCCAAAATATAGTAAACCAGGCTTTGAACAACCCTAATTCTAGAACTTCTTTTATCTGTACCTCAATGTGGTAAGCATTATGTGATGTAGGCACAAGGGTTTTCTATTTTCATACCAGGTGTGCAGTAATCAGGCATTCTAAATTTAGCCCAAGAAACACACTTAGGTAATGCCCTGAAACAGTCATTGCTATTCCTTATCTGGGAATTCTGTTATCATTTTGCATTTGCAAAAATAGTCATTCTATAATATAGAAGTATTCTTTCACATTGGCCTCCCACATTGCTGGAAACATTTCTTTATATTTACTCTTCCCCCAAAAAAGAATGAGTGGGAAACATAGTTAATATTTATTTTGAAAGAAAATAGGGCTTAATAAAGGGAACAATTACATATTTAGTCAAGGTAGATTAATAGCTGAGGTTTACCACTTAGCACACTGCAAACAAAATCTAACACGATACTATTGCACTAATACTAGAGCAATCATTACACCAGTAGGTGTGCCAAATGTGGAACTCAATAACAAAGCCTACTTAAAATGATCAAGTATTATAAGTTAGTACATGATCAGTGATTATTCTATAAAGTGGGGTTTGGGAAGCTAAACAAACCCTAAATTTTTTCCTTATTCTTCATAATCAAAACACATTACAGATAGACAAAAGTTAAATATAAAAAAAGAGAGCCCCCAAAAAATGGTAAAGTAAAAAAAGATTTAAGAAGCTTAAAATGGAGTCACATTTCTAAACATGACATAAAAGCACACAGAGGAATGACTGTTAAACCTTGATCTATTCAAAACATTTTAGAAACAAAAGATTAAATAACTCCACCAAAAAATGAGTACATAACTTGAACAGACATTTCTTCAAAGATGATATACAGATGGCCAACAAGTACATGAAAAGCTGCTCAACATTACTAATAGAGAGATACAAATCAAAACCTCAATAAGATATAATTTCATGCCCATTAGGATAGCTACTGTAAACACACACACACACGTAAGTGTTGACAAGAATATGGAGAAATTGAACCCTCGTGCACTGTTGATAGGATTGTAAAATGGTGCAACCACTATGGAAAACAGTATGAAAAAATATATTAAAAATAGAACTATCTTAAGACACACTTAGATATATATCCCAAAAGAATTAAAAGCAGGCTCTTAAAGAGACATTTGTGCAAGTTTCTTCTCTCAAAAGCAGACTCATATTGTACAAGCCCATATGACTGCTGAACAGAGTCCAAATATTCTTTATTTCCTTTCATTGAGCACTACAATCATCACTCAAATCATTACACTTCAATCAGCCTGACACAGAACTGTGTTCTTTAGGACTCAGTAGAGAGTACTATGTAACAATGAAGATCAGAAAATGTCTTTGGAAGCATGGAACCAGACAAAACAAAAGATGACAGACAGATCGATAGATAGATACAGATCGATAATAGATCCATAGATAGAATGCAGTTAATAAGGTGATTTATATAATCTAAATGCTTAATGTCAGCTTGTTAACCAATAGTTCCTCACTCTCATAAACAGTGTTTGAATACATACTGCCAATTGTTTATGCCTGCTCAAATTCTTACCAGTCCTACCATCTGATTGACCTGTCAACTCAATCTCTTTAAAACATTGCATCTTAGTTCTGATGCATTAAGTGTAGATTTTGTATGTTAATTCATAATGGAGGAATCTTATTTCTCTGATTTTGACATCTCTTCTTTCCCACTGTACTGTATGCAAGCAGTATAGAACACTTTGGAGTTAATTGTGACTGTAATATTAATTCTAGACAAACTACAACAGAAGACACATCATGGCAGAATATACTTTAATATTCCTATATTGTAACCCACAACTTTTGATCACTTTACAAGGTCAAACTTTGTTATTGCTGAGCATCACAGTAATCCAATGACTATAACAAAAAGCTGATGACCTTAACTTTCCAGGTGGCCCTAGTATAAAGCCTGACTTTGATGTATCTAAACAAGCACAAATATAGAACTCATCATGAGGTCTATTAGAATCATAAAATCTTCTGAGAGGAAGCTATCTAGAGCCACCCTGCTTAAGAGATTTAAAAGCAGACAGATCAAAGCATGTGTCATTGAGAATCCTGCTGGTTGTCATGAGAGAAGGGGTAAAATTACAAACCCATTCAGTTGTATCCATTACTGTAATGACCTGAAATAGACTAGAATGATGAAAATGAAGGGTGAGTAGCATTGGGTCATAATAATAGTAATCACATATCATGTGACAGTAGTATTGAATTTTTCTTTTGTACAGCAAAGACAGTGTTGTATTTTTTTCCTGGATAGCTATGGTAACAAGCTTTATTTCTGAATGCCTGATTTCCTGTCTATAGACCCACACATCTGAGTAATATGCCTATCCCAAACATTCATTGTGATATCAAGGATGAGTCAAAAAACAAGATGGACATATGCCAAACAATTTTATGTGAAGGGTAAAATCTGTATTTCCATTGATTACCAAACTGAATTTTGCACAGGTAAAAAGCAATGGTGTCACATAATCCTGCATCTTATCAGCTTTCACATCTCATGCTTTCTTCAATGAATATGGTGTTCAGATTATATGGTTAGGGAAAGAAGAGGCTAAAAATGCCTACATATCTAGCATGCTGAAAGAAAAAGTCTAGAACAGAAAGGTTCTCTTTTCAGGATAAGCCAGTCTCTAGAAGTTAGAGCTTAGGACAATCTCCAGGGGAAAAATTCTCGGGTGATGCTAGTTATAATTCTATGCTCCATGGAGCCTTCAATTGACTGTGTATTTCTTAGAGTTCTCCCTTTAAAATATATTTCTCTTCAAATTGACGCTATGCCTCTTTTAAATGGGCCACCCTGTATATTCTGAATGAGCTTTTTCCAGTAAAGAACTGTGTTGATGTAAATCTACGTTGGCAAGAGCGTCATCAGAGTCAGCTGGGAGTGACAGGCATGTTCTAGCCAATTCTGGACAGTGTGTTGAAATATGCTTCCCAGGCTGCAAGAGCAAATGCACAAAAGCAAGCCCACGTCTTGACAGGGGTGACGTGCTGATCAGCAAAGCCCTGGCTCTGTGAGAACATAAAATACGCACCAGGAGCATTTCTTGAGGAGAAGCCAACCAATCAATCACAGCAAGAGCCACATAATCCTTACAGGTTAAAAGGTGCCAGAGCTTACCCTTTTCCTTAGGGCAAAAAAAAAGAAAGAAAGAAAAAAATGTTTGCACATGTTGCTTGCAGGGCGCACTCCTAAGACACAGAAGATCGTATTTCCTAATAACTGCCAGCCAGTACAACTAATATAAATATGCAAGCAGGCAGTAAGAACCAACAATTCAAACTCCAAAGAGAAAGCTATACATTTCATATTTGTTTTATTAACAATTATGATAATGAAAATATTCCTGTATAAATGTTAAAACCTGGCATCATCTTGTAAAAGTATTTCATGCCAACACATAAAACCTATTTATTTAAGAAAAGCAATATCATTGTGATAATTATGTGTATAAACTGTTGTGACAAATGCAATATATATATTTTTTCAAAAATATTTTTCAGTTCTTCAATATCTAGGCTGAACATCATATTCAAGAACAGGATTTTGTGTCCAAATCATGGAAAAAATGGCAATTTCATATTAGAAAATCTGTGCCAGGGCTATACATCTGCAAACTAGCAATTTCCCAATTGTTTTTCTGTATCTTCTGTCATCTGTCTCATTCTTGGAGCATACACACACGGCCAAGATGTGAGAATAATATGACTTTACCAGACAGGAATGTTGAAGTGAAGATGACTGGGCAGACCTGGCCAGTCTGGTACCCACCACCTCTCCCCTCAATTTCTATAAATGCAGTGAGGATGAATTACTGTTTCTGGAACTAATTAAATAGACCAAAGAAACCGGCCATCCCAGCAGAGGAGTTTGTGCTTGTCTGACTACATGGTCTTAAAACCAAGGTCCTTGTCTTGAATACACAACCGTCACCACACAAAGTCCAAGACTGCCAGGTCATTGCTCATCACCAGATGGCTCTGTAAATCCCCTACTTTGAAATCCCCAGCCTTCCCCAATTCCTGCAAACTCGCCAGCGTGACTCCTAGCGTTCAGTCTGTCATCAGCAAAATCTCCTTATGCTCCTGTATCTTCAGCATGTTCTCTGACTTTCCTGCACCATCTTGCTCTGACACTACTGGCTGCCCACCGAGAATACGGATTTACTTCAGCCCTCTGATGCAGTGGCTATTTTTCCTTCCACATGTTTGTACCTCTGCCCCTAGTGAAGTAGGAGTCTTTCTCATTCTTCTCTGCTGCTTCCAGACCATGATCTCTTCCTTGCCCTAAAATGTCTTTGTAACTCACATCATTAATCTGCTCCCCTCCTAATCCAGTTTTCTACTGACCTAAAGGTCTCTCCTCTCAGTCTTTAAACATTTTAGCCCTGTCTCTCTCCAGCGCAAACTCTTACATAACTCATAATTATCTTTTCCTCCCACGGTCTCCCAGTTTCTGGATCTCCCTTCAGATAATCTTACCTGAAACCTCCTTTCCTTACCATAAGCAAGGCCTTGCCATGACAGATAACGGTGCCCCATAACCACTGTTAAGCGTCTCTCCCTACCTTCTCTCTTTCTAGCTCATCCCCTCCAGTATTCTGACTCCAAAAATCTTCCAAACCCAATGAGTCCTCCAGTGCATTGACCTTAGAAGTTGTTCTGACCCTCACCAAACTTATGTCCCCTTTTCCTTAGTGAGCTTAGAGTAAATATGGCAGCATAATCACTTCTTTGCATATCCTTTTAAAACTCAGACTTCACTGAAATATCTCATCTCTGTTAAACCAACCTTTTTCAAACCGTGCTTGTTGTGGCCTAAGCAGTCAATGATAGTTGAGGAAAAACACAACCATGATGACTTTGAATTTGTAACTACTGGCCTGAGGTGGCTCCTTAGTGCCGTCTGGGAATTTCACATTTCTCTAGACAAAGCACTCTCTCCTCCCAGAGATGATGGATCATTTCTCACCTTCTCTCTCCTCAAACCTCCAACATCTGTTCTCTGTCTTTACATTGATGAGCTTATTATTTTATCACAAAATAGAAGGAATTAAGAGACACTTTTCATACACTCTGAAACCAGATCTATCAAGATACTGACCTCCTATACTCTCAGACTGTCCTACTCTTCTTTCTCATTTATTGTGAGGACTGAACAATCAGCACTCCCATTAAGGGCAACTCCTTGGCTTGTGCACTATCTGAACTTCTCCTTACCCCTATTCCCCCAAAGCCTCCTCAAGAATATTGCTCCTGCAATTGTCCCCAGTTTCTCATGATCAAATGTCCCCTTTCTGCTGCTTCTTTCTCAAAACCACACAAACATAATACAATTGACAACACACCCTTTGCCCATATCTCATTTTTCTTCCTATCCCCTCCAACTGACTTTACAACAAAACTCCAAGAGTTAACAATTGCCACCACTTCTTTTCCCATCATCTCTTGAATCCACTTGACTTAGTCCTTTTATAAGGAGGCCTTCACCTCCAGATACTCACAACTTTGAGTAGTCCTCTCTCACACTGTACCAGGGTTGGCACATGTGAGCAGAAGAATATGGCAGAGTAATAGTGTGTTGCTGCCAAGTCTGGGTCATAAAAGTCGTTGTGGCTTCTACTTTGCACTCTCTTGAATCACTGACTCCTGTGCCTGAGGTAGGAACACCCAGCCATCCCATTACTGGGTACATACCCAAAGGATTATAAATCATGCTGCTATAAAGACACATGCACATGTATGTTTATTGCAGCACTATTCACAATAGCAAAGACTTGGAACCAACCCAAATGTCCAACAATGATAGACTGGATTAAGAAAATGTGGCACATATACACCATGAAATACTATGCAGCCATAAAAAAGGATGAGTTCACGTGCTTTGTAGGGACATGGATGAAGCTGGAAACCATCATTCTCAGCAAACTATCGCAAGGACAAAAAACCAAATATCACATGTTCTCACTTGTAGGTGGGAATTGAACAATGAGAACACTTGGACACAGGAAGGGGGACATCACACACCGGGGCCTATTGTGGGGTGGGGGGAGGGGAGAGGGATAGCATTAGGAGATATACCTAATGTAAATGACGAGTTAATAATGGGTGCAGCACACCAACATGGCACATGTATACATATGTAACAAACCTGCACGCTGTGCACATGTTCCCTAGAACTTAAAGTATTAAAACAACAACAAAAAAAAGAACACCCAGCCCTTTGGAGAAGCACAAACAGTGAGGAACTGAAGTCTTCTGCCAACAGCCAGTGTAAAGCAAGGCTGCCTGCGGACAGCACCATCTTAGAAAACTGATCTTCCAGTCCCAGATACAGCTTCAGATGACTATAGCCTTCACTGACAACTTGAGTGCAATTTCTTCTAGGAACTTTAGTCAGAACCAGCCAGCTAAGCTGCTCCCTGATTTCTCAGAAACTGTATGCAATAATAAATGCTTGTTGGTTTAAGCATTGGGGAAATTTGTTATATTCCACTCTAGTCAGTCCTGTATCATCACTACTCTACTGATCGACTTGTGTTGTATGCCACCAATTGGCTGCATGTTGCCAATGCAATGATCAATTCTCAGTTCTTATTTTAGTTGACCTATGAGCAGCATCTGCCACAGTTTATCACTTTTCTGTTGTTGTTGTTTCTTTGTTTTTGAGACAGAGTCTTGCTCTGTCACCCAGGCTGGAGTGCAGTGGCATGATCTCAGTTCATTGCAACCTCTGCCTCCTGGGTTCAAGTGATGATTCTCCTGCCTCAGACTCCCCAGTAGCTGGGATCACAGGTGCCTGCCACCACGCCTGGCTGATTTTTGTAATTTTATTTGAGATGAGGTTTTGCCATGTTGGCCAGGCTGGTCTCAAACTCCTGACCTCAGGGGATCCGCCCAAAGTGCTGGGATTACAGCCGTGAGCCACCATGCCCAGCCACTTATTTCTCCTGAAACAGTTTGTTCATTTGGCCTCCAGATATCACTCTCAATTTTTCTTCAACCTCACTGGCCTCTCTGCTGAGTTTTCCTCATTTTCCTGATTTCTAGATTTTAAAGTGCCCCAACTGTCTCAGGTCTTTTCTCTATATATACTTGCTCCCTGGGTGATTCATTCAGACTTATCACTTTTAATACCACCTACATTTTAATAACTCTCAAGTGTTCATCTCAAGTGCTAATCTGTGCTCCAAACTTCAGACTCATACATTCAGTTATCTAAGTGAAACCTCCATGCAGAAATCTAAGAGGCATCCCCAAAATAAATTTTTTAAAACTAAACTCCTGATCCACCTCCCCTAAAAATGCTCCTTCCACAATCTTCCTCAGCTTGACAAATGACAACTACATTCTACCTGTTGCTAAGTCCACAAACTTAAGAGTTATTCTTGATTCTTCTTTCTCACTCTTCACATCCAATGCATCCACAAATTCTGTTGGCTGTGTCTTCAAATGGTAGACAGAATTATGACCTTTTTTTTTTTTTTTTTTTTAACTACTTTTACCTCTATTTCTCTAGTCCACACTGCCAATACATGTTACCTGGGTTACTTCAATAGTTTAACTGGTCTCTGCTTCCATTTTCCCCACATCTTTACTTTCTACACAGGAGCCGGGATGATTCTTCCAAAACTTATGATAGACTGTGTCCCTTCCTAACACAGACATTCCTACTACTAACACTTTTTGCTTCAATACATCACAGTCATCACCAAGGAATGACCCAAGTCTTTACTACAGGCTCAAAGCACTATGTGATCTGATGCCTTTCTGTGGCTCCTACCTCATTTTCTATAACTTCCCCCCTCCCTCAAATACGCCAACCACATTTGGCGTACTTGAAATCACAATGAAATGTACTTCTGCTGGATAATCATATAGCTCGTTCAGTCATCTCTTTCAGATCTCTGCTGAAATGTCTTACATACAACTCTGTAACTCCTTACCCTGACTTATTCTTCTATACTGTACTTGTCTTTCTCTGACCCACTGGAATATTTATTTGTGTGTTGTCTTCTCCTTTATTAGAATATGTGCTCTTTAGCCTGATGCAGTGGCTCATGCCTATAATCCCAGCACTTTGGAAGGCCGAGGCTGGAGAATGGCTTGAGCCCAGAAGTTTGAGACCAGCCTGGGCAACATAGTGAGACCCCCATCCCTACAAAAAATAAAAAGTTATCTAGGCCTGGTAGCATGTGCCTGTAGTCCCAGCTACCTGAGAGGTTGAGGTGGGAGGCCTCTTGAACCCAGAGCCCAAGAGGTCAAGGCTTAGGTGAGCAGTGATCATGCCACTTTACTCTAGGCGGCCTGGACAAAAGAGTAAGACCCTGTCTCAAAAAAAAAAAAAAAAAAAAAAAGTATGCCCCAATGTATGGAAGACTGTCTATTTCATTCAGTTCTCTATCTCCAGAAGAACAATAGGTACACAGGAAACACTCAAACTATTTTTTGAATGGATGAAAAGAAAATAGGATATTTCACTCCTGACTCTCACCTTGGTGAGCTAGTGATAAAATAGAGAAAATTACCTTCAGAGTAAGATGGTTTTCTGTGTCCAGCCCCTCAGAACTGCTAGATGTGTTCTAAGAATTGTATACTTTTGCAATTCAGTAAGAAGGAAGGCACAGTCCTCACGTAAATAATGCCTCTGTTCTATGCATCAGAACACAAGTGCCACTAGTAGAATTAACACATCTGATTTGAATGAAAACAGCATTGTGTATCTATTTCAGAAGGATTATCTTGGGAAAAGTAGAAGAGCAGTAGCTAGCTGAAAGATGGTATAGATTGGTCTAATTGAACTGAGTCTCAAAGTCCAACTATTGAAAGTGTTCAGTGCACATACTTGTGGCTTAGCAAGCTTAGCATGGGGTAAGAACTCAAAATGTCACTTCCTGTTATGTGGAGTGAAGCTGTTAGGAAAGATAACATCATCATGTTTCTTTTATACATATAAATCCCTGGTGTGTGTGTGTGTGTGTGTGTGTGTGTGTGTGTGTGATGTGAGAGCGAGCGAGCGAGCAAGCGAGAGCAAGAGAGAGAGAGATGTTAGCAATCCTTCAAAATCTGATTCCAACCTACCTTCCCTAGAGGCACTCAAACTCACCTAAACCCCATGTAATCCCCATATTTGTTCACACTATTCCCTTGGTGAGAAAACACCTCCTGTCACTTCCCCTCCTTCCACACTTCACTGCAGTTCTCTCCCTGCTGAAATCTCCCATGCTTCACATTCATATCAAATTCCTTCCTAGGCCCCTCTCTCTTTGTGAAATGTGATAATAAAACCTAAACCTAATCAAGTTGCAGTGAATATTCAATGAGATCATCTAAGACAATGCTCAGTAGGGTGCCTGGGACTTCTCTGTGACTATTTCATCTCACTCATGAGGTCTTAAGTGATTCCTAGTACCAGATACAATGTCTCCCTCCCATAAATTCCAACCACTCTTTATGCTTAGTTATGGCAACTATTGTTTTATGGTTGAGTAATCATATTCTAACACCTGTTAGGTCATAATCCTTGAGAACAAAGACAATGCCCCAATAACATCCCATATAGTAATTTGTACAGTGTAGACAGAGTATGTGAGTCAAATTAAGCTTCTAGATTTCAATAGGCTCAGATCACCTTCAGTGTTCTATCAATTGTATGTTTACCTTTTATTTGAAAGTACTACTGTCTTTCAAGAGGTCTTTTTGTTAAATATATCATTTGAACTTCTAAATAATTTTATGAAACATGTATGAATTAGTAATAGTTCCACTTACAGATGAACTTAATTGTGATTTGTGGAATTTAAATAACCCTAGGATCCCACAGTGAGTAGCAGAGTTGGACTATGCAATAGATTCCTGAACCTCTTTGTATATCACAAGACTGTGCTAGGTGCTAGGGATACACCTGTGAATGAGGTAGAACTGGTTCTCCCCTTCACAAAATTTACTCCCTAGGGCAGTAGTTCTTAACTGAAAACAATCCCTCGTCCCCTACAAGGGAAAACTGGCAGTGCTTGGAGACATTTTGAATTTTCACCTCATGGTGGAAATTAATGTCATCTAGTGGGCAGTGGCCAGGGATGTTCTTAACCTCCTACAATGCACAGGAGAGCCCCCACCACAAAGCATCATTCTGGCCCAGTCATCAGTTCTGCTGAGGTTGAGCAACCCTGCTCTAGATTCGGCTTCAAAACGAAGGATGTGAAGTATCCATAGGACACAATAACACATAGGGTTGCAGAGATAGGTGCAGAACTGATGACAGATGCTTAGATGCCATGTTAAAGGTGTGAACTTTATCCTACAGGGCAGGGATCGGCAAATTACGGCCAGTGGGCGAAATTCAGCCTATTTGTTTTTGCAAATACAGTTTTATTGGAACATGCTAATGTCCATTTGTATATCTGGGCTTCTTTTGCACTACCGTGGTAGGGTTGAATAGTTGCCCCAGAGACCATAGGGTCCGCAAAGCCTAAAATATTTATTTTCTGGTCCTTTTGTTCACCTCTGCTATAGATAGTGGACAATCAAAGCAGAACTGTAGGGTAATTAATGAGACAGTATAAGTAGGACATCCTTAGTGGGAAGGAGCTAGTGGCACAAAGACAAGTTAGAATGTTATTGAAATAGATCAAACACAAATCTAAGTATTAAAATACCTGGTGGTATTGGGAGGGAACAGAACAGCAAGAGATAATAGGTGAAATAATCCATAGGCCTAGGCAGAAGGAGGGCAAGGCAGAAGTCAAATATGATTTTTTCTGGTTTTTTGGGAAGATAATGGCCAGATAAACAGAAGTAGAAAAATCAAAAAGGGGGGCACAGTAAGCTTGGTTTTGTGCGTGTTAAATATAAATTAAGAGTGGATCTTCCACGTGGAAATGTCCAGAGGAGGCATATGGAACTTGAGCCTGGGAAATGAGGTTTAAGAGTAGGGTTTATTAAAAGAGCTGACAGTTGGAATTGAACAGAGGAGAGACACTTGTGGTGCAGGGAACATACTGAATAAGGTCAAAGGAATAATTATGTAACCGGGGGTACTTTCAATTAAGGTGCTGGAAACAGAGACAATGAAAAGAAAAGGGAGATCTCATATGAATAAAGTTAATCCAGTAAATGAGACAGTATCAACAAAGAGGGATGAGCATCAATTTCAAATGCTAATAATATTTTGCCATGACTAATACTGTGCATATCAGTAAGTGACTTTAAATGCAAAGGCAATGCTGCTTTAAGTTTGTTTGTGTATGTACGTGTTCATTTGCAAAGAAAACTCTCAAGATGAATGTAAGATAATGTTTCTCTTTAATTTATAGCTGGTCCAACTCTGACTTTTCTTGGAACTTCTGTTTTTTTACTTCAACGCATATCATTGTCTTCTGAAGTTTCTATCAACAGTGTAAAATGAGGAGCTTATGAATAAAGATGTTCTTTTAAGGCCAGGTACAGTGGCTCATGCCTGTAATCCCAGTACTTTGGGAGGCTGAGACAGGCAGATCTCTTGAGGTCAGGAGTTCGAGACCAGCCTGGCAAACATGGTGAAACCCCCTCTCTACCAAAAATATAAAAATTAGGCGGGTATGGTGTTGCATGCCTGTAATCCTAGCTACTCAGGAGGCTGAGGCAGGAGAATTGCTTGAACCCAGGAGGCAGAGGTTGCAGTGAGCTGAGATCGTGCCACTGCACTCCAGCCTGGGCAACAGAGTGAGACTGTCTAAAAAGATGTCCCTTTAAGACAGTTTCTCAACGTATGGCTTCCACATCACCTGTAGGGCTTACAAAGTCGACTTTCTGGGCATCACATCAGACCTATTGTGGGTGCAGGGCTGGCTTCACAGGTGTGACCTATGAAGTTATACAGGATCCTACTCTCAGAAGGGCCTTGTGCTGGATTGAATGCAGTGCTGTTGCCATCATGAAATTTGTAATATTTATTTGCGTAACGGGCCCTGTATTTTCACTTTACCTGGGCCCTACAAATTACGTAGCCAGTGCTGTGTGAGCATTCTAGCATGGAAAGTAATTAGTTTACAGAGTAAAAAAGATTACAGGGTAGAAAAATGTGGTTCCTTACTTAGCTCTCATTTATTTGCATTGAGACATACTTTTTAAAACACCCATGTTTACACTCTTTGGAAGTAAAACTTGGAATCTACCATTGGCAGGTACAGAATTTTCCACAGAACATTTTTTTTTTTTTTTTTTTTTTTTTTTTGCATCTGTGCAGCTACCAGGTAAGAACTTAATAATTACAGTGTGGGAAAACAGAGTACCAACATACTTTCTGCTTAGGGATTAGCATCACCCAATCCAAGTTCAGTGTGTTTACCTGCAACTAAGGGATTGAGAACAGAAGAACTTCTGCAAGAACAAATGTCCCTCTTCCTATGGTGGAAGTATCAGTGGTTCAGGTTGGTATATTAGATGGTTTGAGGTTGTACAAAGATGGTGTTTGGCATAGCTGATGTGGCTTATTGAATTTTAAAATGTTGAATTAAATAAGGAGAAGCTTATTTCCTTTCCAAATCCCTTTCAGTAATTCTTATTACCTTAAGAAGAAAGACTTAATTGTGGTCTTTCATATGTCTATATTATTTGCTAAATGCCATTTTAAACAGAGAACAGACCTCAGGCTCAGAGTCTTTGGAAGGTCATGGTTATCTAGCTAAACTTGAATCTATTTTGCCTTGTTTATTGTATATTTTTTCAATTATCTTCTATGCATAATAAATGACGCTAGTTCCAAATTACAGTAATATACAAAGCTTTATTTTTAAACATATGGCCTTTTAAATAAAAATGTAAGTCTACTAGAAATATTAAATGTAAACAGTATAAATGGCCCACAGTTGCACCTAAAATTGTGAAGGTGATTCAAGAATGATCAATGTGTTAGTGAAACTGCTATTCTTATTAGTAAGAAGGCTTTATTAAAGGAAGCCTGGTTCTATTCAGAGGAGAACTGTAGAAATCAGCCTTGTGCATTATCAGCCTGCAATTCATATATATTTTAGTTATTAGTATCCATAAATCATACGCTGTTCTATTTGGCAATCACTCAATAGAAGGTCATAAAAAAAATCACACTGCACAAAATAAAGCAAAGTAAAACAAATACTATTAACCTAAAGAAGGCAAACAAGCAGGAATGATAATCCAAGTAATCTTAAGTCAGAAAGTTGCTTGCTTCAAAAGGTCAACAATACACACTTCACCATTTATAAATGTGAAATTAGCCATGTATGAAAAAAAAAAACCAAAAAACTGGTACCCTACTAATAACATGAAGAGGAAGCCACTTTATTTTAATAATAGCTAATTTAATCAGAGGGTTATCTCAAAAGGGTAATGGGGAAAAATTGGTCTCAAATTACTGCAATTTAAAAATGATATATATAATATTTAACTGTATAAAAATATTTATATTAAAATAATATTTCTATGCTAAACCCCTTCAAAAAGGTTTTCTATTATTTTAGTTCTTCTGAAGATCTACTTTGGAAAAATGGTACTTAATTTCTGCCAGTTAAAATTTCTCCAAATTAAAACACTGAAAATGAAACTATGAAGGGTTTTTTTTTGCAAATTTCTCAAAATCTTGACATTTCTTTTGTAAGCTTAGGTCTTGATATATAATTTAACTGTTATGAATTCTAAAAGATAAGGATTAGTCATCAGAATTTAACAAGCTAGTTATTCAGTAATTTCCCAAGAATCATAGATACATTTACACAGATTTTTTTCAGAAATATAACAGGCATAAATAATTTTCAAAGTATAAGCTAAATATTAAAATGCATGTATTTGACAAATTATTGTGACAGAATAATAAGATACAGAATCATTCATATACACCAAAGCCAACTATACCAATCTATGTGCATGTAAACCCAAAACATACACACACACACACACACACACACACAGAGACACACACTGAGTCATGGTGACAAAGTCCACACAAATGGTTAATCATTGAGTTCAAAGTTTTTTTCCACTATGGCAATCAAAACCAACATCACCAGGACTTCTAGTCTGGAAGGGTATGGATCCCCCTGGGTGTTCAGCATAAAAGACACAGCAACAGAAGGTATGTTTCTCAATCGATCAAAAAACAACTATTTATTGAATGTATATTATACAGGTGGCACTTGTACCTTCACAGTGGATACAATGATTGATGAATGTGGAGGTTCTTACTTTTTTTTTTTTTTTTTTGAAATGGTATCTCCTCTGTTGTGCAATGGTGCAATCTCGGCTCAAAGCAACCTCCGCCTCCTAGGTTCCAGCGATTCTCCTGCCTCAGCCTCCCGAGTAGCTCGGATTACAGGCATGCACCACCATGCCCAGCTAATTTTTATATTTTTAGTAGAGACGAGGTTTCACCATGTTGAACAGGCTGGTCTAAAACTCCTGACCTCAAGTGATCCACGTGCCTCAGCCTCCCAAAGTGCTGGGATTACAGGCATGAACTACCGCACCCGGCCGGTTCTTACTTTTTAGGAACTTACAGTCCAGCTACATACTTGAAATACAAACATGAACTAGAAGACAGCATAACATAGAAAATGACAAATAAATGTCAACACATTCAGTCTGAGAGCCCAAGGAAAGAAAGATTGCACCCAATGAAGGTAGGTAGTTTTGGCCCTGTATACATTTGCTTACGAAAACCAAAAGTCAGACCACCAACTCAAATGTTTCCACTTTGTTTGCTCTTATTAAAGCTTACACTTTTTAAATAATATATTGAATCACAGAAAACAATCTCTGAAACACTATTTCTGAGAAGAAAGACAACAATATTAGCTTCTAGTCCCAGAGATATTTCCATTCTAAAAGGAAATATCTCAAGTCAAAGAGACTATTCTATAATGTGGAATTTGGCATGAAGGCTGGCAAAGTGGAAATGGAAGGATATTGTTTTGAGGTAAGATGGGTCTTGGTCCTCCTCTATCTGGCCACCTAGGTCACTCAAAGAGAGCCTGTGAGTCAGGCCAGATCTTGTTACCAAGCAGTTTGCTGTTCTGTTGCTTAGTGACTTGAACTAGCCGGCCATCATTCCCAGCTGGCTCTTCCAGAGTCAAACCTTAACAGATTTCTGACTTGATCTTTCTCCTTAGAGCTCAAGACTTTTTTCTTTCCCTGAATGATTGACTATAAAATTATTCTCTGGCTGGCTTTGTTTTTACACCTCTTATGTAAAAACAACCCTGAATCAAATGTTCTCCATTGACCCCTTTTCACCAAGGACATATATTTCTCCTACACACACATATTTTTATAAGAATATTTTATAAGGATGTCAACTTCTATACAAGCCACATGTGTAAACTAATAAACTGAGATTCCACACCAAAAAAGGGCTCTGTCTCTACCTTTCTGTTAACTACTATTTTGTAAAATCTTTGAATATTCATTGTTATAACTTCAATACACATGCAGGGTAGGGTAACAAATGTGAATGTGATTCTTAGCCCAAAGGAAGGTAATGCTGAAAGAAAGAACACACGATGGAGAGTTAGGAAGACTTGGGTTCAAGTTTTAATGCTATTGGTTTCATAGCTGTTTAGCTGAAAGATCTTGGTTATGTAAGAACTTTTTCTGGGCCTCAGCAGCTGCATATGTAAAGTACGGTTAACAATACTTACATCCAACCTTGGTTGTTTTAAGGGGTTAATGTACACAAAGTACCTGACACATGGCAGGAGCTAAATCATTGACGTCTATGTTATAATTAATCTAAGGTTATAAAGCTATATTATTATGAACCTAAGTGTTTTTATTCCAAAATGAAATCATGTAATTTCTTCTCAGATCAACTTTTCAAGATCTCCTTTTGAGAATAAGTGCCTCATCTGAAATACTTGGAGAGTATTTATGTCCTTAAAACTGCACATAAAATGATTTTTCTGTTTTGCTTATTTACAGTAGAAGAGACTGATGTGTTAAGATGGTATAAAATTGAAGTCTAGTAAAAGAGAATTTTAAATTAGAATCTTTACAGTGATCTATACATTTCCCTATCTGTTACCTAAAATTATGCCTTTCAGATGGTGGCCTAACGTGAATACCACCAATACCTTCATTCTGAAGGCCCTGAATCCTATTTATGAGTCACAGAATTATTAAATAATTCTGTTTCCTGTTTTTACCCATGTAGCATCTACCTTACTTTCTTACAGCAGCAAGTTGGAACTTGTTTCTAATTGCTAATCTTAAATAGACTGTAGTTTGTTATCACTTTGTAAATTTAATTAGTCATTACTTTTTACTTGTAAATGCCAAATGCCTTTATAACCATATGACTTATTAATAGAGTCTCCAAGTCAAAAAGGTTGAATAACTAAGGTCAAGTATCAAATGACCAGAAGACCTGGAAATATGTGATTTCAATATACTGAATGAATCGCAGCTTTAAAAACATGATTTTTTAAAAAGCAAAACCATTAAAAAAAAGACATTATTTTGCTACATTAGAGATAGTAAAGCTTCTTCCTGAAAGTGCTACTTGAAGAACAAATTTGGTAGCTTTCTATCTAAGAAAAAAAAAGTGCTGAAACTCCTTTAGTTATCTGAATACATAGGAGCTTTTCAATTATAAAGAAATTTACACAAAGAATATTTTTTAAAAAATCAAAGCCATGATTTTCATTATTTTAATGAACTTTAAGATTCAAGTTTTTATTTTCTTCTTATCAACATTTCTGCCAAGTTTGCAAGAAAGACCATGTCTTCTTAAGAAGAGATTTTACCATCAGTAGCAACGGCTTCAGCTCGTACGAACAGGCTTCACATCTTTTCTCTTTAAGATAAATGTCAATGGTCATGGGAAGCACACGTGAATAATAAGCTGCAAGGTTATCCAAGGTTTTCTTCACTTTTTTCTCAATGCCAATTGTCATAATGTAATCCCTGTAATTCCTTAAACATGACAAGCCAATCGGCATGTTCTTTAAAAGGAAAATCTTCCTCAGGTCTTTTGATTTCGTGGAAAGCCAACTATGCCTTTCAAATGGTACAGACACCCTCAACTTGCAGCGCCTCCACCTCCCATGATTTCCACAGAGGGCAACAGCCAGTTATGCCACAGACATGGCTGAAGGTTAGGGCTGACTGGTCTTCCCCAAACATTCCAGCAGCACTTCCTGGTGTGCTTCTCAGATGATTTCCCCCAGAAACTTGCTCCCCACCTTCTGGTATTACACTTTGCCTACAGCCCTCCTCTGGGTTCCTAGTTCCCAGGAGACTGGCAGCAATGCTCTTCTCCGGGTATTATTACCATAAGAGACAGAGAAAAGATAACCTTAAAGCTAAGCAGGGCAGAAGTAAGAGAGATGGAACGAGGGAGAAAGAGACCTCAAAGAGAAATCACTAAATAATGGCTTTGAAAATCTACTCAGTTGTTTGTGTGTGTATATGTGTATTTTTACTCTACAAACTCTAAGTGGCTGTATTTCTCTTTTATAGGTGACAAATGGTTTCTTTCCCCTTCTATGACTTGCAAATTTATATTTCTCTTAACAACCATAAAAACAACTACAGTTGCTGAAGAAATAATGACTCAGAAAGCAAATGTTTACTTTTAAATATGAGCAACTTTACATCTAATGCCAATGCCTGATAAAGAGAAATTTATAGTAAACAAAAAATATGGCCAAAATCACTTATTTAGCTTCCTAAACACATTTAAGATTTATTAAAAGTCTCCTAAAAGGCCTTTTGAAAGTCCACCTAAAGAAATTATTTTGTTGTTAAGATTGTTACTAAGTACTTCTTCTACTGTTGGATATGTTTTAATTAAAAATACATATGTGTATACAAGAATTATAAAAATTATACAGTTGAGTATTACCTAGTCACCATGATTCCTAAAGATATCCTACTACCTAATTTCGCTTATATACACGCTGGAACATTTTCCTCCATTCAGTGCATCGAGCACAGTATAAATTGACAATGTTTTCATCTAGTCCTTAATCAGGAATATAATCCCCATGAAATTACTTATATTAGAAAACTGTATTTGGTTTTAATTATATTTGGAATTAAAAATGTTTTTGAGAGATATATCATAAATAACAAACCTGATGCATCTTAGTGAATGCTACCCATGAATATTAGTTTTTAATGGTTAATGTTTTCAAAGTAGCTTGAAAATATTTCACTATGTAGCCTAAATTGACTGTTAAATTCAGGAAATTACATCTTCATTTCCGTTATAGTAAAATGACTCAATGTTTTTCATTGTGACATTCACTTAGATTGGAGTGTGATACTGACAGCTATAGTAACAATATTTTAAGAGTATAAACAGCTGGGTTTTTAGAGGCAAATTGACACAGAGTTGTGCATTGCTTATTCTAAGTTCTGAGAAATGTGTCATTAGGCAATTTCATCATTGTGCAGACATGTTAGAGTGTACTTACACAAACCTAGATGGTATAGCCTATTGCTCCTAGCCTACAAACCTGTACAGCATGTTATTCTACTGACTATTGTGGGCAATCATAACACAATGGTTAAGTATTTGTATATCTAAACATAGAAAAGGTACAGTTAAAAATACAGTATAAAAGATAAAAAATGATATACCTGTATGGGGCACTGACCACGAATGCAGCTTACAGGACTGAAAGTTGCTCTGGGTGACTCAGTGAGTGAGTGGTGAGTCAATGTGAAGGCCTGGGACATTTCCACACACTACTATAGACTTTATAAACACTGTACACTTAGGCTACACTTAATTTATAAATATTTTTATTTCTTTGATATAAGTTAATTTTGGTTACTGTAACTTTTTACTTTATACAACTCTTAATTTTCTTTTAATTTTTTGGCTCTTTTGTAATAACACTTAACTTGAAACACTAACATTATACAGCTGCACAAAAATATTTTCTCTATATCTTTATTCTATAAGCTTTTATTTTTAATTTTTTTTTACTTTCTAAATATTTTTGTTAGAAACTAAGACACAAACACACATTAGCCTAGGCTTACACAAGGACAGGATCATCAGTATCATTATCTTCCTCCTCCATATCTTGTCCCACTGGAAGCTCTTCTGGGGCAATAACATGCATGGAGCTGTCATCTCCTATGAGAACAATGCCCTCTTCTAGATACCTCCTGAGGGACCTACCTGAGGCTGTTTTATAGTTAACTTTTGTATATAAGTAGGAGGAGTACTCTTTAAAACAATGGTAAAATACATAAATACATAAACCAGCAACATAGTTATTATTAAGTATAATATATAACTATATATGCTATATGTTTATGGGACTGACAGCATGGTAGGTTTGTTTACACCAGCATGCCCACAAACACAAGAGTAATTAATGCATTGTGCTATGACTTCACTAGGTGATTGGAATTTTTCTGGTCCGTTATAATATTATGGGACCACCATCAAATATGCAGTCCACCATTGACTGAAATGCTGTTACATGTGTGTACTGTTGAGCATTTTAAAAAATGATCCAGGTATATATATATGTGTGTATATATATGTAGGTATATAGATATATATATGTGTGTGTGTGTATATATAGGTACACAGGTATATATATGTATATGGGTACACATATGCGTATATGTGTATATGGGTACACATATGCGTATATGTGTATATGGGTACACATATGCGTATATGTGTATATGGGTACACATATGCGTATATGGGTACACATATGCGTATATGGGTACACATATGCGTATATGGGTACACATATGCATATATGTGTATATGGGTACACATGTGTATATGTGTATATGGGTACACATGTGTATATGTGTATATGGGTACACATGTGTATATGTGTATATGGGTACACATATGTGTATATGTGTATATGGGTACACATATGTGTATATGTGTATATGGGTACACATATGTGTATATGTGTATATGGGTACACATGTGTATATGTGTATATGGGTACACATATGTGTATATGTGTATATGGGTACACATATGTGTATATGTGTATATAGGTACATATGTGTATATGTGTATATGGGTACACATATGTGTATATGTGTATATAGGTACGTATGTGTATATGTGTATATAGGTTCATATATGTGTATATATGTATATAGGTTCATATAGGTATATATAATATATGTATATAGGTACATATATGCATATATATGTATATATACACACACATATTTTATATATATATTCACAACTCTATTCCTATACTACGTACTAAAAAAGAGCAAACTGCTTAAGGATATATATATATATATATATATATATATATATATATATAGCTTGCTCTTTCTCATTTTATAGTATGGCATATTATGGAGATATATATACATGTACCATCTCTATATATAAAATGGTAAACACACAAACAGGACACATACATATGAAGTTAAAAGACAATGACATTCAAGGAAGAACACACTGATTTCAGGATCCTCTGCGAAGGAAGAAGAATAGGATGGGTGACAGCTTTAGACATTATCTGTAACATTTTATTCTTAAAAAAATAAAAGAACTGATGCAAACAATGACAAAATTTTGGCATTTTAAAAATCTGAGTCTGGGGTCAGGGGAGCGGGTAGGGATAGCTTTAGGAGATATACCTAATGCTAAATGACGAGTTAATGGGTGCAGCACACCAGCATGGCACATGTATACATATGTAACTAACCTGCACATTGTGCACATGTACCCTAAAACTTAAAGTATAATAATAATAAAATAAAAAATAAAAAAAAATCTGAGTCGTGGATATATAGATGTGTATTATAAAAATATGAAAAAATTATAACTTAAGTGATTATAATGCTAAATTACTTTTTAAAAGAATATGTGAAGATAACAGGTTTTATGACTTAAATATGACTAAACAGCAACTTTTAAGTTCCCAAAGACTGAAAACCAGCATTTCTACCTTGTTCTTCTAAAACTTATTTAGGCCTTACACCCCAAAACTGTGCTTAAAATTCAATGACGAGAAAAGCCTGAAGAATGTGAAGAACTTCCTGATTTCAATTTTCCTGAAATAAACTAGTACTGGAAGTTAAGTTTTCTTCACCAGAGATTCCATTGACTTTGTAGTTCCTGCTGATGATAGAGGGAATCCCCTACCAGATGAAATCTGAATCATGTCTATAATCACTAGAACTACAAGGCATTGCATGTTTAGTAAAAGCAGTCAAACAGATTAGTGAAAAGCAGAGACACAAGAGAATTCTAATCCTAACAGATGGTGCCAGACCAAAACCAGTGCTCAACACATACTAGCTAGTGATAAAACTATTACTAATAAGCATTGAGAGTATCAGAGACAAGAGGCGCAATAGAAATCTGTTCCTTGAAGGAAGGAACGGATTACTTCCAGTTGGGAGAACTGGAGGAACCTTTTAGGAAAACCAGGAATTTGAAAGATGTATTTTTGCAGTGGGCAGAGAAGAGACACCAAACCCCACAGTTCTGCCTCAGTAGTATCTCTCATTTCTGCCTTCTCCTTTCCTACAGTAATAAAACTGACATACACTCGTTTCTTTCAACTCTTGTCTCTTCACTCTAATTCATCCACAAATGACTGACAGAGTAATCATCTAGAAATTTAAACATGATCCTAAAGGTTCATGCAGACCAAGGCTGGAATAATGGGCACAGAGTACATAATAAAAAAAATACTAGCTTATAATGACACCCACTAAGGGTCCAGCCCTGTGAAACCACTTAATTTATACATAATTGTACTTAATTAAACCACAACCCCCAATAGATACTATTCCCAGAAAACTGACTAACGGGGAAACTGAAGCACACGTTAAGTAACTTGACCAAAGTCACACAATTACTAAATGCAAAGTAAGAATTTAAGTTTAGTCTCTTTTCTAACTGCTTTGGTGCTGAGTGACATAGCACCTAGAGTATGCTGTCAATTCAGTAGCTATTCTTTAAATGGATCATGAAAACCCAAGAGAAGTCTAGATAAAAACTACCTGGTAAATATAGCATATAGAAATGAAATAACAGGATGTTTACTTAAGAAAAGAGAAGTCCCTTTTTTTTTTTTTTTTTTTTTGGTGACAGAGTCTTGCTCTGTCACCCAGGCTGGAGTGCAGTGGCACAATCATGGCTCACTGCAACCTCCGCCTCCTGAGTTCAAGTGATTCTCGTGCCTCAGCCTCCTGTGGAGCTGGGATTACAGGCACACATCACCATGCCTGGCTAATTTTTTGTATTTTTAGTAGAGACGGTGTTTCGCCATGTTGCCCAGGCTGGTCTCAAACTCCTGAGCTCAGGGACTCCGCCCTCCTCAGCCTCCCAAAGTGCTAGGATTATAGGCATGAGCCACCATGCTTAGCCCAAGAGAAGTCTTTTTTAAGAGCATGAGAACACTAAAATATTGATTAATGAATTTGTTTAGCAGACATTTATTAAGCTTCCACCATTGACCAGCCATCATGCCAAGCATGGGTATACCAAAATGAATGAATAGGGCCCTGGTTCTCTGGTGGGTTACTCCAAGCCACTTGCCTTAGGGCTTCATAATGGAAGGGAGCAAAAATTCAAGTTGTAGGATTCCCAAAGCAGATCTTGGATCCATGGATGATAGTTGCAGGGAAGGAGACTTCTACTGTTTAGAAGCAAGGTCTTTCCAATCAACAGCCCTATCAAACAACAGAAGTGCTTCTGTATAATCTTCATCAAGGAGGTTTGACGAGAGGTTCAAGGACTTGTTATTACAGATGTTATTCTAAGAATTCAACAATGGCATATGTTATTACAGATGTTATTCTAAGAATTCAACCATGGCATAGAGGGTAAATCAGATAGCCCTTAACATACTATATAACCAAGATAGATTAGCCACCAGCACTTTACCTTATGCCTTGGAACAGAGCTATGTTTCCCAGCCTCCTTTGCAGTTAGATGTGGCCATAGAACTGAGTTCCAGCCAGAAGAAAACGAGTATAAGTGACATGTGCACTTCCCGGCCTGTCTCATAAAAGTTCACACATACCATCCTCTTTCATGGTCTTTCTCCTGATTCATCTGAGCCTGGCAACCTTGGGAATCACATGTTGCAAATAATGGAACCACAGGATGGTAGAATTCCAGGTCCCTGAGGCACCCAGTGGCTAGGGCAGGCTGCCTCCCCACAAAAAGCAGAAGCAAGAAATAAAAATTCACTGTGTCAATCCAATGAGATTTGGAGACTATTTTGTAGAACAGCAAGATTATCTTAGCTAAAACAGATGTCTTCCAATATTATTGATTTATTCTACCATGGTATAAATTATTGGAAACCAACAAATGGTTCTTGCTCAACTTTGTAATAATTAGGTACAGAATAAACATGTTAGACTCAGTAGGTATTAAGTGTATGCATAGCGAATGGAGGGGAATACCAGGAGCAGGAAACTGTGAGGCAGAACACTGTACTAGCAACAAATTAGATACAAATATATTTATATTTATGTCAGAACAATTTGAAACATATTTTCAAAATTCTCCATAGTGCTTAGCACAAACTGTGAAAGCACAAATGAGATTTTTGTCAAAAGATGCCTGTGGATATTATGAACGTCTTGGGGCTCATTCAACCAATATGGAAAACTTGAGATACTCTTTCCAACTCCCTTGCCTGATAGTTTTAGTCCATAGGGGAAACTGCTTCCTTCTGAGTTACTGAAAATCGATACCATGATTTTTATTTCTGGTTTCCATTGCTCTCTTTATGCTTTTCTTACTGGGCTGTGACCTGATACACTAAAATGAAATATTGATAGAAATTGTGCTCATGAAGTTTTTCCAAACAGCACCAGAAAAGGAAGTGCCAGAAATGTCAGAAGAAAGCCTATTTTCATGGGATTTCCTGCCTTCCTTACATCCCGACATGTCTAAATAGTTCAGATAACCTCCAGCTGAACTCTAGGTTGCTCCACTCAGACTGAAATCAAACAGCTGAGTTGAGGGCCACTCATTCAGCAATGGGTGCAATTTAGGAACTGCAGTGATAAAGCAGCGCAACCAAAAGGGACACTGGACACGGAAATTCTGGTCCTGGCTCCGTAGGAACTCATGCCAGCTCTCCTGCTCTGGCACCCGATGCCTGGCCTTGAGCCAACCTTCTCCTTCAGTGCATCTCCCAGTGTTTATTCATGCCTTTCTTTTATTCACTGTTTGTTGCTCACAATTTTTTCCAAAAAGAAAATCTTCCTCAAAGAGAAGCCATCATTTCCCAATAACTGCTTTAAGACAGAAAAAGTCAATGTTTGTCTCACTCCTCTTATGGCCATTACATCTACCAAACTCAGAAATGCCATCTAGGTGTTAAAATCCTGGGGACAATAACACTTTCCCAGTCAGAGATCTAGCTACTTAAAACCAAATTTTTGAGGTTGGTCATGTCTTTGGGTGTGACATGGCTTTTATTTCCTTTGTCATTGACTTTCATCTATAACATCAATGCATTCCTGAGCACGGTCTTGTCACTGGTTTAGGTTTTAATTCCTTTTACTTTTTGCTGCTTTCCTCCTAAAAGCCTTGTTTCTGCTTTTTTTTTCCCTCCCATTGCTAACGTACATACTGTTTAGTTAGTTATGGCAAAACTGTAAAAAATTATTTAGTCATACAGTTTCTCAACTAACACACTCATTCTTTTTTGTTATGTTTTCTTTATCATAATTTATACTCATCTTATCAAAATGTAGATGTAATGTATAGAACCTACTACTACCTGAAATTATCTAAGTGTGTAACATAGACCCTAGTACTTGGACTCACTGATCAGAGTTTGGAATGGCCTCTACTCAGGCAGAAACTCCAAATACTCCAAATAAGCTCACATGATGGTCTGTTTTAATATTTGGGTTTTTCTTCTTTTTTTTTTTTCCAAGAGCAGGAAAAGATGAGGAATCCTCCAGAAAAATACATGGAAGCATATGCATGAAACAAATTCACCCATTATAAAGAAGATAAAAATATTCACAAAGAAAATAAAAAGATTGGCAAAATGTTCTAACAATCCAAATTCAAAGAACACAACAATACTACCAAGTACCAGCCTGCAACTTTCTGCGTAGAATTCCTAATCCCTTTCTTCTTTCCTTTGGAAAGGCATGTTTAAGATTATGAATACTGTATATCAAAGTCAGGAGTGAGGAAGGGCTTTATGAAGACACACCACCATTACACACACACTGTATGTGTCTCTGTCCAAGTGGGGATCATGCAGAAAACAGAGCAAACTATGATTTTCCTCCCCTCATTTCTGGTCCTTTCTTTCCTCAGCTGTTGGGGAAGCTGGCAGGGAAATTGGTTTAAGGAATCAAAGAAACGCCACTACGTACGTATGGGAATAAAACTGCATTCTTATTTGACATCTGGCATCCAATTTTCTTGTAGGAACTTGCAATAGGAATTGAACTTTGAGAACCACCCACCTCAACCACTCCTAGTACCAGTCTCCAGGATTCTTGCCCTGACTTGGACATTTGTGGGATTTATGGTTAAGGGAGATCACTTGGCCATAAATCCCCGGTGAGGAATGATGATGGTCCTCCCTCCCTACCCCCAAAATTAAAGGCGCGAGAGCAGGACTCCCTGAAGGGAAACGGCCACCATTTCTGCGAGGTCTGCGCAAACCTTACCATGTATGTGCCACCGTGAAACGCCGCTGTTTGGGGATGTTGCTGCTGAGAAGCATTCTGCGCAGAAGCCTGGGGGAATTTCTCGGAGAGATCACTGGAGAGAGCTTGGGAGAAACCGATTTCCTCGCTGTCTTGGACTTCTCATGCTGCAACAGGTTTTCTCGCAAGGATTTCACAAGGTCTTCGTTCAGCCACGGGTTTGGACAATGCGGATTATCCACTTCAGGTACTGTTAAAGTGTCCGGGCTTGTCTGCTGAGCCATTTTCCTGGTCAACTTTGTACAGCTGGCAAGAATCCAGGGCAACGTGGTTCCCTCGCTCACGGTCCCGGAAATGTCCAGGGAAGCAGGTCTGAGCCTGCTGCTGTTAGTGCATTCAGTCGCCTGCCTCAGTCTCTCTGTAGAGCCTGGGGCTGGGTGCAGAGGAGGCGAGCGCACTCCTCCGCGGAAGCGTATTAAACGTCACCCCTCCTCTCCCAAGCCCCTGCCAAAGATCACTGACAAGCTCGCATAGCAAATGAACAAGGAGGGAAAGCACCGCGCTCGCACGGCTTTGTCCGTGCTACAAAGCAGCCTGTTAAACTATTGGAACTAATGCGCCGCAGCTGCGCGAGTGACTTCTGCTGCTTATGTACATAAAAAGTCCTGGGGGGAGGGCTTAACCATCAGATGCCTGCTGCTGGGTTGTTTGGCTAGTCTTTCCATTTGCTTATTCCTGAATCCAAAGGAAAGAAAAACTTTGAACTTGACCTTCCTCTCCCGCAGGGCTATTTATCTCCCTACAGTCCACGTTCATAAAAGAAAAATGCCAATCCTTTGTTTTTTTCTCTCTTTTTTTTTTAATAAGGGAAGAATAAACAAGCACTAGCTACACAAGGAGAAATACTTCCCTGCTTACTAAACTCAATCTGATGAACCACATAAGACAAATCCCATGAGAATGAAATTGACTTTTTCTCCCTCTGTCTCTAGTTAGAACCCAAACAAACAAAAGGTTTCAAAATACTACACATGGAACGCTTTACAGGTTGCAGTTGTGTTCTACAACCTTATTAATTAGGGCCCTTTCAAAGAACTAACAACACTATTTAGACTCACAAATGATATGTTTTCTCTTTGCATTTAAACTAATGCCCCTCCAGAAGGACAGATAGTTTTCATAAGAGTAGTTTCAATTACTATTTGTGATATATACAATTTTATGTATTCAACTATAAGAGGGTGGAATACATCTAGCTTTTCGTGATTTCCTTTATTGCCTTTTAATGTAAGATTTTTATGTGTGATGAATAGAGCTTCAACAAACTTATTCAGAGAGCTTAAAAGAAATAATTTTGCAATTGGAAAAAAAGTAAAAATGTTGTAACAAGAAAGTATGAAGTAAAGCCTGTTAAATCTCATTTATGTGGACACTAGAAGTGCAGACATTAAACAGCATTGGAAAGAAACTCAAACCTTTGCATAGGGAAGTTCCCAGTAGCTTAGTGATGCTACAGACCATGTGGGATTGAAATCAAATCACATCTCTAACGATCTAGGAATATTTTATGTTTCTTAAAAACCCAATAACTTAGGGAGCTACAAAATGCATCCAGAAAAAAAAAAATGGAGACTGGAATGATTCTTTTTGTTTCCTATGATTACTATTAGGTCAATTTTAAAAGTTTATTCTGTTTCCCTGCCCCCCTGGTTGCTCCATTTTAAGTTCCAATTCCTTGTCTTTTAAATGTTTACAGAAAAGTGTACTCTGAGGTTCTATTCACAGAAGGACAGGGTCAACCACTTGGTCCATCTTTCCTGTTAGCATGCCCACAACAATTCAATGACACATAAGTGCTATGACTTCATCAAAAAATGTTAGACAAATATTTGAATTTGAAGAATCAGGATATGATTATTCTTATTCTCATAATTTTTACCAATATAAAAGTTTTTGTCACTTTACATCATTAAGTGGCAAGGTATGTGTGTGCATGTGTGTGTGTATTGTCTATATATATACTATATTTCTATACAGTGGGCTGAGGGACTGAACGGCCTTAGAAGTTGTGCAAAACAGGTGTGCAATGCTTGCCCTCAAGGAGCTTGTAACTTAATGGAAAGGATTGGACAATACTTAGAAAAACATACCAGAACAACTGGAAAATGAAATAGTCAGATGCAGAAAAGTACAATGAAAATGAAATGCGTATATGATGAGAAAACTCTGGGTAAAGTTTAAGAAGGGAAGGTTCAGAAATTAATGGAAAGAAAGAAAAGAAAGAAGTGCACTTTACGAGTAAAAACTAGAATGAACAAATGCAATTAAAAATGTATTTGTACATGTTTTTAGTTTTGTGCAAAACAAAACAAAACAAACGACAACAAAATTAAAGGCTCAGCAGTCTGTAGACACAAAGCCTGTTCAGGTTCAAAGAAATAAAAAATTCAGATGATAGGATAAGTGAGAAAAACTAATATGTATTAAACTGAAATGGCAAAAAAAAATATTTTAGAAAAAATCTCTAGTTTCTGAAGACTCAGTTCCATTCAACAAACATTTATGGGCATTTATTTTTTGCCAGACACTATAATGGGTGCTCTAGGATATTTAAAGATTAGCTTGGCCAGGTGTGGTGGCTCACACCTGTAATCTCATCACTTTGGGAGGCCAATGCAGGAAGATCACTTGAGCTCAGGAATTCAAGACTAGCCTGGGTAACATAGCAAGACCCCGTCTCTATAAAACATTAAAAAATAGCTGAGTGTGGTGGCATGCGTCTGCAGTCCCAGGCTACTCAGGAGGCTGAGATGGGAGGATTGCTTGAGCCTGGGAGGTTGAGGCAGCATTGAGCCATGATCATGCCACTGCACTCCAGACTGCATGACAGAGCGAGACCCAGCCTCAAAATAAATAAATAAATAAATAAATAAATAAATAAAAAGGTTAGCTTGATACTATGTCTCTATATCTGCCCTTGGGGAGCTTATAGCCTAATAGGATAGATGACAAGTGCAAAATGATTGACATGAAAAAGTGCAGCCCAAGTACCCAGACGAGATCTTGGAGGCTGGAGATATTTAAATGTCTGGCTCTAAGTAGAGAAAAGTGATTCTTAGTGACCAAGTAAAGGAAGAGATTATACTAAAAATGATATGGGCGACAGAGCGAGACTCCATCTCAAAAAGAAGGAAAGAAAGAAAAAGAAAAAGAAAGAAAGAAAGAAAGAAAGAAAGAAAGAAAGAAAGAAAGAAAGAAAGAGAGAGAGAGAGAGAAGAAAGAAAGAAAGAAAGAAAGAAAGAAAGAAAGAAAGAAAGAAAGAAAGAAAAGAAAGAATGATATGGGCAATAATAGGGAAATTCATTGAATGCAAGGGACTCTGGGTTCTAGTTCTTGCTTTTAGCCACCTTGTAGAAGAGCTTACAAAGAGTAAACTATTTACATGCTGATCTTCTCACAAATAGTATGCCATGTAGAATGTTCAGAGAGTCTGGGCACTTTGTTAATGATCACAATTAAGCTAAATAGTAGATATAACAATATTCTATTCAAAATGCATTGATCATTATGGTTAAACATGGACAAAAGCATTCTGCAGATCTCCCATTGCTTTGGTGTATGTTAAAGGATTTCAGTGTATTTGGTTGGTGCAAAAGTAATTACAGTTTTTGCCATTAAAAGTAATGAAGCAGGATTGAGAGTTTCTTTACAGGTCCCCATATCCCATTATTATTATTGATTCAATTTCCTAATGCTTACTGTTAACCTCCTAAATCTGCCAAATGATACATGATATGCATACTGCTTTTTAAAAATACAAAATTAATTTTGTTTTGAGAATTCTTGGCCAGTCCTTGAAATAACTTGAAAAAGCCTGCAGTGTTTCAAAGTCATGCTTGAAAATTGCTGCCTTAGGAAACACAAATTGTAAGATTCTGAAGATAACCAAAGGTGGGTGAGGTTTGGACAGACTGGCAATTTTTTCTTATGTTAAGGCAGAGGGTCAGAGGGTGCTCTTCCAACAGGAGCACTCCACAGCTTGTGTTTTTCACAAAATCTCTTTAAAATTAGCTGCCAGGAACTTGTCTGAAAAACACTGTACAGTAAGTGACAGCCAAATAAGGCCTCAGGTTTTAACAAGTGGAAATTTGAAAGTGGGCGAAATGTTTTGATAAAGTCACCCACGCCTAGAACAGCAGATAACATCTCTTAACTTCATGAAAGTTTTCCTAGATACCTCTTTGTGGATTTTCAAAATTTGTGGGATTTTTTAGATTATTTGGAATCCTTGAAAATGTTTTGTCTCATTAATCATTTATAGGTGGTAACAAGGAAGATGAGATTTTCACAGGTTCTGACACAAAAAGTGTGCTTTTGTCTAGGTACAAACAAGCAAGGCTAGATTTCCCACAATGGAAAGAGAGCAATGATGTGGCTAATTCAAAAGGATGGAAGAAATGATTTATACTCAGCTATGGAAAACATTGTATGTTTCTCCAAACTATGTTCTAATTAGATAAACAAGGGTTAAAAGGAAATCGCTTTCAAATTGTCCACAGGATATAGGCCATGGAAATGACCTGATAGTGGGAGAGGTTATGTTGTCTACTGGATAAGAAGGTATGGGTTAATTTTAGAAATGAAAAGTTTATTTTGAACCCCAGAAGTACTAGTTACTAGTTGTGTTACTTTACTTTTCAGTGGCTCAGTTCCAGATCTGTGAAATAGGACGATAATAATGAGGATGATGATGATAGTAGCTATTGCAAAAGAATGCTACAAGGATTAAATGTGTTAATCCCCATGATATAAGTGTTTAGGAGAGTGCCTGGTACAGAATAACCACCCAGTAAATAAAAATCTACCATTATGTGATATGAGGAACTTAGAGAAATTCACACTTAGTAGATATCAATTATGTACCAGGAACTTTGCATTTTATTTCCCTTAATCCTTGCAATCATACTTAGGGTGTTGCTTTCGTACTACAATTTTAGAGATGAGGGCATAAGGAGGTTAAATAACTTGCCAGAGGTCATATAGTTTACCAATGGCATAAATGGGATTTAAATCTGTGTCTATGAGGTGCCAGAGCCTCTATTTTGACTCTACATTATACAAACCCAAAAGGAAAGCAGATCTAGTATTTAAAATTGTTTATGGTTATTTCTATGGAAAACAGTAGACACCTGGGTCCCCTGAGTTCTTGATCTAGTTAACACTAAATTTTGCCCTTGGCTATTCTCAGCATATACACTGAGTCAACCTGTAAACCTGCCAAGTCATGAAGTTCTTTCTGAGGCATGGTATTGAAGTAAGGGCAGCTGAAGGTGGAATTCCTGAGATGTTTTTTGTTTTTATGTTTTTTTCTCCTCTATATACCTGTCTTCTTTCAATATGAAGAAATTTTAATTAAACTCCATGATAGTTTTCCACTTAGCCAAATAATATATTCTAAAATTATTTTATCTTAAATTTTCATCATGATTATTTTTCATTATAAAGTTTGATGATAAAGTTATATCATCCCCTTATCTAAAAGCACATCTGAACACTGTAGAACATGGTTTTTCAAATCATCATCATCATTGACCTTTTATTAGGTACTGGGCTAGTAGGCAGAGATTTCCAAAAAAGTAAAATATCTACTTTAGAAGGGAATATAAATAAAACTCCCAACAAAGAAAATAAATACTAAGAATCAAATTAATAATAGAAATGATTGGTGCCTTCTGGGTTAAAAGGAGTGACCAATAATTTATCTAGACAGAGAATAACTCAAAAACAAGGCAGGGCTTGAATTAAGTCTTGAAAGAAGGTACATATGGAGGAATAATGAGAGGTTTGGAGAGATAGGTAGTTTAGGGGAGGTAAGATGCATTGGATTTTTAGACTTTTTACTATGGAAAAATCAGTAACATTTACGTGGTAGGTGGGTAAACAATATATAAAGAGATTTAAATAAGTTTAACCTGGTTTTAATATGTTCTATAATTTGCAAGAGGAGGATTCTAAAGATCTTATTTCAATATTTCCTATTCAATATGAATTTGTGTAGAAATGGAAAGAGAGTACAAGACTTAGAAAAGTTTGTTCATTGGCTGTATATAAGCTTGGAAGTCAATAGAGAAGTCAAAAATTCATCAGATATTTCTTATACATTCCACCCAATTAAACATCAAAAGCCAGTAAACAGTTTTTTTAAGAGTTTCTAGATTTCATTGAACAAAACAAATATATGTCTTGATTTACATGACAGCTATATTTTGAGCATATGATGTGCTCTTCTAAGATCAATTCATTTTAATAAAAAGACCAAATCTAGTTATATGGGGTTTTTTTCCTAGATTAAAACTAAATGTTAGAGTGATCTCTGCTGAAATAGTAAGTCATTATTTCACTTGAAAGAAACGTTAACATTTTATAGGGCACAACTTACAATGGCATTTTTTTTTTCTTTTTTCTTTTTTTTTTTTTTCTGAGACACAGTCCGGCTTTGTTGTCCAGGCTGGAGTGCAGTGGTGCCATCTCAGCTCACTGCAACCTCCACCTTCTGGGTTCAAGTGATTCTCCTGCCTCAGCCTCCTGAGTAGTGAGTAGCTGGGATTACAGGCACCAACCACCATGCCGGGCTAATTTTCGTGTTTTTAGTAGAGACAGGGTTTCACCACATTGGTCAGACTTGTCTCAAACTCCTGACCTCAAGTGATCCTCCCACCTCGGCCTACCAAAGTGCTGGGATTACAGGTATGAGCCACTGTGCCTGGCCTATACCAGCAATTTTAACACAGCATGTTTATTTTATTTCAGAGAAAAGTTGCAATACAATTTAGGTAAGAACCTTCCCTTTCCTCCTAATATAGTCATTCTAAAAATTCTAAGGGAAATTACTTCTAATTATTTTGCTAAAAGGAAACCCCAGAATGCCCTCTCTAAATATTACTCTGACTTCAAAGAAGAAAATAAGTTTTGATAGCCACTAAATGTTTAACATATTATAATACCCTATATTTCTGGGTTTTATTTCAGTGAGAGGAATAACCAAACATTTTGTCTGCAACTTGTCAACAACAACAACAACAAAAATCCCATATCTCAATCTGTACTAGATCATCCCTTAGCCTATTGAATTACTGAGAAAAAAATAACTAGATGTAAGTGCAAAACACTAGTGCACTAAGCATAAGCACTTTGCATTATTACATGTTTTGATCATTACAATCATTCTAACAAGGTGGTTACTATTACCCACATTTTAAATCTGAGAAAACTGACATACAAAAAAAAAATTAAATAACTTCCTCGAAGTCATCCACACCAAATGATCTCTAATCCTCAAGGTCATAATCAAAAGATTTTCAAACTCCCCAAAATTGTTCATTGTATTACAAACACCAGACATTTAGTGCACGAAAGATCTTGGGTGGACCTTCAGAATCCTTGTGCATAATGAAATTGACAAGAAGAAACAAACGTTTGTTGTCTTTGTCCACATAACAGACATGATAAGGAACAAAATCCAACAGGTATCCTAAATTCAGAGGAATATAACACAATAGTGATCTATTCAAAACTCAACACCAAGGAACACATTTCCTTATCTTTCTCTTTCATTTGCTATACCCACCCCTGACCGGCCCCCAAGAAAGGATTTTTTTGGAATCTTTCTCAAATTAGTATAATATAACTGGATAACTTCCCTCTAATCCCCATACATAACATCTGTTCCAGTCATTCTGTTTTTTGAATATGGTTTCTATGAGACAGTGTATTTCACTGAACATGTCTATAATTCATAGATTTTAATTATAGTTGGAAATTTTTTCTAAAGTTAAACATATCTAAACAATGGTTTCTCATAAGGAAATCATATTTTCAGAAATAACATTTTTTCATACCTAACTATAAGGAATCTTCTGAAACCTAGATTTTTATCTGGGATGCTTTACAAAAGGCATTAGGGAAACCAGAGTTGTATTCCCCATTTTGTAATAAGTTAGCAAAGTCACCTTCAACAAGTTCATTAAACTTCTCTGGAACTCACTTTCCCAGTATGAAGTCATATAACTTAACTAAGGTTTAATAACTTAAAAAAAATCTTATCCTAGTGTTGAATTGGGAGTTTCATTTGTCATTTAAGGAAAACAAATATCAAGTGCATCCTGAGCCAATATAGTCTCTTCCACTTTCATGCGGTGTTATTATATACCACAAATGCTTTTAGAAGAAAAATGAAAAACAAGATATTCAATGTTTAGGAAATTGAAGATGGAAAACAAGAGAGTGCTACAATAAATAGGTGCTTTACTGATGCTTTTATGGCTCTGAAACTTGGGAAACTTTTTTCCCTAACTAGGTAAAAAATTTGTTCTGATATCTGAGTCACAGCTTGGGAGATGGAGTGGGAGAGCAATGCCTAAGTTAATTTAATATTTGAAATCAAAGCATTGTTTTACTTCTAAAATAGTGAAACTACACAGATAGGTATATTCACTGTTACATAATAAGTCAAATTTTCTAAAACATCAGGGCTTAAGTTACCTTTTAGACAATTTCAGAGGAACCTCTCCACTCACATTTCACAAAGCATGTCTCACCGAAGATGAGTTTTGCCTAATTTTAATGAATGTTTCACGAAAAAAAAAAAAGCATTTTGTGATTTAAAAAATATATGGAGCTGGGTTGAATACAACTAAATGGGGCTCCTCAGAGTAAGAGCTCTCCGTCTTTTAATATGTTAATGTGATTTGTGAATGTAGACTCGCCTGGCTCTAAATCCACCTGCATCCTCCAGCATGTCCAGAGATTAATGTTTCCAGGAACCCTTAACTCGACTTTCCACAAACATCTCCTTGAACATAGCTGATAGATAATGCAAACCTTCCTGATTTTCTGGAGTGCGTTCTTTTTTCTTTTTGTTGAACTGCAGCCAAACGGAATGCTTCCAGCAGAATGATGACTTAGTTCGGGTACTGGCTGCCCTGGTAACAGCCTCCATTAGAATCAGGTTATTGTTATGGTCCTGCTCTCAGGCTAATTTCACCCTCCTCTGCAATTGGTGTATCTCCAAATGTAAAAGACATAACCTTAGCAAAGACTATGAGAGGGATGGGGCCATGCCTCTAAATAACAGCTTTGTGGACAGAAGCCTGTTGGGAGACTATGGACAAACTAACAGGACAGAAAAATATTGGACTAGATGGTACTGTTGGTAAGAAGATGTATAAAGGCAACTGAAGGCCAGACAGGTGCTCTTCAAACATTGATGGACCTACAAATCACCTGGAGACCATGCTAACATAAAGATTCTGATTCAGTACATCTGGGGTGAGGCTCGAGCTCCTGAATTTCCAAAGCTCCCATGGGATGCTATTGCCTGTCCATAGATTGCTCCATATGTATCTTGGCCTTAGATTATGTAGGTATTGATGGCTAATGAATACAGCAAAAGAAGGCAATTAACTTGGACACAGGTGATCCTATTTCTTTATATTCAGGCATTTGTGTAATGTTTAAATTCACTGCTGATATTATAATAAATCATGCAATTTCTAAAATAACTTATATAACAGTATTACATAACAAAATCATAAACCATTTTTTTCAAAAGCGCATATACACTCTAAAAGATTCCATTCTAGAAGCAAACTTTGCTATATTAAATCCACACTTTTTAGATGAGACAAAAAAAAGAAGTTGAAATAAACTCTTTTGCAGGTGTTGTGAATATCTATGTCTGTTAATAAATTATAAATTAAAAGTAATAATTACATAATTGAAAGGTAAACTTTAAGACTTATAGACTGTTTTCTGAATGTAATTTATTTAATTATTCTACAAGCATTTAATAAGACACACCATGTGCTAGGTTCTGTGGGTCCAGTGAAGACATGGTCTTTGTGTATCTGGGGATACAAGATTCATTCTTTGCTACACTCACAGTCTCCTGGGACTTTCAGTCTAGTCTACTGTGCAGTATGAAACATGCGAAGGACACTTACCATCAAGATTCACTACCACACTATTGACCTATTATCTAAAGAATTAAGAAAGTATGCATCCGCCAACTCAATACCTAGCCTTATAGTCAATCTATGGATAACTGTAAAAGCAGGTATATGCTTTTCTTTCTGGGGCTTCCCAAGAAGTTATTCTGACCTGGAAGAGCTCAAATGGTTGCTAAATTATGAAAATCAATTTGAATTTCTTTCTGAAATTATTATTTTAAGCTGTAGTAAAATACATATGAATATTACACCAATATTATAAAGGCATATATTCTAGTTAGGCTAATAACCACCATTTATATCCTGTAATTATATAAACATTGCATAAGCCAACTAGTAATTATTTAATCAATCAGTTATAAGGGAAATCAACCTATGACAAAGAAATCCTCTTGATACACCCCTGGTGAAAACACTTCAGTCTAAACAGCAGTTGCCTCATGATTCTTGTACTTTAAATGCTGGGAATATAGTAAGTGTTCAATAGACACTAGACACAGGTAGAAAAGGAAGGAGGAAATGATTTTGCCGTTTGTTTTACTATTTTTTATGCTTTTAGATAGTTAACAGGCTAAAAAGGTAGGGTGTTCAAATCAATTTATACTGATCTATCTACTAAAATTCTACATTGTTTTAGAAATCCTTTTGCTAGGCCAGTGCAGTGGCTCACACTTGTAATCCCAGCACTTTGGGAGGCCAAGTTGGGCCAATCACCTGAGGTCAGGAATTTGAGACCAAACTGGCCAACACAATGAAAACCGTTTCTATTAAAATACAAAAATTAGCTGGGCATGGTGGCACATGCTGTAATCCCAGCTATTTGGGAGGCTGAGGCATGAGAATCTCTTGGACCTAGGAGGCGGAGGTTGCAGTGAGCCGAGATTGCACCGCTGCACTCCAGCCTGGGCAACAGAGCAAGACTCTGTCTCGGAAAAAAAAAAAAGAAAGAAATCCTTTGGCTAGGCATGCTTTTCATTTTAACAATGTATTTGTTTTAAATTAGCTAGATAATATATGATGTATTCTCATTGTAAAAATGTTAAAAGTTCTGCAGAACTCTAAAGTTTCTGTAGCCCTCCATCCCCAAACTCAACCTTCCCCCAGGTAACTCTGTTACCAGTTGTGTTTGTTCTTCTAGATCTGCACTCTCCATTACACTGGCCACCATTCAAATGTTGCTATTAGGACGTGAAATGAGGCTCGTAGAAATGAGACATGAAATTTTTATTTTTATTTAATTTTATTAATTTAAACTTAAATAGCATCATGTGGCTAGTGGCTACCATAGAGGACAATAAATTCTATAGACCTCCGTGTGATATCATAAATAATTTTATGCCTATAGGATCATATATTACTGTTTTCTGAGGCTTCTTAAAAACATAGTGTTATATTTAATGATCAATCAGCAATTTATTTTTTCACTCAACAAAGATCTCTTGCTATTTTTAGCTGATGCATAGTATTCAATAGTATGGTTATTTCATATTTCATTTAGCCATTTCCCTACTGGAGGGCATTCAGATTTCCACCTTTTGACAATTACAAAGAACATTCTTGCAAAACGCATTGGGAATACATGCCAAGTATTTTTTTTAATAATAGATACTTAGAAGTAGGATTAACTGATAAGATATCAGCATTTTTAAATTTTAATAGAAACTGCCAAATTGTTCTCCAAAGTAGATTATTCAATTTACACTCCCACCAACAGTCTTTGAGATCCCACGTTTTTTCCTCAAACAGCCTTATGTTGTCATCAATTTCCCTGTACTAGTTGTCAATGCCTTTTTTCCCTCGAGAATACCTTCTATTTCTTAGGCAGAAGAAATTAAGAAGAGCGTCAGTGAGCCGGGCGCGGTGGCTCACGCCTGTAATCCCAGCACTTTGGGAGGCCAAGGCAGGTCGATTACCTGAGGTCAGGAGTTCAAGACCAGCCTGGCCAACATGGCGAAACCCCGTCTCTACTAAAAATATTAAAAAATTAGCTGGGCATGGTGGCAGGCACCTGTAATCCTAGCTACTCAGGAGGCTGAGGCAGGAGAATTGCTTGAACCCAGGAGGCAGAAGTTGCAGTGAGCTGAGATCTCACCACTGCACTCCATCCTGGAAATGGGAAGATGTATTTCACATTGCTTCTGAGTCAATGTTCAATTTTAGCTCTTTAACAATTTTAGTTGACCAAGCATTTCCCAGGAGTCTCTCTAATATGACAATGCCTACACATTATAGAAGGGTTTTGAGAAGGAAAAAGCATTAACTTTCTTTTTCGGTAATTTTCTGGCACTACTCAGTAAAATATGTTTTAAATTGCTTTTCCTATAATAAAGATAGATTGTGCTAAGCATGTATTCTTTGTGCCTAGTCCCTCTTTTACACATCAGTGTAGAATTTGTAATGCCTGGTCAGGACTCTATTGCTAGTTTGTGTAACTTTTTCCTTGAGCAAAATCAATGGTCTATAGATAAGGCCTCAGCTGTAAACTTACTGAATTCTGGCCTGACAGCAGTGTTGCTGCAGCATCCTTAGATAAGTAGTTTTATGTGAATGAAAGAACAGGAGTATAGTTTTGATTAAGTCATATTTGTCCTGGAGCCTGAGGCGAGCCAACCACTCTCTAGGGCTCAGTTTCCTTATCTAAAAGCGATGGTGAGCTGAGCGCAGTGGCTCATGCCTGTAATCCCAGCACTTTGGGAGGCTGAGGAGGGTGGATCACCTGAGGTCAGGAGTTCGAGACCAGCCTGACTAACGTGGTGAAACCCTGTCTCTACTAAAAATGCAAAATTAGCCACATGTGCTGGCAGGTGCCTGTAATCCCAGCTACTCAGGATGCTGAGGCAGGAGAATCGCTTGAACCTGGGAGGCAGAGGTTATGGTGAGCGGAGGTCACACCACTGCACTCCAGCCTGGGTGACAAGAGTTAAACTCCTTCTCAAAAAAAAAAAAAAAAAAAAAGACGGTGATAGAACAGAAGACCACAAAGGTAATCAAACCAAAGTTGTAATTGAAAAAGGAGTGTAATTCCTACATGATTGGTTTATGTAGGAACTATGTCTTACTTAGTGGTTAAGTAAGACAAAAGTGAAACAATAAAAATGTATGTTGGAACAAGGCAATTTCTTTGCTGCATCTGGAAAGTCTAGAAGACTGTTTCCCCCAGATTTTTTGTGCTACTTACAATTTAATGGTTGCAGACATGATGTACAACTTTAATAACATTTTCTTAATCAGTTTGTAGACAGTCAACACCATTAAACAAAAAATCAATTCCTGGGCCGAGCGCAGTGGCTCATGCTTGTAATCCCAGCACTTTGGGAGGCCAAGGCAGGTGGATTACGAGGTCAGGAATTCAAAACCAGCCTGGCCAAGATGATGAAACCTCATCTCTACTAAAAATGCAAATATTAGCCAGGCATGGTGGCGGGCAACTGTAATCCCAGCTACTCAGGAGGCCGAGGCAGAGAATCGCTTGAATCCAGGAGGCGGAGGTTGCAGTGAGCCGAGATCGCACCACTGCACTCCAGCCTGGGCGACAGAGCGACACTCCATCTCAAAAAAAAAAAAAAAAAAAAAAAAAAAAAAATCAACTCCTGATTTGTGGCGTATGCTGATTTCCATTTCCATTGTATAAATACCTGGACTAAAGCTGATTTTAAGCTACCAACGTTATATCAGCCTATGTGGAGTTGGGAATAACATGTCATTTTATACAGTGTTTCCATCATACAGATGCAATAAACAAATGACCTCACAAACAGAAATAACAGAATGTAGTAAAACACTTAGGAAGGGATGAGAGTTTTGAGTATGTGTTATGTTTTTCAGATAACTTGAAGTTTACATAATTAAACTTTAGATAATTGATGCATTAACAATTTGCTTAGCAAATTTCTGGACATTTAAAAATAGGTTCCTGTGAGTCAGTTCAGACCAACTCTAAAATACTGCTGCTTTTTCACCATATAGACATCCTCGAGTCTGAAAAACCTGTTCCTTTGTGATTTTCTAAGAACTATGTTGTTTTGATTGATTTTTAGAAGTTCTTTATAGTTTCTAGATGTGAGGCCTTTTCAGATACAAGTATTGCTAATATCTTAGGCTTAGTACCCACTTTTTAAACGGGAACTTGACAAATCTGGGATTTTAGTGTAGCACGTAAGTGTTCAATACATGTTTGGTTAAATAATTCCCCGTAAAAGATACTGACATGGAGAGATTACATGAGCCCCTGGATACTTAAGCCATATATTACTTTTATATGGAACCATTTCAGAGAAGGAAGTCTCTCATTTTGTCTTAATAGCATGTTTCACTATCTCACAGGCCCATAAATAGCCTACTCCAGTGATTACCACCTTTTCTGGAGTTGCAAGACCAGGAAGATCAGAATCACAGACTTTTGAGATTATAAAGGAATTTAAAGTCCTAATGGTCCTGTCCACCTTACTAGTATACATTACATATGATACCCAGCAGCATCCTTTCTGCCAAAGTAATACAGTTTATGCATTCATTTAAGAAATAGTAAATGATAAGCAATTTTGCTATAACAACTCATGAGAATTTTATGACTGTATTTGGAGACTTGTGGGAATAAAGACCAGCAATGAAAGACAAGGAAATGTAAATCCAATTTATGTAATAGAATATGATGACCCAACATCTCCTTTTTGCTCTGTGGGTTTATATTGGCCCCCCTTCACCCATGCTTTGGACTTTACCATTTCCTTCTCTTCCTCCTCCAACTTCCCTTTGCATCCTGGCCCCTTCCAAACTATGTGAGTATGGATGTGTTAATGTATTACTCCATCCAAAGGACTATAACTCATATTACCCAGGAGATTCTAGAAACAATGTCTGAACACATCACAGAAACTAAAATGAGGAGAAGCTCAGGCACTAGCAGAAGGCCTGGTTTTGGTATTCTTCCATCTACAGCTGTACAGCTGCATTCTTAACCTTGGCTGCATATTAGAATCACCCGGAGAATTTTATAAATTTCAGTGCCTGGGCCACACCACCCCAGACCAGATAAATAAGAATCTCTCAGGGTGTGACCCAGGCATCAGTTTTTTTGTAAAACTCCTCAAGTTATTCCCATGTGTAGTCAAGATTTGGAGCCATCCCAGGTTGAGGTGTATTGATATAAACCAGCATCCACATCTATAAATTAAGGCCATTTATTTTACACAGTCTTGAATAAAAAATGAGCATCTGTCTTCCACTACTGTGAGGAAGCACAGTCCCTTAAAGTAATGGTAGGTAATAATTCTTTCCTTCTCTGGGCTACATAATCTTGGCTCTTCTCTCATGCTTTCACTCTCTTAAACTTCCTTCCTCAGGCTCCTGTACCAATCTTCAATTCACTTGGGATGTCCTAGTCTAAAACATTTATTTCATTTGAAAGGAAAAATATCAATTTCTATCTAAATTGGAGTAAGATTCCATTCAGATGTGTTTATTTACAAAACATAAGTTGTTATTTATCTGTGTTTAATTGATCCTGGAACATTCCATGTAAAGAACATTCCATGTAAAGAACCAGGCAACTTGGCCAGGCATGGTGGCTCACACCTGTAACCCCAGCACTTTGGGAGGCCAAGGCAGGTGAATTGGTTGAGACCAGGAGTTCAAGACCAGCCTGGGCAATATGGCGAAACCCTATCTCTACAAAAAATTAGTGGGTATGGTGGTGTGCACCTGTGGTCTTAGCTATTTGGGAGGCTGAGGTGGGAAGATGGTTTCAGCCTGGAAGGTCAAGGCTGCAGTGAGTTGGTAATTGGGCCACTGCACTCCATCCTGAGTGACAGAGTGAGACAATCTCAAAAATAAAAAAATAAAAATAAAACCAGCCAACTTGTCTGAGCTCACAAAGGTTTTAGGACTCATCTGTGTAAGAGAGAAGTCACTGCATATCAGGAAACAGGATGAGGAGTTCCCTCCCATAACCCACAGCTCTCCAAGAGAACAAAGAGGTACATGTCTCTGATTCCCAAAAGTAACTTCCTTTTTTTTTTTTTAAAAAAAAAAAGGGGATTGTGCTTTTCAAATTTATGGATGTAAATAAAAGACCTCAGGAATTCATGGATTAGGAGCAAAAGATTAAAGTCAGTACAAATGATATTCTAAATAGGCAGAATGGGTTCAAATTCCTCTCAATTCTTTCTGATTGAATGAAAAGTAAAGAATAAAATCTCTGGCAGAAGAATATAATGAAGGGCATGGTGTGGAACAGGTTGAAACCTGCATTTCTCAAATCCGTATTGTATAAACCAGGCATTACCTTTTGTATTTGTTAAGCTAATTTGTTTTAATATTAGTATTGAAAACATGTTTGGGTTGCTATTAACATAGGAATTAGGCAGTATTTTGGAGAGCCTCTTTTGAGGGAACAAATGTACAATCAGTCATTAAAAATGTAAAAGAAAATACAAATTATAGTTTTCTAGCAATAAATTGATATCAAGCCTGTTTTAAAATGGGTGATGTGGTTTGGCTGTGTCCCCACCCAAATCTCATCTTGAACTGTAGCTCTCATGATTCCCATGTGTTGTGGGAGGGACCTGGTGGGAGATAATTGAATCATGGGGGCAATTTTCCCCATACTGTTCTCATGGTAGTGAATAAGTCTCACAAGATCTGATGGCTTTATAAGGGGAAACCCCTTTTTCATGGTTTTTCTCTCATTTTCTCTCATGTCTGCCACCATGTAAGACATGCCTTTTGCCTTCCACCATGATTGTGAGGCCTCCCCAGTCACGTGGAACTGTAAGTCCCTTAAACCTGTTTTTCTTTATAAATTACCCAGTCTTGAGTATGTCTTTATCAGCAATGTGAGAATGAACTAATACAATGGGCAAATATTTAGGAAAATTTTACTCAATACAAAGAAATCCTGGCCTCAAAACTGACATGATTTTTACATATACAATATCATGTACAAATAGTTTATAACTTAATCCACATTCTCTTCTTTCATAAGCATATAAGAAGAATACAAGCATACCTGTGGTATGGGAAATGGAAAGACTACTTACTATTCCCAATTTTGAGTAAACCTAGCTTTCATTTGTGATTATAAGAAATGTTTTTCCTAGTAAAATTCTGACCATAATATTTCTAAAAATTAACACTTCATTCATTGATTCACTAACTCATTCATACAGCTAACGTTTATTGAGCACCTACTAGGTTCTAAGAATGTATTAGTGGAAAAAGCACAAAGATATATAGATCTGGATCACTGACCTCTCCTACTACTCAGAAAGGAATCTGACCCATTATGTAACAGCCAAGAATGGTGAGCTACTGAAACACTCTTTCACCTCTTGGTATTTCAGAGGATGAATATGAGGAAGAGGATGCTATGTACATGATTAGTGGACAGACAGGTGGCTGTTTTAAGAACCACCTCTAGACAAAATAATTTGCAATAGCTCTGATAAGAAAGATGTCAACACAATTAGCTTTTGCATGCATTTTAAAAATTTTGGTATGGACTTTCCAGTGAAGGTTTTGTAAACTGATATCTCATCCATACCGAAGGATGGTACCATGTTTTTGCCGGTGGTACTCTAATGTTCAAATTTGTGAAGTAAAGTATGTGGTTTACTTGTGATGCAACTCCTGCATTTGTTGCCAATGGCAATGGTTGTTTTCTTCATTAGGTTTCATATGGTTGGTCAGGTTATGTCATGAGAATTGTATTGAGAAAAATTATGAGTTTGTTGAGTGCCAGCTCTCTGCAGTGAGAATGGTTGGGGGGTGAGGGTGGGGGGAACTGGCAGTGTTTCTTCTGGTAGGTGAACAGAAATGCAGACTCGTGGGCACTCTACACAAGCCTTTCCACATCAACTGGCCTCCCCTCTCCCCATCCCCGGCATCTATTTTCTAGCCTTTAGAAAATTGCATACATGTGTCTGGAAAGTTCCATCGATCAGCTCTTTCTGCAGCACTCCACATTTCTGTGGCTTCAGAAAACCTTGAATTGTAATCTCCCTCTTCTCTCAGGATGCATCACTGAGAAAAACTTAAATCAACTATAATTTTCAACAGATTCTAAACAGGGATTTAGAAAGATAAGGTGGTTACTGAATTGAATTAAAATAAATTCAGGCTGTAGTCCAATTGCTTCCAGCTCTTCCCCTCCCTCTGTGGGCTAACAAGTGTTTCCAAAGCCATAGGGCATTAAGAATCCTGAAACAGCTAATTAACAGGGCTGCTCTACATCACATGAAGCATGTGGGTTCCAGGCAGCTGTAAAACCTCAGCTTCCTGAGGCTATCCGAGTGATGATGAAGCACTTGGAATTGGATCTTGACATTCTGCTACCTGCCTGTGGCAGAAAATAACCTTTTTAACAGGGACTTTAGGCGAGGATAGTACTTTGGGCACAAAAAAGTCTCATTGCCATGACTATGAAAAAGTACATGAACATTTCCTCATGTTCAGACTGTGACTCATGACTGGCCTGTTAACGGACAGAGGAAGCCTCAGGCGTTCTCTTGACACATCGTCCAACCAAGTGAAATACGGGATTGGTGAGATGCTTTTTCATAGCTTTGAATCAAGTATCTTCCAAAAGGCAGATAAAACCAAGATAAAAGAGGTCATTGATGCCCTTTTTCAACATTTTTTTTTCCACCTATCTAAAGATTTCGCCAGGAGAAATAGAGGGCTAGCCTACTATATTTCACAGGGAAATAAACAAAAGCGATAATAAAAACTTAGCATTTTTTCAAAAACATTGGACATGTTGACATGAATTGGTCTCATCTCACATAGATCTGAGTATAAATTATGTGCTTTATTAATAAAATATTCTGTCACACTGACAATGTCTTATCTCTTGCCTCCAGCCTATAATCCATTTCCCATAACGTTATAACAAAAGTCTTTCTAAAACGTGTCATTCCTCTACTTGAATAACCTTGATTTCTTCCTCTATTTCATGGTAGATAATCTGCACATTTCTTATGCGCCTTATACCAAGGCTTTCACTACCGGATTCACAGCTCTGTAACTTCGTCTCAGGGGACTGGGGAGAATATTCTGGAGCTACAGAAATTTAGTTGCCGACATGCCATGTCCATTTAAACCTATTACCACATCTTCCCATTCACTTTCTTTCTGCTGAGTTCTTCGTTTTATCTTAAGGTGCTGATTCAATGTCACTTGCTTTGGGAATACTTTCTTCACCTCTCAAACAGAAGGAATCACACCCTTTGTCACTTGTATTCACTACTCTATCACCCATACACATGGGTAGGTCTGTGACTTACCTTTTTGTCCCAGATGTCTTTATTATCATCTGTAATATACAGAAGGAAGGTGATAAATGACTTGCTGAAGGATAGATGGACAGATAAATGGATGGAATTAGATCATTGAACTATACCTAAAAGCTCTTATAATTCTATATTTTTATGATTTATTTTTAATGAGGAGCTTTTGAAGTGATTACTAGAAAATATACCAATTAGCGACCACAATTAATATTCAGTGACATTTAAAATTTCAAGTGAGATTTTAATTCACTCCTTGAATTTGTATGTCTTTTATATAGGCATCTCACTACAACGACCTTAGAGGTGGCATAAACTGAAATATAAAAGCTGGGTCTATCAAGCAACTAAAATCTGATTTGATGGTTAAAAGGTAAGAGACACATCTTAAAAATGCATATGTAAAGCCAAAAGCTGGGAATGATGCTAATATATTGAGTGACATATAAGCATAGAAAATCATCCACAGATGCTAACAGTAGGCTGAATTAAAAGTATAATAGGAACAAGGTAAAGCACAACATTTACTTAAAATAACAAGCTATGTATAAAACCCAACATTCTCAGCAATAGAAAAATGAAAAAAATGCATTCTAGTATGGTGTATCTCTATAAGATAGACATCATGGAAGACTTTAAAATGATGGCTTTGATGAAGTTTAACATGTTTAATGATTTCATAAAAATGTTCATGGTACAGTGTCATTTCAAAGAAAAAAAAGAGACAAGGTTTGAAAAGGTCTAGTTAAAGACTATTTGCAGGGGATTTAGTGACCTCTTTGGAGAGAGCTCCTTGTACTGAAGAAGGAGCTGGGCACATAGAGCTGAGCCCAATAACAAAACCTTGGCTGTCTGAAGGAAGGAGGCATTCTAAATGGAATATGGCAGCTGCACTTGAATGCTTTTCCAGGGATGAATCTCTGGATCCTGGGAGAAGCAGAGAGCTTTTAAGTAAAGAGATGTTGCATATAATTCCGTACAGTATCAGGAACAAAGTGAGAAATTTTAACATCCATTGGAGCAGCTACAAAGCCAAAGCATGGCCTTGTGATAGCTGCTTGACTCCCTGGGTAACAATGAGACCTAATAAGCCTTGGGGAGTCCAGAGAGCTGCTGGTTCTGGTGGAAGAGCAGTGGTTCCAAGAAGGGGGATGTGTTCCTGTGGGACACATTTAGAACTCCCAGAAATAATGAAATAGATTGTGTAGAAGAATTGCTTCAGCAAATGTGGGAAAAAACTAATGAAATTTAAATTATTATAGTTAATGTAACCTCCCTTGTTGCATTAGGCTAGAAAGTCCTGGCAAAATTTAAAGATTCCCTTACATAGCTATAGAATAGGAAAAATTAGAAAGTTCACTTATCAAAAGCTTGTTATAGGTAGTGATATGGGCTTTACAAAAAGAAAATAAAGTAAAAAATACTCAATAATGCAAAATCCAAAATAAACACAATGTAATCATAGACCTCTTTAACTTCAACAGTACAATACTGTTTCACAGCAAACAATCACTTCACTGTTACCTGAGCTTGGTTAGGATTTGCCTGAAGTAGACAGCCACGCGTTTTATAGGAACAGAGATACTGATGAATTCAGAAATATTTTATGAGAGAAGCGTCTCCCAAACTGGGAAGCCTCACCTAAGAAATATGCTCAGATGGGCATGACAGTTGTTTCAAGTGGTGAAGACCATTTCCAGGAAGAAAATTCACAAAAACTTTTTGTTCAGAATTAAGAACAAAAAATGTGCAATACAGAGAAGCAGGCTCACAGCTCAGTATAAAGGCTGGTTTCTAAAAGGCCAGAGCTGTCTCATGACAGATCAAGCTGCCTGGAAAGGCAATATGCGTTATGTCATCTATGTTCCCAGGAAGAAGCTACCAGACATGTGCTCAAGGCAAGTCAAGTTCTGTGCCAGAGAAGTGATGAGCCTGCGTGATGTCTACATTCCTTCCAGTGCTAAGATTCAAGATCCTCAGATTTGTGTCTGGGGAAAAACAGTATTACTTGGAATGATTGTAATTTTCTTGGCTATATTGAAGTCATACAGTATATTTAATTAGTCATTATATTCCCAGCTTTATACAGGTATGAATCTATTCCTCATGGGAGTGAAAACTATGCCCTGAATGCATATAAATGGCATTTTAATCTAAGATAAAATAGAAATCCTTGATTTAGTTCCATTAGTTCTAGGTCTCTGAAGGTCTTCATATTTAATGGCTGGCATCTTTACTTGCTCCTTCAGGGTTCTGCAAAACAGGAGTTTGGGGTCAGCGTTCTTCTAGGAGTAGAGTCAGGTCCTGATTCGATTTCATCCAGAACCAAAGTTATGTTGCTCTGATTTTAGAGTACACAGAGCTATAGCACTGAAGATAATTTTGAGCCTTATAAGCTAATGTGATATTTCTTTCAGTGTGATCAATGGAAGTTGAAAAGCAGGAAGAGTTCTTTCTGTACGTTTCTGCACTTGGTGGGAGTGTCATTGGAGAGAGTTTGGGGAGGGAGGAACTGACACCATTCCTGTCTACTTTATGCCAAACCTGTGACAGAGACACACAGAGCCTGGAGAGCTACTGGAGTACCTCTATCTGTAGACGAGGAAACAGGAGCTTACAGGGGACAGTAGTTTAGTGACATGTAGAGCCCAGGTTAAAACACAGCTCTGTCAAATCAAACCTTGTCTACTTTCAAACAACTGAACACAGCAAAATAATTACATGAGTGTTTTTAAATGTTGTATTTCAGTTATTGAAAAAAGAAGCCACTCACTCTTATTTTGGAATTATTAAAGTAGCCCAGAATCAAGATTTAAGTGGAAATATTTAAGACCAAAGGCACATTTTTTTCTTACCTTCAAAATATTTCGGGCTTCATGTGAAACTAAAGCCTTTAATAAGTTGACCTCAAAGATTGAAAAGAAAAGCAGATAAGCAATTTCCCGGTAAAGAAAGATTGCTACAAAATCGCTGTAGACTGTATGGAAATTTCAAAGGGTAGTGAAAATGTGCTCTGATGCCCAAAGTGAATAACAGGATGTGTGACTAAAGCTGTTGACCTACGACCAGCTAACTCACCTCAGAACCTACGGAGCTGCTGACGTTACTTCTCATTTTCTTTCTCTTTCCCCTTCCTCTCTTTGTCCTTATTTTTGATTCCACCCTCTGCCTCCATTCTGCTTCCTCCTCTTCAATGCTTTCTGTCATCCCGTCTTCCTTCTTTATTGTTTCTCTAATTGAGCCTAATATGCAATTCATTGTGAAATTAACATGACCCTAATATGAAAATGTGTTATAGATCACGAAAAACTTCCTGTCTACTACTATGTGTCCTGTTAAACCCAGGTTGCTGCAATCTGTTTCTTTCTCTGATAATAATTTTGCTTTCATTGTGCTCAGCGTGGGTTCTTCTGAGCTCACTCCACCCTCGCCCTGGGATGTGTGCCCATGTGGTGAGCACAGGGAGGTGGGAGTGCACTGTTAATTCTCTTCCTAAGAAAGAGAATGCGCCTTGTCCCTGTCTGAGGAAGACTTCCGAGTACACAGACTCAGAGTCCTGACAGTACGTCCAGCATCACAGAAAAATCTGCCATGGCATTTTATATTCCTAATTGTTCCTAATGTCAACAGAATAACATCCAAGAGAATTCACATAAATCTCCTGTTGAGAAATTTACTGTTACAGGAGCTTAATACTTCGTAATGCATGTACAGCCTAAATATGTTGTCCTTGGATGGAGAACACATTACTTATTAAAAGCCAGGAGAACAAACACTCTACTTGATCTTAGCCAAAGGCTAAAAAGCTATGAATATAATGGTGGGAGTTCACGGCGCTGAGAGCAACACAAAACCACTTTAGAGAACCTGCACTGTGAATTCTGGTTCTTCTCAGCTGATGGCATTGCATGCTTTCTTTAACCTCATGATTCTGTGTTTTAGAATGAAGACATTGTGCTGCTAACCCTCATAAAAGCAGGGTAAATGATGGAGAGGCCAAGCACACCCTCAACTCGTATTGACAGAATTATCCCTCAAACTCCCAGAGTTATTTGACATTATTAACATGGTCTGTAGTATTCATTTTATTTATTCTTTCAAAAATATTTGTAGAGTACCTTCTCAATTACAGTCAGTCACAAGACCGGGCCCTGTAAGGGTTAAAAATAAATACTGAAATATAAGCAATATGAAATAAATTCCTGCTTCTAAAGTTACAGGTCTAGGAGGGAGCAGACAGCCCCGGGCTTAGAATCCTAAGACTTGATTCAAGTGCTGCTTCTGCCACTCACTCTCTGAGTGACCTTAGGCAACTCACTTACACCTCTGTCTCTCACTTTCTCTCCTCATAAATCACAGATTATATCCAGCTCCTGGGATGTTATGAGACAAAACGAGAGAATGTGTGAGAAACTGCCCTGGGTACTCTGACTACACAAAAATAATGCACTGCAACTAAAGTATTTTCAAAGTCTAGTATAGGATACAATGTGTGGCTCCGAAACACAATAAGTGAAAATAGAAGAGGGACCTTAAACAAGCAAATGGTGACTTTACTAAAGCAGTGACAACAGAACTCAGTTCTATGGGCTCAGAGAAGAGATAAATCCATGAGTAGTAAGGGTATAAAGGGCTTCCCTGGGGAGGAAACGTGGCACAGAAACGGAACTAAGATTAATTAAGGATGGGCAATAGGATGGTAGGCATTATTCCCATTGTACTCATGTGGAAGCTAAGGCTTGGAAATATTTCATAACAAGTCTGAGGCCACAGTAGAACCAATACGTGGCAACGCCTACATTTAAAACCAGTTTACTTTTATTTTTTTTCATTTCAAATTCCGGGCACTTAAAATACTAGCAACCAACTTTGAGGCTCCAAGAAGCTGTGTGTGTGTGTGTGTGTGTGTGTGTGTGTGTGTGTTTTGAGGAAGTGGGCATGGAGTGAAGGAGGAAAGTAAGAACACCACATGGAAAAAGCACTAACAAGGGTGGCCAATGCAACAATGCATGTGATGTATTTGGGGGATTATGGATGGAAAATCCAGCTGGCATAGAGGTTTGTGCCGTGAAGGAGAAGAACGCAAGGTGGTAAAAGCATGCTGAGAATAAGTGAATATGCAAAGGAGTTTGGACATTTTCCACTACAAAATAAGGCCTCTTTGGAAATCTTCAAACAGAGGAGTGATCTAATCCAGGTGGTTTTAAGAAGATGGGTTTGGCATCATGTAAACTAATTGACTGGGGAAGAAACAGAACAAAAAGGCCCTTGATCTGCAGAGATATGGCTCTGGCTTAGGGTAGAAGAGACAGAAGGACAGGAACTGGTATGAAGGGAGATTTGAGAAAAGAGTGACTGATTGGAATTGGAATTGGAGCTGAAGGTGGCTGTGTTAAAAAATGACTGTAGGCTTCAAGCTTAGGTGGCAGAAAGAATGATCATGACATTCACAGAAGTGGGGAAGTCAGGAGGATGCTGATATGCAGGGAAGAAGAGTCAGCTTACACCCATTGAGTTCAGTGGCAAGACAGTCAAATGGAATGTCCGATAGGTAGGAAATCAGAGCAAGACTAGCAATCTGACTGCAGACTCAGGAGTCCCCGAGGAGCCTGAGTGAGTTCCGTGGAGGTGCATGATTTCCATGGGAGCAACACACTCAGAGGCAGAATGACTCAGGAACCACGTCCTGGGAGATGTCCAGCGTCCAGCTGTGAATACCACAAACTTTTGTCTATAGTGATGATGAAATATTGACTCTGGAATTTTGGATTTTGTGCCTTAAGGGAAGCTTGCAAACGGTGGCCAAGCACCTAGAGAGAGAACTAGTCATATGATTTGTTTATTTCATGCCTGCTGAATAATTGTTTAGTTAATAAATGTCCTTATGTAAATCAGAATTTAATCTAAGATGCTTTTATTCTAATTAGGTGGTGACATTATAAGGAAGTAGTTAACTCCTCTCACCTCCAACTTCACTGGCAGTTACCAATGTCCAACCAAAACAACCAAAATGTGTTCATAATAATATTGGTTTAGGTCAGTTGCCAAAACAGTTGAACATGAACATCTAGCCTTTTAAAGGATGAAGATTCATTCATAATGGTTCAACCAAAAAGAAAAGAATGGTTTTAGAAATGTTTTCCAGGCACATTTAATGCAAAGGAAAGCTCTAGTAAAACAATTATCTGCTTGACTTGTTCATTTCACGTGGATGGGGATTAGACCTTCTGATCAACACCTGCCTATTCAACATTTATCTATATATGAAATGGCTTTTTTAATGTAAGAATTTTTTCCCCTTAGGGGCTCATAGATTAAGCCGTGGTGACAGAGAGCAATTGCATTTTTAAGTGTTACTACTTAGGTATAAATGGTGATCATCTGATTTAATCCCTATCCCAGTGGGCCATCATGAAAATACAGCTCATATATACAGCTCCTGTGGCGTGCAGGACGTTACCATGTGGTATTTGCCAATATGGGACATTGCACTCATGTGTATACACACACATGCACAGACACACATGCACAGGCACATGCACACACACAGATGCACATACAGACATGGACACAGACATACACACAGACATGGACAGATACACAGACACACACACAGAGGCGCACACACACACACACACACACACACACACACACACACACACACAGACAACTCTAGCTATCTCTGAGGTAATTCAACAAGCCCTGCAGTTGGCTTCATCTTTATATTCAGAACTTGTTTTTTTATCTTTCCTTTGAAGAGTAATCCTATCTGAGACAGAAAGAAGATGAGTCACACTGAGGCAAAACTTTGTAGGTAGAAATGTGCATAAATGCGCTTCTCTAAGATGCTCATGAAGAAAAGACAAAAGAACAGCCATGTCGCTGAGATGCCATCTGTGAGGCTGGCACAGTGAGGCACGACATCCCTGGTGCTTCCCGGCAGCCTGCGAGGGCTGCCTCCCTCCTTCCCTCCCTCCCTCCTGCTTGCAGGTCCGCTTTCAGAGCCTTCCCTCAGGGCTTATGTTCCACTGACCTATAAATGTTTACTGTAATTATACCAATTGTCACCTCCTGCATTGTCCACCATTCTTCTTGCCCTTCTCTATTTTTAAAAATTTTGTCTTCAAAATAGCATGCTTCACAGTAAAAATCTCAAGTGAAAATATAATAAAACAAACAAAACATAGTTCATCAAGGCATTCAAAACAACTCTTTGTGACAACAGTTTAAAAAACAGTGAATTAATGATGAATTGTGCAAAAAAAAGTTTAAGATGCCATCTCTGATCCTTCATATAACACTTTTTTTCAGCTGGAAAAATCCAAGAATGAATGAAAGAGCTTGTAGATAGGCCCAGACAGTGGGCAGCATGGCTCTTCTCCAGCCTGGGACACAGCTCATCACTCAGGGTGGATCCTGGAGAGAAGCTGCCTGAGTTCAGCCTTTGCCTATCCCAGTACTCACTGTGTGCACCCAGAGGAGCTTCTGTGTATCTGTGAGACCCTGTTTCCTCATCTGCAATACCAGGACTCATATCCTAGCGGGGCTCTGAAAACTAGATCAGCTAATGTAAGGCTTGGCCATGTATTTTCTCAAGAATCGTTGCTGTGAAAGAGCCAGTGAAGTCACAGAGGGTAAAGTCAATGGTCAACCTTCCTGATTAATGAATATTGATTGAGCATTCACCATTTAATAGTTAGCTCCTTCTAAGTCTAATCGTTTTTAGTTTCTCCTGACACCTGTCATGTAAGAGGCTCTATATGTGAGGATAGACTTAGGGGGCAGTTGGTTCCTCTTTTTGGACACAGAACAGGAAGAATAAAGAGATCTCAGAAGGAAAAGGAAAGTGGGAGGAGGCTGGGTCTGTGGGTTCCCCGGTGGATCACGCTGAAAGAATACCTGGCAGACACTTAATCTCTGCGGCAAATGCATGAAAGTAGAAGGATGAAGCCAACTTTCCAAAAACTTTTATGAAATTACTTCAGTGAGAAAACCTATTAAATAAATTACAGCCATTCTATAAAAATAGAATTCTATGTTACTTCTATATATATACTTCTACTATATATACTTGTACTATATTACAGTAGAAATCAGTCAATCCAATCCCCTATTGGGCAGAAGGGAAACTTGCCTCGGACCACACTGTCGGCTGGGGTCCTTAGCACGGTACTAGGTCTCCACCTCCATGCACTACCCTGGTTCAGAGCTGGTGCTATGGGTTGAATTGTGTCCCTGCAAAAATAGGCTGAAGTTCCAACCCCAGTACCTCAGAAAGGGACTTTGCTTGGAAATAGGGTCTTTAGAGAGGTAATCGAGTTAAAATAAGGTCATTAGAGTGGGCCTTATCTGATGTGAGGGGAATTCTTATAAAATGGGGAAATGCAGACACACACATATGCAGGAGGAAGGCACTATGAAGAAACAAAGAGAGAAGACGGCTATCCAAGGAGAGAGGCCTGGAACAAATCCTTGCCTCACGGTTCTCAGAAGGAAACAACCTTGACAACACATTACTTTTGGATTTCTGGCCTCCAGAACTGTGAGACAATGCATTTTGGCTGTTGTAAGCCACCTAGGTTGTGATACTTCCTTACAGCAGCCCTAGGAAATGAATACAGCTGGGGACCAGGCTTTTAGTCAAAAGATCAGGGAGGAAGTCTGGTGTCTTGGGAGAAATTTCTAGATTATAGGAGTCACTGAATATCGTAACTTTGAAAAATCCATTTTGAATCTCACCAGAAACACAAAAGCCTGTAGAAATCCAATTATACAAATTTACAGTCTAGAAAAGGAAAAAAAATGAAATTACTCTTCATGCACATTTAAGCAGAGTTTAGGACTGGAAAATAAACAAGGCTTTGGTAACTGGGGAGTGCAGTGCTAACAACACAGTTGCAGGTATGTGGCTGTGTGGGTTTGAGCTTGGCTCTGCCTTTTACCAACTCCGTGACCTTCAGTCACTGCCCCCACTGTCTTCAGCTTTCTCCAAAAAGAGTGTTGTGTGTCCTCTTGGAGGCCATACCCTGGGGTGCTCAGCACAGGGTTTCACACACAGTGACTATTAACTGGATTTTAGCTCCTATTATAATTACTAATAGCAGATAATTGCCTTATTAAAAAAATTAAAGGCAAGCCCCCAAAAGTTAAGAACATATGTACTTGTTTGCTTTTTCATCTTCTTAGATGACACTTATTTTAAGTTTTCTTTGTATGTAATTCATTCTAGCTCTCTTATTCAGCAGTATTTCTTTCATTTGAAAACAGCATAATATTTAGATGCCAAATGTGATCATCAAATGCAAGAATATGGATATCCCACTAAGCTATCTAGTTATGCTCAAACCCAAACAAGTAGAAAGCCCTTATGTACAAAGTGATTCTTTTCATGAACTTGGAAATTTTTCAAAATCAGGTTGCTGAGTTCTGATTTGGAGCAGCCTGTCGCAATACCAAATCACCTTTGAATAAACTTATCCTCTCAGCTTTTATTGTTCAGAATTGATTTCGAGGATAGAAATTCCATTTCCTTGTCATATATACCTGAGCCGTTGCATCAAATTGTCAGATCAAACCTAAAATGCAGCACTTCGCAGATGGAGGAGAGACATTCTCTCTAAAAAAAAAAAAAAAAAAGTCAACCAAGTCAGAAGTTGTGAAGCTGCTGAAAAAAGCAAAAATAAACACTCTTAAGCAGGAAAATAGAAGACCTGTTGCTTGTGGGAAATAGATTTTCTAGAAGTTAGATCAGCTGGAAATATTGTCATGGACATGCCAAAAGGCAAGTGAAGGAAATGTACTGAATGTTGTTGGCTTTGCACTAAGAGGATCTCAGGAAGCAGTTCACAAGAGTGCCACCACATGCATGGAAGGACCAGCTCGTTAGATGCTTTGGGCAAATAAAAATTTTCTGTAGAGTTATTTTGTTCTGCTGGAGCCATTAAGTGCTCCTTGCTACATGAAATGGTATATAGCCCTTCAAATGGGGGCATTTAGCAATATAAAATATATTTACCCTGTCCGTTCTTGAGGATCACTCTTTAACTGTAGAGAATATGTCTTCTAAGGCACCAGAGACATCCAGAGATAGAGGGCTGCTGATATTAATAACACATAAACTTTGGGTGAAGGCATAGGGGAAGCCAGCCCTCACTAGAACTCCACTATGCAGGCACCCCGATCTCACACTGCCAGCCTCCACAACCGTGAGAAAATAAGCATCTGTTGTTTAAGCATACCCTCTCTTCATAGGGATTATTGGAGCCTAGAAGAGTGCATGGACACTTTTCATTATTATTATTATTATTTACTAGATTATCACCCCAACAGAATAGGAACTGAATTCCTTTTTGCAAGTAGGTGTTCAATAATTATTTGTTGAATGAATGAATGCTATGGCTACTATATGGAATTTCTAGGTCAAATAGGAGCAGAAGGCTGGGGGTATGGGGGCTTGCACTTGTAATCCCAGCACTTTGGGAGTCCGAGTCTGGAGGATCACTTACACCTAGGAGTTACTAGCCTGGGCAACATAGGGAGATTCCGCATCTACAAAAAATAATAAAAAATAGCCAGGTGTGGTGGCCCGCACCTGTAATCCCAGCTACATGGGAGGCTGAAGCAGGAGGATCACTTGCACCTGGGAGGTTGAGGCTGCAGTGAGCTGTGATTGCACCACTACACTCCAGCTGGGATGACAGAACAAGTCTCCATCTCTCTCTCTCTATATATAAATGCCTGTGTGTGTGTGTGTGTGTGTGTGTGTGTGTGTGTGTGTGTGTTTGTGTGTATGAGACGAAGAGCAAAATTCAATTTAGTCATCGTACCCACATGTAATCACCAAAAAATTTTTTTTAAAAGCTATTTATAACCAAAAATATCTTCTATCAAGTTGTGGTAATATTACATGAAAGCCCATTTTGTTCTGCTGAGCACTTGCGTAGTTCTGGGAGTTAAAAGGTGGATGGAGCAGGAGAGACGTAAAGCACTAAATGCCATTAAGTAAGAAAAATCTGGAGTTCCTATAAGCAATTTTTGAAGTAGGAGAGGTACGGAAGGGTAGGAATGAAAGAAAAAACCCAAGCAAACCTAGCAAAAGGCTAACACCTTCCATATAGAAATCACTGGGTAACTGACTTTTTAAGAATATGAAAGTCTAAACACAGTCACTTCTCACATTATGGTGAACATTGCTTCCATTTCTTCAAACCATCAGTAAAGTGTGGTACAATGCAGAAATCCCATGTGTGAACAAGTTTTGTTTTGTTGGGGCAGAGGGAAGGCTGGTGGTTGGGAAAACTAAGGAAGGGGCTCAGTTCTACCTTGAGCCTCTGTGGTATGGAAAAAAGAGATGATGACAGCTACTGTGAGAGAACTCCTAAACGCAACCAATTTGGCTGAAGCAGAGATGTGGGGCCTGGTGTGATCAAGGATTCATAAAAGCTTTGGAGAGAAAGCAGAACTTTTCACAATCTGTACGATGGGGATTGCAGCCAATTTTATTTAGCCCTCAGGAAATAGGGTGACCCCAGTTGACCCCCAGGGGAAAAAATTCCCTATCTCATAAACAATAAAAATCTTAACTAAAGTTTAATATGATAGCAACCAGAAACAAGGCTTCCTGTTGTCCTCAGACAACCGAAAGTTCATATTCACACACCCAAGTAACCACACCCCCAGCCCCTGCACTGTGCAAGTGAACAGTTTCATTGACAACTTTGGGGTCTGTTTTGATCTTGGAGATCTTGGAGTTAACTGCAGAGAATGACTGGAGTGGATTTTATGAAGAGGTATTTTATAAATGCTTATGTGTAATGATGAGGGAAATTGAAGAAAGTGAAACAAACAGTAAAACCACATGGGAAGAATTCCCGCAGAACATGAGAAACAGAACTTGACTTAATGAATAAAATAACAGATGGCATCTCATTTTTTATTGGGTGTGTAAAGAATGAGAACCTGAAATGCAGGTTTGGTTATTCAAGTGAATTAGTAAAGGAGATTTATGGTTTTGGAAGAATCAGCAGTCATGGGGGGGCAGGAAATGGTTATAAGTGACTTTTAGATTCTGTGCTTGGGTGACTAATGACAAACATAGCATAGTAAACCATCGGACCATATCATGCAAACAGGCTGTGTGAATTAATTTTGTTTTGCTTTGTCTTGCTGGGGAAATTAGAAGGCTTAAACAAAGCAGAGAGAAGACATCTATTGGATTGTCCAAAATACTGTAAAATTTTGGCAATGTGGTATCTATACCAGGCAACTACAACTTCTGTCTTATTTGGTTTAGATACCCAAGGAAGTACAGGGGTACTCTGAAATTTACTTCGAGATACAAATCTTCAATTATTCACAAGCTGGCAGCACAGGTCTTTAAGTCTATTGTCCTTGTACTTCCCTAGAACACATCATCTTGGCACCAGATCTGCTTTACCTCTCAGAAGTTTAGAGCAAAATTCTACGAAAGGCAGGACTTTTAACACTCCCTCACTGTGGGGTGTTTAAAAAGACTATTATGGGGAGAAAAATGAATTGCTGAATAAGTAGTATGTGGAAGAAAGGTCTGTGTTGAATGAAGGGAGGTCTAGTCATTAAAAAAGAAAAAGAAGGCTCAAGCCACAGAGTTTTTATCGTGTGCCTCAGCCACTGGGGAAACAGTTTCAGTGCAGTATTATATATGAAATGTTTCCTATTAGAATCAAAGTTCCCACAATGGAACATGTGCGACAATACTAACTAAACACTACCATCTAGTGGCCAGTTTTGAGAACTACAAAAGCTCGCAAAGTGCATTAAAAACACCGTGAAAGAAATGCAACAACCAATGAAAAGATGTTTAATTTTCCCTTAGTATCAGGGAAAATAATTGATCACACTATATAGTAAATGAAGATATGTGTATCAAGTGCTGCTATTCTCAATTACCCTTAAAACTTAGATGGGCTTGCAGGGAGTCTCAAGTGCATGTTTTGCTGTTTATAGCACCAGTGTAGAGATATTTCCACCAATGACAAATAGGCTGTAAAACATAAAATCCTTTAGAAAAGTGATAAAAATACAATCAGTATGAGGACTTTGCTTCCTCTTCCCCTCCCCACCCCTACCCCCCTACTATCCCTCACACCTAACACCTCTCACAAGTTGCTATTGTATAGCTGGCATAGCTGGAGGAGTAGAAAGAGTGAGCTCACAGTCAGCAAAGCTGTGTGGTGCCTTTGTTCCACACACTTCTGGCTGTTTGAGCCTAGGTTAGTCACTTAACCTTTCTAAGACTCACTTTCTAAAAATACGCAAATATGTAAATTGTTGCTCTTCCAGTCTCCCTGGGTTTAGGGGAAAATAGAATGTGTACAAAAATGCATTGTAAATGCAAATGTGCCATACAAAATTGCTATTAGTTTTAAAATCTCTAAGTGAGGATGATGAGGATGTGAATCTGATATTTGAAGGTGCTAAACATTTTTTTAATTTTTTTTCAAAAAGCCATTTTTCTTAATATTGTTGATTTCCTGAGACAAATATCTTTGATCTGGGTTGAATAATTGTGGGAATTCTCAAGTTTATCCTGCCCCTATACACGCAGCAAAAGAAAGCTAATTAACTTGTCCAAATTTTTACATTGAATCAAAGACGAGACTGAGAACAACTGTCATAGCTTGAGTGTTGAAGTTTATCAATCTAGGAATCCTATTGTGTTGTTAATGTTTCCCCAGTAGTTTCAGTAAGTAATGTAAACCCATGAATCTAAATTATAAAATGGCTACAGGTAAACCATGACACCAAATTTCACTTCATATTTCATTATTCTAAGATACAAGGGCAGAACCTAAAGAAAGGGTAAAATAAAATGGACTTACATTAGACTTACTGACACCATCATTATTTGAGAAAGAGCTATTTCCTAGGTATATTTTAGGAACTTATCTGGTGATATCTATCTATCTACTAACTTTAGGAGTGGGGTGGAATTAATTCTTTTTACAAGATTAGTGAAGTTAGAAACAACTAGTTTCTAATTGATTAAATGTAACCTATTTTCAAGTATCTTCATATGACTGAAATCAATCTGTTTTATTTTCCAAACCAGTGGAATAGACACAGAGTCATTACAACCAGAATGACATGGCATTGTTACAAATCTTAGTATTAAAGCAATACTTCTGTTTTTATGTATAATTATTTTATAATGGAAAATGTCCCTCAAAATCAGACGATTTGTTCCACAATGAATCATCTACTCCAAACAACTCTGTTCCAATAATTAATGACAAGAACAACAAACACTTACCCACCAGATCCTTATGGTAAAGCTAACTTCAGACAGGAAATGCAGAACTCAGCAGAGTTCATTATTTTTCATTTCTAGATCAGAACAAGTTTATCTAAGACTCCAAATAAAGTTCATGCTTTGTGCAACGTGCAAATGACAGTTCATTATATTTTCTTGTTTCACAGAGAAAAACTCAGAAGGAAAACATCTACAGGAGATACAAATAAAGAAGGGCTAGGTGTTTCTGAAAATAATCTTCCAGAAAAAAAAAGTGGCCCTCTTGAAACTCATCAGGAAAAAAAGTACTTAAGAAACTCTAAAACATTTTTATGTGTTAGAATCACCGGGGTAATTTTGGCAATCTCTATGCCCAGATCACAGCCCACATCAATTAGAAGAGAACCTCTGGGACATGAAGATCAGTTTTTTGTTTTGTTTTGTTTTTGTTTTCATTTTTTTTTTAAAGTTCTCTAGGTGATGCCAACACGCAGCCATATCCCACAAACACTTTAGTTAAGAAATACATACTTTGAAGCAGGAAAGTAATGCCCTTTTTGGGGAAAACAGTCATTATATGATCACAGATTATTTTTATAACTTCCATATTCTTTTTTTTTTTTTTTTTTTTGAGACAGAGTCTCACTCTGTTGCCCAGGCTGAAGTGCAGTGGCGTGATCTCAGCTCACTGCAACCTCTACCTCCCAGGTTCAAGCGATTCTCCTGCCTCAGCCTCCCAAATAGCTGGGATTACAGGTGCAAACCACCACGCTCAGCTAATTTTTGTATTTTTAGTAGAGAGGGGGTTTCACCATGTTAGCCAGGATGGTCTCGATCTCCTGACCTCATGATCTGCCTGCCTCGGCCTCCCAAAGTGTTGGGATCACAGGTGTGAGCCACTGTGCCCAGCCTCCATATTCTTACATGAGCAAGAAGCAAGAATTCATTTTATCAGTATGTAAATTGTGAAAAAAACACATGCAGGTGAGAAGCAGGGGCTATAAGGATGAAATCAATGGGCCAGCAGAGAATACAGTGCATGAATTCAATAGTCCCTGCAGTGCTCCCTGCTAGGCAGTGCAGGGATATAGACAAATAGTGGCCTGATGTCTTTAATAAGCTGATAAATAGTTGGGGCCACCAATATGTAAACAAAGCAAGAACATAGAAAACACGCTCCAAATGGGTTACAAGCAGAGTTGTGGTGTAGGGCAGAGGAAGATAATAGATGCTAATGATTTAGGATGGTAAATACGACAACAAGAGTACAATCTCTACCTGGTTGATTCCAAGGAGTTTAAAAACGTAAATGCATGAATGACCAGAGGAATCCTCACCAGGGGAGTACGGCACAGGAATATAAACGTGACTTGATGTGCAGGCTCTAAGGCAGTGGTTCTCAGAATGTGGAGCCAGGTCTGCAGCGTCACTATCACCTGGGAGCTCATTAGACGGTACATAATTGGATCCCACCGCAGACCTACAAAATCAAAAATTCTGGGGATGGGGCCTAGAAACTCCTTTTTTTTTTTTTTTTCAATTTGTCTCTGCCACCCAGGCTGGAGTGCAGTGGCGCCATCTTGGCTCACTGCAACCTCCGCCCCCCGGGTTCAAGCGATTCTCCTGCCTCAGCCTCCCAAGTGGCTGGGATTACAGGTGCCCGCCATCACGCACAGCTAATCTTTGTATTTTTAGTAGAGAAGGGGTTTCACCATGGTGGCCAGGCTGGTCTCGAATTCCTGACCTCAAGTGATCCGCCTGCCTTGGCCTCCGAAAGTGCTGGGATTACAGGTGTGAGCCACCGCACCTGGCCCCAGCAATGAGTTCTTACAACCACTTCAGGGGATTCTGGCACTCCAGGTAATTCTGATGCATCCTAAAGTTTGAGAACGAGTGCTCTAAGGTTTTCTTGAAAATAAACAAATACATGAAATTGGCCATTTTATCATCAACATTCACTAAAGTAGATGGTAGTATGTATTCACTCATGCTTCAACACAGACAAGGTCACGTGGGCTAGGAACCATTCCACAGGACAGCAATCTTAGGTAAGGTCTTAAAATAGGAAATAGAAAATTAGTTGTTTTAAAAAGTGAGGGAGTAAACAGTAATATTAATGCAAACTTGCTGATTGCAGGTACTCAAAAAATAGTTACAAACTTGTATTTTATATATAGCTTATAATATTTTAGACTTCTGGAATGACCATGTCCCACTTTCTTTTTAATCCCTAACTTTTATTTATTCATTTTCTATTTCTATAGTTTTTGGGGTACAGTGGGTTTTGTTTACTTGGACACATTCATTAGTGGTGATTTCTGATATTTTGGTGCATCCATCACCGGAGCAGTGTACACTGTACCCAATATGTAGTCTTTTATTTCTCAACTTCTCCCAATCTCTCCCCCATCCCCAAAGTCCATTATTCATTCTTATGCCTTTGTATCCTCAGCGCTTAGCTCCCACTTGTAAGTGAAAACATGATATTTGGTTTTCCATTCCTGAGTTACGTCTCTTAGAATAAATGGCCTCCACTTCCAGCCAAGTTGCTGCCAGAGACATTATTTGGTTTCTTTTTATGACTGAGTAGTAATCCATAGGGCATATATACCACATTTTCTTTATCCACTCGTTGGTCGATGGGCAACAAGTTTGGTTGCCTATTTTTGCAACTGTGAATTGGACAGGCCTGTGCATGTGGTCTTTCTCGTAGAATGACTTCTTTCCCTTTGGGTGAATACCCAGTAGTGGGTTAAACCCTAACTTTTAATGTTTACCTTAATTTTAAAAATACAATCACCCAAAACCAAAAATGAATAAATTATAACTCCATTCCACACTTGGATAAATCTCACAAACCTACTCAAAGAAGCTAAACTCGGAAGAGTATACAGAATATTACTTCATTTCATAAAACTTAAAAACGAGGAAATCCCCCTTGTTTTTGGTATCAGAAGTCCAATAGTGATTATTCTGGGTGTGCCAATAGCGTTGTTTCTTTTTCTATTTTTTGTTTTTTCTTTTGAGACAAAATCTCGCTCTGTCACCCAGGCTGGAGTGCAATGACATGATCTCAGCTCACTGCAACCTCTGCCTCCCAGGTTCAAGCGATTCTCCCACCTCAGCTTCCCAAGTAGCTGGGACTACAGGCGCACACCACCATGCCTGGCTAATTTTTTGTATTTTTAGTAGAGACGGGGTTTCACCATGTTGGCCAGGCTGATCTCAAATTCCTGACCTCAAGTGATCCACCCGCCTCGGTCTCCCAAAGTGCTGAGATTACAGGCATGAGCCACCGTGCCCTGCCACATTCTGTTTCTTAATCTACAATACATTTGAAACAGAAGACTTTCAAAATGTATGTAATGACCCTGTGTGTATTCCACTGGTTTGGAAAATAAAACAGATTGATTTCAGTCACATGAAGCTACTTGAAAGTAGGTTACATTTAATGAATTAAAAGCTAGTTGTTTCTAGCTTCACTAATCTTGTAAAAAGAATCAATTCCACCCCACCCCTAAAGTTAGTAGATAGATATCACCAGATAAAAGGTCCTAAAATATACCTAGGAAACAGTTCTTTCTTAAATAATGATGGTGTCAGGAAGTGTAATCTACAAAGTCCCCTTCTAGTTCACCCTTTCTTTAGCTTCTGGTGAGCCAAGTGTGTTCACTTAGTGAAAATTCATTGACTTTTACACTTACAATTTGTGCACCTGCATTTATGTATGTTTTGATGCAAAGTTCAAAAAATATAAGAATAGGATGAATGCTATGTTAGAGTTTAAGAAGTCAGGACATTTTCACTTCCCTTTGGCATTTAAAGATGTGTTGGATGTTGGGGTACTGCTCTCAGTGAATGCTGGAGACAGGCAATGGCACATCATCCAATACAGTGAACAAAGGCAAGTGGATAGGGATATTTAGTCCTTGGGATTCTAAAAATCTCAAAGAAGACCACAGGAATGAATGGTCAGTTTCTGACGATGCAAGGCAATTTATTCTGGCTCTAATAAGACCTGAGTTAGGACAAGGCAAAACTGTGAAGTAGATGAGATTGTGAACAGTCCCCGAAATAACTGTTGGGTGGCCTGTGCCTGCAAGCACTTTTGCCACCTCCCCGTCTGTCAGGGTCACTCTCCTATTGAGTCTCTGCCACTGTTTCCAGCCATTCTCCAAATCTTGATTTAATGCTTCTTTGCCCCTCTCCCACTATTCCTCCCTACTACCCCTCTTATCCTCCTTATCTCCTTCCTTTTCATCAAAACCTACCTGTTTTCTGTTTCGTTATCTCAGAATCTTTGTTATTAGCCAGTTCAATAAACCACTGGGCTCCCCAGCCATGCTAACAGGCAGGTCAGAGCTGAGAAGCTCTAAGCTGGTTATGAAACTGAGGGAGCTTCACTCAGACAGCGTTCCTCTCCAAAGCCATATCTGGATTTTACTGGGGCCTGAGGACCTTAATGAAAGGGGGAACCAACTCACCTTGGAGCAGAGGTTCTCTGGCTAGCGCAGAGGTGGCACAGTATTGACTTGCTCTACCTCACTGTTGTCACTGATGTCCCTAGACATACCCTGAGCCTTTTTCTGGAGACCTGGAAACAGTTAATACCAGAGCAAGTCCCCACTTATCAAAAGGAGCAGCCTGCCAAAAACAATGTTGTTTTTAGACAAGTATGTTTTAAGGCATAAACTGAAGGGCTAATGGAACAGCCATTGTTCTAATGGATTTTTAATGAGGTGTAAAGTTCTCAGCTGATTGACAGTCAACAAGGTGTGAAATTTTACAGAAATATTGCATTACTGTGAAATTAATCTCTTTTATTCAAGTTTATTATTTCTTGAATCTAAAAGTCAAGAAAAGCATGAGAAAGATGACTATTAAAATTTCTACTTCCCTATAATTAATAGGAAATAGTTACAGGACTACAGTTAATAACTATATTTTTTCAAATATTTTTGAAAATTGTTAAGAGAGTGGATTTTAAGTGTTTTCACCACAAAAATGATAAGCATGTGAGGTTATACATTTAATTAGCTCAATTTAGCCATTACACAACGTGTACATATTTCAAAACAATATATAGACAATGAAAACATGCAATTTCTTTAAAAATAAAATTTCTATTTTCCTTTAAATACGATTTGAAATCAAGAGAAAAATTATTTTTCTTGGTTTTATTTTATGGAGAAAGTTATGGAAGTGGAAGGGACATCATAAAGGCAGGACTTTTCTGAGCTCAGTTTCATTGACTGCCCAGGTGCCCTGGGAGTGATAATGACCTAGTAGCAACCAACGAGCCCCTTTCTGGCCAGCACTGTGAGATCAATGCTCCAGGGCATTGGGTTCTAAGCCCAGGGATTCAGCATCTAAGCCACTTGGGTTCAATACCCCTCTTAGACCAGACAAAAAGAGGTCCTGCCCTGGGAGCCTTAGAAGGCCCACTCTTTCCCTTCTCCAGTCCTGCCTCTTCCTTTGCAGGATCCTTGGAATATGGTCACGCAGAGCCCCAAACCAATGTACTTTTAGACCGTGACCTGGGAGCTCATGGCCCGTATCAGCTAACAGGGCCTGTGGGGTCCCATTTCCCCCATGCTTCTTCTAGAGGGCAGACATGTCACCAGTGTGCACAACCCTATGCCTGGGGGTGGCTACATATGTAGTATGAGGGTAGGAGGTACTGGGCCAAAACGCAGGCACCTGGGCTGGCTTGTCCCCACACACACACAGAGGTGCTTCGTGGTTCCAGACAGAGCCAGATGGGAAGAGAAGAGCAGAGCGGGTGGCCCTTTCCCTCAACACTGAGGGATTGGAATTGCTGAATTGGAATCCGGCCTTCCAGACAATTATGAAAGCATATTTGTCAAGGAAAAAGGACAGACCTTTAACACTGAGGGAGCAGATAGAACCGAAACATTCAGGTTCTGCATTTGAACTTGATCTTCCAGGTCTCTGTATAGGCTTAAGTTGTCAAGGAAGTAGGCCAGAGCTTCCTTCACAGTTCATTAGGCTGATTTACAACTTTTAAATATTTAGACAAGTGGTATGCAGGCTCCCACCTGTATTCTTACCTCACAACCTCAAAATTTCAGAAGCAGCCTGCTCTGAGCCCTACCCAAGACCTACGGAGACAGACGTCTGTGGTGGGGTTGGGAAATCTGAATTTTAAGAAGCTCTTCAGATGATGGATGCCCATCATTCATTTGCCTATCACTACCTTAGACCCTTATCTCCACTGTCATTTTTTAAATGCTGAGTCCATGTGTCAACAAAGTAGCGTTGAATAACTCATTTGTAAAAAGTGGAAGCAGAAAAATGACAGATTTCACTGGAACACTAGGCATGTGCCAAACCCAGCTCTGTTCTGCTCAGGAAACAGGCTTCCTGAGCCCCCATGGGCTTGTGGCTTCCAGTCTGATTTTCCTCAGCCCAGTGACATCCTGTGGGACAGCTGTCATTGTCCTCCATAGTCATTCCAACTTCAGATAATGCTCCCTCTTCAACAGAACTTTCTCTTTTAAGATTGGCCATTCTTACTTCCTGGTTCCTGAGGCCAATTTTTGACCCAATATCTATTTTCTTCTCCTAATTCCTCTACTCTGCAATGCCCACCATTTTGGTTTTAACATACAAGTGTTTAACCCAGAGCTCTTTGATTTCTCCTGGTAGGTGAGAAAGAGTATTTGTTTGGGCAAAGCCTGCTAATAAACCAGCAGTACATTGAGATCACCTGGGGAGTCACAAAATTCCCAAGCCTAGGCCCCATTCCAACCTGTTACATCTTGATCTATGACGTTTGTGTGTGTGTGTGTGTGTTTGTGTGTGTGTTAAAAGCATGGGGAACAGATAAGTTTCCATTATTCTGCTCACACATCAAAAGTTTCAAAGAACCCTTTTCCCCAGATACCGAGAGATTTTGGCCATTCCTTTAGTATTTTTACAGCATTAAACAAAGACTGATTATGAATATAACCCCAGCTTATTGAACTGTGTGCATTCTCTTAATGCCTGCAAATGCTGCTTGCAAGAGTGGCCTCACACCAAAATGTACCCCAAGTTCTTCTGTAAAGACAACTTGCAGCCAAGGACAGCTAGCACCAACACTACTGTCTTCCAGAATTTTAAGTGGAGGCTGAAAGGCTGAATTAGTTAAAACTCCCAGGCCTTCTTGGTTAGGACAGTGTTCTTGCATTCTTTTTTTTGGCAGGGGGGCCGGGGGCACTATTCAAAACATTCCAGTGACATATCGAGTCACTACCCCGTAATTTAAAAATATAATGTAATATATGTACTTTATGGAAGTCGAAGAGTTGTGCTTTAAATTTAAGTACCGTGCCTTAGTTGGCGCCTCTAACATAGGGAGTTGGACATTGCTAATGATTTGCCCTCATTAAGCAAAGATCTTTGAGATGCTTCTATCCATTAAATACTGTCAATGTGATTCCTATTCTAGCTAGTTGGTATAGAGCACCACCATTTTCAAAATTATTAAGGAAAAATCACATCTAAATTAAGCCAAAGGGACTAGACCCATCGAAAGTGAGATATAAAGGGCTTTGGGCAATAAAATCAAAATCATTTGTTAGTTGTGAGAAAACTTAAATCTTACCCTCTAGTTTAATTTTTAAAGTGTCGAAGGAACTACAAAATACAAATTTCCCAATAAAGAAGAAAATCAAGAAAAAGAAGACAGTACTAGAATAAATCATACCATTTGGTACATTTATGTACCAAATTTACCCTGGGTAATTCCTATTTTCTCAATTTCAGCAAAGAGGAGTAATTTTAGGATATAGTATTGCCTGCCTGGATTATAACGATGTGCTAAGAGGCTGAGCATGTGTCTCTTATGTACATCTCCAGACTGTGCAGGCGGAGCTCAAGTTGGATTTGGCATCAAGGTCCAAGTTTAGTCATTAATCTATTGATGAAAACTGTACTTTATTTTCCCCCATTGAAGAAGGGACAAAATTCAATTCCATCAAGCAGTCTTCTTTGTACAGCTCTATTCTACTCCTGACTTAGATTCAGAGTCAGAGGACCAGAGTTAGTGCTCACTCCAAACTATTAACCTTTCATCTAGGGCCCGGGGTCCATCTCTGCCTAGAGAGCATGTGGGAACCCCTCGATTGCTTTATTGCATCGTTTATTATTACAAAGAATAATACACATATTGAATAAAAAATGTATACTGCTTGAAAGGCAATTAAGCGACTTCTCATAAGTCACGTGAATCCTGAAATGTCTATTATGTTTTAGAAACCCAAAGATAATTGTAATTCCATTGCCTGGTTAAGTCATGCTCAAGAAACACGGTGCTCCTTATGGCTGCTCGTCAATCCTCTCAGCGGCCAGCAGATGGCGCACACTTCTCAGAAACATCAAAACGTGGCGTGGGAAAACCCGATTCCGTGGGGAAGGCGGGCCGCCTAACACAAAGCTGTCTTTCCGTAAAAATCAGTCGGCCTTCACAGGGTTACAGAAAATTATTCATTATGTACAAGAGCAATGACGTTCAGCAATGTATACAGTTGCTGACAGTCCTAAAGTGGGATATGGAACAGGATGGTTCATGCCCATTTTTACGTATTTGAATTTATTTCTTCTCTGGGTACTGTAAGTAAATGAATGTTATTGATTTTTCCTTATGTGTTAAGTGCTGCACCGATATTTTAAATGATGACTCGTTTCTACTGGGAACTTATAATGAAAAGATGGAGCAGTAGAAATAGAAAACCTCTGGGCCATCTCCTTGGTCAAGGTTAGCAGGTTAGTCCTTTGGTCTAGCTCTGCCATTCAGAACCTTGGACCATGCATTTGCTCCCACCCCTGGGATCCACCATCTCTCCCTGGCTCCTTCCAGGTCCACCAGCCTCAGGGTCACTGCAGTCTCAGACCACCTGAAACGCAGAAGCCCCGCCTATTTTGCTAGCTCCCTCGTTCCTACGTATTCCCATTTTTCCGGCTTATTTAAAGAATAAAACAATACAAACTTTAATGGCTATTTGTACTTTTTAAAAATCAGTGCATTTTCATTTGTGTACTCTTGTGGATTTGGGCAACAGCTGAAAAATCAAAATAATTTGTATCTTTATTGATCTTGAACAAATGCTCTAAGATGCATACATTTAGCAGATGGACTCACTTATCATGTGGGCTTCTTTTCCCAAATGCAGATGGGATGGAAGTTGACATGAGGAGGCAGTATAATAAGTTAGGAAGAATCTGGACAAAGGTATAAAGGAGCTAAACGGAGGCTGCAGAATGTGGAGTGAAGAGCTGGGACAGGTAACTCAAGGAGAAAGCAGAGAGAAGGAAAGTGATAGCACAGAGGCAAAGGGAATTGACTGACATCCAGGGAAATGTGTGAATTTGTCCAGAATGTCCTGAAAACTTTGTGCCGTGGGACAGACCTAAGACCTGGACTATATTCATAAAAAGAAACATGATTTTCCCTGGGGAATTTTAGACCAATCAGAAAGACTCCTAAGCTCTGTCTTTTCAACTTTCCACTCTACCTCATTATCCACCAAGCTACTTTTCCCACCTCTGTTCAATTGATTTCGGAAAGAGATGCACATACCAAAAATATGCAAGTCTGCCACAGATTTATTCTTTCTCACTTTAGCTGTGTCCTCAGTCGCCATTTTAATCACTCTCAAAGAATGCTCTCCCATATTAGCTACAATGGATATTTCAAAACTCTCTTTTCAAACTCCCTGACCTGGCTGGTCTTCACTCTCATTAAATGATTTCATGTCCTACTTTCCTGACTCTCAGCCTCTCTCCATGAGCTCAGGTTTCCAGAAAGCAGTCATGTCCCCAGCCTCTCTGCCTTCGAGAATGATCCTCCTCTTGTCTCAGGCTAACCTCCTGTCCAGCTGCATGAAGCCTCAGAACAGAGAAGAAACTGTGTGAGTTTCAGACTCTGGAGTTTTAGGTTTGAATCTTGGAGCTGCCACTATCTAGGCACATGCTCCTAGGCAAGGTACATAACTTTTCTAAGACTCTATTTTCTCATATGTAAAAACGTGGTGATAATACAACCTCCTTTGTATGATATGGGAATTTCCTGTATGTTATTTGTGAAAACACTTTCCCTACTACTTAGCAATAAATTCCCTCATATCTCTACCAGTTGACTGTGAAGAATTTTAAGCCCAGAAGTACATTACTTTCCCCATCGTGAGGGTTGAGCCTAGCGCGAGGAAAGTGACTGAGTCCTGGTCCCACAAACCTGTGAACCTACCCTCTCTTATGTCCCAACCACTGCCATCTTTTCTGATAGTACCATTTTGTTCTCATTTTTAGGCTCTACTATGTTCTCCTGAGCCTTACAATGGCCTTTCCTCCCTCTGCATGTCTGTTCTTGGATGATCCTGTGCACTGTGATAACTCTAGTCTTGGAGGTGAATCTGAGGTCCACGTCTGAAACCTGAAAGGCATCTCCTTTTATCTACTACCGCTTTCAAGGAGATGCTCTTCAGGTGCCACTGATTCTGGCATGCCAAAAAGTTGCATCTGCAGGATGGTTGTAGCCCTGTTTATAAATTCACAGGCTCAATTTCAAGACCTTATGAGACCCTCAAATGTATCAAGTGGGGCCAGGCGTCATGGCACCTGTAATCTGAAATCCCAGCACTTTGGGAGGCCGAGGCAGACGGATCACCTGAGGTCAGGAGTTTGAGACCAGCCTGGCCAACATGGTGAAACCCTGTCTCTACTAAAAATACAGAAATTAGCCAGGCGTGGTGGCGCATGCCTGTAATCCCAGCTACTTGGGAGGCTGAGGCAGGAGAATGGCTTGAACCTGGGAGGCGGACGTTGCAGTGAGCCAAGATCGTGTCACTGTACTCCAGCCCAGGTGACAAAGTGAGACTCCATCTCAAAAAAAAAAAAGTAAATAAATAAAAAAGTAACAAGTGAGACAAGTGAGATAAAACTAAATCCAGTTTATAAGAAAGCCATTCCTACAGCCAATGCAATGTTATCTCTTATCTTCAACCTGAAGCACAAGCTGATATTATTTTGCAATCTTATTAGCAGCTCAAACAGCTGTCTCTGCCAGTAATATACACAATTGAAGGGATGCCAGAGGGCAAGCACCGAACCTGGCTGCAAAGAAGGGGAACCGTTCCCCAAATTTTGCCAAGTCAGGCTGCTGTATTTCATTTAAAGTGGGAGACATAATAATATTCCTAAATTCTGATACCAATAGGGTTGTTTATCCCTTCTATACCTGGAAGACTTGCTGTAATATTTTTTCTCATTTGTTTCTAAGTACTTAATATCCTATGCAGGGGGCTATTTTCTGGGCATTTGCTTATGGTCCAAGGACAATCTGTTTGGATGCTTACTTGCTGTTCTGGTTAAGCAAACCTAATGGTTCACAACTCCCTTACAACAATCAGGGAGTTTTGGCAAAGATTACTAACCAAGTCAAGTTTACATTGGCTCAAGCCTCTCCTACATGAATGCCACCAATAATTGTTGCTGTCTCTTTATTACACGTCTTTGAGGCACTGACTGCCTCCATAAAACTGGAGAAGGCATATGTGTATATATACTATATATAATGATTACCCACCAGTACCAGCTTTAATGTTTTCCTCTCCACCTAATTTCTTTTTGCTGTTCAATTTTCACAAGCATACACTTGTACACACACACACACACACACACACACACACACACACATATGCCTGTCATTGGTTACCTTTCCCCCGGGGAATTAAAATCCGTATGATTCAATAAGGTAGATTTATTTGCCATTAGCAGACAAACATGAAAATAATTCCTAAGCCAATAAAATTATTTTCAAGTTTTTCAGTTTTCCTTTTTTCTTATAATGGCAAGAACATTTGACTAAGAGTCTAGCAGGGGAAAATACTGTATTCACAAAAGCAATGGGAAAAAAACTCAGGCCTGTTAAGGAAACTCTCCTATAAAATCAAATTGCAAATTTTTCAAAGTTGCCAATGCTTGGCACATCACTGTCTGGGCAGGATAATCTGTTCTTACCAGTCTCAACTCAGAAATAACCTATTTATGATTGCAACCATCATCTTGGCCTCAGGGAGGCACTATAGGTCCCTTAATGTATCTAAGGCACAGCTGAAATACTTAAAAATTACCTCTGAAAGTCTGAAACATGACAGAATGGAAAAAGAACTCACAGAAGATAACATAAAACTCTATATTCTGTCCCTAAGTTAATGTAAGAGATTCATACGCCTTAGGAAGACGAGATAATTTAGCGATTGCGCTTAGAAAAATAAGTAAATAAATATGAGTTAGAGATATGGTTGGTGACACTTTTTTTCCTCTGGGTCTCTTCCTTATTTTCCCCTTGTTCCTTCCTGGCACTAGGGGGCGGCAAACGATGGGCTCCTTTATTTATAAAAAAAGACAGTTTTTATAAATAAAGCTTTATTGGGACACAACCATTCCCATTTGTTTACTTATTGTCTGTGGCTGCTTGCATGCTGCATCAGTCAAGTAGTTGCGACAGAGACTGTCTGTCCCACAAAACTTAAAATATTTATGCTTGAGCCTTTTACAGAACAATTTGGCTGACCCCTGCATGCTATCTATAGTATTTAACAATGGATATGAAAGTGACAATGGTAGATCTAAGGAACTTCGATATGTGTCCAGCCAGCCAGGATAGGGGCCAGCTTCCTAAGACACATGTCTAGAATATGATGAAATCACCACCTGCCAGTGAGTCACATGCAGGCAAATGACACCAACAGAAGAAACCTAGGAAGCATATCCAGAAACTATAAAGTATTGGTCATGAACCTTGCAGGGGAGGACATAACTGGTGTTCGCATCTCTGCTTCCAGTTGACAGTTCACCAAAGATAAAAACAACAAATAAAATCCAGACCTCTCGCCACAAAAGGGGGTTTGGCTTCAGGCAGGGGCTTAGGGCTCTCTGCTGGGGACCAGCTGCACTTCACAATGCTGCAAAGCCTGCATTTGTTCAGAAATGTAATTCCTGATCTGATTATAAGAGTTCAAAGCTGAAAATGTGGTAAGGAGGAGGAAAAAAAAATGGGTTATGATGGAAGATTTTGTGGTGGTGGTAAGGGGGCATGATAATAATAATATTGAAGAAGTGCCCTAGTAATTTACATGAGAAGGGACCAAGAAGGTGGCTAAGAACAGCACAGAGTCTCAGATATACACACGTTTTTGCACAGAGTCTGGCTAATAACACAAATGAGAGATTTTAGCATAATAATGCTGTATTATCAAGGAAATAGACATCCCATCTGTGGGGAAACTGTCAACATGAGAGATAATTGTGGTAGAGAAGAGATCTAGAAATGAAGGATAACAAAAGAAATGAAATAATAGGCGCAAGTCCCTGGCCCTCCTATGTGCCACAGTCCAGGGGAACAGGAGAGCTGATGGGAGACCTCGGTTGGGAAAATCTTATCCATTCCAAAAGGAGGAAAGGTCAATCTCTGAAACTATTTCATAGTTGATTTTAGTATTGGTCCCTGAAAACATTTCAGAACTCACTTAATCAGCAGATAGTTTTAGAACGCAAGAGGGTGAAGTTATGCTCAGGGCAGCAGGCCTGGTTGGTGAGGATGGACCACAGGTACGGTGTGGAGGGTAGGTGGGTAGGCTCCAGAGCTAGTCTGCTGGGTTCCGAGTTGGCTGTCTTACTTCCTAGCTCTGAGACCTCTGCAAGTTACTTAACTTCGCTCTTCCTCAGTGTTTTTAGTTCTCAAGTGGGCATAGTAATGAAATGGGGTGGTTGTAGGGATTGAGTTAATACATATAAAAGAGTTAGAACAAATCCAGCTGAGACTAGTGCCATGCAATTGTTAGCTAGTGTTCCTGGTACAACTATCAGACCAGGGGCCAGGAGAATGCTACAGACCTGGCTGAAACTGAATTTCAACAAAGCATTTCACAAATGCATACAAAATACAGCCAAGGACCTGCTGGAAAAGTGGTCTGAGGAACACAAATACATAGATTCATATTTGGTTTTACAACTAGAAATTCATTTCAGCCTAAGGAGACTTCTTTAATTTCAAGCCTTGTGATTATCCTCAGCCCTGTCCTGATCGACATTTTTCATCAAGAAGACCTGAAATTATTTTATTGTAAAAATTGTGAATATTGTGAAGTATTCCAAGCATACAAAAATAACTTTCGGGATTTAGAACTGACAACAATGTGGAAAAGCCATACATATCTAAAGCACGAGTGAATTCTTTCTTACTGAACCTATTCAAATAAAGACTGAAAGACCTGGCAGTGAAGGGTTGGAAGTGTCACATGAGGCATATATTGAGATGAACTTTGAAAATTCTATTCACACATGAAGATGTTTATGAAGTATTTTATATATGTTAGGCATTGTCTTAGGTACTTGGAATGTATGTAAACAAAATAAACACCTGTCTTGTTGGACTTACATTCAGGTGGACTCCTTAATAACCTGTAAGTTATAGGAATTACTAGATTTTGGTTTAATTCTGAAGTTTGTCACTCACTATATATAAACCTGATAAGCTCCCTCGTTTTTTTCTCATCTGGAAAATGGCGATAAAATGCCATCCTTTCATATTTAGGATCATTCATTCGCTCAACAAGTACTTCCTACTTTGTGCTATGCTCTTGGGAAAAAAAATGAATGAGAGAAGGATCCTGCCCTCATGGTACTTGTATCTTATATTATCCAGAAGATAAAATAAGGCACTTACCAAAAATACTAACATTTACATATCAATGAAAGGCTATGCCTATTATATCTAATGATAGCAGCATGGCCTGTGAGTCTTTGGTCGTCTTTTTGGGGATATACAATGTATATTTTGGCTGTTACCTAAGCCATTCTCCAATATTACACCCCTCACTACCGCTATGTACACAGATAGTCTGCTCCACACTCAGAAAGGTAGGGACAACACCCTAGGATTTCCATAAAGCTTAGAAGGATTTCCTTCCTAAGAAATACCCAGTTTTGCTGCCAAACACTCCTCCCCTCCTACATGAAGGCCTGAGTCAAGAGATATCGTGGGTGGGAGAAGTTACCCTGCATGTCACCAGAACCTCAGCATGCACACTTTAAAATGAATTTCCAAATGCAAATTTGTTCCTAGATCCACAGCATGGCAAGTGAGATGCAGAAGCCTGGTTCCTGGAGGAGGAGCCAGCATTGATTCGTGGAGGGCAGTGTCCTCTCACAGGGGTAAGTGAGCAGGGGTAAATCATCGTTCCCATGAACTCCTCTCCATCTGCTCTCCCCACTCTGGGAACACTAGTGTGCTGCTCCACCTCCTTCTGCCCCCTCCTGGGATGGGCTCCAGAGGATGATAGGCAGGGCACCTAAATTCCCAGCTGACGGAAACGTGAATGTGCTCAGTAGCTAAAGGTGGCTCAGGAAGTTTGGAAGATTAGATGAGATGGTTCTCCCTCTCCCTCATTTAGATCACACACATTTTCCAACATGTAGGGGAGAAGAGGGAGCTCTGTATTTTTTATTTATCCAACAAATATGTATTGAACATCTACCATGTGTGGGACAGTGTCTTAGGTATTAGGAATACAACAAAGAAGAACCTCAAATCCTTACTGGTATTTAGATTACTAATACCGGGAGGAGTGGGAAAGACACATAGTAAACACATTAATGACCTATTAAATATATGCTGGGTCACCACTATGGACTGTATTGCGTCCCTCACCCCAATTCATATGTTGAAGTGTTGATATGTTCCCATCAATTCATATATTCCTATCAGCTCATATGTTCATATGTTGAACTCTCAATGTCACTATATCTGAAGATAGGGCTTTTAGTCAGTAAATAAGTTTAAATGTGGTCATAAGGGTAGGGTCCTAATCTGACCTTATAAGAAGAGGCAAAGAGCTTTCTCTTTCTCCCTACACAGGCATGCAGGCACGCGCGCGCGCGCACACACCCACACCCCCCCCCACACACACACAGAAAGGCCATGTGAGGACATAGTGAAAAGGTGTCTGTGTCTGCAGGCCAAGAAGAGACCCATAACCAGCACTGAACCAAGCTGGCACACTGATCTCAAGCTTCCAGCCTCCAGAACTGTGAGAAAATAAATGATTGTTATTTAAGCCACCCCATCTGGTGTTTTGCTTTGTAGCCTTGCTAACACTGTCAGGTAGCCCTAAGTGTGCTGAAGAAAACCCAAGTGGAATAAAGGGGTGGAGAGAGATCAAGAGAGGTGGTTAGGGAGACACTCTGAGGAGGGACATTGAGCAGAGAGCCCAGTGAAGCTCACATGTATCCAAAGGCAAGCCCTGGCCTGGAGTTTAAGAATGGCAACACTCAGGCATGGCAGGGTTTGTCCTTAGAAGCAAATGGGATTGCTGTTTTATCAGCATGTTTTTGAAAAATAGACTGTTCTCTTGCAGAGAGGAAATGTATAATTGGTGATCGCCTAGCTGTGTGAGCTTGGGCACGTTCCTTAAATCTCATGTCCCAGTTTGCTCAGTTGTGAAATGGGATAATAATCATCTTTACCTTGTTAGGTTGTTGGGAGGTTTAAATGAGTTAATATATGTAAAGTGCATGGACCCATGCCTGAAACACAGTCAGTGCTCAATAAATAGTAGCTATTATTATTGCTATCAATACAACTACTATCTCTATTATTACAACAACTGCTACTACTATTACTATTGGAAAGCCACAGGCAGAACATTATAAAAGAAATTTCAGCAATGGCATCTTTCAATTAAATCTTTTCTGAGCATCTTGGGCCTCACTACCTCTGGGAAAATAACTTTGCTTCTTTGTCTCCCTCAGCTCCTCAGAAGAGCCAAACCAATGATTAAGCTCACGTGTTGTGAACTGCAAAGTCATTTGAACAATTTCAAAGCCATCAGTGACAAAGGCTTTCTCCTGATGGATCTTTCTGCCCATTGAACTAGAACACTCATGGAAACATGTTCAGGCTCCCTCACTCCATGTAGGTCAGACTACAGGTAAAATATCCTTTCTGGTGCCAAAAACTCTTATCAGGATGAAGAATTTTCCTCTAGTTTCCCTGGGGAAGAGCAAAAAAAAAAAGTAGATAAAAAAAAAAACACAAGAAATAGAGTAGCAGGAGTGAAGGAGAAAAATTGAAAAGAAAGAGATAAATAGGGGGGGAATTTTAAGGACCATTAGTAATTTACTGTGGTCCCCAATGTTGACACAAGCAATCAAAATGGACCTGGAGAAGGGGATTATATGGGCTGACATTGTCTACTTTGATCTATACGTGCCTTATATTGGTAGATCTTTAAAGAAGTTACTTGGTATAAAGTTTATTTGAGTGCATTAAAATGAGTAAATAATATTGAAAAATGTTTTCATCCAGGCTATGCTTTTATGGAGGCAATTTTACAATTACTTAAAGTGAAGTGAAATTGTTTTGAATCTGCCAGACTGTAAGTTTCCTAAGGGTGGAATCTATGCAGGTTTTATTTTGAGTATTCTCGCCTTCTCAACGCCTGGTAAAACTGAGTTCATAAATGGTCAATAGCTGCTTATCTAGCAGTTATCTGGCAGCTTCTTGCATGTTTTCTTCAAAAGGACTCCAAATCTACTACTTTCCATAGACTTTCACTTTTTTTCTCCCATTCTTCCAGACTTTTTTTTCAACATGTTGTCATCAGAATTTTACACACCACAGCATTGCCCATCAAACAGACCTATTACTCATAAATGCTGATGTTATTTCTACGTGATAACGTAGAGTTGTCCTCCTTGATTTTGGTACAATTTTATGGAAAGCAGGTGGTCTGCCCATCATTTTATTTTGCTTTTTGGAGGAAAACTTGATATTTGGCACTAGGTATGACTGTACAAAATCTTCCTCACTAATGTGATTACACCGTGAGTCAAATGAAGACTTGAAGGGGGAAAAAGAATTTTGAAAATGAGGTCCTTTAGCAAGACTATTTGGACAGTAGCTATCTTTCCCCTCTGTAGCTATGAAATTAAGTGGGAGAGGAGGTGGTAAAAAAGAACCAGAAATTAGAAAGTTTTCAGGCAAGCGTGTGCAAATTAGAACTGCAGTAGAATGTGTTGATTTCTAATTTGAGGCAATTTCCCTAGAGACAACAGAGGCGTTTTGAAAAGACCATAGGATTTATCATCAGAAGCCATGCATTCATTTTCTGCTACTGCTGCATACTAGTGGTTTTGCCTTCAACAGTCATTTGACCTTGAACAGCCCCTTGGCCTGTCAGAAACACAATGTCCGTGTGTGTAAGATGAAAACAACAATATTTGCATCCCACAGGGATGATGAAGATGCTATGGGTGGGGGCTTTATGAACAATCAACCAAGATTTAAATACCTTTTCCAGGATTCATCTCTATGTTTCTTTTTCTTGCCTCTCCCATTTTCTAAAATCTTCAAGACAATGTTATTATTTCTTCACACACATCCTCCATTTCGAACTTCTGCCCACTCCTGTTGTTTATCTTTTCATTCGTTTTTATTCAAGTGGCTGCTAAGGGCTACTCTGCAAGGTGCGTGAACACACTCTCCTCAGGCTATCCCCAAATCAGGACAAGTCAGCTCAGATGAGGCTCACTTTTGCTGAACTTCAGATGCTTTTATCATTTTCCTTACAATTCTCTCCTATTTTTTGAAGTTTAGAGGAAGAAAACTGCCTGGATGCTAAGTGTTGAAGGAATCAGACAGAGCTTATTACAAACAATCTGGGTTTCTAAGTAAAAAGCAACATGAAATCCTTTTACCCACATTCAGATAGGTCTCTTGTGTTTCTTGAAGAGCAGTCGTGGGACTAGCTAACAACCTGGGGTATCAGTGGAAAATACTTTCCTTCATCTGACACGAACATGCAGGAAAAGTCTTAATGGGACATTGCAGTTGTTTTGCAAAAAAATGAAAGAAAAATCATTCTATGGGCTTGCTCCTCTTGACATGGTAGCGCTCAACTCCCAATATATATCTATGTATCTTATTCAGGATAATAAATGAACATTAAAATATTGTTTGTGTTTAAGGTCTCAGTAAGCGATAACTACTCACAACCTGGTTGGGGTTTATAGGAGTTCATAAAATATGCCAAGAACGTCTAAGCTTTCATTCCCTTGTATTGAATCTATAGTAAGGGAAGTATAATAAATGAAAATTAGGGCCAGGCACATTGGCTCACACCTGTAATCCCAGCACTTTGGGAGGCCGAGGTGGGCAGATCACTTGAGATCAGGAGTTTGAGACAATCCTGGCCAACATGGTGAAACCCCATCTCCACTAAAAATAACAAAAACTAGCTGGGAGTGGTGGCGGGCACCTGTAGTCCCAGCTACTTGGGAGGCTGAGGCAGGAGAATCACTTGAACCCAGGAGGCGGAGATTGCAGTGAGCATTGATCGTGCCACTGCACTCCAGCCTCAGTGACAGAGCAAGATTCTGTCTCAACAGCAACAACAACAACAACAACAACAACAACAACAACAACAAAAGAAAAAGAAATAGAAAATTAGGATTTCACAAAAACAAATTTTAAGAGGAAGATTACAAGATTACTCGCTAAGTTAGTGATGCCAAAAAAGGTAACTCCATTTTGAATCAATTATGGCTTATTTAAAATATCTCATTTTTAAGGTGGAGACATCCATTTACACACTTACATTGAATGAATAAAGACTGTCTATTTCATTTACTAAGTTTATGGATTACATCTAATTTATTTATATTGTTACTTAATAGTTTTTGGATGTGTACAATTCTGAAGAAATAAACTAAAATATGCCAGTATAATCATGTGTTTTAAATAAAGTTTCCTTACATTTCTAATAGTTTTTGTCTTATAGTTTTAGTTGCTATATTGTTGAGCACATGTGCATTTCAAATAATTTTAACTTCATCATTTCTATCCCATGGTGTTCTAGTAAATGGTTAGCAATTGGCTCTAGAGGAGGGGAGGAAGAAAGCCCTGATTTGTATCATTTCCAATTTCTACGGTGTAAATAATCACACTGTGGCCAATTTCAATATGATGTTATTGAACATGGAGTTAGGAAGATATGTTAACCATAGGCTCTTACAAGCTGGTACCAGCTAACGCCCTAACACCACTGATTTTACCTTTTTTTGGTGTTTAAACTTGACATTTCCCCTTGTCTAATCTTAATATTGTTACTGCTGAATTGTTTTGGTTTGGATTTGCCCTATGTCTTTGCATATTTCTTTATTCCCAATCGTTATAAATAAATTTTAAATGTTTCCCACAAATTGTATATAATGATTTGTGTGTGCATGTGTTTTGGAATGACAGGCTACTGTTTATTTAATCTGATACTGACGAAAAATTGGTCTATTTATATATGATATAATATGGATTTTACTTTCTTTTTGTTATTTATATGTTATTAGAAAGGGCATATATAATTAAACTTTATACTCAAAGAATTAGAGATAGGGAAACCCAGTTTTATGAACATCCAAGTAAATGCAGACAATTCTCTTCATTGAAACAAACATGCTTTTATGATCTTGGATGAGTAGAACTATTGTAATTTTTAAATTTTGTTTTCTATATACTTTTCACAGTGAAGGTAGATAGATTAATCTCACTTTGTATTGGAGGTAATGATTTTTAAGGAGAATTTTTATTATACTAGAATTTGTTATATTTCATTTTATTTATATTTTATGTAACTTCCCCTTTTTTAAACCAATGTAATATCTTAGCTTTTAGAAAAAGTGAGTAGAGAGGGAAAGAGTAGACCATGAATGAAATGCTGAACTTTGGCATATTTAATACTTGTTCAAATGTGATGTTTAAAATGTTGCTACTAAATAGATCTTTACCACTCTAATTTGAAGACTCTTCTCCCAAGTAAGGCATTTTACAAGGACTGCTGAAACCACAGCTGCCCAGCTGTGAGTAGAAGCCACTCTGCATACCTGTCCAATCCAGCTTTATACGTGGCCTAAAACAATGCAGCCCCTGATAACTCATTGTCAATTGACTGCTTGGCAGCTTCAAATATGACAGTCAAGTTCCAGCAACTGTCTCAAACTAAGGCTGTCTCATACAGTCATCATGGTCCCCCAAAATGGCCGGTAAGCAGTAGGGATGGAAAACGCTTTCCTCAGCTAGACTGACTGCTGAAATCCTGGCTCATCTAATTGCCATTTTTCCTAATGGTCTTGTCACGTAAAAGAGTTATACCCTGGTTTACAGAATGGACAGCCATCCTTACAAATCAGTGTTTTTAACAAAGCAGGCTTGATTTTCTCTAGCTATAGAGCTGCAGTGTCTTCTACTCTTTTCAAGATTATCTGAAGCTTCAGCAGATTTGTACTGCTTTGTGCTGTGTCTCTTCTCAACTCAGGTCCTAGGGGTTCTTGGAGCTTTAAAAAGAGTTTCATCTCTCACCTAAGGCTAATAAAATCAAACTCATGTCCCTTTCGCCCCCTGTTTAATGCCTTCCTGTATAATGCTCCAATTTGTAGACTCCAGCCAAGGGCCAATAAAGCAATTTCCCCCACATTTCATGATTTCCTGCTTATAATGCATTCTTTTTTTTTCCATTCTTTGAAAAACAACATTAACAGTGATGCTTTTAGTTTATCTCCAACTGCCTGCAGAATGCAAGAATGGAGGGAAGGACAGAGCTTGCCCAGCAAAGCTTTAGCCAAGAGAGGAGTCGACCAGCTTGGCAGCCTCTCCTTTCCCCCAGAGGCTCCATTTGAAAGCCTTAAGCAGCCTCTGGAACCCTTGTCTGCGATTCAACACTAGAACAGTCTTTACACATTTTTCTGCTCCTACCTCATGAAACAGATAGAGAGGTCTTTCTAAAAATGTAAATCAGTTTTGTCATTCTGCTAGGAACTCTTCTGTAGTTTCTGGCTGCACTTCAAAAACATCCCATCTTACCTCCAAGTCTGCAAGTTCCTTGAGCCCTGCCTACTTTTCTGATTTCCTCTCATACAACTCTCCTTCAGACTTATTACTACTTAACCCTTCCATTTTTTTTTTAAGATAACAAGCCATTCTTTGGGACCTTTGCTATTTTTCTATCTAGAATGCTGCTCTTCCCACAGAAATTCATCTGGCTGGCTCCTGCCTATCATCCTCATGTCAGCAAAATTGCATTTCAGAAAAGCCTCCTTTGGCTGGTTGATTTAACGTAGTCTCTGTCGCTCTCCATTGCATCACCCAGTTTTACTGTCTTCATAGCAGTTCTCACTGTGGGAAAACATCTTGTTCATTTATTTGTCAAGTAGTTCATTTTTTGACTCTTCTTTCAAGAGCAGCACTGTCCAGCAGAAAGGCAAGCCACCTATGTAATTTTTCTAGTAGCCACAAGTAAAAGAAACAAAACACATTTTAGTTGTGTATTTTATTTTACCTAATACAATCAACAACTATCACTTTGATGTGTAATCAATATTAAAAATTTTATTAATGAGATATTTTACATTCTTCTCTTTTATACAAAGTCCTTGAAATCCAATGTGAACGTCGCTCTTCTAGTACATGTCCACTGGAACTGGCCACGTTTCAAGTGCTCCATCACGACACATGCTGGTGGTTACTGTACCACTGTACTGCTAGTGAAGCTCTAGAATGTAACCCTTCTGTGAGCAGGGACCTTTCCGGTCTTGTTCACTGCAGCATCCCTTATGTTTATAGAAAGACTAGTGCCTGACACACAGTGGCCATTCAATAAATATTTGTTGAGTAAGAGAATAGTTCAAAGAATTTTGAGATCACAATGGAATTCTTAAGTAAAGATTGAGTATCTATCTTTATATACAATTTCAAAGGCTTTCAAAAATCTAAATAAATCAATTAATTAACTTGGATGACGACAAGTACTTATTTAATAATGTAAGTATGAATTTGGCGGGAAAGTCCCAGTCTTTTGTATGCTTCACAATCTCCTGGATATTGCCCAGCTCCCCTCTGGCATCCACTGAGCCCTTACATGCAATGCCCTCTCTCTGCTCACCTCACTAGAGCCTTATCATCCCAGCTCAAATTCTCACTACAATGAGAAGCAGATCTCCTCCAGGCACACTTGGACACACCTTCACTTGGGATCCCACTGCACTGTGGATAGTGATATATTACAGCATTATACCTGTTTTCTTAAAATAGAGGTGTCCTCTTTCTTTGTCTCAATTTCTGAAAGGAGACTTCTGATACCACTCTTGGATTGGTAATAGCACTAGAGCATCACTTTAGACCTCTTCACGGGAAGACATAATTAATTTACCTCATTAGTAAGATGAAAAAAGTCTGATGTCTACTGGTCTCTGCGTGTCAATTGGGTGCAATCAATGTATCTCAACTGTCCTTACCCCAGAGAGAAAGGAGTGTAACTGACTCCACAGAGCCTTTCACATGTGATACATTGGAGATAAAATGTTAAGCATACAAAAGCATCCAATAAAAATAAAAAATATCTTTATTGTTGAAAAATCTGGATTGGACATTGTAAGTAAAGGGTTAGCATCAGGTCTGAGCTAACCCAGGCCTACGCTGAAGAACCATCTCAGAGTTGCCTTCTCATAGCACTCATAGTTTAGAAGCTACAGAGTTAAGAAGAATACAGCATGCCATGTCTGCCTTGTTGGTGGTGGCACTGCACATGGGTGGGGAGCTGCAGGGTAGCATAGAGACCTGGGCATCTAAACCAGAACAGTTTTGAAAGACTAGTTGGAAACTGAGGACAGAGTCTCTGTGGTAAAGTGACCCCCAGGTGTTTAGTTCTTGTCCATGGTGGCCGCACACACTCTGTGAGGAAGCAATGGAAGCTGTGTACCTGGGTGGGTTCTGTCTCATCTGATGACATTAAGATGCTTCACCTGCTGTGTCCGTTGCCCTGTATCCATCCATAAAGCTATAGAACTGTAGTATTAGGCTAAAGCTTATTGTGCCTTCTGAGTTGAACAACTTGAGCTGTACTTAACTGGTACTTTAACAACCACTGCATCAGGGCAGAGACCTGCAGCCAGGATCAGGCTTTCTAATTATTCCCCTCATCTTGGTCCTGAGAATCAGCAGCTGGGAGGAAACTGCTCATGGAGGACACTTACTCAATTGTTCTGCAATTAATTGAGCCTTCCTTCTCACCCATCCAGTCTACTGGGGAAAGCTGGTGATGGGAATAAGAAATGAGAGAACAAGATCCCCTGTGCTCATGGCTTCTAAGCACACCTTTACCCCACTGGAAGGCTTGAACCAAGGGATGTCAAATTCTTGCCACTTGCCAGTTAAATCAATCAATTCCTCATGGATAGGAGTGACTCAGGGTGGAAAGAATTTGTGTTTTTCTGTTACAAATTCAGAGACTAAGGAACATGGGCCTGCTAATATTTTGTAAGCATGATTCTCTCTCCAGTGCAATACTCACTCCTTCAAGTTTGGGCCTTGTTCACCTCTATATCCCTAGCCAAGAACTCGAGTAATAATTTCAATAAATACATGAATTTAAAGTGAATGACCATTCAGTCATCAGCCCTTAATTTCTACATTATACAAATTTTATTGTTTCACTTCACCAAAATTTACAGTAGAAGCTACGGAAAGATTATATGTATGAGATTCGCGTTGCTTCTTTCTTCTGAAGATCTCCAAGTTGTGCACATGAAAAACATTTATGCAAAATTAATCTTATTCATGTTCTTGCTAATCTGCAAAGTCGGAACTATCATCAGTGTTGGAAAATCGAGAACTTTTTTTTTTTATTATACTTTAAGTTCTAGGGTACCTGTGCACAACATGCAATGCAGCCAAAAGACACATGAGAACATTTTGAATAAGTACCAAGTACCAAAGAGGCTATTTCAATTTTTGCAATTTCACACAAAAGCCAAGTGTTTTGGGAATCATAAAGATCAGTTTCTGTAAACCTGTATAGCTCTTAACACAGCAGTCAATTCCAAGCAAGGGAGTAGAGGCTGGGAAAATAGAAAATAGTCAGAAAAGACTGCTTTTTTAATAGATAAAGGGAAACTATCCACACAAGGAAATGCTACTATCAAATTGGTGCCAAATAGGAATATACAATAAAGAAATTATTTGAATAATCTGACTAATAGTATCTCTAAGAGCTCTTCCTGACACACTGTGAAGAGTTACCATTGAACAGGAATCGTCTATAGGAATGTTACAGGTGTCACAGGAGAGGATTGATAGAATTGAATCTAAGGAAATACACAAAAACATCTAGACTGTTACTCAAGCCAAAACTTTGGGGATATGATTAATTTTCAATCCAGATTTAAGGTAAATTATCTGACTTGAACTTTGAACTTATGATCAGATAAAAAATTTTGATTGCCTCTATAGTCATTTTTTGCTAAGACAGGCCCAATGAACACGAGATAGAAAAGCAAGGTGAGCAATAGTAGTTAAGACTGGTTAAATATTAGCCTGACTTAATTAATTAAAGCTAGATAGTGATCCTGTGAAAAGGATAAGGCATGAGTCAACAAGCAGAAGTAGTCTATGAGCCAGAATCTCTTAATGCACTCAACTAAGTTTGTGGAAAGCAAGAATGATTTCAGGACCCTAAAGAAGTATTCTGTTGCAGTAGCCTGCAAGTGTTAAACATTGTTGCATCATTGAAATGTGTCTTTATCTGATCACAGATACTAAAATTAATCTTCAATCATCTTCAGGATTATTATGCACATGCTTTACTTTCAAGTTCAACTGCACATCTTGCTGATTAATTAAACCATTCAATGTCTGTTTACACGTTTCACAATTTTGTCTAATACTCACTCAATTTTACTGCCCAGAAGGAGGATGCTAATTTAGAAACAGAAAATACTCATCAAGAAAATATAATTTAGAAAGAGAAGACCAGGGACAGAAGAATCAGTTCAGGTCAGGGCTAGTTCAGGTCTAATTCTGAGAGATGATGCTGGGTGCTCGGGAGGAGCATTAGAGAAAGGATGGGCAGCTGGGTGTCCAAACAGCTCAACCAGAATTTGATCTCCACAAAATGCCCTCCATTGTTTTCTTTGAAATAGTGTGGCTGAAAAATAATATCATAAAAGCTCCCATTAAAATGTACATATGAAAAACACATTAAAATAAAAAATTGGCTCTTGGAATTATCTCTGCCATTTCCACTTGTATTAAGACAGTTAATTGAGGTCATATTGTATTTGTTAACTTATTATTTTCACATAATTGTTTATAGAGATTAGGAGAAACTATATACTTAATAGAAAATATAAATGCTTGCCTGATAGCAGAGGGTCGGTGGAGAGAAAAGTAACAAAACAAATGGAAAAAAGAAAAAAGATGGCTCAAATAAAATACTTAGTAAAAATGATTTGAGGCCAAGTTAAAAAAAAATCTGGTGAATGGCTTTTTAAAGATCTAAAGCAATTTCAAAACCTAAGAGAAAAGAGAGAGAAAAAATGATCTAGAAATAGAGCAAAATGGAACTAGAAAAATACTGGCTTGAAAATGTGAAACTATAAATCTAAAATTAAAACTTCCAGATATATGTTATAGAAAATATTTTTTTCCTTTTTGTAAGGAGCTAAGGATTTGGGAGTGAGGGGGTAATCAGACTGTAAGCAAAACTAAAGATGACTAAAAAGAAATGTGAGGGTATAAAATACATGTATTTTTTCTTTTTGGTAATGCTTTATTAAATGTTCCAAAGTAATGACCTATAGAAGGCAGACCCTTATTTTCAGGAGGTATCTATGCCTCAAGAGTCTGGGGATGCTCTTTCAGATTTGTCCTACGAGTCTGCTGCAGGGCATTGTTCTATGCATGGTTCTTTAATTTGGGGCTGACTCAGTACTCCTATCACTGCTTATGAAGCTGGGGGAGCTGCAGATCAGCAGGTACTGGCAAACCTCAGCAAGAGTCCTTTTAAGAGCCAAAAAATATTGGCCTGACCCCATTGTGCGTCCTGTTATATACAACTGAGGGAATAAAACACACCCAGGGATTCTGGAAACAAAACAGTATGAACACTGCATCTCATGAGCCCTAGTAGATAAAGCACTGAGTAACACTGTGAGGTAAAAGTAAGTTATGTCCATTAGAGGACCGGCAGGTAGGCCTCCTTCCAAGGGCCAGTTCTGATTCATTCATGGCGGCTGTCTGGAGCACTTCTTTGGGAATGATGCCTAGGCTAAGTCTCAAATCAAAGGGAAAAAAATACTGGAAAAAATAAACTTATAATGCAGGGGTAATAGAAGTCATTCTTAACACATATTTGTCACTCCTGAGATAAATAGTATCTAGAGAGATTTACTTGTGTTGCTGATGGAATAACCCAAAAGTAATTGTAGTGAGATTAAGCATATAGTCCCAGAAAGACATCATATACTTATCTACACACACACACACACACAAACACATGCACACACACTTGTAACAAGGGATGCAGGATACAGTCACAGGAAAACACTTTTTTTGTGAAAAATAGCACACATTAGAATAGATACTTTTTTTGGTTTATTTAAAAATTGGTTCCTTAATAATCAACTGCTTGTAGATTAGATTTTTCTGTATTTAAAAAAATAGCTTAGGGAAGAAATCCATTTGTATATATACCCAATTATGTAAATTACTTAACATTTACACAATTATGTGAATTACTTCCTTACTCTCTTCACAATTAATTATCTCTGCAGCCAGCTGTGTGGGGGGCTGGCAGCTCCTGTTATAACACAGCTGTTTTTCCCACATTTCAGCAGCACTCTCTTCCGGTTTGTCAGGGATCCCAGAAAGAAAAGTTACTCTCATTACAAGAAATCTTGAGATTTTGGTTAACCACAAAGAACTAATGGCCTCATTCTAATGCACATTCCATTGAAAAAACATAAAAATTCATTAGTAAGACCTACAAACATTTTGTCAGTGCCTATGTTAAGGCATTTTAAAACCCTTTGCAAAATCACTATTCTAATCTAATTATACAATGATCCCTTATTGCTCAATTTTTTACTAGTCTATTTAAGTAGGTTTTTATTTGTTATTTGCATTTCCCATATTACTTAAAAAGCAGTAGGGCGAGAGAGGCCATGGATAAACCTGGCGTCACACATACCGGATGTATGTGCAATTGGAATTCACCTTCTTTCTTTAAAATACCCTGGAAAGGTAGTTTTTGTTTTTAATTTTAAAAAAAATCTCCTTTAGCATTGTTTCTTCTTAAAATTCTGAGGTAAGAAGACATATAACTGAAATGCTCAGTGTCACACTGTTACTGCATGCTTGTCCCTATTTAGTTACCAGACAAGTACACTGTTTACAAGTACAGCAAGCCTTAGTAGAAACATCAATATGGGATGTGCTCACATTGGCAAGTGCATAAGAGAACTGACAGGCCTTTGTGTATTTGAGTTAATGACAAGCTGACAGATAGCATCTTTTCACCTGTAATTGGACAACAAAAGGACCAGAAGAGAGACAGGCTCCCTTGCTAGTGTTCCAGCACCTCATTTGTTAGCTGCCTCGCTCTTTACCATTAGGGATATAAGGATTAATACCGCTTGAGTTTTTTTCTAATGTCTACATTATTTTTAAGCCTAAACTATAGAAACATAAAACTCAAAAGGCTGAAAAAGAAGGTTTAATTTTCAAAATTAGTAATTTCTAAAAAAATCTATGAATCAACCATGGAAAAATAAATTTATTCATTCCAAACTAATCTTTCAGTCATCATCCAAGAAAGCAACGTCTGCCATTGTAGTCGGAGACATTAAGGGAAGATTAACAGGTAAAGATTACTTTCAATCAGATATCTTTGTTATTGTCATCATCATCTTCATGTAGCCTTTACCAAATACCTTTCTGTACATTTCATTAATAGCCAACTGCTGCTTTGGGTATTAATTAACAAATCAGAATATTCCACACTGACAGAGAGATAAAGAACGTGTAGAGAATTGAAAAACATCAAATATATGGGTCAAAAAGGTAAAGTGCACATTCTTATTTTATGAATAGGAAAGTATTGCAAAACGGAGAGCCATGAGAATTGTTATTTTAATTGGGTTCAAGTTTCAGTTAAACAGTTTTTCTTTTCTAACTATAGAAATTTTAAAAATAGCTTAGTAATCCTTCAAAATAAAATTGTGTTCACCTATCATTTTAATGGTTAAGAAACTATCCCTGTAGCACAATTTAGTTAGGGCACAGATAGCAAGAAGCTGTAAATGTGCTAAAAGGGCTTTTCTTTTGGGACAGTAATGGTTTGACTACAAGCCTCAGCATATTAAAAATATAAGGGTTTGTAACCTGCTTAAAGAAGGAGAAAAAATAGTTTCTGAAATGGAATGAGAAAGGGTCAGAAACAAAAACAATCTATTTTTTAAGAGATTGGTTTAGAAGAGGCATGTTATTTAGAAATTATTGTTGCCTGACAAGAAAACACTAGAATAGAAAAACAGCACTTTTTGGCTTATGGGAGGAAAGCTCACAGGGCCATTAAAATTGAAAAGTTAGTACATGCAGATAGAATGGTCAAGATGAGGCCAGACTTGCTGCCACAGAGGTCATAAATTATTCTCAAAAAAAAAAAAAAAAAAAAACCGGGCAAATAAGATGAACAATATCACTGACTTCCAAGCTTGGTGGCCAAGAACAAGATTCTTTGAAAGAATGGGTTATTTTTAATAATGATAACAACAATGGTAGTTTGTAGTAAATGTTTCAAATGCATCAGGCTCCATGCCAGGAGTTTTACATGCGCTGTCTCCTGTAATCACTGCACCAATCTGATGTAGTGGTAGACTCATAAACATTACAATCCACTTTTAAATATGGGAAAACAGGCTTAGTGAGGTTGCATAGCTTGACTTTGGTTACATTCTAAGTTTCAGAGACAGTAGTTAACTCTTCTTTGATTCTACAGCTCTTGGATCTGTTCTAGTTACTGTTCCACATTCTCTGAGCTATCTACTGCCTTTAAATGAAAGTGAAATCCTAAGAAGCACTTGCAAAATGCAGTGCAGGAAGAAGGCACAGGTTGCCTAGTAGTTAGTCTCAAGAGAAATATGATCCCAGTAGAGTTGACGCAGTACAGCAAACTGCAAAACATATCAGATAAAAAGAAGAGCTTTGACTATGAAAGCCTTTGACTCAGCAACATAAGTCAGCACCAGAAAGGGCTCTACGAGACAAGCCAGAGATGAGTGAGAAACAGAAACATGGGCATAGCAGAATGGCAGCCATTCATATAGAAATACATATCTATTTGAATTTCAACTTAAGTAAACACTGGGGTAACCCAAAGAGTGATGGTAGCCTACCTATTCTGAAATTTTACTGCTAGAAAAGACCATTGGTCTGGCAAGGAAAAGTGCGGGATCGAAAAATCAAATGGCATTAGGCAGTTCAAGCACAAAGCCTGAGGTCCGCTCTGGCCATTTGTGGCTTTTGCTCAAATAGAAATTCCTGAACTTGCATAGACTCAAAGTAGTGTGGTTTAGTGACTTGGTGAGGATTACTTTCGTTTGATTCTGCCAGACCTCTAATTCACTAACATCATTGTCCTAAGTTCCATGTGGAAACTCAGGTACAGAGTGGATTTCTTAGGAAGATGTTGGGATCATGGAGGAGAGAAATTGGAAAATGAGTCGTGATCAAAATGCTCTTTTTTGAAAGCTATTTTATGACACCAGACTGCAAGAATTAAAATCACATTAGGATGTCAGTAGCAACATTTACACACTGCCTAAACCAGCAATGGCCACTTTTTTCATAATCATGAATCCCCATTGCTTCTACAGAATATGTTTAGACAATATATGTAGGATATATATGTGTAAGTCAGTAGATTTGAAACATTGTAACAATGATTCCTAAAATTAGAGTATTACAAAATAGCCCTGAGATCTCAAAAGCCTAAACATTTATGTAAAGGCAACTTCTAATCTCATTTTTAAAGTTTGGTACTTTCTATTACTGTGAAAGAAATATGGATTGGCTATCAAGGGACTTCCACCACTAATCAATATTGGACAAAGATCATCTCACTTCTCTGTGTGTCTATGTCTTCACTTTTAAAGTGAGAGAGACAGGCTGAGTGTTTATACTAGAAAAAGCTTTAATTTCAAGGAAATCTGACTAGAATCCCAACATGGAAAAACAGATGAAAACGGGTTCATTCGTTGAAGCAGAGATGGGGGCCGGAAGGAACGTAAGGATGAAATGGAGGGATGGGGGAAATGGAGAGGTCAGTGAAGGTCTGACAAGTAGAAGCAGCAGTGGCAGTGACATAGTTAAACTGGGAAACAAACAGGATGTGGCAACTGGAAGGCAGGCTGTCTGAACTAGGGATTTTGGAAGCAGACCGGTGTTGCATCTTAAGGACAGATGGCAAGGGCCAGAGTGTACTGGCATCTGTGGTGCAGAGAAGACAATTTGTGTGAAGGAAACCACGTGGCTCCGGTGATGAATGGGTTGACATATGGAATTAAGTTGGAAAGAGTGACTGACCTGATGCAGAAGATTCTGGAAAGGCAGTGAGTGACAGCACAAGGAGGGAAAAATGGGGTCAACTTAGCACCAGCCCCCAGCAAGGAGAGGGAAGAAAAATTTGGAAATGACAATGGAGGAAAAAGCAGACTGTGACTCAGTCCCCCAGCCCTGAGATGAGTGGATTTGAAAGAGTCAACAGTAAATCACTGGGAGATCCAGAGGGGAACAGGTGATGTCAGTTAAGTCAATTTCAAATAATTTTCAAATTTCAAATAAGAAAACTCAGAAAGAACTTTCTGAGAAGCCATTGGGTTTACTGAGTTTAAAGAAGAAATTCTTTCTGGAATTACTGAACGGTAGCCGTGTTTCTCCTCCAGGCATTATCCAATATCAACAAGTTTGAGATTTATAGTTGGCTCAGATTCCATTGGTCGGTCAGGGTGGTGATGTGTGTGGTATGTGTGGTGTGTTGCAGGCAGTGTGAAAGGGGTGTGAGAGAGGAGGTCAGATCTGGTCTCCTGAAAAATCGCTTACAGGATTATAAAAACCACTATGCTCAAGCATCACATATAGGTATTCAAAAATGCATATGATAAACATAGATAACTTGATTTTTCTCTTGTGTATTCAGTTGATATGCTAAGGCAATAATTTTGATCAAGAGAAACACACAACAGAGCCCTAAGTGAAAGGTCTGAAATAATGTTATGTCAGTTATTAACTGACAAGAAACCAGCAAATGTTTATAATTGGAAGAAAAAAATCAATAGTTTTTTATGACAAAGTTCAGCATCAAAATGATCTGGAGACTGCCCTACAGAATTAAAGGCTCATAATACCAAGTTGCATTTCTCTGAAATAACCAAATACAAATGCAGTCTCCCTCTGCCACTTCTCTCTGTCTAAGCAAATACACCCACTGCAAAAGGAACCAAAGGAACAAGAAAACTACATCGTAAGTACCAAAAATGATGACTTTATTGAACACCTATTGTACTTACTTTGCTTTATTATCCACAGCTAATGCCATGCTCCCCCCACTCCCACCTCCCATCTTACCCATCGAAAGAGTGAGGCACTGTAGGAAGGGAACATGCTTTGCTACATACTATTAGATAATATCATCAGCTGGACAGTATTGACATCTTTACATACATAAAATAATGATCATAGTTGCATTAGAATAACCACATTAGCAAAAGATTTAAAATGAGATAATTGTACAGGGAACCATTTAAAATGGAATGATTATATTTTAATTTTACATCTGATTGTGCAAAACTGTAAATGCAAACCAGAGGCTGTGTGGAGTAGAGAGGAACATGAATTCACCAACCCGTGGATAATTATCCTTTGTAAACTCCAAATTCAAAGGCTAAACATTTACTACGCTTCATGCTCTTTGATCGTACTCTTTAGGCGAAGAAAGTGTTGACTGAGCATTGTTCCCCAGTAAGGCTTGTGAAAATCAAATACATTTCTGAACTGTAAATACAATTTCATAGGCTAATAGTCACTAATAGCTTGTAATTAATGAACAGCATATTAGGTAAATAAACCACGTTGAAATTTCAGCTGAAGCTTCATACTTGAAGGGTTCTCCTTTCAATTATTCTGAAGGCAGTGAAGTCTGTGTCCCCAGATTTTTTGGGAATTTGCTTGCACATTTTACCATCTACCATCTCAAAACTCTCTTCCAGTTGCTACTTTCTCCCTCCCCATTAAAACCTGCTTTCAGGAAAGGATCTAAAAATATAATACACAATCAGATAGTCCTTGAATTTTAAATGGTGCAACAAGCTTTGTACCAGTGAACAGAGCAATGCAATTTAGTTGAAAGACATAGCAGTGATTTTGGAGAAAGGAAGTGAGAGCCATATTGGCCTAGGTTTGAGTCCTTGATTTGTTATTTGCTGGATACATATTCTTGAGAAATTACTCAATCTTTCTGATCTTTAATTTCCTTATTTACAAAATGGAGATAATCATTCCCAAGACAACTCTAGCTTCTGTGGAACTTTGTGCATATTGGAAAAGCCTTTCCCTCCAGGTAGACTCATCTTCTTGGGTTCATAGATCATCAAGAGGAGTGCAGCCTGGATTTGAGCCCTATCATCCCTCAGGCAAATGCCTTTATTCAGTACACAAACAGTACTAGAATACATGACAGCCCTGATGACAGTTACCTTGCTGGGCTGTTACCATCATGAAAGGAAATGGTATATGTGAACATGCCTTATCACTGGGCTATGGCCCAGTCATTACTAATTTTTTCAAAGCTATTTTCTTACAGTTCTTTCATCTTGTATTTCATAATCATACACACCTGCATACATATACATCACTTAATAAGTTGGATAATACGTAAATAATAATAAATTTATGTTAATAAGTAATTCATAAATAATAATAAATGTACTTGAAACAGAGCATGGAGCAGGGTGACTACCTTTCTCAGGGTAGGTGCCCACAGAGGCAAGTTGCTTATCACTTACAGAAAGGCCAAGTGTGATTATCTGGTAGAGTCAGTTTATAGTCAAGGTTAGGTAGGAGCTTCTGCTCAGAGTAGATGGTCCTGGGCTCGAAATCTATGTGTGTGACTTATTCTAGAAACTATTCCATAACTCGAAAGCAGGCTGCTACAGAGTTGTATTATTAATATAATTTGGTAGTGCCCAAAAAACTGGAGCCTGACCGTCTGGGTCATTTCCTACCTCCATCACTTTGTGTTGTATGACTCAGGCCAGGTTGCTTATCTCTGTTTCAGATACCTCATCTATAAAATATGCTAAAATAAAATAAATAGGAGGGAGGAAGAATAACATCTATTGAGGCTGTTGTGAAGACTTCATGCATTAATTTAGACAAAGGTTTAGAACAGTGCCTTACACATAATCAGTGGGAGGTATGTGTTCATCATTGTCATCATCATCACCATCACCATCTTCACCATCAGTATCATTATTACAAAAGCATCAGCATCATTACAATACTTAGCACAGTACTTTATTATTTATGTAACCATGTTTTAAATGATGGCCCTGTTTTCTGATATTATTATTTTCCTAACTTATCTGTATCTCTAATTTTTCTTCAACAAATATGTATTTCTTTGGAGTAAAAACAATAGAATTTACAATAATAAAATAGTGGTTAAAATTATCTTGGTGCTAAGAAATAAATACAAAGAGATATCAAAAATAATCTCTTCTACCAAGAATGTAAATATGTCGATGGGGAGTCAGAGTATATTATAAACAAATAAATAGGCAGAGTGTAAACAGGGATTGGATTGAAGGCTGAGCTCAGCTTCTTACCTTGCCCTGCAGCCATTTTGAGGCTATACTCACTACTTTTTCTGTCTTACCACTTCCAAGATGTATCTATCTATCTATCTATCTATCTATCTATCTATCTATCATCTATCTACCTATCTATCTATCTACCTATCTATCTATGTATCTGTCTATCTATCATCTGTCTAATAGATATCTAGAGATAGAGCAAAAGGAGATAGAGATAGAGGGAGAAAGAACAGGAGAGCATGAGAGAGAGAAAGAGAAATGTTTTGCTAAGTGTTTTGTGTCGATATGGGGAAGAGAAGTCACATCCACACTGGATAGCTCCATAATAAAATTCTCATCATACATCCTGGTTTTTCTTTACTTCTTTGCACCCTCAGAGGCTCTTTGGCTCTTTCCTCTATCTTCCCCCTACATTCTGTCTCAGAGGTTCATCTATCATAACGTCGAGGCATCTTGGAAAATATTCACACTTTTGCTTCTCCATGTTACACTTCACTTCCCCCTCACCTTTCCCCAACTTCAAAACCTTTATCGTTTACAGTTCTCCATCTCTCATTCAAGGCTTCCTTCACCCAGGCTCATTCTAACCCCACTTCCCTAAATTACACACTTATTATGTAAATGTGTAAACTGTCTATTCAGTCAGTCCTGGTTTTTCATTTATTCAACACATATTTATTGAGCAACTACTATGTACCAGGCACCAAGCCAGGAACTATCTGTCTAATTCTACCCCCTGTCCAGTGTCTAGCCAGGTCTAACTCTCTGCCTCCTCTGGAACTACTATGTAGCACTTAGTGTCCACAGAAGCTATCTTAGCCTTTAACTGTTTTAGGTGTTGACATTTTCCTAACTGGACTCTCCTTGCAAGAAAGAGCTTGTCATATATGTCTAGGTGTTCAGTCTGTCATCTAGAATATATGCTCCACTAGGGCAGGAATGTGCATTGTCTGTTTTGTTCCTTTGTGAAGCCAAGTGCTGGGAAAGTGTTTATTATATGACTGATGCCCAGAAACATTTTCTAAAATGATGAATGAATCTCCCTCAGCAACTAGCAGGATGTTAAGCACGTATTATTTGCTTTCAATCAACACCAAGACAACTGAGTGTTTAACATAAATTATGAGATTTTTCCCTAAATGTCTACAAAACTACATAATTTTTGAGCAGTTCCAAAAAATACTGTTTTTGTGCCCAAGGACATACTAACAGATTCGAGAGTTTCCATGCAGTTGTGGCAAGAATAACTAGGACACCATTGCTCCTTAAAGATGAAAGTTCACCAATATTTTGAAAAGTACAAATAATTACCAAATGAACTCATTCTTCTATACATTATCCACAGCTTATCAGTTGTATGCATGGCTCACTGATAGGTTCTACTTTCAAGGATTTCATTAATTGTATTACTTGGTGTTACTAACAACACTGCTCAGTAATGATGACAATTTGTTGACCATTAAAGATAGTTGTTTATAATTTACACACTTTAGTTAGAATGCTAGAATAATGCTATCATTTCATAATCAAGCATTGTTTGACACTTAAAAAAACTAGGATTTTATAAATAACTCAGTGTATAAAGACAAAAAAGTGGAGTTGTTCTGATGATACTGGAAGAAGGAGAGTAAAAAGAGTGCAGAGCCCCACCTGCTTACTACACCTCCTTCATCTTCACCCAAGGCATCCCCACCTCCACGTGGCACTAAGCAGAACCCTACAGTCATGCAGAACACAGTTCAAATTACACTGAACCAGCACCAGCTTCTTACCTAACAAAGAAGAAAGGAATGTCAAAGAGGTTAAGAGACCTGCCAAATTTCTTTCATATCCCCATAAGGGATGCCGGATCTCCAGTCCAGGGGTGTTTCCACCATGCTATAACTGCCCCTAAACCAAGGTCATCACTGACAGTTGGCATTCTTGCCTAAATTATTCCAGGCATTTTCACACCTCCAAGGAGGGAGGCCTACTTCCATCCTACTAGGCTAGTTTTGATTCCTCTCTCTACTTTCCCTTCGGTTTTGAATCTAGTTTTTAGGAAATGTCAGATTACCAACTCGTTTAACACTTTTTTTCCATGACCCTTAAATTGTTCTCCTGAAACTTCCGTCATGAAGGTAGTTAGATTAGCACTTAGAGGTGTTCTAGCATAATATTTAGTGCCTATAGAATGCTTTTCACCTCAAAGGCAACTGTCTACAGGGCAATTTTCATGGATGAAAGACGTAGGCAAACAGTCACATATGTTGGTGCATTTATAAAGCAGTTTCATTTAAAGCCCCAAGGCCTTAAATGGTACCTTGACAAACAGATGTCTATTCTTTTTATTATTATTATACATTTACACAGACACACATCATTAGTTCTTTATTGACATCCTGTTTTATTTTTATCTGGTTTTAATGCTAGCTGTGAATGTCATCATAAAACTGTCTTCTAGAATACCTGCTGATAGGGAAGAGGAAAAGGATGAATCAAAACTTGGTACCATATTGGGGAGGAGAGCCCTCAGGATCCCTGCTGCCTGCATGACTGAACAGCAGATGAAACACACTGAACGTTCCACTGAACGTTGAGTCAGTGGAAGATGGAGCTTGCAAGGCTGTCTTGGAGAGTATCAGTGCTCCCAGCTTAGCATTAAAATGCAGCCTGGTGGTCACTGGAGTTCTCAGCTCTGATGTCTGAATGCCACAGGCCTGGGGAAAACCCCAGGCCTGTGGCTGCTGGAGGGAATGCAATTAGGGCCTCTGAGAGAGAGAAGACCAATATTTAATTGGCTCATCCCAAGTTATCTACCAACAGTTGGGCTTCTCTCCTTCAACTCCTGCCTGGTTGATATTACTCAGTTTTTGGGGTTTTTTGTTTGTTTGTTTTTTGTTTTTTGTTTTTCAGGTTTTTTGCTGTCATTTTTGTTGTACTTCATTTTTTTCCTTACCATTCAATTTTGCTTTTGGAGGAAAGCTCTCAAGAAAGACACTTTCAGGACCATCCAGATTATCTAATTTCAATGACTGACTGAACTTCAAATATGTAATTTAGGCTTTCCCAAGCTGCTCGATGATATGATGCAGTGTTGCTTTAGACTGTACATTATTTTTCATATGGTGGAAGTGTAATGTGAATCATTCTAATAGCTCCTGGCATCACATCCACCTACTCTCTCTCTTTGTGCAAGTAATATTCATGCATGTGAGCAGTGTGCATCAAAGAGCATATAGGAAATCACAGTGGAACTGTGGGGATAGCATGGCTTCCACAAAAGTCATATAACTGTAGCTTGCATCCATAGAAATACAGTGCCCACTACAAGGAGAGGTTATAAACTGGACTGCTCCAGTCAGGCTATATGTGTAGCTAAGTGTTAAGTTTTGTCCAGACACATTTTAAGATGGGTATTGAAATACTGTCATTTAGAATACAATCTGAGTTCTTGTCCTGTCCTACATGAGCTTGTGGTGGGGGGCTCCCCATGTGCATTATCAGGCCATCTTCCAACACTTTCCCCCTCTGAGCATCTTTTTTTTCCTGGCTCAGGTCTAGCTCATTCTACCCAGGGCCTTTCACTTACAAAGTCCTCCTGCTTCAAAACCTCTTCCTCTTCCATGCTAGTTAATTATCCCCATTCAGGTCTTAGAGAAACCTCCCTGATCATCTGAAGGCTTGTCTTCTAGTTTCACACGTGCACTGCCACACACACACACACACACACACACACACACATCCCTTGTCACTCTCCTATCTCCCTTTGTCATTTTCATCTTGGCACGAATCACTCTCTGAAATGATCCTCTGTGTGTGTGTGTGTGTGTAACGCTTATCTTATCATCTGATTCCTTTGCTCCTCTGTAAGCCTCATGAGAGGAGGGGCCTTCCCTTCCTTGTTTCTCACCATATCACCAGCTCCTAGAGCAGTGCTGACACATGGCAGGAACTCAGTGATTATCTGTTCAATGAATCATAAGTAAATGAAGAGAGTATGTCTGGTGTTGGCTGACCAGGGTTGTGAAGGGACAGAAGGGGCTTATCTGAAAAACTACTGAAGCATAGGGAATTTGAGCCTGGAAAAAGGGAGATTTAGAGAAGTCATGATAATTGTCCTAAACAATTTGAGAGACCGCCACACAGAAGAGGGTGTGGTGAGGTCAGAGGCAGGGAATCTGGGCACGTACTGTTCAGCCCTTGTTAGGGAGAACATTATGGCAAATAGAGTTCTTGAAAAGGAAGGGCTTCTTTGTAATATAGTGCTTTCTGGAAATGTGAAATATTCAGGGGAAAAGCTTGAAGTAACTGTCTGGTGTAGAAGGTAATTCCATTTTGGAAATAAGAATATATGGGAGTTATAGATGAGAGAAAATTGATTCTTGAAGAAAGATTACTTATTCTAATTCTTCACTCAATGAAAGAATCAAAGAGTAAGAGAGGTAAAATGTTTTGTCCCAAGGTGTAGCAAACACTGTTGGCTGACTAATCCCACACCTATTCCCCAAATTATTGTCTCTTACTCATTTTCAACATAGAGTGTGGGAATGCTAAAAACTAATTTCCCTAGTTTCTCTTGCACTTGGGGTGGCCACTGAGATAATTCTAGCCCATGAGAAGTAAATGAAGGACAGTGGGGACTTCTAAGATATCTTTGCTTTCTTGATGAAGAAACAGGGTGGCTATTGCTGTCTCTCATTCTGCTTCTTGAACTGGAAGTGGATGTGAGGGAAGGAGTTACTGTAGTCATTTTGTGACCATTAGAGAAGCACTGAGATGCTGCCTCTAACATTGTATTGAACCAAGGCCAGCATCTGACTCCTTTTAGACTTCCTTATTTGTTTTAAAAGACTGTCAGTGGGGTTTTCTTGCAGCCAAAAGCATTCCTGACTGACACACAGATATTACAGAAAGTGGCAAAGTTTAGATTAATTTTATATTTCCTAATGCTCAGGCAGGTAGATTTTTCATTACATATACTAACTCATTTGTCAACTATTATTAAATGCCTACTGTGTTCCAGTCACAGGGCTAGGACCTGGGGAATTTGTTGGGGTCACTGGCAATACAAAAATCTATCATGCTAGAAAGGAAACACTAGTGAAGACATGATTACAATTCAATGAGATGAGGGCTATGACAGAGGAATACACGGGACACCAGGACAACAGAGAAGCCCAAGTTCCAAAGTGGGAACAGAGAGAGCATCCTCAAAAATGACATCTACTTAGAGTTAAGACTTAAATAAACAGTAGAAGTTAACCAGATTGGGGGAGGTAAAGGACTCTCTAGGCAGAAAGAGATTGTAGTGCAGAGAGCAAGGTCCACTCAAGAAGCTGCGAAGAGTTTGGCAAGACTGAAACTCCGTGTGTGTGCAGGAAGGGGGCTGCAGAGAGATGAAGTGGGAGGTGTCAAAAGGTGAATCTGGAGGGATAAGTAGGAGCCAGGTAAGAAAAGGGTTTCCTTTGCCTAGGTGATATGTTGGAATGGTTTCTAGGAATAGGTGCTAGGAAGTTATTGAAGGTTCAAAAGTAGGGAAATGACTGATCAGATTGGCATTTCAGAGTGATCACCCTGGTTTCCAGGTGGAACATGCACAGGAGGGGAGGGGTTGTTAAGGTGCTTCAAGACTGAAAGTCAGGGAGGTGAGTTCGGAGGCAGAGATGGTGGGACTTGAAATTTTAGAGGACATCTTCAAAATGTTAAGAAGGCAGAAGTGAAATGACTTGGGGATCATTAGGTAGAGAGTCTAATGCAGAGTCAAGAGTGACTGAAAGGATGATACCACCTATCCAAACTTAGGGAAATATCACACCTCCTCAAGACTTTAGTGTATTCCATGTGTAGAGTCTGTTTTCTATTCCTAAATCTACTGCCCTAGAAAAAGTACCAATGAAATAAAACGTGAAGTGATTTGAGCACCAAGTGGGAAACTGGGGATTCCTTAACTGGGATGCTGATTTTCATATGTTAATATTTTTTCCAAATGTACTTCCTCATATTTTAAGTGGAATATGAATTTCCTAGAAATTTTACAATAATTTTGTATTATGTAAAGATAGTTGAATAAAATAGTCCCTGTTGCTAGTAATCATAAAGATAAATTTAATTTCCACTGGCCACATAATAATTTGTCTCATTATCTTATAGTCACAGCTTGTACACATATAATAATGTCACCAAATGTCACTTAAAATAATATTTTTCTTTTTAAATGTTAAAATGATTCTTTTCAGTTAGTCTAACAAAAGCTTTTTTAAACTCACATTCACATTTTCAAATATAAAGTGAGTTTCAGTAGTACCTGTGTTTCATTGCTAAACTTTTGAATTCTGCTTTTTTCCTTAATGATAAAACTAGCATCACAATGATTACTTCTCATCTATATTCATAAATGTACCTAATGGCTACACTGGCCAAATAGCTAACATAATTTCAATTTCTAGAAAACAACATTTCTAGACCACATCCTCCCCAAAATATTTTTTAAATGATTTCTTATATTTTTTGCTCACATTTCACTAATTGTATAAAAAATATAAAATTTATTTATTTATTTTTTTACCTCAGGAAACATATGGTGTAAATGCTTAAGGAAATGTGAGTCATGTCTTTGATGAGGCAACTACTAAAAAATCAGTTCCTTCTGCTACAATATAAATAGCATGATAAGCCCTATCAAAGGTCAAAATCTAATTTTAAAATACGTATTTCAAGAATTTTTATTTTAGCCATCTTGCCATGAATTAGAAATATGGTCTGTTCAGTGGCCAACTCTGACATTTTCTAGTGCACTTGCTTTTCAGTTTTTGGAGCAAGAGAGAGGAAATACATTTTGTTATATTTCAACTCAAAGATCTCTGAGATATTGCAGAGCCAAAAAAAAATCATCTCTATCCATTCCCTACCCTACTCCCCCCCAGAAAAATCCTTTCACCTCCCAAACAATTTCTAAAAATACATTTTTCTTTTTTGTTAACTGCTCTCTTGAAACTTGAAGATGTGTCTGAAGGATTTGGTTGTCAATGTTACTTATTTCTAAGTTCCCATCTGGTTCTCAAAAAACTCTTTCCTCCTCTTCCTAAGTGAACACCTCTGAAAGTTGTAATGGATTTGGCAGTAGGCAAGCTGCCTATGTTTATAACTCTGAGCACACAGGTGATGTCACCTATGATAAACAGCACTTGGCACCTCTAGCCATCTCTGTCTAACTGTGAGCTTCAAGTCCACTGGGTGCTTGGGAAGGAGAGCTGATTAAATACCCCATCCAGGAAGGAGCTAGATTGACAGACAAGAGTTCAGCCTACTTGCTTGCATGCTACTTGCAATTGAGACCTGTGACAAGAATGGAATTTTGCTCCCCTCAATTTTTAGATATAAGAAAATTGAGGTAGAGGGAGGTTAATTGCTTTAATGCCTCCATAATTTAAACACTAGATTTCTTGCTCAATGTTTAGTGATGAAACATATCAGAGTAGGTCTGTTATACTCACCACCCTTGGCTGAAGCTGGACTTCATTTCCACTGACTGATCCCCTTGTTTGTACAGATCATGCGCAGCTAATTCCTGAGCTTGTTTTTCAACCTCTCAAACACCTGGAGTACAAAATTTGATTCCTTCAAAGAGACTGCTCAAATTCATTTGTTTTTGCAAGTACCATGAATAGTTTTTTAATTAATTATTATTATAAGAGAATACATATTTATTGTGGCAAATTTTAGAACTAAGAAAAGGGACAAAGAATCTCTAACTCATCCATACTTTCTCACCCAGAGATATCCATGGCTAACAGATGGATGTATTTACTTCTAGTCTTTTAAGATATGCATATATATTTCCAAAACTGATACTATGTTATATAAACACATATCCTGATTTTCCCATTTAATATTTTACGGTATGCAGTTTTCCATTTTTTAATATTTCAAATATTCTTTGTAAACAGGTATTTTAATAATTGCATAATAGAGTATGCATAGGCCATTAAACCTAGCAGTGCATGATCTGGCCAGGTCAGCATTCCAGCCTTAGCCTCAGACACTGGAAATTGCTATCCTGTCATTTAGGCCTCCTTCATATATCTGGTTCTTCCTGCCTGGAAAATCCTTCCTTGTGGTAGGCACAATTTTAAGATGGCCCCCAAGATTCTATCCTCTACATGCATGTCCTATATGATCTCCTTCTCTTATATGTGAGCCTAATCACGAACAGGATGAACAGTCACTCCCATGATTAGGTTATTATGTATGGAGAAGGTGGAGGGATTTTGCTGATGTAATTAAGGATCTCAAATCAGTTGATTTTTGAGTTAACCAAAAATGGCAATTATTTTGGGTGGGCCTGACTGAATCAGAAGAACATCCATAAGGAGGAGTTGGGCCCTTCCTGAAGAGGAACATTCTCTTGCTGGTCTTGAAGTAAGTGGCCACGTTGTGAGAGGATCTGCCAAAGGATGAGGAACTGCAGGTGGCCTCAAGGGGCTGAGAGCTGCCCCAGGCTGGTGATCAGCAAGAAAGTGGGAACTTCGGTCCTAAAACCACAGCAACTAAATTCTGCCAACAACTTGAAGGAGCTTGAAAGAGGACCCTGAGCCCCAGACATGAATGCCATCTGCAAACACCTGATGTCAGCCTCTTGAGACTCTGATACGCACCTGACTCCTGACCCAGGGAAAACATGAGATAATGAATGGTGCTTTAAGCCACTGAGTTAGTGGTAGTTTCTGACCCAGCAATAGAAAACCAATGCATTCCCTTTCTCTTTTCCTCTGGTAACTTCCACTCAGCTTTCAGGTCTGAGCTGTGAGATCACTTCCTTCAAGGAGCCATCCCTGGCGCCACCTATATATTGTCCCAGCTCATTTTTACTTCTTCCATGAACAGCAATCACAGATAGAATGGCAGTTGCCTATTTTCTCACCTGCATGTCTCTTGCATGATAAACAAGTGTGGATACTGAGCCTCAGAGAGGTGAAGTTCTATTTGTTTGATGGCTAAAATATATTGGGACATCTCAGGAAATAGCAACACATGTGAATACAATGCAAACTTAAATTTAGCAGATTTGCCAACACAAGACGTGGCTGGAACAAAAATACAGTAAATTTACCATAATGTGTAACATTTAATGTATTGTCTGAAACCAATTTCAGATAATACTACTGAAGCAAATTTCATCGAATAATTCATGTGTGCATTAGCTGTGTGGATATGGAACCTGATTCTATATACAATTTACGGCCTTGTCAGTTTTTATGTAAAAATCACTTAGAGTGAATAAAACTGCCTATTTATGGTAATTTCTCATTTATGGATTACTTCTGAAGAAAACACACAGTTCTTTTCCCTGGGTTTCAAAGCCTGGTTAGCCAACAGGATCCCAGAAGCAGTTATGTGCTGGAGCTGAGTGACTCATCTGGGAGATTACAGTAGGTGAGCATGCTCTACATGCTAATTGCGTCAAGCTGAAACCATTCAGATATTAGGAATAAAAGCAAATAGAAGGGTGATATTTTAATTCTGCACTAAAGATAGGGGTTAAAATAATAACTCAGCTAAAATAGATACAAAAGCCCAATGACTCCCTGCTTTTTTTAGGATGAGTAAGGGAAAAAACTAAATTAAAAATCACTAGATTATATGCAAAACTGCCTGTTTATTTACCTTACCGATGGTGGTACTGGACACACACTGAAAAGGTTAGCATTAATTGGCTTTTGATAAGGACAAAATTCTGCATTTTCAGCACTGCTGGACTGATGAGTTAGAATTACAGTATTTCCTAAAACTCATCAGTTCCCTCTAATTGGGTCTGCCCAGGAGAAGAGCTGTCAGATCGGAGAAGAATTCAATAATTCTCAAGCTTTGTTTCATAAAAACCACCCGGGATGCTTGTGTTAATGTTCCTATTCCCAAGCCTTTCCGTAGAAATTCTGACTCCTTAGGTTTGAGGTGGGGCCTTATCATATATGTTTTAAATAAGCCCCCAAGATGATTTTGATACAGGTAGTTTAGCTCTTACATTTTCAGAACCATCGAGTAGACCATTTAAGATATTTGTCATCATTGATTCTCAGAAGACTTGCTCCTAAGACCAGAAGATATTTGCCTGGTGTCTGCTCTGCCTGAGAAAACATCTTCAATGTGCATGGGGTCCTGTAATGCATATGAGGAGTAGAGAGCTCCTGGGCCTGCAGCGGACAAGTAGGGTGCAAAGGCTGAAACGTCACATGGAGACCCCAGTGAATTAGAGTCACCTAAAGAAAAGCCACCATTTAATGTGCAGCATTCTTGGTAGGTGGGAATGTGAGCAGGGTGTTGCCAGATTTGCTGTTTTCTAGAGAAACAGAAAACATGAATTTTTGTGTAAACTCCCTCGATTTTTTAAAAAACACTGGGTTTTAAAAATAAAATCTGTAATTGGAGCAAGGGCTGCGAGTTTTCAACCTCTGCCTTAACTCATCAGGATAATTCTCCATAAAATTTGAGAAATGGCAGAGCCTATTTCGTTGACAGAGGTGGTGACATGAGAACAGGAATATGAACTCCATGGGTGAGAGATGGAAGGGAATACCCAGGCACACAAGGCTGCTCAAGGAAAGACAATTGAGCTGCCTTTTCATACAACTCGGCGCTGTGAGGAGGAAGTGTTTTCTAGTGTCCAGAATATGAAACCTGTAAAAATTGGATTTATTCTTCCTCCTCCTCCTTCTCTTCTGCAAAGGGTTTTCAGATATTCATTCCCATTGTATCTCACACCTAATCACCCATGAACCTGCGGAGTAGGTCAACTCAAGGTTGGATCTACAATATTTTAAAATGCTATAAAGTAGATTTCAGTCCCTGAGTTGAATTCAACCTCATTCTTCAGGCTGGCCAATAACTGACAGGGTCTTTGGCTGTGCAGAATGCTAAGTGTGAGGTGTACGGGGAGGGTACCAGTTCAGGTAAGGCTACATGCCAGACTGTTAGCTGTGTTCCAGGGATAACAGGAACCTTTCTTTTTTACCAGTCAAATTCTTCACGAGTCATGGTACCTTTTAGAAATATTAGAAACCATCTAAACCTCTCAAATATCAAACTACTTTTCTTCCTGAAGTGTCAGTTTCTTCTGAACATGTTCTTTGTTTTTGGAGAAAATCCTGGAGAGCACTGATAATTCCCAAATTAGGCAAACAACCAGGAAAACCTCTATAATCTGAGCCCAGTAACTCCATATGGCAAATTTGACAGAAGTCTGCTCTGAAAGTCCTGCCTGAAACCATTGGCCTGCGCCAAGTTATAGAAAAATCATGGCAATGCCAATTCCTCTGCTCCAAAACCACTAAGATCAAATACTATTTTGAGCTTCTCAGCACAGCTTTTTTACTGTGAATATCATAAATACAAAAATATATCTGCTATGCGGGGCAGGAAGGTTCAAGTATTTCATTATGTTTCTTATTTCATAACATATAATTGAGATCTTCATGATTACAATGGGATATTTCTAAATCCATTGGTGAGCATTATAAAGAGCAATTCTTCAAAAGAAAGCAAGGCTTAGCTGAACTGTGAACATGTTTTTGACGATAAAAATCTGGCTGGTTTTATCCCTAAAGCTATTTTTTTATTTTAAAAGCTTTAAAAAATAAGAGTCACTGGTCACCTAATTGCATAAAGAAAAGACCCTCTAGTGATAGTTTATGCCTTTGGGATATCTGATAGGTCAAATTATCTAATGCTTGTACTTATCTTGTTTATTGTAATTTCAAGTGAATTTAGTGCTTAAAAAAGTTAATGTAATGACAGAAGGTGTTCTGACAACTCACCTGTTTCATTGTCTTCATAGCACTCCTGTTGTTTGAGCATTATCATTGCTAGTTGCATTAAATCCATTATTTTTGGTGTGCCAATATTTAGTTAAAATATACACACACATATATTAGGACATGTCTGTCTTTATGTAAGTTTTTGCAGCCACTAAAAATGATGTTCACAAAAAAATTTTAATGACATAGCAAAATACCTTTCTAATGCGATTAAATGCAGATTATCAAACTGCATGTATCTATGTATATGTAGAAAATAAAGGAAAATATATCACAGTTTTAACAATAAATAACCTATAATAACGGTATTAAGAGTGAGTAAAGCACATCAAAACTACAATGAGACACCACTTCATACCCCTTAAGAGGGCTAATATAGGAAGTATTTTTAAAAGAAGATAATGCATCCATTAGAATAGAAATATCAGCTGTAAAGTGTTCAAAAACACTGGGTTTTAAAAATAAAATCCGTAACCGGGGTAAGGGCTGCAAGTTTTCAACCTCTGCCTTAACTCATCAGGATAATTCTCCATAAAATTTGAGAAATGGCAGAACCTATTTCGTTGACTGAGGTGGTGACATGACAACAGGAATATGAACTCCATGGGTGAGAGATGGAAGGGAATACCCAGGCACACAAGGCTGCTCAAGGAAAGACAATTGAGCTGCCTTTTCATACAACTCGGCGCTGTGAGGAGGAAGTGTTTTCTAGTGTCCAGAATATGAAACCTGTAAAAATTGTTTTTTTACAGATATACAACTGTTTAAAATCTAAAATGTATTAAATTCATGTCTTTTTGCAGTAGGCAGGTGGGATAAATAAGATAAAAGACTCATTAATCATTCATTTAAACATTTGGTTTAAATAGTCATCTGGAAAACTAAAAAAAATTATAGAATGCTTTTTCAAGAAAAAAATCATTATTTAATAGAGATCATCTTGAGTACGGAATGATGTTGAAACTGTTTTATTTTATATGATTTTGAGTTATTGAACAATGACTGATGATAAAAATAAAAATTTAAAGAAACAAGAGCAACAAAGAGACATGAAGTTTTAATATTTCCAGTAAAACATAAATAACTTGTAAAGAAAAGGAGATCATGTAGAAATGTGCTCTGTGTTCATGAAATTCATTGTTTATATCCACAGGCTCCTAGAAAATATGAGTGTCCCCTGTGAGCTGCACTCATCTCTATTATTTATATGTTTTATTGACTTGTTTTAAAAAGTACAAAGATGAGCCTCAGCCTGATTTTCCTAAAGGTCAAATTTCTTAAATTACCATCAGTGAGTTTTTTTTTTTTAAATCATACATGGACAAAAGAGAGTTCACAGTTTGGTGCCTGACGTTTTCTATTGTTTTTGTCCCTTATTTATTTTGTTTTGTTTTTAAGAGATAATTTCTGAAGTGTCTAATGCATAAAAATGTTTTGAAACTCTTCTGTAAAACTCAATTTTTGTTATAGTTTGAAGTTGGATGACATGGAATTTTTAAAGTTAGGCTGGGTGCTATGATTTGTTGCTAAAAGCAAGTAGTATTGAAAACACAATATTTAGGCAGTGTTCTCATTGTCTGGGTACTATACATATGGGCAGTTGATATATTTACTTGGTAATATGAAGCCAATAAGCTGGTCATGAGACTGGAAAGAAGTTTGGAAAGGAAGAGGGGGGCAAAATATAACTATATCCATACTAGAGATTTGCATTGATTAACGTGTTGATTAGCCAGCAGTTTGACATATCCAAACTTCCTTTGTCCCAGGAGAAATAAATCAAATGTCAGATTTTCAACTTCCTCCCTCTACTCTTTAACACGTACATACTGACACATGCACACACACACATATTTAAAAAAATAAAATTCAACTGATTTGGTCAGACACACTGAAAACTGGTTAATAGATTAGAATAATCAAAGTTGTTATTTTTAAGCTAGTTGCATAGAGAATAACAAAGAGGGTTACGCCAGAACCTCCAAACTTTTCTTGAGTCTATGTTTTTAATCATTATGCACATCGGGTTAGGAGTGCCCATTTGTAAAATGAGCATGGTAATAAGATTTACCACAAAGGGTTGTTATAAGAATAAAATTGAACTATCCAATGTGTGATTTAGCACTGTGGCTGCCTCGATTTTAGGACTTGCATAGTCACTATTATCTGTCGTTCTTATTTCAGGCAAAGAGAACAGGAAAAGAAAAGGCATAGAGACGTGAAATTGCTTAGGATGTTTTGGGGAAACATTAAGAGGTCCAGCATGACTGAAATACAAAAATAGTTGGGGGAGGTGAAGGGGAATGAAAGGGATGACGCCAGAGATGGTACAGATTATGTCCTCAAGTGCCTTTACCTGCAGGGTTATAACCGTGGGAGGAGTCATGGCTTTAAGGAGGCTATTTGAAGCGTTTTGAAAGGGATGACATTGGAAACAAGGACAGGACTTATAAAGCTACCGCAGAGGTCCAATAGGAGATGAGAACTTGAGTAGACTATGGCAGTGGGCATGACAGAGAATGGAAATATTCCAGAAATCTCTTTCCTTTAGTTTTTTAAATATTTGTTTTGTTGTTGTTAACTGAGGTTAACAAGAAAGCCCAGATGATATTTGCCTCCTGCTATTCATGGTGCCTCCTATATTGCATCAGGATTGCCCAACAGAATAGGGCAGAAGCAATGATGTGTAACTTTTGAAGTTGGGTCCTATAACACATTGCTGCTTTCCTCTCATCCTCTTTGATCTCTCCATCCAATGTAAATCAGCAACCATGTTATGAAGACACTCATGCAGCCTGGAGAGCATTTCATTTGCGGAAGAAATGAGACCTGCCTGCAACAGCCAATACCAACTTGATCATGTGAGTAAATCACCTTAGAAGCACATCCTCCAGCCCCAGTCAAGCCTTTATATTTCTATCACCCTGACTGACTTCTTAACTGCAACTTCATATGAGTGCCAAAGCCATAACCACTGAAGAAAGATGCTTCTGAATTCTTGACCCATAGAAACTGAGAAGTTAGTTATGCTATTGTTTTAAGCCACTAAGTTTTGGGGTAATTAATTACCCCATAAGAGTAAACTAACAGAGATTGATCTTATTTGCACATAGACCTGGTATGTTAGACAGATTCTAAGATTCCCATCTCCTCATGTTCAGGCCTTGTGTAATTTCCACTTCTGAAGTGTGGATAGAATCTGTGAATACTACGAGATACCACTCCTTTGATTCTGTTTTTTTCAGATATAATTAAGGTTACTAAACAGCTGGCTTTGAGTTAATAAAAAGGACTATTTTGCTGGTGGGCCAGATATAATCATATAAAACCTTTAAATCTGGGTTTAGAGGTCAGGGTCAAATGAAGTCAGAGAACCCAAGCAGTAGGAAGATTCTTCTGTTGGCCTTGAAGGAGTAAACTGCCATATTGTGAAGAGGGTTACGCAGTACAGAATGGCAGGTGGTCTCTAGGAACACCAGTCTGTCAGTCACAAGTGACTGAATTCTGCCAACAACCTGGATGAGCTTGAAAGAGAACCCTCAGCTCCACATAAGGACCGCAGCCATGGCTAACACCTTGGTTTCAACCTCGAGCTAAGAACCCAGCTACCCTTTGCCCACACTTCTGACCTACAGAGGTGTGACATGTAAATGGGTGTTATCTTAAGCTGCTACATTTTTTAAATTATTTGTTAGACAGCAAAGAAAACTAGTACACCTGGCTTAGATGATAAGATCTTGGACTTCGAGCTGATGCCATAATAGAATGAGACTCTTGGGAACCACAATAAAGGGAGTATGTTTTGCATGTGAGATGGAAGTAAATCACTGAGGGCCAGAAAGCAGTCTTCTTCACTGGTAGCCAGCCTCCAAGATGGCACCCAATATGATCCTACTCATCTCTGGGAATTCATTCTTTTCTGTAGTCCCTTCCTCACTCTCACATTGCGTAGGGCTGACCTATGTGAAAAAAAGGATACGTTGGGAATGACATTGTGTGACTTTTGAGGCTCTATCATAAAAGACATTGCAGCTTCCACCTTAATCTCCTATGGATCACGCACACTTTGTGAAACAGCCCACAAACCATGAAGATCCTTAAGCTGCCCCATGGAGAAGACCACCCAACAAAGAATTGAAGTCTCCCCCCAACAGCAGGCACTAATGTGCCAGCCATGTGAGGGAGCCATCTTGGAAGTGAATCTTCCAGCTCTAGTCAAGTATTCAGAAGAATGCAGTCCTGATGTATATGACTGTAATATCATGAGAGAGTCAGCTATAATCACCCAGCTAAGTTTCTCTTAAATTACTACAGACCTAAAGAAACTGTGGGCATAATAAAATTTCATTATTGTTTTAAGCTGCTAAATTTTGGGTATATGCAGCAATAGGTAACTAATTAAGAGGTGTATAAGACAGTTTCTAAAAATTGAGTCCCCTCTCCAGGTTATAGTGGACAATCAGTTTGCAACAGAAAAAGAGACAGGAATAAAAAAAAAAAGAGTCGTTCAGTAGTATTTTAGGGGAGGTTTCCAGATAAGCACAGGCTAAATCTGTGGTTCTTGTTCCCATAGTTAATAGATTATATGTCTCTGATTAAAAAAGTGATGGCTAAAGACAAAAGACTTTGACAACTGGACCAGATGAAAAGATTAAGAGTTCTCTCTCTGGGCTCTTCTCCTTAACACCTTGATTATATTTAACACTCCCTTAACACCTTTCTTTATATGTCTTGTACAAAAACAGCAGCAAAATAGAAGAAAAATCCTTTTAGACCAAATAATGACAAAGTGGAAACACATGCCTCTTAGACACAATGAAAATCGTGATATGAAGGACTCCTCTGTACTGTAGAACAGTGGCTGTATTCTGGGAGGAGGAATTTAAATGCCATACAGAAGTGTAACTTCGACTCTGCTAATTTTTCACTGAATTTCAAGAGAAATTTAATGTCTGTAAAATTAGATTGGAAATATAGAGGCCATACAAATTCACAATTTGAGATTGAAAATAAGCAAATAAGTTTAGAAGGGAGTCTTAAATGTAATTTGTTCTGGTTATAAAAATCCTAAAGCTAATTATAAAAATTTTGAAATAAAAAAGTGAAGAATATAAAATTTATCCATAATCCCCATATTTAGAGCTAACTACTCTTTTCAGTTTCCTATGCATATGTTATAAATTGAAATATTTCTGCCATTAAAATTTTATATTTTCGTCTAATTTAACTAGCATTAATAAAATAATTTCCCTGTGCTATTAAAATTATTTTTAAGCTATATCTAAGTGCCACTTTTAACAGTCTTTAAACTATAAATGTATGCTCAATGTTAAAATCAAAGAGGCAGGGCAGAAACAGGCAAAAATTTGGGAAAAACATAACCCAGAATTAACATTCACTTTTAGTGTACCAGCTTCCAATCTTAAAAATATACATGTTACACATTTGCATACACATTTGCAAAAATGACATGCTATGTATACTGAGTTTATCTTGCTCTTTTTTGGTTTCAATTAAAAAATTCAATAAAAATATTGTTTACAACATGATTTAATGGGTGCCTAGTATTCTATCATATGGACATAATTTACATATTTATGAATAGTTCCCATTATGGTACAGTTTGGTGGTTTTCTTTAATGAAAATTTTGAACATGTATCATTTCAGTTTTAGATTAATTCCTTAGGATAACTTCTCAAAAGTATAATTATTGGGTGAAAAATGTATGCATAAATTCATAGTGATAGATATAGCCAAAGAATTTCCCATAAATATTGTTGCAATGTATATCTTAACCAAGATGAAAGCAGATCCTTTTCTCCTTCACTGGTTATGAGCGCTTTCTCATTTTTAGAGAAATCTGATAGACTGGAGATGGCATCTTGGTTGTTTTCACTTGCATGTCTTTTATGAGTAGTAAAACTAATTTTTTCATGTTATCTTGACATTTTTTACATGCCCACCTATTAATGTCTTATATCTATTGAAAATCATTACATTTATCCTTTTATTGTCTTGTAAAACCTGTTTCTATGTTAAATTTATCAACTCTTTGTCTATGCATATAATTTTTTTCAATTTGTGACTTCCTTTTTAATTATCTTCATTCCTTTTCAAGTAAATTAAATTTTAAAACATATATGTACTCAAATATGTCAGTATTTTCCCTAATGATTTCTTCCTTTGAAGTTGTGCTTAGAGGGTATCACCCTAAACATCCAATATTATATAAGCATTGAGGATATTTTCCTCTGAATTTATGTGGATTTGATTTTTATAGGTGGTTCTTTAAAACTCTGTATCTGAACCTTATCTTGAAATAATATGTGAGATTAGAATCTCACTTTTATCCCAGTAGTATTATTTAAAAGCAAAGGTATTGCACAATTAATACAGTCACCCTATATAATAGAGACAAGTAAAAAGAAAAAAAATGCCAACTCTAATGTGAGTTATTAACATTTATTCACCCTCTCTCCCACTCAGCCTCTCTCAAGTTGTCTTGCTTGAAGGTGTGTGTTGGCAGGAATGGGGGACAGCCATGTATGCCAGGCACCGAACACAGCAGCTTTACATGTTTGTATTTAATTCTCGACTAGACTTGTGAGGTAGAAATTACTCTGTTTCAAAGATGAGAAAGGAGGGACTTGGAGAAATCAGAATGCTGGAGATTATAGAGTTCAGAGCCTGGCAAATTTGAGTGTGTATATGAGTTCCTGGTAATGTTGCCAAAATGCGGGCTCTGATCCAGTAAGTCTAGAAGGGGCCTGAGATTCTCCCTTCTAACCAGCTCCCTGGCAATGCTGATGCAAATGGTCTGTGGACCATACTTTCAGTAGCAAAGACAAAGATGACAATTAAATAATGGAACTTGATGTACCCCTAGGTCTTTGGACTTCTGTTTCTTTCCACACTATCACGCTTCCTCTAGCTGCTGTCAACACATGTGTGCTTGTACTTTTAACAAGGTTCCATCCTAAAACAAAGTCAAACTTCTTAAGCCTCACTTTTATTTACAAAGATACACGTAATAACAAATATTTAAGAAATCTGAAAGTCAAAATGAGTGATGAAAAGAAATTTAGAAGGAAAACCTCAAGAGTGTATGTCACAAAAATGTTCCAAGCATGCTCTCCAAGGGAACTTGTGAAAATCCATTACTAAAATTAATTTTTAAGACCAGAGGATTATATCCCACAGAAAAACCAGAAGGGTAGAAATTTTCATAGTTCATATTTAATAATCTACCCATTCTCTAAATATGAAACATTCACAATTATTGCTCAGGCCAATGCCTACTGTGAATGTTTTTGAAATAAGAGCATTCTAGTCTCATAATTTTATATCCTCAATGTATTCTTAGGAGGCAGGAAGAAGAAATTATTGCCATTCAGTATGAGACTAACTTTTTTTGAAGGCAAGCCTGAAAAGAAAGAGCATTTCTTCACACAAATACATATTTTTGATTCACATAATTATTATATCTACAGAAGACTTAATTTGAACTCAATAAAAATGATCATTTTAAACTATGAGTCAAGTATTCTACGATATTGCCCTTGGATTGAACAAAAATTACATATGATGCAGGCAATCTTTTTTTCTGGTTTGTTCACTAAAATATGACAACTATAAGACATATTACAGCTTAGGACTAGAGAATCTAAAGAGAATTACCCTCCAAAAATGAGATGACAATCCGATGTGAAAAGTAGACTGAATGTAGAGCTCATAATTCTACTTCAATACCACTATTTCCTAGTAATAGATAAGAATCATATCATTTTTAGCTGGAAAAAAATCTTAGAGATCATTGAATTCACCCCTTGCTCTTGTTAATGACTTTGCTATTGCCTTTATTTATAGAAGTGGAAGATAAGTGGTATTTCTCTTTTGGCATTGGAATTCTACACACAGACATGGTTTTGCTCTTCCAGCTTACTGAGCCATTCTGATGTTCATACTTACAATACAGGCGAAGAGAAGACTATTACAAAGGATCATTTTAGTGGAAAAGAAAGTCAGAATTAAATATCTCACTAATCTATAAAAAATTATTTCTGTAGGTGCATGTTTCTCTCATCAATGTGTACGACAGTTAAATGCATAAATCTCCCACACATCAATGGAAAAATAAATCTCGTAGTGATGAGCACATGACAGATTTCTTTTCAGAATACGGGAAAATACACAGTCACAGTGGCTGCAAGTAATTTTGTAATTGCCTTACTCTATTACCGACACGGCATCTGCTCAATGCTCTGAGACCTTTTCCTCTCATCACTGAATTTTGCATTTAATTTGCATAATGTGTCAAAGAAAGAAAATAATGGATCTGGCTGAACTTTCAACTGAAGTAAATCATGGGGAAGCAATGCAGAAGCAGACATCTCTCTAGAAATGCATTAAAATACAAGGGAAGTCAACAAGGAGTCTTAAAATGCTCATTTCCAAGTACTGAAATTGCATTTTTTCAAACTTTTACATGAAAGCTAAAATGTTAGTCCTCTTTTTAAAATATTCTTTCAAAAGCTTATATTTCAAAGAAAATGAGTATTAGTCCTTTTTTTTCTACAACCCACCCACTTGGTAAAAGGCACTAGATAAGGCCCTAAGCATCACAGATTTGGAAATACAAGGAATGGGATGATGAACTAACTTCAGCATTGATTATGTCACATACAAGAGTCCTGGTTGCCCAAACAATCTCTTCGTCATCTGCCAGCTTCTAAATCTTATTCCCGAATTTAGATTCATGAAATGCCCCGCAAGTGTGCAAAGTCAGCAATCAGCCGAGAGCCTACACCAAGTGCACCACCTTGGTCATGTGTGCTAAAGCTACAGATCTACATCTCCCTTATGCCCTTGGTCAATCTGGGTTTACACATCACGCATTTGTCCAGAGCAGGGGATACCTGTAACTTGCTTGGTATGGAGAATAATATTCTATTGTTATCACTTTTGTTGTACTTTCTGATAAATCACCTTTATCTCTTTAACTGGTTTATGGGTGATGGACTAGCACCTTCCTAACTCCAGATAAGTCATTTTTTATTCCTCTTTTCAAGATGCTAGCTCCCAGAATACATCAAAGACTCTTATATTTTCAAAATATATGAAAAAGAATACTTGAATTTTTTCACCTCAAATTTCATCTCTGAATATCACAAAGGGAGGGATTATAAATAAATTATGACTAAAACCTTCCAGGTTTATTTCCCTGATGAGCAAGTTATTTCTGAATCAGTATTGATTTTTTTGTGTGAACTATCAACCACTACCTTTAGAACTAGTAACATTTTGGAAGATGAAACTGGAAGACATTTCTCAATGAGTTTGATGCACCAATAAATTTATCAGCCAGACTCTGTTTCTAAGATTCATAAAATTTACTCCAAGGAATACAGGTGAGGAAGAGCTAAAAAAATCTATAACATCAAATGAGAACTCATTAACTAGATACTCAAATGATAAGAATTGAAGAAATATAAGGGAGAGAGGGAGAAATGGAGGAAAGGAGGGAGAGCAGAAGGAAGGAAGGTGGGAAGGAAGGAAGGAAGGAAAGAAGGAAGGGGGGAGGGAAGGGGGGAGGGAGGAAAGCACATAGGCAGTCAGGAAGTAGGGAGAATGGAAGGAAGGAAGGAGAGATGAAGGAAGGAAGGAAGGAAGGAAGTAGCGAGGGAGGGAGGGAGTAGGGAGGCATGCAGGCAGGCAGGAAGTCAAGCAGGTAGGCTGGGTTGTTTCCATATGGGACTCTTTCTATGCAAAGACAAATATTTCAATGATTCTGAGTTTTACTTTGGCTCATGATATAAAATTGGTGCATTTCATAGGTATGTGAGTATCTGAGAGGTGAATGAGTGTTCTTAGACACTTGGGCAGCAGCTGAAGCTCACCTGGCATTCCTACTTGATGCTCTCATAGTTCAAGTCTCAACTATGGTGATTATTTGGAGCAAAGGGACTGGAGGGCCTAGAATTTCCCTGTATCCTACCTCTCTGTGGTAGGATGTATCATCTGGCCCCAAATCCCTACTCCTTGCATCTATGTATTCATTCTGAGCCCTCCCATCAAGGGTGGGAGGACCTGCCCCACTGCTTGTCTTTGCCCTCATTCACGGGATGTCAGTAACTGTCATGACAGAGACTTGAAAATGTGCTTTTGTGTTGGGCTTGTTTTCTTCCACCTCTTCCATCTCCACGAGAAGAACACACCCAGGCAAGCTCATCAGTCCCAGAAGAAAGATGAGAGAGAATGTGGAATGGAGATGCGCCAGCTCACATAGATGTCTGATTCTATCTGACACTCACATAACTATCCATAAGTTCAACATAGATCAACCAAACACCAGTTGCCCCTCAGATTTGTTAAAAATAATAAATAATTTCTTGTTTTAAGCCACAGTGATAGCTAATATATTTTCCTTTTGCCTTCATGGTGGGATCTAACAAAATTAGTCAATATCTTTCAAATTAGAGAAAATGGGTACCAGTCTCAAGGGGATTTCTTTGGTCTTTGTCAAATATTCACTCAGATAAAATAATAACAAGAATGAATGTAAGTTTTTACAAGAGACTCTCACGGAGGAACTACTATACGCTGGTTGATATTGAATAGAGGCTCCAGAACAAACACTGCACAAGTACTGAAGCAACATGGGAATTTATGCTTTGTTGGTAAAGCAATAATTCTTGCAAATTCACTAGTGTTATTCACAAAGACACTAAAAGCATCTGTTTGTTTAAATTGATAGCCATTATAATCTTTAGTAAGTATTTGTTTTTCCAAAACAACTAAGAAGTGAACATCTTTCATTTCCTAGGGAGAAACAATTCAAGCAAAATTTCAGGCTAATACCTGACAAACAATAACCTATTTTCCAGAAATTGCCACTTAGTTGTTTTCTTAAAGACATGAGAGGTGCCTCTCATTTCCTCAGCTCTGCCTTTTCTGCTTCCTAAAGGACAGTTCGCTATGTTTGATGTAAAAATAGGCAGTGTAGGTGTATAGAGGGTGGTTTCTAATGGTCATACTTCACCATTCATCTGATTTCTACCATTTCCTTCTCCTGACAAGGAGTTCTTAGGCCTCCGACAGAAATCCATGTATAGAGGGTTCAAAGGTAATTCCAAACAGTTCACATGATAATAAGGTTAGTAACCCTCCCCTAAACTCATAGCAACATGTGTCATTTGTCTTTATAAGGTAAGATTATTCTCTGGTTTTTTAAAAGTATGTCTAATGATGTGCTTTTTGAAGAACAGGATAATAACCAACTAAATTTTCACCAAATTTCCTAAAAATTGACTGAAATTGACTCCTTTTGTGAGTGTTAAAAGGATATGAATTTACATTTCCACTGCTGGATAATAAAATGGTGTGATGAGCTGTACCATGGTGAGATTCTACACAAGTGAGGCACTCATGAAAGTGGTACTTGGAGCCCAAGGTAATCAGGGAAGATGAGCTCCTGAGTGTGGATATAAGAGCTTATCAGTTTGGTTCTTTGTTCCTAGATTTCAAGATTGATATGATCAAGTTTACAAATTGGTCCTCTAAAAGTACAATGGCTAATGCTAAGGATGGGTGTGCAGGGATTGTAGTTGGAAGAGGCCCACAGACTCTTAAACAGAATTTGGGAAGAAAGGGATATTTGACAGTTGAATTGGAGTTTATTGAGTTATACATTGCTCCATTTTCATTGGCATAGTAAAAAGGTTAAAGGAGAAATCAACAAGATATTAGGGATAGCTATAAGGACCCGTCGAGTAAGGTGATTTTCCCAGTGATTTGGGGATAATGGGTCACATTTCCTAAAAAATAATGGCTCTCATGGCTTTTTACTGTGAGAATGGATAGGTTGAGCAAGGATAACAAGAATCAGCCTGGGGCCCATGGAGATGGATGCTGTGAAGTAGATGGATGCATAAACTTGAAAATTTGAGACACTGAAATAAGTCACTTGTTATTGATTATCTTCATGAAAATGATGCCATTGGATGTAATTAAGAGCACTTTCTTCTTAATTGAGGAATTCTGTGATGAGATAGGTAGTCTTCACCTTGTTCCACATACATGCACCCCACTAAGTGATTTTTTTCTAAATATATTATACAATAGGGAACTGTTATTTTACTTATTGAAGTTAATAGCTACTATTGTAATAATTTAGTGACAACATTTGTGCTAATTGCTGAGCAGAATATTTAAATGAATCACTTTTAAAATATATACTTGCAAGATGAAAATAGGTTTAAATCCTAAAAGACCACATTCTAATAAAAACACTGAAAATGAAATCTGAGAATCACATTTAACTGGCTTTTAGTCACAAAGTAAGCAGAAATAATAAGCATAAACATAATTGCAAATAAAATATAAACCGAAGGTCCTCCAAAGAATCCAAACTACAGTATTCTTTCTCATTCAAGATACTACCCTACTTAATACCACATAAATTATCATTAGTTTCTGATAAATGCTAACATAACCTTGTTGTTCGAACTTTTTTTTTTTAATTATTTTTATTTTTTATTTTTTTAGATGGAGTCTCGCTCTGTTGCCCAGGCTGGAGTGCAATGGTACGACCTTGGCTCACTGCAACCTCTGCCTCCCGGGTTCAAGCGATTCTCCTGACTCAGCCTCCCAAGTGGCTGGGATTACAGGCACCCGAACACCACACCTAGATAATTTTTTTTTTTTTTTTGTATTTTTACTAGAGATGGAGTTTCGCCATGTTGGCCAGGCTGGTTTCGAACTCCTGACCTCTGGTGATCCACCCGCCTCAGCCTCCCAAAGTGCTGGGATTACAGGCATGAGCCACTGCGCCCGGCCCAAACTTTTGAATACAGATAAAGCAATACAGAAGCTGTGGGTTATTTGTTTTGATAAAGACAATAACCTATATTTAATTTAGCAACATTTTTAGCAGAAATTTAAGAATCAATAAGCCTAATTTTTTTTAACTCCAGCAACAATTTAATGAGTCACCTAATTTATTTTCAGCAAAGCCTAACAAAGCCTCAGCTGGAGGAGTTTCCAAGCGAATTGTTAGCCAGTTAATAGAGAAAAATGCTAAAATAGGTCATTGACATAGGTAGACTTCTACTTCTACACAACATTCTCTGAATTTCCCCTATTCCCCCCAAACTACCAGTTCAGTTCAGTAATTACATGGAGCAACCATTCGAAACAATGGGAAAACAATCAATTTGAGTGTCTCTTCAATTATATGGAGAAAAAGAGAGGAGAGGAGTAGCGCTCTACTTTTCAGAAAATTTGCATTCCTGTTCTATGGTTAATGTTCATTTTTTTTCCCCCAGCTCTCATCTCACAGTGTTGGACAAAAACTTCACCCTGTGAAAACACATATTACCAAGGACTGTATTTGGACATTTGCATTGCAGTTCCTTGGGGAGGATCATTGTTAAATATGCAGATTCTCAAAATAAAGGATGGAAAACTTTGTGGATATGGAGCCCCAAATCTGCGTTTATAAAAATTCTGTTAAAGCTTTGTGAAATCAGGACTGTTTTCCTGCAGATCAGAGGCTTAAAAGAAAACAACAGCTGGCAAAGGCCTGAGTAGGGCCAGCCTTAGGCAAATTGTGAAGCAGTCCAAATTTAGAGTTTTTATCTCTCAGTTCATTTGAGAGTTTACTTAGAACAACTTGCTTGTCCTCCTGTGCCAGTGCTATTGGCCTCTCTTCTCACTGCCCAGGGGACCACTCAACACCACCCTCCAATCAGCTGAGCATCCCAAATGCAGTCTCCTTACTCCTGAGTGTTAATGCCTAACTGGCCGCTCCTACTCTTCCAGGACATTCCCAAGGCTACATCCTATGCCATCAAAACCATTTCTATACCTCAGGGGCCTACTCCATAAGGCTGGACGTTTCACCAGCTAACACATTTTAAGTTATCAACCTGTTTGCTTTTTAAAAATAATATTTATAATTTTTATTCCAAAATAATGCTTGCTTAAAACAAAATAATTAGAAAACTAAGAAAGAAAGAAGGAAAAAGTCATATCTAATCCCATTTGTCATGCGTATCCTCAGCTTACCCTGACCTCTAAGATACATATGTACAAATTCATGTATTGTGTGGGTGTGCGAACTCACACACAGGCATGTGAAGGGCAGTGTGTTGGTTTAGTTCCTACCTCTGGAACCAGACTGGCTGACTGTGATGCTAGTTTTGCCACCTTTGCCAGGTCACTTAACCACTCTACACCTCAATCTCCACGTCTGTAAAATGGGGATGCTAATAAGACCTATCACAGCGTAGTTTTGAGCATGAGTGTAGGCATGGTTAGCCACAGTATGTGCTGTGGTTAGCACATGCACACTAGAATCAGCTACCTGAATTTGAATCCCAGCTCAATAACTAGCAGATTTTTTTTCCTGCGGAAAAGTTTCTTAATATCTCTGTGCCTCAATTTCCTTATCTGTAATATAAGAAGCTCAATTGGGTAATGACAAATAAAAAGTCAGATGACAAGCAGTTTTACAGCTTCTGTGTTATTGGAATTAAAAGGGCAACGGAAAATTACAAACTAATGATATGAGATGAATTTGACATTTCTATTCTTGGGCTATTAGGACTTCTGGACTAAGATTAACTTTCATATTATTGTTTTAATTATAAAAGAAAAAGCAGTATATTTTCTAGGGAGGAAGAAGGTAAACTCTTATCGTGTTCTTAAGGGATCCATGACCCAAGCAACATTAAGAACTGCTAGGGCATTAGATGATCTTCTTGCTCCAACATTCAATAATTTTACATTTTATGCTACCTATTTTGAAAATCTACTTCCTTAATTTTTTAACTTGAATGACATCAAATGTACTCCAAAGTAGCATTTCTAATACTAAATTCCATGAGACTCTAGTGTCTGTCTAGGTACTCATAAATAGAGTGCCAGAATTTGGAAAAATAATCCCAGAGTATATTTTCCTTTTATCAAAATCAGATACCATGATGGCCCATTATTTATATATGTGAATAATACTATTAACTTTTTGTTTTGTTAATTTCTTACTATTTTTTTTTCTAATTTAGGACTAAGACAACATTTTAGAAGAAAAATGATTTTCTATAGTCCTAAAGAGTTCTAAATCACTACTTCAAAAATCATGAAATAGAAAATTTCGAATGAAGCACCGAATATCTTTTAACTTCAGTTTGAAAAGAATAAACTTTTCTCTATGAAGGCTAGTCAGTTCACTGAAACAACCATTGGACTGAGTTTTTGTTTTAGGCATGATGGTACTTCTATCTACATGTTAATTCTCCAGCATTTATCTGAATTTATGCTCTAAGTATGCATGTTTGTTTTGGTATTGATCTCTGTCCATTGACCTGAGCTCTGATGGAAATGATAGCAAACATGAGATGTCTTTTAGTTCCCTAAGTACCAGATATTTTTAGTTTAGGATTTTTTTTAACATAACTTATGTTTGTGATGGTTTTGGCACTGTGACGAGGGGAGCCCTTTTGCCAGTCCTGAAAAATCTCCATTGTTTTAAAAATATCCCTCCATGCCATTGATGAAATCCAAAAGAACTTCAAGGATGAAAGGGACGATGCAGCTTCAAAACCCTGACTGGCTCCCTGGAAGGCTGAGTCACTGAGCAGTGCCCTGCGTGTAGTATTCATGGGAACAGCACACAGCACAGCATCATTCTTCTGAGCTGGCAGGGAGCTGAAATTAACTGAAATATCCACATCTTGGAGGCTCTTCAGAAAAGGATTTGCTTTCTGTTCAATAACCTCATGGTTCAAGCAGTGCAGTCATGGGCATTAGTGCGATGTGCGGGTAGACATTCTCCTTAGATGTCTTAGATGAAACCCTTGGAGTCCAGGGGATGCTGAGCAGTGGTCAGCTGGTAGTCTGAAACCTTATAGAATTAAAAGCTTTAACTGGACCTAGTAGGAGCTAATATTTTCAAATACCCACACAAGTTCAAAAATATGACAATTTTTGCAATTGAAATCGTAAATGTGTTGGCTATTATTTCTTTCTTTGGCTGTAACCTGCATGTAAAAGAGATTTTCTGTGAATTGACTCTAACAAATGCTTTTAAACACCTGTCTGATTAATCAACACATTAAAATAGTGTCTTCCTAAAAATAAACCAGCTCTATTTTTATTTCACTTGCCCTTTACCCTCTCACCAATAATTATTCAATGTTGGCTAATAATTAATTGCAATGTAAAAGGGCATTTCACTATGCTTAGCAAAGAGCTGGGTATATGTATAGAATGCCTGACGTGTGCCTATGAATAGTTAGGGAAGATTGCCCTCTGAGTTTGAATGTGTTATTTTTGGTGGTGTTATTTCCTGTGTAGCTCTATGGAAATAACAAACCCAACAGACTGGCAGTACCTTTCACCCTTAGATGCCTGTGGAGCGTGCCCTTGGGATAACGATTACAGACATGCCCTGTAGCACTTGTTCCTTTGTACCACAGGAAAGACATGGGGCTACAGAGAGGAGTTGCTGCTAGAGGCTGATACATGATGTCACTCCACCAGGTTCCCCAGTGGACCTACTCAGAGCACGGTAGGATGCTGACAGGCCTGCTCTGGAGGACTGCAGTGCCCAGCACAGCAGCAGACAGTCTCAGTGAGTAGCCTGAGATTTAGCAATTCCCACACCAGGTCACCTAAGACTCTTTCTGGGACAGGCTCAGCCAAGAATAATAACTACCTTGTTATCAGGAAAGGGCAGCAAGCCTTTTCTGTGAAATAGCCTAGTATTCTCTACATTTCTTTCTGGGAGTGAATTTGCAAGATTTTTACAGAAATAAAGGAGAACATCTGATGCCCAAACTAGGTGGCTCTTAAAACTTAAGGGAGCAATTTGGTGCAAAACAATGTTTAGAATTCTTCAATAGATTAAACATAAAAGGAAGATGAATTTAACTGGAAGATGTCTCACCTGTTTTTCGAAAACTGTATGAGTAACGAATATATTTTGGTAATTCTCCCATGTAGTGTAAATATTCACAATAACTTAAAGTCTGTAAATGTAATTTAGATTTTCAGGATTAAATCCCAGTTGAGCTAAAACTGATTAACTGAAAAACAGAGGTGCCCCTTAGGTTTCTTCTGGTGGTTTACTCAGGGACCCACTGCCACAGCCTTTTGTAGAGCCAAGAGAAATGTGTAGCCTAGGTTCTTCCCCAAACCCAGCAACTCAATGACAAATCTAGCAGAAATGTCACCATAATATTCTGACTAAAGCTTCAGAAGACACTATTTTGAGACAGAGTGAGTATATTGTATCTAAATTGTCAGGTCTTTGTACGCTCATATTTATTTAGTAATTTCACTTTCCTTTTTATATCCCATTTCAGATAGTGGTCATTTACTATAGTAATAATGATGACAAACTATTATTTATTGAGTGCTGACTTATATATTTGATTTCATGTACATTATTTTAATCCTCCCACTAAAATGTAAGTTCTGCTATTACCACTGATGAGGAAACTGAGTCAGAGATACAAAGGGACATGAAAGACATGTAACTATAGTAAAGTGTGTGGTGCAAACAATCCAACCTAAGTCATTCTGACAGGTGATTGCTGCTAGAACGCTTTGCCTCCAGCACTGTTAAAACAACTGGATTCCTTTAAGCCCTGACTATGATCTTTTAATTCTGAAATACTATGAAAATGTAATTTGCTAATAATTTACTGTGGATTAAGTATATGAGTAAGAAAGCTTATTAAATCAACAGTTCTAGTTTCAGTCTCTACTATCTTCTCAATCATTTGTGTCTTGTTTTTTATAGAAGTTTTCAGTAAGCAATGACAACTGTATGTTGACAGAAAACCATTCTTAAAATTTGCAGCAGACAGGACTCCTATACATACTTCTTTTTTTGTTTATTGAAAATCTTATTATCTGGATTCTCTCTCATTATACTTTCATTTCTACAATATTTTCACCTTGGCACAGAGACATAAATATTAAAACCAGAAGATCACATTCTAGTAAAAGAAATAATGGTGTTTCCATCACTGAGAATAAGTGCTTTTTCATATATATTGCAAATTCCAAAAATGTCTCGGGAAATGAGTTAAGGAAGGAATTGCTTATTCCATCACAAAGAAAATCTCAAACAAAATAAATTTACATAAGAAAGTACATGAAGACTGGGTGTGGTGGCTCACTCCTGTAATCCTAGCACTCCGGAAGGCTGGGGCAGGAGGATCACTTGAGCCCAGGAGTTTGAGGTGACAGTGAACTATGATGATGCCACTGCACTCCAGCCTGGGCAACAGAGCAAGATTTTGTCTGTAAAAAAATAAAAATAAAAATAAAGGAAAGTACATGAAGATGCAGCAAAGCTCTGGTATCAGTAATATTCTGAAATAGAAACAGCCATTCCTTCCTGTAGAAAGTCTGTCTTGAGTTTGAGGAGTCTCTGGAGGATGTATGATGGGCAAAGCTGAAGTTGTCACGATCTGCCTAATCAAGTGTCTCTTCAACAGTGTCCATGGGGATTACACAATGTCTAATGAAGTTTTAGGATGATTTGTTAGACTAAGCCTTCCATCAGACAGAGTTCTTTCATTAATTATGATTCCACCCTAGAGACTAACTAAGCAATATGTCCCAATCTTAATAAAAGTCCTCCTGAGCACGTATGAATTTATAAAGTAGAAAGTAAAAGCTGTTTCCACTTTTTGAAGATAATTTGCAAACTGGAAGTCAGACTAGATGGCACAGGTCACCTATATCTGGGAGCCTAAAGATGATTATAATTTCAGAGGATAAGAAAGGAAGCTTACTTAATTGAGATGTGTAGAGAGAGAAGGGTATGAAGCCAGGAGAACGAGATGTGACCCTTGATCCCAGAGAAGAAGATCTTCAAGAGTCACTTCTATGACCTGGCAATGGTTCAAAGATACTTTGTATGAAATGAGGACACATTTTTGGAAACTAATGAGCTTCAATGAAAAAGAGATGAACATATTTTTCGACTTCAGCTAAAAAAAAAAGATTAACTTCCTTAATAAAAATAAAATTAAAACTGCAATTAGACATTGCTTTCACTTATTTAAATGGTAAATATTAAAATTTTATAATGCAATCTATTAAAAAGTATACTGAGAAAAAGCAAAAATAGTCATGTGAGGGTAAGTTTGGTGTAATTTTTTTCAGAACAATCTACTAAAATCCTTTTAAAAAATATGTATTTCCTTCCTTTGACTTGGGAATTCCACCTCCAAATATTAATTCTAGAGATATATTTACTTTACATGAACAAATAAGTAAAAGAATAGTCATCACTACACTGTAGGTAGTGACAAAGGATGGGAAACAATCCAACAGACTCCAACAGGAGTCTGGTGAAATTATGTCTCATCCAGATCATGGACGATACTGCAATTGCTAAAAGCACTATGGCAGATTTGCATGCAGAGTTAGGAATCAATCTCCTTGCTATATCATTAGGGAAGATAAGCAGGAAGCAGAATATGATATATTATGTCTTAGCATTTGAGTAAACACATAAAAGATCTCCATTAGGAAATACAAGAGTAGCAGTTGCCTCCAGGAAAGGGAATTGGATAATTGAGAACTAAAGAGGGGTTTACTGGTCATGAGTATCTTTTGATACTGAAGATCGTGTGCTTGTATCATCGAGTCAACCCAATTAATCAATTGATCTTTTAGAAAAGACTGGAAAGAAAAGGTATCTAAAACGGTCAGGTTGCAAAGTCAAGTAAAATTGTGTCAATAAAATGGCTCGGAGAAGTGATTCTCAAATATCTGGGTATCAGAATCTCTTTATAGTCTTAAAAATTATTGAAGACTCACAGATTTCTTGTTTATGTGGAATATTTGCCATCTTAAAACTGAGACAATTATAAATATTTATTTACTAATTCATTTTCAAAAAATATAATAAATTTATTTTCGGTAAAAATAACTATTTTCCAAAAAACTGTGAGAAGAGTGACAATGTTTTTTATTTGTGCCACCTAATGGAAGACATCTAGGTTCTCATGTCTGCTTCCGTATTCAATCTGTTATGAAATAATATGCATCACATTGTATAGCTTCTGGAGAACTCTGCTGAGAAAATGTACAGTGAAAATTACAAATGACATGTTGGTGTTATTATGAAAATATGTATGGTCTCACAGACCCCTAAGAGAATCCTGGGGACCACCCTCTATGAGCCCCTTAGAATAAAAATAGAACTTTGCAACTGAATTGCCATTAGAGAAAAAAGATCACTTTCTTTAGCTGAAGTTCACTTTCTAGTATTCTCTAACTCCATCAGTAATGTCTAACTGTCCTAAAACATGAGTTCATAAAGCTCAAAGAAGGCAACGGTGCCTGATAAAAACAATCTTCTAGGAACGACAGTTTACCAAGTTTAGTTCTCCTGCGAAATAATACTAGCAAAATGTTCTTTGTGTAATGTAGTTTCTCACACTGGCTAAACAAGATTATCTTTCAGAAAATAAAATTCTAGCTCTAACAGATTCATATTTTAATTTAAGAAATACCAAACTATTTCCCATCTCCTCTAAAACTATCATAGTCATATTATTCAACCTCTGTAGAATGGGAAATGCAGCATCTAAGAAAGCATCTTTTGTAAGGGGCTAACAAAAGTTGTAATTAATGTAGTAAATAACAGTAGTTTATCCTTTCAGCACATTTTTATTGAATTCACTTTATGTTCATTTATTGTGCTCTGGGTTGATGATAGAGTGGTCAGAAAAACAAGCCTGCAACCTGCCTTCATGGAGCTGACGATCTGGCTAATAGACATTAATGAAAAAAATCTCATAAGCTGCTATGGATGAAATAAAACTACAGTAAGCTCTGAGAGTCCCTAACAGGGCCAACTGGCAAGATTTGGAGAATCAGAGACACATAATCAGAAAAAGGGAGATTTGAACTGAGAAACAGGAGAAGTAGGGGGTTAATAGGCAGTGACGGTAGGGTTTGGAGGTATTATTCAGTGTAGAGGAAACAGTATGCATAAAAACTCCAAGGCAGGAGTGAGTATGGTGGTTTCCAAGTGCTGAATTAGGTCAAAATCAGCCAAATAATAGAGAGTGATGTCACGAATGATACAAGATGTGCTGTCAATATACACATGCATCAGATCATGCAGATTCCTGAATGCCATGGTAAGGATTTCCATATTTATAATGAGAGCAACAGGGAGCTGTTGAAAGGTATTACAGACACTTGTTTGTGTTTTTGTTGGCATGTTTACCGGATGCAAGATGAGGTGGCCTTGCATCTAGCATAATGGTTCGTTTTCTCGTAATTACCAGTTGAAAGTGAACCTCACCACCTGCTTGTTTGAGGTTCAAACAATAGTCCTTGACCTCAATCAGCAAAGTGGAATATAACATTTCAGGTCCTCAAAGTGAGTTTTAAAGTGAAATTTTCTTACTATCTGCTATCAAAAACTTCAGGAAAAGTGAATTTTCAGGATTATTACCTAAGATATCTAAGGAATGTCAGCATCCCTCCAATCCTCTGGTTCTAAAAGTTTTATGTAAGAGTGAGTTAATAACCAGAACTGTCCATGCTAGGAAAGTAATAGTATGGCATTTGAATCACCTGCCCGGAGTCCAGCTTCAACATTCTAGCCTTGGCTTCTAATAAAATTTGTTATAAGAAAGAATGCTATGATAGATACTTCTGGATTTGTTGCCCACATACCATTAGGGCAAGGTCTGTTATCTGGAATTTTCCATAAAGTCTCATGTGGTAAAAAACATTGCTGGAATTTTGTACCCAAGACAACATGTTTTTCCCTAAGGAACATTTCTTCTTTTGCATTAATGAGAGCAAATTATTTAATAAATTGCCACATTGGCCCAACCTTGATAGAGTTAAAACAAGTTAAACAGAATTAACTATGATGGCTCTTATGCTTTCTTTCCTTTGCTTCATTCCAACAATATATTTTGCTCATACCAAATCAACTTAAATTCTATTTCATAAGCTCTCTCTAATTCTTTTACAAAGTGATATGTGGAAACATATATAAATGTAACAAATGCACATGTTCAGTTTTAAGAAGTACACTCGATATATCCTCAAAAGCTGAAAAAATAAGTTCAATGGGACAATTTCATTCATTACAGACTCCTTTTCTTTTAACGTTGCTAAAAGCTTAAAAGACATGAAAGCATAAATATTTATTTGTATCACTGTAAGAATGACTGACCACTACATAAAATTGGAAAAGAATGCATGCCTAAGAAGGGACTACTTACCTTATTGATATAGTTTTCATTACAAAAATCAGGCTGGTGGCATCAAACATGTGGGCCATGGCCTCACTCCAAACTGCTGAAGCTCATTTGGGATCACAAACGATTTGCTAAAGCCTCACCACTGCTGCCAAGACAGGGAGATTGTACTGAAATGTACATTTCAGAGCCAAATTTAGTGCTTTCTTGGCTACGAAAGGTGAAGCCAGGACAGCAGAAAGGAAACCTAACAATGGGAAGACAGGACCCTGGAGTAACTTCAGGAAAAACTAATCCAAGTAAGAAGGCATGGGATGTGCAGTTGCCGCTTGTTTTGGGATACATGTAATTCATTTTTTAAGTTATTAACTACACACATAAATACACACTCACACATATACCTGCATAAACATAGAACACGATTGTGGTGGGCAGAATTCTAAGATGATCTCCAATAGCTCAGGCCCTTACACTATCTCCTCCCAGATGGTCAACATCTGTAATTTTCTTTTAACCAGTGGAATATGGCAAAGTTAAAGGATTGTTCAAATGTAATTAGCATCCTTAATCAGTTGACTTTAAGTTAATCAAAGGTTATTCAGGGTTGGTCTGGTCTAAGCAAGTGATTAGCTCTCCAAAAAATGGCCTAGAAGTCAGAAGTCAGAGTTTCTTTCTCCTGCTGACCTTGAAGAAACAAGCTTCAAGGAATTTTACAGTGGTTAAGAAATTGATTCTGCCAACAGCCACCTGATATGGAAAAAGGAGCCAGAACCTCAAATGAGACCCCAATCCTGGCCAACACCTTTCTTAAAGCCTTTTGAGACCCTGAACAGAAAACCCAGCTAAGTCAAGTGCAGTCTCCTGACCCATGGAAACTGTAAAGTAACAAATGTGTATTGTTTTAAGATGCTAATTTTGTTGTGATTTGTTATGCTACAATAGAAAATAATATAATGATGTTTGGTGCTGTGTGAAAGGTACCATGCTGAAAGCATACACTTCGGTTGCTTAATTAGTACAACTTCAGTATTTGAATATAACCTAAGAAAAATCAATGGGTATTGACAAACACACAAATACACAAATGTATACATCCATACACACTGAAATTTGCCATCAAGGGAGAAAAAGCCAACTTGTTTTCATTACCTACACCCTCAAATTTACTTCATCTTTTGTCAAACTCATCTTAGTTAAAGGCAAATTTTTTCATTTTTGGACTAGTTGGACAATTCTAGGTCCAGCTAGAAACCTCGGGGTCATCACTGACTACTTACTGCCCCTCATCCCTTCTAACAAATTGGTCACCAAATCGTACTACTTCCTTTTGATTCTTTTTCATCCCACTCTTTAACTCAATCTCTACTGCCACTCATGAGCTCTTCTTTCTACCAAACAATGCTTCTATCTGATTTATCTGTTCATAGATTCCCCACCTCAACTCCACCAAGCCCACGACTTCCCTTTCAGTCTTAGAGGTGCTCCCTAGGTCAATGGGAAGGAAGTGAAGGAAGTCAAGTAGAACTAAACTTGGCGACGATGGGAGAAGAAAGGCTAGAGATCAGATAACAGACATGCCTAGGAAATGATAGATGAGTTTACTGACCTTGTTATGGATTCTGAGCATTATCCTGTAAACAATGCAAAACCACTGATGGATTCACAACAGAAGAGTTACACACACACACACACACACACACACACACACACACACAAGAGCACACAGGCACACACACAGCATAGTCTTTCCTTGCAGGAAATTATTCCTAATTTGGAAATGAAGGTTCTTTCACAAATCAGCAAGTTTTTTGCAATAAAAAGCTACTTACCAACTCTGCAAACTTGGATATAGTCAAATCATTTTTTCCAACTTTTTATTGTGGTAAAAATACACATAAAATTTACTATCTTAACAATTTGATAATCATAATTTTTGGTAAACAGAATTTGGAATCTGAGATAATAATCATGACTGTATAGACCCTGCATAGTAATGGTTCAATTGAACTTAGTTCTAGTTCTTTCTCCTCCCTTTTGCTAACAGTGAAACATCAAACAATATTCATCTTGCCCATTAATATTGAAGTAAAACTTGCTGAGGCAGTTTGGTCTCAGGGAGTGTGCACATTTAAATACCAAAAAGTTAACATCTACCTAGAAGCTAGAGAACAAAGTTAGAAAACAAAGAAACAATAGGGAATATTTTTGCCTTTGGGTAATTCAGTAGTACTGATCAGTAGGAAAAAAAACTCCTACTGACTGGTAAGAAATGCCATAGAATATGGGTACGCTCAATGAAAATGGAAGGTTTTTTTCATATGCCACCTCTATTTTCACCCTCTTAGATACAACGAAACAATTAGAGACTGCATGTCTTCATCTCTGAATGTGCTTGTGCGCAAAATGGCTATGTCTAACCAGATACTCTGCATTTACATTGTGAAAGGTACCTTTCTGGGGCTGAAACGCTATACTTTTCCCCTTCCTTCATTTCTTGTCCCTCCTCATGTATACAAAACAGTGTTTGGAGAAAAGAAATATATACTACATAGAGTCAAGTCATTAAGTCTAATTCCAATTCTCTAGTTCGTGGTTTCAAAGGAAAAATTCTGAAAATTTAAGCAGAGATCAAGAGAACATTCTTCTAATTTTCTGTACCCAGATGACACAGATTTTTAAGGGATGACACAGTCAGGGGGATGACTGGGCAGATCTTGAAGCAATCTGGTAGTCACATGGAATCAGCCTTTTTTAAGGCCACACTCACATTTTGGGGCTGTAATTGTTTGAACAGCGTAGAAAAGTGTCAGAGCTGCTAACTGCACAGCTCACCAGATGCAGGAGTGGGATTTGCCACTCCAACTATGCAGAAGCTTGGATTGAGCCAAGAATCTGGAAGGAGACAATATGAGAGGCTTTCCTTCTCCAAGGCTTAAAAGGGCATGAGATTCTATTAGGCTGAACCATGTGAAATTAGCAATATTTTACAACTTTTACCTATGAAGTTGGTTCGACACAGTACATTGCAGAAATGAAGAGGGAGAATGTGCTTTAAAATACTGGTGTAATAAATCATACATGTCTCTAAACCAAAACAATAAAAGTACATAAGCAGAAAAATACTCTATACGATGATAGAATCAACAGGCCATGGCGTTTTACATTCGCTTTCAACTCTGCTGGGTATGTTTTTGAAAACTAGTGACTTATGCCAATACTTCCATTCTAACCAATATTCTTAAAAATCAAAAAGAGTTGTTGAAATTTTGAAAAACCAAGTAATCTAGTAATACAAAACAGCTTTCTATTGTTAATAATTGCATATATAAGAAGCAAGATTTAAGCTAGGCATGGTGGCTCACACCTGTAATCTCAGCACTGTGAGAGACTGAGGTGGGAGGACTGCTTGAGCCAGGGGTTCAAGATCAGTCTGGGTAACATGGTGATACCTTGTCTCTACAGAAAAATTTTTTTTTAAAAAAATGGCCGAGTATGATGGCTCCCTACGCAGGAGGCTGAGGCAGTAGGATCCTTTGAGCCCTGGAATTCAAAGTAGCAGTGAGCCATAATCATGCCACTGCACCCCAGCCTGAGTGACAGAGTGAGACCTCATCTCTGAAGAAAAAAGTAAGATTTAGAGTTGGTGAGTCCAGTGAGATGTTACTTTTCACATAATGTCCCTTCACTCTACTTCTCAACATCTCCATGGTATTTGCACAAACGTGAATATTCTCATTGCATTATTGGAAATTTTATCACATCAATTCCTTTTGACACCATGAATAAAACTGAAATATGAATACTGGAGAATTCTAATGTGTGCCAGAAGAGAACTTCAACTTCTATAAAAAAGTGTTCTTATTGAGGAAACAATTTTCACTTAACAAGACTGTAGATAATAGAGTTATAACTCAAGAGTGATGATATTCATTAAAGAAAATAGACCTGTGTTTCTTTACTCTCTCTACTGGTTATGATTTCTTATCCATTTTAAAAAAAAATAAAGTATTGGGAGAATACAAAGTAATATTATATGTAAAAAAGAACCAGCAATACTGTACCCTTTCCTCACACAAAGAAAATATTTGCTTCGGAACTGGGTTCTTGCCTTGACTATGTCAATTATCACAGTTTTTCTCCCTTACATTCAATCATCCCAAGGAATTTCCAACCTGACTTGGTGACTCCCTCCTCCCTTTCATATAGATGGGACTAATGGAGCATTAATCTGACTGTGAAATGATTCAATTTCAATTTTTCTAACCTGAGGCTATAATTATTTTTCTTCTTAGACCAGTAAGCAATGAGTCATTAAAGAGAAATTCTGTGGGGCAGAGGTCCCATCTGAGGTCCAATCTGATAAGTGCACAGGGTACAAAAGTTTGCAGATATCCTCCTTTTCCAGGCAATGCAGAAAAATCCTGGTATCTGGTAAGCTTCTCTTTCCATATATTAATTATTAAGGATCCCACTTATAATATCTACAGATTCTCTGCTCTTTTAGTGATATATAAATCATGGAATAAGACTATCCAAGATAAACTGTCCTTTGTTCAGAGTTCACATTTCAAATGAACACAAGAAGGAATCTGTGGCTGGGCATGGTGGCTCATGCCTGTAATCCCAGCACTTTGGGAGGCCGAGGCGGGCGGATCACGAGGTCAAGAGATTGATACCATCCTGGCCAACATGGTGAAATCCCATCTCTACTAGAAATAACAAAAATTAGCTGGACGTGATGGCACTCGCCTGTAGTCCCAGCTACTCGGGAGGCTGAGGCAGGAGAATCTCTTGAACCCAGGAGACAGAGGTTGCAGTGAGCCGAGATTGCGCCACTGCACTCCAGCCTCGTGACCAAGTGAGACCTCCGTCTCAAAAAAAAAAAAAAAAAAAAAAAAAAAAAAGAAGGAATCTGTATCCTGCTTGAAAAAGGACAGAGTGAGAATTCCTCCTTAGGTCCCATCACTGACTCCTCTTTTCCTCCTTGCACTTTAAATGGTGCACCTCTGGCTTCCATCCTTGAGCTTTTCCCCACTGGCATCCCTTATTTAGGTGTTCTTTCTGATGCTCATCATATTTTCCTAGTAACTTCCAACCAATCCACACTATTCTCTCAATTCTTCTGAGTTCCTAAAATCTGATATATTGAAAGAACCTGAACTTTGGAGTCATAAAAATTCTAGCATTAGCCATAAAAAAAGAACAAGATCATGTCTTATGCAGGGACATGAATGGAGCTGGAGGCCATTATCCTTAGCAAATTAATACAGAAACAGAAAAACAGATACCACATGTTCTCACTTAGAGGTGGGAGCTAAATGATGAGAACACATGGGCACATAGAGGGGAATGGCACACACTGGGGCCTATTGGAGGCTGGAGGGTGGGAGGAGGGAGAGGATCAAGAAAAATAACTAATAGATGCTAGGCTTAATACCTGGGTGATGAAATAATCGCTACAACAAGCCCCCATGACACATGTTTGCCTATGTAACAAACCTGCATATCCTGCACATGTACACTGAGCTTAAAAGGACAACAACAACATATATATTCTATAACTTTTCTAAGTTCCATTTTCCAGGTCTGCATCTAGAGAAAAGGGTATATTTTCCACGGTCTGTTGAAAAGATTAAGTGAACTGTGATCTGTGCAAAGCTTCTAGGAGTACCAAGCCTCACAAATTAATAAATGATAGTGCTGAGGAAATATGATAATGATGATGATAGTGATGGTGATGATGATGATGACAATAATCTACTGAACATTTCTATTTGTGTGTTCACTAGCAAACTCTTCAGCTTTCCTCCCCTGACCTGGTAAGTGCTACCATCACTCACCCAGTTGGCTGAGTACATACCTTAAGATTTCCATCTCTTTATTCTTTATCCACCTGCCTTTTTCTAATTGATTGCTAAGAATGGACAAACCTAGCCTAATAATATCAACCTATTTATTCCACTGCTCTAAGTTATGACTCTATCTGCTATACTGGATTTTTATCATAATGTCTCAACTGGACTCCCCCCACCTTCTGTCTTGCTTTATTTTTATTCCCCTTCTATGCTACTACAAGAGGAATCTTTCTAGAGGACATTGATTATGTTTCTCTTCAACTTAAAACTCTTCTATATGAGGAACAATTGGGATAGTGTATGTCAATGCACTATGAAAAAGTCTTTTTAAATAATGATCTATAAATGGCTATCTCAGTAATATTATCTTAGGAAGATGTAGAAGTTTTTATCTCATAGAAAGGGAAAATTACTGTTGCATACTTATCCTAATACTAAGATGAAGGGAAAGGAAAAGGATAGGACAACAACAACAAAAATACATAGTAATTGTCCTACACATTAATGGTATTATGAAAACAAATATTTAGAGCCAAAAATGCATACATAGAACCACAAAATATGAAAATATATATAAAATCCTGGTTTGAGAGCAAGTATCTTTGCTTATACCATATTTACAACTCTACATGAAAACACAATACCTTGATTCTAAGAAAATGAAAAATTAAAGAATTATTCTTGTCAGGTGTGGGTCTTAAGAATAGTCATCCTAGAGAAACAAGCAAAAGAAAGACTATGAAGTGTTTATTGTTGTTGCTGTTTTGTTTTGCCTGCATGTTCGTTTGGTTGTTTGTAAGAGGTATATCAAATGCAAAGGCTTGTTAAGTGTGATTAACAGATTATTATGGTGTCTATGCAGATAGAATTAGCCAGAGGCAAAAGCACATGGCAGAGATTTTTAAAAACATACAATTGATAAAAAGGATAAAAAAGCTTAAACAATAAACATACATGTTCATAAGTGCAGCAATCCACCATGGCACATGTATATCTATGTAACAAACCTACACATTCAGCACATGTATGCCAGAACCTAAAAAAAAAAAAAAAAAAAAAGAAGAAGAACAAAAAAAAAGCTTAGATAAGTTTGCAGGGCATGGTGGGTCACTCCTGTAATCCCAGCACTTTGGGAGGCGGAGCTTGAGCCCAGGAGTTCAAGAGCAGCCTGGGCAACACGTGAAACCTCATCTCCGGAAACTTCATCTCCACAAAAAAATACAAAAATTAGCTGGGCATTGGTGGCACACAACTCTGGTCCTAGCTACTTGGGAGGCTGAGGTGGGAGGATCAGCTAAGCCCGGGACAAGGAGGTTGCAGTGAGCCAAGATCGCGCCACTGCACTCCAGCCTGAGTGACAAAGCAAGATTCTGCCAAAAAAAAGAGAAAGAAAAGTTTAGACAAGTTTCCAAAAGGTTTTAAAGATAAAGCAAAAAAAGGATAATTTTGCAATAACACACAGCACCACTCCCCAAACTCACCCCTCAACCCCCGACACACAAACATCCACACATCAGTGTTTGAAGAATTTCCAGTGATAGATGGGTACAGAAATAATTAAGATTAGAAAACCAAAGCTGGAAAGGCTGGTGTAGTAGCTTCCTAGTTAGAGAGAGAGGGCAGAACAGGGGAAGGAGGGAAATGACTGAAAAAGAAAGTTCATTTGTCTTTATGATGTTACCAAGAGGAAGTAGTTTGAAGTGTTAGTTTTCATCTTTTTCAGATGAGTTGAGAAAACCAATTTAACTAAATTAATGCAATTAATTAGTGGTGACCTGAAATGCAATATATCTACCTATGCTTTCACAATCAAAAAGCATTTGTTATGCTTCACATATTGACACAAGTGATCTATCCACAACACTGCAAATTTCCTCTGCAGATGAGCGTTTTCAAATGTTTGCCTTACCCAATATTTCAAACTTTCCCCCACTCAAACAAGCTAAAAATTACAAAGAACAAAGGAAAACAAAACTGCAAGATTTTAAATTTACCTTAGGTGTCCAAATACTTATGGATTTTTATTTATTTACTTACTTACTATTTTTTCAAATACAGGTGGGATGTTGCTATATTGCCCAGGCTAGTCTTGAACTCCTGGGCTCAAGCAATTCGCCCACCTCGGCCTCCCAAAGTGCTGAGATTACAGGTATGAGCAACCATGCCTGGCCATGGATTCATTAATTGTACTTTTTGGAAATACATGTAATTTAAAAATTATTTTATCTAATAGCATTAAGTCAGTCAGTCGACAGGATCTATCATTTCCACTTTTAAAAAAAACCTCTCTTAAATTCATCTCTTTACTGCCATGTCCATCCTTTACTGCCACAGCATCAGTTTCAGACTATCACCATTTATTTCTCATCTGGTTTACTGCAATAAACACCTAAATCACACCTTTAATTTCTTCCCACTCCATGGTCTACATATCTACCGAAGTAAGTTTTTTTTTTTTTTTTTTTTTTTTTTTTTGAGACAGAGTCTCGCTCTGTCGCCCAGGCTGGAATGCAGTGACGCGATCTCGGCTCACTGCAAGCTCCGCCTCCTGGGTTCACGCCATTCTCCTGCCTCAGCCTCCCAAATAGCTGGGATTACAGGTGCCTGCCACCACGCCCGGCTAATTTTGTGTGTGTTTTTAGTAGAGACGGGGTTTCACCATGTTAGCCAGGATGGTCTCGATCTCCTGACCTCGTGATCCGCTCTCCTCGGCCTCCCAAAGTGCTGGGATTACAGGCGTGAGCCACCGCGCCCGGCCCTACCAAAGTAAGTTTTAAAAAATTCAAAACTATCCACATAATTTCCCTGCTTAAAACCAATCAGTGCCTCTGTAACATCTTATAGGGAAGTTAAGGAATCTTTAGCAAAGCCTTATTTCCTCTTCTTGCTTTTCCTTACCAGCCCCATCCTCCACAGCCGGAACTCCGTATATATTGAACTACTCTCTTAGGCTACTGTCTTGGAAAATACTAACCATTAGATACTACAGTTTTTAACTATCTACTTAAACAATTTCTACTGTTTAATAATCAGATGGCAGTTATATTCTGTTAAACTACTAGTGCACATTTGAGGACATTATCGTTGTATTTCCGTTTGGTCTTCTATCATTTGAAATTTGTAATTTGTTTGCATTTATTTTTCATAGGCAGATTTGTATAATAGAAGATCCAAAATACTCATTAATTAACTACATCAAATATTTAAAGCAAATGCTTAGACACAAACGGCATCCAAAGCAATAAAAAGGCTGCCAGACTGCTTGAGGGCCAACACTGCTATATGTTATTGTTTTTGGGTTTTTTTGTTGTTTTTTGAGACGAAAGTCTCGCTCTGTCACCCAGGCTGGAGTGCAGTGGCGCAATCTCTGCCCACTGCAACCTCCGCTCCCCGGGTTTAAGCGATTCTCCTGCCTCAGTCTCCTGAGTAGCTGGGATTACAGGTGCACACCACCACGTCCAGCTAATTTTTGTATTTTTAGTAGAGACAGGGTTTCACCATGTTGGTCAGGCTGGTCTCAAACTCCTAACCTTGTGATCCACCAGCTTTGGCCTCCCAAAGTGCTGGCATTGCAAGCGTGAGCCACTGCTCCTGGCCTGTTATTGCTTTTCTACATACTCCCACTATGTCCTCATTATCTACTTTATGGGTTCAAACATTTCTGATTTTTTTTTTCTTTGAGACAGGTCTCACTCTTTTGCCCAGGCTGGATTGCGCAGCACAGCAGGAGCATAGCTCACTGTAACCTTGAACCCCTGGGCTCAAGCGATCCTCCTACCCCAGCCTCCTGAGTAGGTGGGACCAATCAGAGGTGCACGCCACCACACCCAGCTAATTATTGTATTTTTTGTAGAGACAGGGTTTTGGTCTGTTGTCCAGGCTGGTCTGGAGATCCTGAGCTCAAGTAATAATCCCGCCTCGGCCTCCTAAAGTACGGCGATTACAGGTGTGAGCCACTGTGCCTGGCCTGAAATTTTTCATGAGTTACAAAAAGATGTAGTGACAAAAATTCAAAGGGGTATCTTGTTCATTATTGTCAAGTCAATAATCTAATTTGGTCGAATCAGTTAAAACAATCTCTGGGGAAATATTACATTGAACATGCTTGACAAAGTTACTTCAGTGGCCCATCTTGTTATCTCTTAAACCTAGCTAAGGAGATAGAAATGTTTAAAAGAAAGCATTTTTGATATGTGACATCACAAAGCACACTACCTCTTCACCATGTTTTGTATAATTAGTAAGACATATAATCATTATGTTTGAGCTCATTGGAAATGAAATCACATTCTACCAGGGAGTAAATGGCAATGCACTTGAGTCTGGGGTCCTCATGTCATGACTGCCACTAAAAACAAACAGACATAAATTGTTTTCCCTAAATACATTTTTTTCTGAAATATTGCTATAGTGAGATTATTGAGTGTGTATGTGACCTGTTATTACTGGTTTTTTATTTTTTGTGAAATATTTCATGTTTATAAAATATTCCATGTCAACAGAAGTAATGACTATCTAACAGCTTCCACATCTTACTACCCCCAAAATAAAAATAATACATAAAGTTAAAAAGGAGCATTTATGAAATTATAAGTGCCATTTTGCCAGGATGATGATACATACTCTTCTTCTTATGAATGTTAAGGTTAGTAGACCATTTTGAATTGGCAATTATTTTCTCAGTCAAGAAATTTATTTATTTTTACTTTTGGGTCTTAATGTCATGCAGAACTACCAGATGCCAATAACAGGAGTAGCTGTGGGCATTTTATATATGTTTAAACCAAGCTAACAGAATGAATTGAGCCAGAGTATTTATAATTTATTAATAAATGTTAAATAATGCATAAACACTAAAATAATCATAAGACAAAACACAAAATAACATTGAAATTAGTATCTAATGTCCTTATTATCATTTTTTTATTTGCCGTCTCCTTAAATATAACTCTCCTGCAACATCATCATCCTGGCAATCCATGGTGCCACTTCTTCAATGACTTCCTGTCCTTTAGGTTTATTTCCAGAGGTGATATTTGCATTTGTAAACTGAAGTGTCTTTTACATAAAATAAATTGTATAGTTATTTTTTAACTCTTTAATAAAATAAAGCACATGGTAAAGGTTGTCTGAATTTGGAGTTGTTTTCTACTTACTTTTAACAGTATATTCCTAACTTCATAAAATTGGTAACCCTGGAGTTCAATTATTTATTAATAATTCTTTCAGTTCAAGCAATGTACAAATACTGTGTTTGAATGTGAGAAAAATTGACAGAGTCATTATTTTCATAGGAGTTTATAGTTTGGTGAAAGAAATTGGCCTTATCAATAATTATACAATTAAACATGTAATTGAAAATATAATAAACAATATAAAGGAGCACTATATGGTATTATGACAGGTTTGGGAGATCTGAAAATACTTCACCAAAAGAAGTGATGCTTGAATCAAGATCTGAAGTATGAGTAGGTGTTATAAAACACTAATGGGTGTGGAGGAAAAGGCATTTCAGGCAGAGGAAACAAGACATAAAGAAGCACATAATTCAACACAAAGTTTGGCCTATCCCATTGAAGCCATGAACATCCTTCTGTTTCTCACAAACTGTGGGTCTGTTGATTTATTTGGATATTTCAGCTATTTATGGCAGTTTCTGAGTTAATATAAGTATGGGTTTCTTAGAACCATATTCTACATGAGGGGCATCATTATACTCTATTACTTCTCAAACATCTGATAAGAACAGGGTATTTATCCATGTTGGATGATCTTTCTTCAGTGTCTGTAGTAGCAGCTGCCGTGATGAGTAACCACATGATTTCTGGACAGTAGAGACCCCTGCCTACTGATCATTAGACAAGAAACTGGTCCTCAATAAAACTGAAAACCCAGGTGGTGGGAATGATTGAGTGGTAGTAAAATAAAAATGTGTGTATAGAAGAGTCCAAACTTTTACTTTATGTTTTAATGATTTAAAAATGCTTCCAAGTGAGCTGGAAGCACACCTGCATACTAGGTAATATTGTTATCATGAATTTGGACAATCTCGATAGACTAAAAATGTATTACTCTAATTGCTTTCAGAGAGAAGGGCTGTGAGTAAATTATTCTAAAACATCAACCTCATTTTTGGTAAGTAACTTCTAACATTTAACTGGCTTATATTTAAATGTGTCAATCCATGTATTTAATGGGGCTACATTTTGCAACTAGATTATCTTGGTGCATTCAACTGGAAGTGGATATGTTATAAATATCGAGACAATGGGGTGTTCATGTCAGAAAATCAGAAAGCTGGATACCAACACTGAATTCTCCTTTCCTTCTTTTTTTTTTTTTTTTTAAGAAAAAATACCAGAGGATCACTCTGTTGCTCATGATGGAGTTCAGTGGCGCGATCTTGGCTCACTGCAATCTCTGCCTCCCAGGGTCAAGCAATTCTCGTGTCTCAGCCTCTTGAGTAGCTGGGATTACAGGCACGTGTCACCATGCCTGGATAAATTTTGTATTTTTTGGTAGAGACAGGGTTTCGCCATGTTGGCCAGGCTAATCTTGAATTCCTGGCCTCAAGTGATCTGCCCGTCTTGGCCTCCCAAAGTGTTGGGATTACAGGCGTGAGCCAAGATGCCCAGCCTCTCTTATTCCTTTGGTTCCATTCTATCACAAATAAGGAAGACCCAATTTGGGCTGGTGTCCCAGAATTCTGAGCCACACTTGAGAATTAGGTTGGGCTTGCTTGAGGGCTACAGTTACAGGAACAGAGCAGGTCAAAAAAGCAATATTTGAGCAAGAAACTAAAATAAGACCTTAGTTTTTAATCTTAAGGACCAGAGAACACATACAGCATCCAAATCAAATTCGGGTATTCAGGTGAGAACAAGAGGCTGAACGTGGGATACAGGAGAGTGAGTCTAGAAGAATTTTCCAAGTTGAAGAATGCAGCTTCTTTTAATGGTGCACACTTAGTGTTCAGTCTTAAAGAGAATGCCCTGTTAAGAATGCTAACTGGGGCTCCAGTGCTGATAGATTTTCAATGAATGGAACTTAGACAACAGGCCATCAATGTGTAGTTTTATAAGAATCAGTCACAGTTATAAGAAACATTTATATCTATTTCAAACTTTATGAAGTATAGAAAAAATGTTGAAACTGCACACACCATATCACATAGCATCTTTTTTATAAAACACCACAGAGAAATATTTCTTTTAATTCTCAGAGTTAATAGCAATATATTTTACCAAGCAACTCATTTTTTAACTTACCGATATATGAATCTTAAAGCAACAGTGTTCCCTTCCTTGGATTAGTTGATAGGAAGATCAGAACCAGTCTGTGACTCGTTTCTAGCAATTACTCAGGAATTAATGAAATGAATTTTTGCTTTCATAGTTCATACTATTTTCATGCCATTTTCTCTTCTCTTTGATGTCCTCATGTTTATCTTTTACTAAATTTTTTTATGAAACGCAATCCTTTGCTTTTTTTGGGGGGGTAAGAAACAAGTGAAATACAAGTGAAATATATTAAACGAAATAAGTTGAAAATATTGTTTTACAAAAGGAGAAAATACATGATTTTTGCTTATTATAAAAACAACACATGCTCATTTTAAAGGAAATTGAGTAAGAGAAGAGAACATAAAACAAAATCAAAGACCTCTCAAAATATCCTCTCTTCACACACCTGTAACAGTTTGGTGGTTTTTCCTGCTTAGACAGAATATATATGTATTCTCTCTCTCTGTCTTTGTCTCTCTCTCTCTACATATATATGTAGTACTGTCTCTGTCTCTGTCTCTCTCTCACTCTACATATATATGTATATAGATATAAATACACACACACATATATATATACACACACATACCACACATACACCTACATACATAACTATAGGCACACATGTACATAGACATAATCTCATATATGTAAATATAAGCATGCATGAAAACACACTGGTAAATGATACCATATTCTGTCATCTATTCTCTAAATTGCTTTTTCCACATAACAACTTGTAGAGTTTAAAATAACATTTCAATAATTTCAATACATACAGATCTCAATACAGATATATCATCATTTATTTTACAATTTCTGTCCTGAAAGATATTTGGGTGGTTTCCAGATGTATACTATTATATGTAATATTGCAATATAGTATTTCTTTGCTCACTTATTCAATTATATTCTTAGGCTAAGTTTCTAAACATAGAATTAATGGGACAAAAGTATGCACATTAAAATATTGATATATATTATTTGATCACCCACCAATGTTTTCCTGATTTATACTTCCTGATTTCCTGATATATTGTTCACTGAAAATGTACATAAGAAAGTGGCTATGTCTGTATACCATCTCAAATTCTTTTAAATTTTTCATCTTTTTCCAAAATGATAGATGAAAAATTGTTTCAGTTTTTATTTCTTTGTCTGTCAGGTAGAAAAACTTTTCAAATGTATATTTGTCATACATTTTTCTTCCTTTTTGAATTTTCTGTTCATGGCCTTTATCTGTTTTTCTCTTGAGTTTTTAATCTTTTTTATCCAGTGCTCTTTATTATAGTATGAATGAAGTAATGATCATTTTTTATTTCCATAAACCATTAAACAATTTATCCTATATTAAATAATTTATCCTTTTCTCACTGATTTGGACTGCTACCTTTACTAAACCCTAAATTTTCAATATATGCATGGGCCTTATTCTTGACCATTTATCCAGTTGGTTGAATAATTGGTTTATTTCTAAATTATTATCATGCTGTTTGAATTAATAGCCTATATGATATGTTCTGCTATCTTATAAGGAAAAACAGTCTTTTTATTTTTTCAAAATGTTCTTTACTATCCTTATATTTAAATTAAATTTTAAGTCAAGTAATCCCCTAAAATCCCACTGGGGATTGTCATTTTTAAATAAGCCTCTGACCTTATCTGTCTGAAGTGTTGCATTTTTCTAAAATCCCATTTCAAACTGCTTACTTTCAGCCACCCCAACGATAATCTTACTCCATTAGTATACTATGTTCTCATAATTTTTCCCTTAGTGAAGCAGTCAATAACTTAGCTTTAGAACACAGTGCCTTAAATTTTGTGGATAAAAGACTCATTGAGAATTGGATAAACATTCTCTAAGAAATGTGTGCCTACCTCCAAATGTAATGAATCTTGTAGAGCCACATAACCCAAGGTTAAGAATTTACTCTGTAGAGGCACTTCTCTAAATTTACAAAGGGGGCTTTATCCCATCAGAGTTATTTTCACTCTTACATGTTGTTTTTTTTTCATAAGTTAGATCAAAACTGTTATTTCTCTTCATAATATTATAATTTCACTCTGTCTTCATAATCTTAACTCAAATTATAGGCTGCTTCTCCTCATACCAACCTATACTCACAGTATCTCTTGTTTCATTACATTACAATAAAAAAGATCACTAGACCTTTTTGGCTCAAGTCCAAGTTCTATCTTTGAACATGAATATGTGTCTATTTTTCTGAGATTCAATATTCCCTTCCATCATCTATAAAATGGGTAAAATAATCACTAACTCTGTGTGTTTCAAAGAGATTATTAAGAAAATCAAATATATCCTGTCTGAGAGAGCACAAACTAAAAAGACAAGGTTTCATTATTATTTCCACATTTAAAAGCTCACCACTTATTAAAAATCTATATAAAACCATTCACTGTGCAAGGTCCTAACATACCTAATGGGGGAAACACATAAAACAAATAATTAAACTGCAATTGATAACTGCTAGAGTACAAATAATATACGAAAGCTATGGGAAAGCCCAGAAAAGAAAAATATTCCCACTTTGGGAGATCGAGGCAGATGGATGACGAGGTCAAGCGTTTCAGACCAGCCTGGCCAACACAGTGAAACCCCGTCTCTACTAAAAATACGAAAAATTAGCCGGACATGGTGGCAGGCGCCTGTAGTCCCAGCTACTCGGGAGGCTGAGGCAGGAGAATCGCTTGAACCCGGTAGGCGGAGCTTGCAGTGAGCCGAGATCGCGCCATTCCACTCCAGCTCGGACGATAAATAAAAATAAAAAATAAAAATAAAAAAATAAAAAAATAAAGAAAAGAAAAATATTCCTTCTTTGTGTAGGAATATCCGCAAGAGGGTAACATGAACTGAGTTTGAAAAGATATTCATGAGTTTTCTGAACAGGTAAGGAAGGGGTGTTGCAGAGCATAGGGAAAGCAATCTAGAAGGAAGAAGCAGCCTCAGCAAGAAAGAGAGGTGTGAAAAGGCACAGAGAACTCAGACCACGGCCAGAATTTAAGTGTGATTATTTCATGGGGTTTACAAAAGGGGACAAAAGTTAGACTTTCTGCAAGAAAGACCGACTGGGCCAACATTCTGAAGAGTCAAACTAAGAAATTTAGACTTTATCTTGAAGGCAAAGAGAAATTACCTTAAGATTTAGAAGATGGTGGTGAAACTGGTAGCCTGGGGTGAAAAAAAAAAAGGAACAACAGGAATGAGGAGAGGTTGGAGCTAGAGATCACTTAGAGGCTATTGCGATAGTTTAGTGAATAGAGGATAAGTGCTGGAACTAGGGAAGTGGCAAGGAAAAAACACAAGAGTTATTTCTGAGGACGATTCAAAAGATCTTGGTGGTCTTTGAGATCCAAAGTTAGGGGAGAGGAAGAGTCTAAGAATGCCACAGACCAGAGACAACTGGATGGATGTGATGCCCCACGTTGAGACGGAGCAAGAATTATAAATGCTCATTTAGATGACAAAGCAAATTTTATAGAGTTCTCAATCTCCAAAGTGGTATGGTGAGGTTTGGGGCAATGGTGGTATGTGTGAATATAGGGTCCAACCAATTTAGCTGATAAGTTTTAAACAATAAGGTAAAGTGGCTTATTCTTCGGGAAAAATCAGTTTTCTTATTTTTAAACGTAGATAAAATGTTCCTCAGGATAAAAATAGCCACATCTTTTGAAATATAATACAGTGCTATTTGGTGTAATCCCTTAGCAACGTTGCTGTTATGAGCCAGTACTAGCAGCATTCAAGTTATAGACTCACATATTGCATATTTTTAAACCTGTAGATGGATAATAAGCTGTGAGAGGGACATAAGTTTGTCCATGATAGACTTCAGACATTTAAATAATTAGCAAAATCATAAACAGAACTAAGTCTTTTTAGATTATTATTCTATTTGATCTTTAAGAACTCTTCCCAAGACATGCCTCCAAACCCACATTAAAGTTTAGAGATAGAAATCAGTGAGCAAGCCATCAGTGTGTGTGTGTGTGTGTTTGTGTGTGTGTGTGTGTGTAAATGTATCCAAATTGAAAGTGAAAGAATGTTTGTTTTCTGAAGTCATCTCTCTTGTGCCAATATTTGAATATTCCACTTATTCACAAATGTTTTTTAAATGTAATTTCCAAACTTTTGGTTCAAGGCTATAACCTGGAAGTTGGGGCTACTGATGGTTAAAAGATGGCCACAATGTGTAAAATGTAAAGTAATTGTCAGCAGATATGGAGGATATAGTTTGTAGTTATAGTTTGGGCAGTAAACTAGTTGTGTTAAGTAATTTAACCCCTCATGACACATGTTTCTTCAAATGTAAAAGATGGACAGTGGTGGACTAGGTTAGTTTAAGCCTCAGTCCCTTCTCTTCTCGACATTCCATAATCTTAGAGAAATATGTCTTGTTGATGTGGTCAATTACCTATTTTCATGCTACTGCTCCACATGTGGGCAACTGAACCCAGATGATCCAATTAGAATAAGACAAGGACTTAGGAACATTCCCTGCTTGGGGATTTGTTCCTATCCTTTCCCTTCTACCTCCTCTGCCCACCACCTCCCATTTCCATGAAACACAGAAGGTACATCATTTTAGAATCAAAATGTAAAAAGGTGATGGATTCATTATGTTTTTCTGATTAATCAAAGGCTTAGAACACACTAGCTGATAAAGTATTAAATGAAGTTACCAAGACAATATTCTATTGGAGGCAAATCAAGAATAAAAGGTTCAAACTAATTTTGAAAAAATTAAAAAGTCTAATACTGTGTTACTGTGTTGACAATATGTAGGAAATGTAAAAAATATACATTTTCCTTGCATTTTTTGCTATTTAAATATCCTTAGTGTCCTTACATATTAAAATTTAAAGATGTCAACCTTATGTCAGTTTTCCAATATGCTTTTTTTTAAAGATACTGTTTCCTAAATTCAAATTCACTGATGTAGACAATCTGAACGGCCAATTTTTCAATTAATTATTTTGGTAATGTGAAATCTAAATTTTACATCATGAACCTAGATTACCGTTACATCCTTTAATGAAGAAAAAATTACACTAATAACCTGAAAAATCAATAAAACAATAAAGAAATAGCTTTTATAACCTAGCATAGAAAAATGAAAACCTAATTTCTTTTATTATTTAAATATTACAATATGTTTTCTTTATTTAATATATGATGTTAACATATTTAAAAAACTAATGTTGCCAGGCACGGTGGCTTACGTCTGTATCCCAGCACTTTGGGAGGCCGAGGCGGGTGGATAACTTGAGGCCAGGAGTTTGAGACCAGCTTGGCCAACATGGTGAAGCTCCATCTCTACTAAAAATACAAAAAATTAGTCAGGCGTGGCGGCTCGTGCCCGTAGTCCCAGCTACTTGGGAGGCCAAGGCAGGAGAATCCCTTGAACCTGGGAGGTGGAGTTTGCAGTGAGCCAAGATTGTGCCACTGCACACTCCAGCCTGGGTGACAGAGCGAGACTCTGTCTAAAAAAAAAAAAAAAAAAAAAGCTAATGTCAAGTAAATATAATATGCGCAGAATTTATATTTTGTGTGATTATAGGTTTTAGCTCTTTTCCTTCTACCTAAATTGAGTCAGGCATGGTGGTTCATGACAGTAATCCCAGCACTTTGGGAGTCTGAGGCAGGAGGATCACTTGAGCACATGTGTTCAAGGCTACAGTGAGCTATGATTGTGCCACTGTACTCCAACCTGGGTGACAGAGCGAGACCCAGTCTCTAAAAAAACAATAAATATAAATAGATAAAAATAAATGAATCAAACAAAGTATCTAAATCAAATGTCCCCTTCTGGATATTTGTATCACTATAATCCAGAATATTTTATAATATCAAGGAATCATCCATGCTGCTTGTATTTTCAACCTTAGTGTATTATATTATTGAAAATAATATTTTGTTGTGTAAAGTCAAAGAAACAATAAAATTATTTATCAGTTCAGTTAAATAGTTGTCACATTTTGAAGACTATTGGTTGAAATGATTAATCTGATATGTACATTTTTAAAGAGTGTTTTAAACATTTTTCATATTTCATTTTGTTCTCTTGGTAACTTAGAGACTCATTTCTCTGGTAATTTTATTGTTTGAAATTTCTTGCATGTTGAGATTAAGACATGAATCTACCTTGTTTGACAGACACACTTTATATAAAAAATTTATTTAACATATCCAAATTTCCCATGGACTTAAAAGAATTGACCACAAAATATCTAAGGGTTGTCTCCTTACTGCTTATATACATTTTTTCATTAAACAAGATTCCTCTTTCCCATTGCTTCACAAACTGTTACAAATTCTCAAAATTTCAGCCAAGATAATATCTGGAAATGCTACAGTGCATGCTAGAAATAGCTTTATAAAAGATATACCTTTCTTGATAATCCATAGGGAATCATTCATCCATCCACCCATGAGGCTTTTTCAGAGACATTAACTTGATAGACTATTTAAACCCCCCATTTGGATGATGGTAAGATGGTGGTGCGCACGTACACACACACACACACACACACACACACACACACACACACACCTTTTCTTGTTTGCTTTTAGAAAATTATTGAAAAAGACGTTAGATGTTCTCACTAGCTTTAATTTATCTGAACACTCTTTCATAAGTATTTATATGCATTTTACAAAGTCAACAAATACACTGATTTGCCTCTGTTGTGATCATTAACACCAGTTTATACTGCCCAGAGTTTCTAAAGTTAAAATCTCTAATTACTTCTAGAAGCTTGTGATATATGTCATTTTGTTAAAAATGGATTTAAACCATATCTCATTTTTAGTTCATTCAGGCTTTATGTCCTGTAGTATCAGTCGATATAAACTTCACGTTGGTTTCATGTATTTCTTGATGCTGTCAACAGGCCCAGGTTCTGCACACATTTATTTAAGGTGGGCTCACCACCTTTGATGAGGCAGGAGACTTGGGTTTCAGTCTTAGCTCTAGCACTCACAGTCTATGTGATACTGAACAAATTGCTCGCATCTTCTGGGGCTCAGCATTCTTGTCTATCAAATAGAGATAATACCATCTCATCTCAGTGTTGTTGTAGGATTCAAATAAGTTAATAAATGTAAAATTTCTTTGATAATTTAAAAGCATTGTTGCTGTTCTCTTTAAAATAAAAAAGTATTGTTGCTGTTCTCTTTAAAGAATGAAACTAATATCCATGTCCTCCTTAAAGATGTATTTATTTGCAAAAGCAACTCTATTAAGGAAAAACATGACATGCAATGTGTGAGCATGTGGGGAATATGCAAGTATTGTAAAGAATTTTAAGTCTAAGGATCCTTAAATAGAATGACAATGATATATCAGGTGAGCCACAGTGGCAGCTACATATAAATATTATACATCTTAGTTTGCCTGTGAACCATTCAACTAAAAATTTCAAATAGAACAATTAATCAATGTAGAAAGCATAGCAAAAAATAAATTCAAATCAATGATGCAATACCTCTATTCCAATTAGCTTATTTTTCTTTCTTCCACTCTCTCAGGCATATTCTATTTTATTAAAAAATGAAGTCAATTAAGAAACTCTACAAAATCAATCAGCCCACAGATCAAGCTAGAACTCTTGTTCTTATTTAATGTTTATTAAGGGCTCATCATCACACGGTATTTTTCTATTAATAGGTCAAATATACAAAGTATCAGGCTTGCCTTCATTCTATCATTGGGGTCCTACATAGTGTCGTGCTCAACCAAAGGGGAGAGAGAAGGACATCCACCTCTTCAAACAAAGGGTCTTAGCAGTCTTGGCTGAAAAATGAAACTTTTATATTAATTTATGGAAGTCTGCAGTCTTTGATCTGAATTGAGGTTATTAATTACAATTCTTATTCTTCCCATCCAACAGGTACAAGAACATCTCCAACAAGGTACCTAAGGGTGTGAGCCAGGCAAAGGGCTAAGAGCATATATGCAAGCTGAAATGATGTGTACACATCAGGGTTATGATAGTTTGGCTGGATTCCCTTGTACATAGTGTATACAACAGAGAGACATGCTCACACACACACACACACACAAAACTCAAACACACATTTGAACACCATTATGATTTTCTGATCAGTCCAACCTACTGTCAATCAGAGTTGGACAAACAATCCCAGCCCTAGATTTTCCTGTTTCCACACCCAGACCTGATTTACAATTTATAACTGCCCATTGTTCAGACTTGTGGCTTGGAGGTGCAGTACATCGATGCCTGTCCACATCTAAGGTTAGATGACGACCCCTCTACTTTACTATTAGATGTGCCAAGGATCAGCAGCTCCTGAAATCTTTTTCCTGTGCCTGTGTGGGGGAGGGGATTCACGGCGTGGAAGGCCTGGGACAGGGAAGAAAGGAGCTGTCCCTGGGTTATCAGGAAAGGGACCAAACGTGGGCCCCACATCCACCTCCACGCCTGAGTTAAGAATCTGGAGCTGACTCCTCAGAATGGCTGTAATTGGTCCTTTACTCATTTCCTTGGAGAAGCAGCGGTCAACTTCTACTAAAACTCCCGGTTGATAGGCGGCTTCCCTGCCCTGTCTTCCGGAGCACTTACGTTAAGGGGAAATCACTATAATCAAATCTCTACGTCTTGCCTGCTGCTAAAACAAGGCGCTTTCTTCCTGGGATTTTGCAGGGACGACTGATACACACACGGTCTCCCTACACACAAGCTCGCACACACCGACACAGTGTAACTCCCACAGCGTCCTCGCTCCTTCTCCCTCCCTCACCCCCTTGTCTCTCTCAAGGATTGCTGAACATTTTGCTCCAAACTCTCCAAGTCACCCACGTGTTCTCCCCTTTTGCTATTCAATTTACTTCTCCACCTGACGAAGAGAAATGCGAGTTGTTCTTAGGCTTTTAGCTGCAATCCTGGGACCAGGCTTTCTCACTCCCCCCTCCTCCCCAGTCAGAGCAGCCCCACCGACCCTCTTCCCAATAGGGTGAGTGGACAGATGCTGGGTGCTTTCGCTGGTCAAATCCCGCAAAACCTTCACCTTCTCTTCTTCTCCACCCAGAGCAAACTGATTTTGCCTGTTTAGTCTCACTAGCCAGGGTGGTATGGAAGTGGGTGGGGAGAGGGCTGGTGCGTGGCACAGATAACTGGGAAGCGCGCGCACCACACACACACACACACACACACACACACACACACACACACACGGCCCCAGTTAACATTTATGCAGTACTTTTGGGGGGTCTCTTACACACACCTGAATAGCATACTCTCAATAAAGGATAGGCACACCCCTGTTTGTCCTCCCCCAATTTCCAGACTAGCATTTTACCCTGGGTCTAGAATTGGTGGTGATAAGCCGACTTAGATGGAGTATTTGAGAAAAGGGGAGGTGACCCTTTGCCTGAATGGGGGAGGGGGCGCTCTCCACTCACCGCCTGAGTCCCTGGAACGAGGAGGGCCAGGACATCCTGGATTTCTTCAGGCCGGGCCGGTGGCCGGTCTCCACCGCGTAGGAGGTGCGGTCCATGGCGCGACAGTACAGGTAGCGCTCGGTGTCCGAGTAGCCGCGATGCCGGACGCGGCCGGTGGCCCCGCTCGAGGCGTAGCGGCCGCGGGCAGCCCCGGGCGGCGGCGGGGGCGGCGGCAGGGGGGGCGGCGGCGGCGGCTGTAGCGGACACTGGGGCTGGGGCTGGGGCGAGGGTGGCGGCGGCGGGGGCAGGTGGTGATGGGGATGCAGGAGGCGGAACTGGGGCTGCCGGAGCGGGTACTGGTGGTGCTGCTCGTGCCTCCAGAGATGCTTGGGGGCTTTGAGCGTGGCCCCGCCGGCGCTGTCGCTGCCCTCTCCGCTGCCCGCCCGGGCCGGCGCGCTGCTGCCCTCTGCCTCCATCCTGGCTCGCGGCTCCGCGACCTGCTGCCCAGCCCGGGTTCACCGCGCTGGCCCGAGCGCCTTCCTGATGCTGCTGCTGCTGCTGCCGCCGCCGCCGCTTCTGCAGCCCAGCAGAGGCTGGTGCTTAGCTTCTCACTTGAAGGCGCCAGAGCCTCAGGGCTACCGAGAGGGGGCCCTGCCAGCGGGAGGGGTCACAGAACGCGGCAGGGCTCCTTCCACCGAGGCTATGGCAGAGACACGCTCCCGGGCTCCCCAAGTCACCAAGACTAGGGTGCGCGGTGCCCGGTTTCGCCAGAGGTTGGTCCTTCTTCCTCCCTTTCTTCTTCCCTTCCTTTGGGCGCCGGCGGCGAGAGCAGGGATTGTCAGCAACTCGGGCTGCAGAAGCAGCAGCAACGGCGGCGGCGGCAGTGGTAGCCGCCTCCAGGGCACCGGAACCCTGATCCCGGAGCTGCTGAAAAGTTGGACAGCTCCAGGCTGGCACGCCCGAGCTGTGACTTTCACCAAAACCACTCCAGCCAGTCAGGAGTCAGACCTGTCCTCTTGATCCTTCCCCTCGCCGTGCCCGCGCCTCCCTCCTCCACACTGCTCCCCACTGCCCCGGAGCCTTCCTCTTCACCTCCGCTTGCCTCAGTGCTCTTAGAGAAATGGAGTTTGGCGATTCCTGGCTGGTTCTCAGAGCTTGTTGACGATGAGCCCCATGCTGGTGCTTCCAAAGATAAGGAATGTGACCAGGCAAAGTTGCCTGGAATATTGTCTATGCGCGTCGCTGAAAAATTGGATCTGGGTGAAGATCCAATAGTAAGATTAATTCAGTCTCTTTCCCTGACATAGGATAAAACATTGTGTGGCTCTTTCCCACAGCAGGGAGAATGCCCAATGTTTCCTCTTGAAGATCTTCCTCCAACTTGGCCTCGGGAGTGGTCCTCGCTGGAAATCAAGGCGAGTCGTCCTTAGTTGCAGAGCCATGGCTGAGCCCGCTGGCCAGAGTTAAGGTTAAGGCACCTTTTCAATTACAAACCTCTGATTATCTTCGGTAGTCTCTATCTTCAGTGCCTGCCTGCAATTTGCCTTTCTGCCACTTCCAGCAGAACACAGCTCTATTACTAAAGTGTTTTAAAAACATGTTGTATCAATATTCACAGAAATTAGAGTCCTATGAGGCACTAGAATCCAAATTCAACTTTTGTCTTCCTTTAATTAGCATTTTCCTGCAGTGTCAAATGTTTTTTAAAGAAGCCAAGAGGATTTCAGGGCAATATATAGACACTTTTTTCCCTGTACCTTTTTTATTTGACCATATTACTTAAAGATGAAATGCAATTTGCTTACTGTTAAAATAATTCTAGAATTTTTCTTTGTGGAAGTTACCACGTACCATCCATTATTTGAACGATAATATATTTAGGACTCACAACAACTTGTTGGCTGTGTAATTATTCTATTCTTCCCACACACTCAGTCTTAACATATTTTCATATGTACATTTCAAGCATATCATGTAATGGATGCTAGAGTACCAGAATCAGGAACCATGTCTCAAACTCTCTAGACTGCTGAAAATTCAACACTCTCCACACAGTCTAGATGCCACTGGGAAAATAATGCCAATGAAAATAAGTGCTCACTTTGTTTATCAGCAAGAACAGTCCACGAAATGTGCAAGTGGCAGGAGAAGGCCTTCATCATCTCTTCATGCTATTTATTTATTTATGGTTGGAAATATACCTTTCCTCCATCAGTTTAATATGAGCCCTCTGCTCATATGTGGACTATACACAAAATCTGAGAAAGGTTGTGTCTTAAGAGAAACAAGGCAATCTCCTAAGCACCACTCTCCACTGTGTAGGATTAAACCATACTTTACAAAGGCACTCTTTTTGCCCCTTTTGCAGACACAAGTGTGACTGGTGGCAGTGGTCAAAGTATTTACCATGCCTAGGAGGGCACTAAGCCAGTATTTTCCCAAACACAAAAGGAGAGAAATGGAAGTGTTCTGCAGTATAGACTGCCTTTTTCTTTTAATTCATTGCATTATTAACATCCAAAACCATTTTAAAGAAGTACACAAATTTCTTCTTTCCCCTGAAATGCTTGCCACCTTTCGCCTCAATATAACTGTGGCAAAATACCTCTATCCGAAACTCTTATTCTAATTTCTCATACACTAACAGTACAAGTGACTTATAATTTTTTTCCAGATTAAATTGGAATAATTCAAATCCAACCTGATTTTCACCACCAATTTGCTCCTTCCTTTTTACTCATGAAAACTTTATCTTTTATATATTTCCCACTGATTTTTAAAAATTCTTTGTTTTGTTTTTACTATGTAATTGCAAGTCAGGAACATTTTAAAATGTAAGAAAATCATTTAATATGTTTCCAACTTGTAGAGTTTTTAATTTAACTTATAATTCCAAAATGTTATTGATAGTAATAGTTTCTTGTGTGATCTTTGAGGTTACAGCTTGAGTTCCAATCTACCACTTCCTACCCATGTTACTTTAGCTAAATTATTTACCATCCCTGTCTCCCATATGCAAAGTAGTACTAATATTACCTACTTCACAGAATTTTGCAATTATTTAATGAAATAATACTTAGCACAATGCCTTATATGCAATGAATGTTTAATAAAGGTAGCAATTTTTATTATTCCTGCCAGGCTGGGAAGTATCCTAAATATCATGTTAATCAGCAGTTCCCAGTCTTGGCTGTACCTAGGGAATATCACCTGGGGGAGCTTGAAAAAAAATGTCTGATGTTGAACCTAGAGCAGTGATTCCAAACTTTGATGTTATCAGAATCACCAGGAGAGCTAATCCAGCACACAAAGACCCAGGCTCCATGAAGCAGGATAGGGCTTGAGGCTTTATACTTTTACCAAATTTGTGAGAAGATGCTGCTTCAGTGTAAAGTTTGATCATCACTACCCTGCCTAGACAAATAAAATCAGTATTTCTAGGGGAGGATCAAGGCATCGGCATTTTAAAAAACTCTTCATGTGATTTCATACATCAGCAACTACTGATCCAGACTTACTCTCTCATTAAATGGTTGCAAAAACACTGTAGATACTATTAGTTGACTCGCCCTTGTGTCTCAAATACTTCTAGGGAAGTCCAGCTTATAAGCAAAGTTCTCATGAAAATATGCACTTTATGTATTACTCTAGTTGCCTCTATGCTAAAAGAAAATCTTATACTGCTGAATATTGAGCACTCCCAGCCTTCCATTTAAAAACTCTTCTCATTAATCTAGGTATTTCCTACTTTTAATTAAAACAACAAAAATGTAAAATATTCCATCTACCCATTGGTTTTCCCTGCTTATATGTTAAATAAATTATCCATTCTTTTTCCCACTAGTTGACCATAGATTTTGGAGTTTTATGGGCACAGTCTGAGAGAGATTTTTGTGAAGCATTGGGTTAATGTGGGACATCCTGGAAAGCTATCACTACTTACCATTAGCACATCTATATAAAAAGTAAAAATCAGGTAAATGATCAGTATCTTTTTCCTGAACAAACTTAAATAAGCAGTTAGTTGGTGTCATTACCATGCATTATGTCATTACCACCCCCACCCTTTTCTGCAAATGCATTTCAAATCTGTCCAAAAGATACAATCAATCACTCAATGTGCTGCTGGGCAATTAACAAGGGAGAACATTCTTGTCAATAATGATGGAGAGTTCTGGCAGAAGTGATGTCAATTAACAGCTAGCAGAGAGCAAGCACCATTTCTATCCAGAACACAGAGTGAGATGGCAAGTGGCAGTAACTAAGGGTCCATTTCTATCTTGGCAATGGGAGGAGGATTTTTTTTTTTACTTTTTTTATTATACTTTAAGTTATGGGGTCCATGTGCTCAATGTGCAGGTTTGTTACATAGGTATACATGTACCATGTTGGTTTGCTGCACCCATTAACTTGTCATTTACATTAGGTATTTCTCCTAATGCTATCCCTCCTCCAGCATCCCACCCCCCGACAGGCCCCAGTGTGTAATGTTCCCCTCCCTGTGTCCACGTGTTCTCGTTGCTCAAGTCAATGGGAGGAAGATTTAAAGGAGACTTTCACTTTGCATACATTCTATGTATACTTGAGCACATGAGTGCTACTTCATTTGTAAAGATGGTCATCTTGATGCCCAACAGTCAGCTTAAAATCGGAAATTTTCATCATCATATGTGTTACAAAAGGCTAAACTCCTGTCTAATTACATATCCAAAGGCATTGAAAGTCTCAGATTTCACTTAGGTCTTTAATGTTGAGTAGAAACAGGTTCTTAGGATATTTCCTTGAGATATATGAAAGGCTTTTAAATTTGTAAAAACCTATACATATACAAGATAATATTGTCAGTATTGCCAGTACAAGTACTAGTATTAAAGTCTCTATCATATTGTTTCCAACGCAGTATATTAGGCTGCTTTTCAGTAATTTTTGTCTAATATGAAATAAACAGAAATATGCAATTAATATGAAACTAAGAAATGCTGTACTTGAATATCCTTGTCTTTGACTAGCACACTAATGCAAATTTAGCAGCACACTAATTTCCAACTAGTTGGAGGCTCAGTATCACAAAATCAATTTTGTAACTTTCTAATGATACCATTCCACTTGTCAGCTCAAGGTAAAAATATTGCTTATCTACTGTGTGCTAATTCTCAGGACGACTGTGATACTGCATTGACAAACATGCACAAAAAATTACTATCCTCAAGGAGTTTTGTGTCTTGCAGAGGAAATAAATAAATAAGCAACTATAATTTGGGAAGATGGGGGGAAGAGATATACTGATGCGGATATGTAGTGTCTGCTGGAAGAACATTCAACCCTTACAGCTCAGTGAGTCCTCACCAAAGGGAGAGTGGCATCTAATCTGAGGCCAAGACCTCAAGTACACATTGAAATTAGCTATTTTCAGTATGTGTGAATACATATGTGTGACCATGAATGTGTGTACGTCTTGGGGAGATGAAGGAGTAAAGGCATTTTGGGCAGAGACTGGCGCAGACAATAACTTAGAGATGAGAGATATTGTGGGGCATTGGACATTCAGAAAATGGCAAATAAGTCTATAAACCTGCAAGGACAGCTGAGCAATAAGCAGAAGCCTGATAAAGAATTACTTCTTATTCAGTGTCCCCTAAAGGCAATGTAGTGACTTTGTATACATTATCAAAAGGACCCCCTTCTGAGTGGAGCAGGTTTTAAAGTTGATGAGTAGGATGCAAAGAGAGGGAGAAATAACAGATATGACAGAAGGAAGGAAAATAACAATATGTTGTCCCTGAGAAGATGGGGTTGAGGGGCGTTGAACTGCAGGGCACAGATGGAAGCATTTGCCCAAACTAGAAAAAAGCCAACATTTCCACTGTTACAGGAAAGGAAGGGGTAAGGATTGATTCAGATGGAATTAATTTTATTGCATTTATTGAACAATTAACATTTGATATTCTGATTCTGGCAAACATTTTCCATACATTATTTTATTTAATTCTTGCAACAGTATGCTTTTTTCATCACATTTTAACATTATAATGATCAGGATGAGTCTTTCAGTGGGGACTAAAGAACTGTGCTAGTCCTCTGCCAATGTTGAGAATAGCCCGTTGGACTCTTAACTCTACATAGAAAACACCTGTTCACCTGATTGTCTCAACATTAATTCAGCCATTTAACCAATATTTATTGAGCACTTAATATGTGCCAACCCTAAGTTCTGGAGATAAAAAAGTCAATAAAGAAAAGTTCTGGCCCTCCTCTTCTAATTAAAAAAGACAGAATAAACACCTAAGCACATATATATATATGTATTTATATATACATATGCATGCTTAAGTGGTAAATATATATATATATGCTTAAGTGGTAAATATATATATATAGATGCTTAAGTGTTTATTCCATTTCTTTTAATTAGAGAAATATAAATAATAATATCAGATACAGGAGCTCAGTGTTATGAAGCAAACTGAAGCAAATTAAGAAGTTGGAGTGTGATGTTTGGGAGTGCTATTTTGCATTGGCTGGCAAGTTAGGCTTATCCAAAAGAGTAATGGTAGAGTGGCCTGAAGGAAGCAAGGGAGTAAGCCAGCACTCCAGGCTGTGGGAAAATCAAGTGCAAAGACATGGCAGCCAGCTTGTTATGGCTGAGGAATAGTAAATCAACCAGTGGCCTGGGATGAAGTCAGGTGAAAGCTGTTTGGAAATGACAGATCAAGGAAGTCCATGCTGGTCATGGTAAGGACTTTGGATTTCTGACTTGCATTCATATAGCTACAGATTGATGAACTTTGCACTTAACTAAATTAAGACTATTTGGCTGGGTGCAGTGGCTCATGCCTGTAATCCCAGCACTTTGTAGGCCAAGGTGGGCGGATCACTTGATGTCAGGAGTTCAAGACCAGCCTGGCCAACATGGTGAAACCCTGTCTCTACTAAAAATACAAAAACTAGCCAGGTGTGGTAATGCACAACTGTAACCCCAGCCTCTCTGGAGCCTGAGGCAGGAAAATTGCTTGAACCCGGGAGGTGAATGTTGCAGTGAGCCATGATCACACCACTGCACTCTAACCCAGGCAATAGAGCAAGACTCCATATCAAAAAAAAATATATATATATATATACACACACACACACACACACACACATATATATATACACTATTTACTTAAAATGTCTTCAAAAGTTCATACTATAATTATTAATACCTCATTGAAGAGCTAAGTTATTTTGTATATAGGAAGAAAATTAAAACATGGGTAGGAGACAAAGATTTACTATAAGTGAAAAAATATTTCTTCCTGGGAGAAAAACTGCACTTCCATATCTTATTGAAAAGCAACAAGATATTCATAAGAATGATATTGGAAGCTGCATATTGCTTTAGCATTGAAATGTCTATAAAATCATGGCCAGTCACACAGCAGCAATACAGTTAAAATGAGTAGATATTACCAAATCCCTCAGAAGATGTCATAGAACTTTCAAAGTGACAGATTTGTGAGACCTGAAGAATGATTACTCAGTTGCTAAATGTCCATCTGTCACAAGCTCTTAGCTAACTTTTTAGAGATGTTTAACTTTTTGTGGTTGATAATTATATTTTTTATAAAAATGAATCAATATGCCTTGAAATGTCACTCTTGATCTCAAAAATGTAAAAGAGATCATGAAAGAGCTTGTCACTTTGAAATTAGGCCCAACTACCAAAGGCTAAAACTGTATAAAGATCTTTAGATTCTTAATGTAGAAAAGATTTAATCTTATAGTTTGAGATGATGAAAAGTAATGTGGTAGGTAGGCATTGGTAAGGCAAAATGTATGCATTTTTAAATCACTTAAGAAAATGTAAATTTAAACTAATAGTTCTCATTTTAAAAAGCTCCCATTAAATTGACTCAACTATTGTAATTAACGGATTTCTTAAAATAGAAGAATTGTAGCAGCAACTATTTTACATATGAGGAAACTGAAGCTTATGGGGACAATTACTTAACTAAGGTCAGATACTTGCTGTTTCAAAGCCTGGATTTGAGCCTCGTCAAGCTAAGTCCAAAACTTGTGATCTTGCCTGGATGACAAATGGGAGAAATTAAACATAGGCCTTTTGAAAGTAAAATGCCAATTGATGAGTTATTTAAGAATACCAGTTGAAGACTGGTTTAATATTTCAGTTAATATCATCCTAGAGCTCTAATTATGTATTAAACCACCCATCCACTGAAATTATTAGAATAGTATTATAGTATTCATGCAAGGAAGGATTTTTTTAAAAGATACAAAAGCAGTTACAGCGAAAGACTGATAAACTATACTAACATTTGGAACTTCTATTCAAGAGTGATCAAGAAAGTGAGAGGATAAGTCATAAATTGGAAGAAAACATAGCAACCCATGTAACTCTCAAAGGACTATTTCAAAATAAGTACTCCTATGAATCAATGAGAGAAAAATGGAAAAATAGTCAAAATACATGAAAAGGCACGTCACAGAAAAGGAAAACAGAATGGTAATTAAATAGATGAAAAAATTGACCAATCTCATTAGTTATCAGGGAGATGCAAATAAAGACCACAGTGAGAGGACATTTTATGTCCACTAGGTCAGCAAAAAGTAAAAAGCCTGATGACACCATGTATTTGAAAAGATGTAGATCAATGAAAACTCATATACTGCTGGTGGTAAAACAATTTACCATTATCTGGTAAAGGTAAACATTCACATACACTACAATTCATAATTCTACTCCTGGGTACACAGCACAGAAAATGTCTTACATGCAAACACACACACACACACACACACACACACACACACACACACACACACACACACACGGAGACATGCACCAGACTGTTCATAGCAGGATTATACACTATAACACAAGCTAGAAACAAACTAAGTGTTTAGCAGGAAGGACTATTAGCACAAATGTTACATCAGGAAGCCATGAACAACTACAGAAAGCAACCTGGATGAATCTTAAAATGCCCTGTTGAGCAAACAAAGCAAGTAGCAGAAGACAACAAACAGAATGTCATTCTTATAACACTCAAAAACAAGAAACAAATAAGAAAACAAGCAAACAAAACAACCCCTAGGAAGACAAAATAATATATTTTGGTGTAGTGCTTCTTAAACTAATGTGCCTGTAAATCAACAGCAATTCTTGTTAAAATACTTATTTTGGTTCAGTAGGTCTGGGGCAATGCTGAAATTCAGTATTTCTAATAAGCTCCCAGGCAATGTTCATGCATAGATCTGTGGACCATACTTACATAGCAAGATTTTAGAGGATACATACATATATGATTTTTTAAAAGTATTAAAAATGGAAAGGTTATGCAATTCATGAAATTTCAGATGGTTGTTACCCAGTGAGTGGTGAAGGAAAATATGGTAACTGAGAGAAGGAAGGAGCCCACAGGTAGATACAACATATTGATAATATTGCAGTTCATATATTATATGCTCTATAACCTACATATGTTATAATGCTGAATATTGTATAAGAAAAACCATAAGGGCAATTGTAACCCCACAGGGTAGGGAACTCACATCATCACCAGCAGAAGAGATGGAAACTAAGTGGGATAGGAAGAGGCAGTAAGCCATGTGGAGTTGAATATCTCATTTCAGAAGAGAGAGCTGCAGGCCAGTCGTCAACACTGTATTTGTAATCTCCCCAGATTAAATAACTGGGCAGACTTTTAAAACTGTTGTAGCACAAAATTTGGGGAACCTAAATAGAACTCTGAGCTAAAAATAACTACAAACATCTTTAAAACAAAATTCATCCTCCTCTCAAAGTTTAGTTTTAAAGTTTTATAGTTAAATAAAGTTAATACCAAATTAAGATAAAAATTTTTGTGAAGTGGTGTGTGTAGCTCTCAAATCCAAGGTAAACCTGTTCCATTCTTTGGCTGCGAGTTGCCCAATCCTGGCACACATATATTCCTAAATATCTATCCCCCACATCCTTTGGATATGCAGAAACTTTTCTTGGAGTGAGAATGCAATTTTATTTCTCAAATATCTGACTTTAAAATATAATATTCCTTATCATCTAACATTGTAGCTATCAACGAACATCACAGCAGGAATTAGTAATAACTAACAAGAACTCAGGACAGTTGCCTAAGGATTAGGAAGCGGGGTTTGCAGGCAAGAGAGGAGAATTACTAGTTTAAAATAGAAGATGGGGAGTGACAGAGAAAAATTCTCTATCTTCTCAATATTATCTCAGGTTCTTCAAACTGTTCTGATGTATAAAATATTGCAATAAATCTCTGGATGAGGCACTCGTCTAATGTTTAGCTGCTCTAAAGGGTGAAAGGGATAAGACAGAGCAGGCAGGATACCTATTAGCTTGTTGTAAAGGTAATTGCGATTTTTGTGATTGAAAGTAATAGAAAAAAAACTGCAATTACTTTTGCACCAACCTAATAAATTGACAACTACTACTTATTGGGTTTACTATGAACCAGGCATTATTTTAGCTGGTTTTCAAAAATTAGTTTATTACTATCCCGATTGTACAGATAAAGAAACTGAAGCACACAGAAGATGGTAACTCATCCAAGGACACACAGACAGCAAGGGCAAAGCCAGGATTACAATGAAGACTGCCAGTTTCAAAGCTCATACTTCAGGCCAGTGTTCCCTGCCTGCCTCTCTGCAGTGTCCCAATACCTAGTTCTCTGCAAGCGTGTCTTATGTCTGTGGACATTGTCAATTTCCTCATGATTGTTCTATTTAAGAAGATGGGTATAAGCACCAGACAGAGCAAATCAGAATCCTCAAAAATTGCATGACTTTTTGGCCAAGTTTTACAGCTTTGCTGAGCCTTAGTTTCCTCATCTGTAAAATAAACTAGTGACAAAATATACATGATAGGACTTTGCAGAAATTACATAAAGTAATCCATTTCATGCACTCAAGAATTTGCTGCTGCTGTTATTGGTATTAGTATTACTAAATCCTATTATAAATCTAAACCCAAGTCTGTCTTTACTTAAGATTTTGTGCAAAATACTATGCTTTACCATGTGCATTTTACATATGTATAGATATGTATGTATATATGTAAATAAAATAAACAAGGCATTTTCTTTTTGTTTCTTTCTTTCTCCCCGACTCCTCTGAATCAGGCTATTATGGAAACACATTGAAAGGAACTCCAGGACTCCAAACTAGAACCAGGACCCCAAACTAGAAACCTTAAATAAACAGAAGAAGGGGAGTTTCTCTCCCACTTTGCTGGAATAAAGCCATTTTAGGATTAGCCATCCAAGTTTAAATTCATTAGCCTCCAAGGGGTTTGTGAATATTTTTAGATAATTATCCAAGACCTCCAAAATGCAATTTCTAATGTAGCTATAGCTGTCATGAATTGAAAGATGAAAAAGTCTAGCTCATTAGATCAAATGGTGTTTCCTCAAGTGATAACAAATGTGATACTTTTCAGCGTACCACAATTCTCCCTTAAGATCTGAAGTAAATAAGACTTCAAAGAGGCTCCCAGCATTAAGGGAAGACTAGTTTCTTAATCTGTCCTCAAGGAATACATGTTCTCTCCAAAAGAGAGAGGATAGGTACCTGGGGAACACTCATAAACTAACTCAGATTGGAGCCCAATTATTCACTTTTTTGTGAATGCAAAATTTTTAATGAATAATACATTTTTTTAAATATTGGGAAAAGATGCTGTTTATTTTTATTAAATTGTTAAATTTCCAAGTAACTTGGTAAGTAAAAGAAAAGAAAATAAGAACTTCAGGAAAGGAAAAAATATACAGAATTCACAAGTCACGGCAGACTCTCCAACACCTTAGTTTTTAATGTGTTTGCTTGCTTGCTCTGTCTTCTTACAGAGTTGGCACAGTGATACAAGATTTTATTTATTTTAATCAAAGTAGTTTTGACATAGTATTTGGAGGAAGGAGAAGAAGGATATGAACCATTATTTTCCTCAGCATGACACTATCATTTAAAATAAATGGAAGATCCATGGTCTAATATTACCAAGGCTGAGTAGTTTTCCCCCTGGCTCAGTGCATGGAAAACAGCATATTTTCTTCATGCATAAATAATAGAAATCTCATTTTTGAACACAGTGAATTGTTCAGAATGCTTTGTGGAGCGTGGCAAATGTAGATCTAGATTTATGTGCAAGTGGTCCCTGTGCAGATTCAAAGATGTGGACTAATTGGCCAATTATAAACCACAGATTGGACTAATTGACCCAGTTCTTCTTTGATGTTGGTCAAGTAACTTAGAAATGATGAATCTAAACCAAATCAGTAGTCTCATCACAGTTAAATATTATTCATTCTTAAAAGTATGTCATTTATCATGGTTATTAAGAGAATGGGCATTACAGCCAGAACGCCCTGAGTTTCCGTTTCAGCTCCAAGACTTTCTAGATGTGTAACCACAGATGGGTTACATTAACCTCTCTGTCAGTTTTTTCATCGATGAAAATAACAGAATCAACTTTGCAATGTTACTGTAAAGATTATATGAGATAATAGATGTAAAATGCTCAGCACAATATCTGTTACATAAATAATGCATGTATACCTAAGTATACACGCATATATACATTATTATATTCCATATATGATGTTATACATATAATTTAGGAAATTAGGGGAGTAAAAAACCAAGAACTCCCACAGTACCATGACAGGGGTAGTGCTTTTGAAAATTATGAACTGTGTTGAACTAGTAATAGGGCTTTGCCTTTAAGCCGGCAATGAATATTTTAGTGAGATAAAGAGCTTCTGTATTTTAAAACTGAAACTAGTTCTGCCTTCTTCTCTCCTTTGTTTCTACTTTTATTTCTATTCCATATGTGTTTCCTGGCAATGGAGAAGGGAGAAAACAGATGTTTACTGGAGGGCCTACTATGTCAGATGCTGCTGCAGTGGGCACTTCACTTATGCGATGGCATTTGATAGCCATGGCCTTTTTATGAAGAAGGTATTGTTATTCCTAATTTACAGATGAGGAAAATGTGTCCTCATCTCATAATTAGAAAACACTGGAACTCAATTTTTAGCCACTATTTAGGTACCTCCAAAGCGTTTTACATTTCTTTAGTTAAAGAATTTGCCAGATACAGTGTGGGTCAGGTTCCTATCTATTTTTAATCGAGAACCTATTTCTCTAGGAAACTATGCTAGAGAAAGTAGTTAGCTTCCTAAGCCAGAAAAAGTAGTTAGCCTTCTAAGCTAGCCTTTTCATTCACAATAGAAATAGCACATACTGCAATGAAACAGGGTCAGGCAAACTGTGGCTATTAGACAAATTCAGCTCGCTATCTGTTTTTGTAAATAAAGTTTTATTGGAACATAGCCAAACCCATGTAATTACATGAGTAAATGTCAATGATTGCTCTCATACTTCAGTGGCAGAGTTGAGTATGACAGAGACTGTATATCTCACAAAGTCTAAAATATTTACTAAACGAATCTTTATAAAAACAGTTTGCTGACCACTAATGAATAAGAAAATATTAGAATAAAAAAGCTCAATATCACTGATCATTAGAGAAATGCAAATCAAAATCACAATGAGATACCATCTTATTCCAGTCAGAATGGAGGAGAAAAGGGACCATTTATACACTGTTGATGGGAGTGTAAATTAGTTCAACCATTGTAGGAAGCAGTGTGATGGTTTCTCAAAGAGCTAAAAACAGAACTACCATTCAACCTAGCAAACCCACAACTGGGTATATACCCAAAGGAATATAAATTGTTCTACCATAAAAACACATGCACGTGAATGTTCCTTGCAGCACTGTTCACAATAGCAAAGAGATGGAATTAACCTAAATGCCTGTCAATGACAGATTTGGTAAAGAAAATGTGGTACATATACTCCACAGAATACTACACAGCCATAAAAAGAATGAGATAATGTCACTGGCGGGAACACGGATGGAGTTGGAGGACATTATCCTTAGCAAACTAACGCAGGAACAGAAAACCGAATACTGGTCCCTTTTCTCCTAAATCTTGCCAGCAGCTGTTATTTTTTTGACTTTTTAATCACAGCCATTCTGACTGGAGTAAGATGGTATCTCATTGTGGTTTTGATTTGCATTTCTCTAATGATCAGTGACATTGAGCTTTTTTATTCTAATATTTTCTTATTCATTAGTGGTCGGCAAACTGTTTTTATAAAGATCCATTTAGTAAATGTTCTCATTTATAAGTGGGAGCTAAATTAAGAGAACTCGTGGACACAAAGAAAGAAACAATAGACACTAGGGTCTATCTACTTGATGGTGGAAGATGGGAGGAGGGGGAGGAAAAGAAAAAATAATTATCGGGTACTAGGCGTAGTACCTGGGTGATGAAATAAAATAACCTGTTACAACAAACCTCCATCACACTAGCTTACCTATATAACAAACCTGCACATGTACCCCTGAACCTAAAATAAAAGTTAAAAAAGAGAAAATACTATGTGGCAAGTTCTATCACGAACAAATCATCATTTATAAATAACATTCTCTCTGCGTTTAAATACTCCTTGTCATCTTTGAGCGAAAAATGAGTATTAATGTAGCAAAAGATGATTTCAGCAGCCTCCATCAGCCCTAGAGTGGACCAAGGAGATGAGAGCTGGTCTGAATTCAAGGACCTAGTTCTGACTGAGGAAGTTTACTCCAAAGCAAGAGCTATTCTCTTTACAGCTCCCAAACATGCCCACCACAAATTGCTGTTTGTTCTCAGCCTTCTTTTGCTTGTCCTCTTAGCTGAAACTTCCCCCAAGTCCTCATTCTTTTGTCACTATTTGACCTCCCTCTTCCCTTTCAGAAGGTGAAAGCATTCCCTCTCAAACCAAACATCCCTTTAAAACATAAAGGAATATTACAGTTATTTGCACTGAACTGAACCTGACCTATACATAACGTTTTAACTCTTCAATTTGCCTGAATTTCTTTGCCTATTTTCTTCTGTTGATGAAATTAAAGACTTGGTAATTTCAGCAATTTTAGGCAATATTCATGTTTAAAAAGAAACATTTCCAGTTCCTAATTTGAGGCATTATGCCTCAAATGAACTATGAAGGCAATCTACACAAGTACTCAGATGTCATTAATGAAAAAGGCAAACAATTTGTTCACATGTCTAAATGAAGATATTAAATAAACTCAAACTTTTTTTTAAAAAACAAGATGGAATTACTTTTGGAAAAGTTGCTTGCTTTTGATTATTGGTTACGGCTTCCGAAAACAAGTGGAAGCAGCATCCACTGTACCCAAATTTGCATCAACCTGAGACTGAAATAATTCCTCTGACAATTATTATAATTTCTACTGAAAACTTTTCCTTATACCTTTTGTCTCCCATTCTTGATGACTTAGTGATGCAAGCTAGAACCTAGCCATAATAACCTCCTCAAGATGTTCGCATATGTTTGTTCTGGAAGCTATTCAAAATAAGGTCCATGATTGTATATTTTATTCACTATGGACTATAATTCCCATAGCTATAGTGCCTTAACTAAGAATTGGGGTTCATAGTCTGATGGAACTATGAAAATACTCTAATATATTCCCTAGAGTTGGTCTCTCAGCTAAATGTGGAAGATTTAGATAATTGAGAATTCTACATCTACTTTCAAAAGGTAATGATTAAAGAAATCCAGAAATCTTGACTAAGAATTAATTAAATCCATGATGGGGAAAACTAATTATTAGAATACACTTGGAAATAACACAAAGTGGTAGCTTAATTTTTTATGAATTTCTTTCCTATTTACAGATATTCCCATACCCATCATTTGATCTTATATTTTCAACTTGGTTTACATTTGTACATTATTTTTATTTGCACTGGCTTTTTAAAGTAAGTTAAGTGACTTGCAAATCCAGTTACATTAACAAAAATATCAAATATGATAAATACATTAATATCATTTAAAACTATTTCTTCCCTTTGATTTCTTATACCCAAACATTTCTAGGTCTTATCAATTCTTCCTTCACTATATCTCTACCAACCATCACTTTCTTTTCATCCCTGCTTCCAAAATTATAATACAAACCTTCACCATTTCACTCCTAGATTATTGTGACAGCCTTCTAATTTAGTATTATTCAAAATGTGGCCTGAAGACCACTTATTTAGAATCTAACCCTTAACAGGGAGATTATGCGTCCTCTCCAGACTTGCTGAACCAGAATCTCTGGAGTAAGGTTCAGGAATCGGCAATTTTAACAAGCTCCTTAGGTGGATTTTTTTTTTCTTTTGAGACAAAGGGGTCTTGCTCTGTTACCCAGGCTGGAGTGCCCTGGCGCAATCATGGCTCACTGCAGCTTCAATGTTGTGGCCTCAATCGATCCTCCCACTTCAGCATCCCGAGCAGCGGGATTACAGGCACACACCACCACTTTTGTATTTTTTTGTAGACATGGAGTTTTACCATGTTGCTCAGCCTTGTCTCAAACACCTGGACTCAAGCAATCCACCCACCTCGGCCTCCCAAAGTGCTGGGATTACGGGTGTGACCCACTGCACCTGGCCCTTAGGTGGCACATTAAAGTCAAGAACCACTGTTCTGCTTTCTTCCTTTCTCGTTCTCCCTATTTTCAAGAAATTGTGCATATTTCTATCTGGTTAGTCATTCCAACATGCTATCCTTGTCCCCTGTAGAAAACCTTCAATGGTTCCCCATTATTCTCAGGATAAAATCCCAATGTCTAAACTTGAAAATAAAGGACCCACATAAAATGGTCAGAAACTACTTCTGAAATTTCCTAAAGATGACAAACGAATTCCTAGTTTCATGCATTTTGAATGCCCCATATATACCCCCCACCATCGTACTTCTCTGCAACGTGGAAAAACCTCTACTTATTCACTTCCAACTCGTTCAACTCCAAACACAAGGCAATGTCAAATTTTTCCATGCTGCCTTCCTCGATCTTTCCTTTTTGGGAGCTCATCTACTTTATTGTTGCTATTATTCATATGGCAGTTTATCCTAGACTGCCTGTGCCGCCTCTTGAATTGTCATTTAATTTTTAATGTGAGTATGCCTGTCTCATTTTTGCACCTGATTGTGAAGTTCCTGAGTGTAAGAACATTTTTTGTATTCAACTATTCTCCTAGCATACCTATAGACAATGAATAAATAATTTTGAAATGATTAAATCAATACAAGATTGACAAAGTCTCTACTGATTTAACCCATTATTTAGTTGATATGGTTCATTGTTTCTGAATTGCACATCGTCTACTTTAACAAAAACAGATTTTCTTATTTTATGAGCTTACACCTCTCTCATGTTCACATACCAAAGAGCTATAACTACATCCATGACTACAAAATTGATCCCAAACCAGACAAAATGCAAGAAACAGAAGCATCAGCTACTCTGGTCTAAATGTTGTATGAAAATCTTGTTGGCTGATTCAAGTGGGAGAAAAGCTTGAAGTTATAAGCATCATTTTGACTGTTTTATACCCAGTTGCACAATCAAAAAGTGCCTCATTTATCAGTCCCTGCTCTCAACACAACAAACAGATGCTTGTAATTTGAATTGTATGACTCTGGTATCACCACCAGACACTAGATCCTTGAAAGCACTTTAACCCTTGATAGTTAAAATAGGATATTTATCTCCCTGCCCCCAAAGAACTCCATGTCTTAAATGTAAAGTCAGAATTTACAATGCAGTAGAATCCTTGGGGTAGGGTTAGGATCCACAAAACAGACTCCCAGGAACTAGACAGTGAACTAACTGAAGGATTATCATAGGAGTAAAACTGTCTTTGTAAAAGTTATAACAGTGAAAAAATTATGACAGAGAAAGAGATATGACCTAACAGATTCCATCTTGCTTTTAACCTCCAAGCTGTCCTTATTCATTCCTGGGCATAGGCCAAACTAACTTTGGGAAGAATTTAGTTTATAGTTTAACTTTGAAACAAAGATGATAATAGCCCTTTCCCAAAACAAACTCTTTTCTTGCCTGGGGACCAGACTGGCTGTTGTAGGACTAACAAATTTGCCACAAGATTAGAAATTGCGATTTAGGAATCATGCATCTAGAGGTCACAAGATTCTAAAAATCCCCAGTTGCTCCTAGGGATAACATCACTATTGTAAAACCTAAGATTGGTGCTTGAGATATTTTTTGGACCCTGAACTCGAAGGATCAGCTGGCACCACCCAGATTGATAAACTGGCTCATCTGGTCTTGTGTCCCTCACCCAGGAACCAACTCAGCTCAAGTGGACAGCTTCAACTCCCTATGATTTCATCTCCCACCGAACCAATCAGCACTCCCTGGCATCCTATCTACCAAATTATCCTTAAAAAACCCCAGTCTCTGAATTTTCAGAGAGACTGATTTGAGTAATAATAAGACTCTGGTCTCCTGTTCAGCAGGCTCTGCGTGAATTAAACTTTTTCTATTGCAATTCGTTTGTTTTGATAAATTGGCTCTGTCTGGGCAGGAGGCAAAATGAACCCACTGGGCAGTTACAGGAGCATCGGTTGACTTAAAGATTGGCTTATCCACCTACCAGAATCTAATGTCTGCCATATTAAACACTTTAAAGCAATTAGAGCTGTCTTACTGAGAACACTTTGGACAATAACTGATAAACTATGTAACTGAATGATCTTTTGATGAGGTCTAATTTATACTATAATTCATTTTTTAGATGTTTAAAGTAATGTATTATGGTAATGTATAATGCACTTAGTTTCTATGACCAAAACATAGGAATAATTTCTCTGTTTAAATGGATAATTTATTTTTTGTATAAATTATAATGATTTTAAAGCCCTATAAGACTCACAGTTTTGTTATTATTATTTAAATTTTCATAGAATATTCTTTTTCCAAACAATAAAGTACAAAGGGAGGAGGCTTTAAACTAATAGAAATTTATGTTCAAATCCCAACTCTGCAGCTGGCAGTGTGAGTCTGAATGATAATTCCTACATCAAAGGACTGTGGTAAGGATATAATAACACGTGAATGTTGCCGTCTAGTTATTTGTTTGTTATCTGCTCCTTCCATTAGAAACCAATCCCAATGACAGAAGAGCCTGATATATAGTAGGTGCTCAGAAATCATTTGTTGAATGAATATGATCAGCTTATTTTTCTGATAAGAAAAGATTTAAGCTAATTTTTCTATATTTTAATGTAACTCACCTTAAATACTTGAGGAAAATATTTCCCGGGAAGGAAAATGTCAAGAGGAAGCAGAAAGCATTCTTGTCTTTCTTCTTTCAGATGCAGGAAAGTAAGACTGCACTTGGTGATGAGATATGCATATTATCAACAAATTAATTGTATTGACAGGTTTATCAAAGAGTAGTCTGGCAATGTCAAAAACAACTGGGCATATAACTCTGAAGACTTACGACAATTAGATCAGTTAATTTTGTGTTTTTTTAAATGGCCCATGATGTGGCTGGTGGAAAGTCTGTATTTGTTGGGTTGTACATTCTTAGGCCCCCTCATGGTTTTTAGTCACTAATACAAATATGAAAAGTAACAAGGATTACATCATGCATTTATTAAATACATAATTATTGAGCACCAACTAATTGCCAGGAAATGTTCCACTCATTGGGGATACTGTGGTGAACAAAACAATCAAGGCTGCTACCCTCTGTATTTAATGTACCATGATGAACAATAACACATAATAAATCTAAAAACAAACACTTCAGAAAGGAAATAGTGAGGCATGTTATTCTGAAAAATAAAATAAGAGATATGCTAGTAGGTGACTGAAGGCTGCTTTAGATTGGGTGCCAGAGAAGACCTCCCTGACAAGTGTTCTTCAAGCTGAGAACTGAATGACATGGAGGAACCAGAAATACAAACATTGGGGAAAACATCATGGAAGGAGCAATAGGCTAGTGTGGCAGCCTTGAGAAGTGGCTGGCCCAGTTTGAATGACCAGATGGTAAGCCATTACAGGGAAAAGAAAACTAAGCCAGCAATTTTCCAAGGGCATGAGGAATATTTCATTTTTTCTTATTTTTATATGGAAGGTATTGGACAAGATAATTGCCAATGATTATTATATACTAAAAAAATTCAGAAATCTGTGGTCAAGATGGTTCCTTAATCCCAACTTAACTATGAAACATTGACTCTTTCAAGTCCTTTAGTAGAAAATTCCCAAAGCTTGGGGAGTTGCACTTCTGGCTGAATGGGGTTGTAGGTGTGGCAGTTGTTACAATGTTCTGTTTAGAAAAGCTAACAGTAACACCTTTCATATATGTGAGAGCTAGACAAACATGTCTAAATTACACATTCATAAGACTTCCATTGGAGAGAGAAAAAGGAAGATATACAAAATTTAATACATATAAATTAAAGCTTATTTTCTTTCACTGTGGTCCAAAACTTTAATTAGAAGAGCTTTGGTGGAAATAAGTCAGGTAATTAATTTTTATGGGATTAAAGATACTAAATAGTCATGGTATAGTAAATATAGTATATTTGTATTTGTCTACCTCAGGCATAATATGTATATTTCTACTTAGAAATTCTGAGTTAGAATTGACATATTAACTTCCACTTAATGCAAATCAACTGTGAAAATAGCTTATATATGCTTTAAATATTTAATATTTTAAAATAGTATAAAATGTAATGAAATAAACATGAAATATCAATGCTAGAATCAAGAACAACAGCCTTGAAGGATGATCAGAGTAAAATCAGGGTTTTTTTGGCATGAAATTGTAGTTTTTAATTGTAGTTTTAATATAATTTGTGCACTGCTGTATCCAATACTGAAAACCATATAATAATAAAAACCATCAAATCATATCTCTATTTCACCTTCTTAAATATGGTTTAAGAATAGTCTGGGCCACCTTGAGTAGAATATGTACATTTCTCTACAGAAATTCTAAGTTGAAATTGACATATTGACTCCCACTTGTGCAAACAGCTGTTAAATGATATATTTCATATAACTTATTTATTTAATACATATGAATAACTACTACATGTCCTAGGTGCTAGACTATGGCACAAATATTACAAAATCCCTGTCATCCTTAAAGTAGACAATAGACAACAAATTAATATACATATTTTATCAGGTGATAATAAGTTCTGTGGAGAAAAACAAAGATGGGGGGTGGTTAAGGAGCCTGGGAAAGGTAAGGAGCCTGGGAGAGGGAGGTATGCAATTTTACAAGATGTGGTCAGGAAAGTCCTCTCTGTTGAGGTGATTTTTGAGCAGAGACCTGAGGGAAGCTAGGTAAATGCATTACAGGCAGACAGGATTGTCAGGACAAAGTCTGTGGGGCAGGGCAAGACAACTAGGAGGCCTGTGTGGCTGGAGCAAGTTGAGGGAGAGATCAGAAAAGACAAAGCCAGGAAGATGTATGTGTGTGTGTGTGTGTGTGTGTGTGTGCATGTGCGTGTGTGTGTGTGTGTGTGTGTTTGGGGGAAGAGGTTTTAACTTTGATTCAGAATGAGATGGAAGCCTTTGACAGGTTTTGAGAAGTGTGACATGGTCTGAGTTTTATTTTAAGAAGATCATACTCTGGCTGCCATGTTGAAAACAGACGGTAGAATGGCAAGTGTGGAGATACATATAGCAGATTGGAAGCTATTTCAACAATTAAGAAAGATAACTGGCTTGGCCCGGCGTGGAAGAAGTAGGTAGGAGAAGGGGAAGTATAGTTAAGGCTTGGTTATAATTTACTGATAGGGGTGTGTGTGTGTGTGTGTGTGTGTGTGTGTGTGTGTGTGTGTGTGTATGTGTGTAAAAGGAAAGAAAGGAAAAGAAATTGAAGATGTTTGGTCTTAGCAACCCAAATTATAGTGCTTCTATTGAGTGAAGTGGGGTTTCTGGGGAAGGAGCAGGTTTGAAGGTTGTAAATCCAGAGTTTGTTTTAAGACAGATTAAGTTGGAGAGAATCTATTAAAGCTTCAAGTGGAGTACAAAAACATAGTGTACTTGTGTTTGTCTACCTTGAGTATAATTTGTACATTTCTCTATAGAGATTCTGAGTTAGAGTGGACATATTAACTCTCTTTTGTGGCTGAAGCTGGAGAAATAGATTTGTGAATTGTCAGTCAATGGATGACCAGCTAGGGCAGAATGGAACAGTCTGAGGATTGAATTGGACAAATTAGAAGGAATCAGAAAAGGACACTGAAGAAAGGTGAGTCCATAGGAAGAAGAATAGAAATGGTCCCAGAAACCAAGGAAAGAGATGGTGCAATCACAATTAAGAGTACTCTAAAGTTTATATTAATAACTGACATTAGTTATTTAAGAGGACTCAACAACTTGTTGTGGCTACATATTGGAGAACACTGGGAATAAGCTTTGTGGCAGCTGTCAGCTTCAGCAGACCTTGGAAAGGAAAATGGTTTGCCTTAGTTTTACAGTTTGTTTTGAGAAAGAAAACCATTCATTTGTATCCTTTCTAAGTTGCAATATAAATAACTGTCATTGTTCTTGTATTCTTCACAATAATGTCCATTAAACATATATGTATCACATATTTTACCTCACTAGGGACTAAGGCATTGCATTATGTCAGGATTGTATTACTTTTCCCTCTCATATTCGTGTCTTACTCTTAATAGGAAGTATGAGTAAATCAGGTATTTTTCTAAAGGTAATTTTCATTTATTTAGAACACATTTCTTTTTGGTGACATAAATTATCAGGAACATCATCACTCCGGAAAAAATACAGTGGGGGTTCTCTTGTACATAATCCTTTGAAAATAACATTGAACTAAACATGAAACATACATTTATTTCTCTGAAATAATTTCTCTTGAATATTTCTACAAAAGTAATTTTTCCCCACATCTGTTATTGTCTTTAATCTCCTAGTCCCCAGAACTATCTATAACCAAGTTAGTTCCATTATTTAATCTCTACTCATCACACCACACAAACCCCAAAATACGGGTAGTCAGTCACAAAATATAATCTATGAGAATGCTTTTTTTCCTGAACTTTTATATAATATTTGAAGGAGAAAAGGACAATGGTGGCCCTCCCCTGCAAGCTGTGCTTCGCAGCCTGCCTAATACACCAAGACCTAAGGTAAGTGGAAAATAATCTATGCAACAAGCTCACATGTCATCAGGAAATACTAATTAGCATTTTCTATAACAACAAAACAAAGGTGTGTGTATATACAACCGTATTACAAGAATGAGCTACTCTGCCCTTGACATATTTTAACCAGTAGCTTTATTAATGTGAGAAAAGTTTTGAATTTGCTGCCAAGTTCATGCAAAACAAAAAAAAGTCCCAGACATACAGTGAACAATAAGACATATAATAACTCTGGTCAAAACATGTGCCAACTGCACTTATTAAAAGGTAAACTGTAGGGAAATAAGAGTGTTCCCAGGGTAAAATCGATGCATTTAATAACTAGAGTCTGACAAGCCAATGCAATGTACATATAATTTGGTTTTAAAACCTACTTAAAACACCATTTAATCACATTGTTGTTTCACCATTAATTGTTAACACTGATATGTTTGAAATATTTTTTAAGAGATGGTTCTAGATATTGGCAACATTTAGTAAATACTTTTAAGAGTCACAGCATACATTGGGAATATAGTATTTTTTGCAAATCTATAAAACTACATAGATTCCTTTTTTTTTTCTTTTTGAGACAGAGTCTCACTCTACCATCCAGGCTGGAGTGCAATGGTGCAATCTCACCTCACTGCAACCTCCACCTCCTGGGTTCAAGCAATTTTCCTGCCTCAGCCTCCCAAGTAGCTGGGACCACAGGGGTGCACCACCATGCCCGGCTAATTTTTTTTTTTTTTTTTTTTTTTTTTTTTAGTAGAGAGGGGGTTTCATCATTTTGGCCAGGCTGGTCTTGAACTATTGGTCTCAAGTGATCCATCTGCCTCGGGCTCCCAAAGTGCTGGGATTACAGGTGTGAGCCACCATGCCCGGCCATCCTTCTTGAAGAAGTCTTTCATTACACGGCTGGAGGTCAAAGGAGGAAGAGAAAAACTAATGTATAGATTGAATTCTACTTTGACATCTACGACTGGCTAGCAAATTTATGTAGAGCATGATACTAATGAAAACAAAGTCACAGGCTTGATTCTGATCTGTGTCATTAACCTCATTCTGTTTCATGTTTCCAAGCTGAACTCTAACCATCAGCTTGTGACTCATGGCTTAGCTGGTCTCAATGGGGAACAAACCAGAGAGTCTATGGATCAACACAAAGCTATAACTGCTTCATGAAAAGAACTTTGCAGGGCACTGATCACCCTCTCTGACAAATGAAGGCAACTTATTACTTAAGAGCTACAAGAGGTAGTGAAAGGCCAGTAAACTGTGATACAGAAGACCTGGACTCCAATCCCAATTTTAGGATCCCTAAATTTATAACCTATAATATATCAATTAAACTCTCTGACTTTTAATGTCCTTATTCATTATTTCATATTAATACTCTTCTAACATAGCCCTGAATATTTAGGGCTTCAAATAATATGTGACTTGGTTGCTCTTGTGTTGTAAGCTTTTAGTACATACTTGACACTTGCTTAATAAAATATTTGCTGAACAAATTGTTAAAATGAATTTGAAAGACTGAAGCACATTATTTCAATGCAACTTATTTAATCTAAAAGACCATTTGTAAACATTTAATATAACCTAATATTCTTGTCAATATCTTTATAGATTTTGTTATATAAAAATAGATTGTTTATTAAAATAATATAGAATAAAATGTTACGATTGCATCTCTTTTTACAAACTGCTATAAACATTTAATGTAATTAAAATTAGCTTATATAGAAAATCCAAACACATAATCAGTTTAAATTCAATCAGTTGCTAAAACTAGTGACCTATAGTTTTATACTATACACAATCAATTACACAAAAAAGAGAAAATTTGTGGGATAAATTTGGAGAAAAATAGTATTATATTTAATAATGATAAAAATATATAACCATCATTTGAAATAAAATTATTTTCTGTTATGGTTTGAAAGATAAATAACATTAAAAAAATAAGCTTTATACTCAAGTCAGTTACTGGCACACTTGGACTCTGCTTTAAAAAAGTGTATGTGTATATGTGTGTGTATTTTTTTTTTAAAGAGGCACCTGTTTGTGCAATAGTTAAATGTCATTCAAACAATTATTTAATGTTGACTACCTGATTATCTGGAAACCTTTCAAATGATACCAAAGCCTGAAATAGATTTTCTTTTTGGGATGTGGCAGACAGATATCAGGGTAACCCTCATGATTCTTTCCTCCTGGTATTCACAACTGTTTATATTTTCCTCATCTTGAATATGGGCAGGAACTTTAAGTTGCTTCTAACAAATAAGATGTGGCAAAAGTGATGCCCTGTCACTCTTATGCTTATGCTATATAAAATCCAGTCATACTAGCAAACTCACTCTCTTCCTCTCTTGCTGGATTTGAAGAAGCAGGCTGCTTGTTGTAAAGGGTCTATGGCGAGGGCAAGGTAGTAGCGAACTGAGGATGGCTTCTAAGAGCTAATGTAACCTCTGATACGTAACCTCTGATATAAGTAACAGCCACCAAGAAGTTGCGACCGTCAGTCTTGCGGCTGCAAGGAAATTAATTCTCTCATTATCATGAGTGACCTCAGGAGTTGATCCATCACCAGTGGTGCCTCCAGATGAAAACTGAACCCTAGTGACCTTAGATTGCAGCCTTGCAGAGGACCAGCTAGGCCATGCCTAGACTCCTGACCCTTGGAAACTGTGAGATAGTAAGTGTGTGTTGTTTTAACCCAGTAAATTTTTGAATAGTTGAAATATTCAAGGAAGCAAAATTATTCTGACAAGAATATTGCAGACTCAAAAATATATACATGTATACATAGAGATATGTAAGTACAAACAAACTGGCTTTTTGTGGGGAGAACAGATGAATTTAGTTAAAACAAAACCTTTTTTAAAAAAACAGGTTGATTCAAATTAAAAAGTATTGTTCTCGAATTGATAACAGTTGGATAGACTCAGCAAAATACTCCCCAAGCAGGTTGGTAACGTCAAGTCTCCTTAGTTTATATCCATGAAATAGCTAATTGCCAATGCCAGTCTAAGAGTTTTAGCCTGGATTTAAGATGTGTGCTTAAAGTAAGGCTATAGAAATATTCTCAGCTCAAGAATATTATTCAGTTTTCACCTTCCTTTCTCCAACTACAGTCATTCTTAGGCACCAATTAAAATGTGTACCATACAATCTGCATGGACTTTCTAGGAGGTTTATTCTTTCATTAGATATGAAAGAATTCCAGGCCCTCATTATCAAAAAGTGGGATTAACTGTATCTGTACTTTATGCATAAATGGTCATCCCTATGTAGGTAACTACTACCCATTCTCAAATTGAGGTCAGATTCACATCCTCTAAAAGCCATATCTGACATTGTTCCATCTAATCTGATTTAGACACTTTTTATCAGTGCTTGAAGAGCACTCCATGCAAACCACTGAACCTGGTAATCATGCACCATCTGTTCCTTTTCTTCCTTCTTGTGGGAAAGACCCTCCCTATTTTTCTTCGGCCCTCAGGTCAGTGCCTGCCACAAAGTAGACACTGAATAAACATTTGGGAACTTTTATTTTTCAAATTGGTTTTACATGTATATGCGCATATATTTTAACCTCTCAAATGTCCAAGGAATAATGTGGCAAAGATTAATTTGGTCTGTTGAGAGAAAGACAGAGCAGATGCTTTGTTATAATAACATAGCCCTATTATTAAATGAGGCATATTATATATCTATTTCTTCTATGTACATGGTAAATTTTAATTAATATTCTCTGATAACAAAAGATATAAGTATGAAATCTTGAATTGAGATTATGTAAAATAAAATTTATTGTTTAAATATTTTAAAATACACTAAAACCATAAGTAAAATTTAGACAAAACCCTAATGTTGTGCTAGCAATAACAATATATGCTGGGGCATTGATGAGGCTCATGAAGAGGCATATCTTTTTTGTCTTGTTTCTGATCCAGATGTAACCCTGTCAGCTTTAATGTCCTATCCCAGTTCACAACTCACATAACTCTGTATGGCTGCAGATAAGAATACCGAAATTATTAAGCTAATTATAAATAACTTATAATTCTTATCTCTGCCATTTCCAAGCCCATTCTCCAAAGTAAAATAACTGTATTTCTATTACAAACACTATTTTTGTTCTAATATATTATTCTACAATCCTGTGGAAATGCTGATGTGTTGAATGTACAATTCTCCTTTAATGTAAATTGGCTTTGTGGTATTTTATATTTGCAGCTAAAAATATATTGGAAAACCTTCTTCAGCTGAAACAGGGAGTATTTTTTCGTCTACCTGGCTTTGAACTAGCAGTATGTAACATACAGAGTTAGTTGGAAGATAGTCCTTATTATGAAATAGTGGTTAGGGGAACAGACCCTGGAGCCACATTATCCAGGCTTGAATCCTGGTCGTGTGACTTTTGGTAAGCCACTTAACTTCTCTGAACTTCAGTTTCTTCATCTGGAAAGGATAATAACTTTGTAGGGACACGGATGAAACTGGAAACCATCATTCTGAGCAAAGTATAGCAAGGACAGAAAACCAAACACTGCATGTTCTCACTCATAGGTGGGAACTGAACAATGAGAACACTTGGACACAGGAAGGGGAACATCACACACTGGGGCCTGTCATGTGGTGGGGGGAGGGGGGAGGGGGAGGGAAAGCATTAGGAGATATACCTAATGTAAATGACGAGTTAATGGGTGCAGTAAACCAACATGGCAATGTATACCTATGTAACAAACCTGCACGTTGTGCACATGTACCCTAGAACTTAAAGTATATTAAAAAAAGTGTCTACCTCATAGTGTTGGTGTGAACATTAAGTACGGTAATGGGTGTATAATGCTAAGAATAGTACCTGCCACATAAAACATCCTTACTAAATGTTAACTACTTAATTACCTGTCTCATACATAAGCTCTATGATGTCAATATTTCAAAGTGGGCAGGATATTAAGTGTAATAATTAAAAATTATTATTATTAGGGTTGCTAAAATATAACATGTCTAATGTTCAAAATAATTTAGGCAAAAAATTAATGTTTTTTGCAAACTTTTTTTAAAACACGAAAACAGCATAATGGCCATTCATATAATATGAACATTATTAAGTAGTGTTAATTCTCATTAAATATAATAAGGCCTAACATTTGAAATCAAAAGTTGAGGTTATTGAGAATTTCAACAAAAGAAATGGGATAGATATGAGTACTACAGTGCCAGATACGCAATATTGATTTATAGAAAAAAAACATGGACTATTAAATATATCACTGATTTTTGTTGTAACCATATCATTGATTTTTGTTGTTTGAAATGTGATGTTGATGATAGTCTCTTGGGTAGATTAATTGCTGGTTGCTGGTTAAATACTGTACTCAGACAGTATTGATTAATAGCTTGAGATTAACCTGGAAACATGATTCAAAGGACATCCAGAATTCTAATTTTGCATTTTAACCAACAACCTGGGTGAAGATAAGGAAGTCTGGTTTATCAATTTTGTGGGTAACAGGGCAACATGTTACAGAATAAAAATTATTTTGGAAAGGCAGAGCAAGATGACCAAATAGAAGCCTCCACCAATCATCCTCCTTGTAGGAATACAAAATTTAACAATGATCCACACAAAAAGGTACCATCTAAGAACCAAAAATCAGGTGAGCAATCTCTGTACCTGGTTTAAGCTATATATCAGTGAAAAAGGCACTGAAGAGGGTAGGAAAGAAAGTCTTGAATGGCCGATGCCACCCCTCCCCCATGCGTCAGCAGTGGCCACGTGGCACAGAGAGTGAATCTTTGTGCTCGGGGGAGGGAGAGTGCAGCGACTGGGGGACTTTGCTTTGGAACTCAGTGCTGCCCTGTCACAGTGGAAAGCAACACTGGGCAGAACTCAGCTAGCGCCAGTGGAGGGAGAATATAGACCAGCCCTAGCCAGAGTGAAATTGCCCATTCCAGCAGTCAGAATCTGAAATCCAGCAAGCCTCACTGCCATAAGTTAAAGTGTTCTGGGGTACTAAATAAACTTGAACGACAGTCTAAGCCACAAAGACTGAAATTCCTGGGCAAGTACTGATGCTGGGATGGGTTTAGAATTAGTGTTTATGGGGGACATGTGACCTAGTGAGACACTAGCAGGGGCAGCCAAAGGAGTGCTTGTGCCACCCCACCCCCAACCCTAGGCAGAGCAGCTTGCAGCTGCAGGTGAGACTCCTTCCCTCCACCTAAGGAGAGGAGAGGGAAGAGTAGAGGCCTTTGTCTTGCAATTTGGATACCAGCTTATCCATGGTAGGATAGGGCAAAAGGCAGAGTCATGAGCCCACCATTACAGGCCTTACCTCCTGGATGACATTTTTAGAAATACCCTGGACCAAAAGGGAACCTGCTGCCTTGAAGGGAAGGAAGCAGTCCTGGCAGCATTCATCATCTGCTGACTAAAGAGCCCTTGGCCCCTGAATAATCAGCAGCAATAGCCAGGTGGTACTCACTGTGGGCCTGGGGTGAGACTGAGAAATGCTGGCTTCAGGTGTGACCCAGAACATTCCCAGCTGTAGTAGTTATGGGAAAAGACTGCTTCTGCTTGAGAAAAGGAGAAAGAAGGGTAAAGAGGACTTTGTCTTTTAGCTTAGGCTCCAGCTCAGCCACAGTAGGGTAGAGTACCAAGCAGGCCCTTGGGATCTCCCATTCCAGGCCCTGGCTCTCGGACAGCAGTTATGAACCTGCCCTCAGCAAAAGGGTAGCCCACTGCTCTGAAGGGAGAATCTCAGGCCTGGTTTCACTTACCACAAGCTGACTGAAGAGCTACTGGATCTTGAGTAAACACTGGCAGTAGCCAGGCAGCACTTGCCATAGGTCTAGGGTGGTGGTAGCCTCAGGGAAAGTCTCCTCTGCTTTTAGAAAAGGGAGGGAAGAACGGGGAGGTCTTTGTCTTATAGCTTTGGTGCCAGGTCAGTCACGTAAAATAGAACACCAGGTAGCTTCTTAAGATTTCTCACTTCAGGTCCTGGCTCCCATATGGCATCTCTGGATTCTCCTAGGGCAAAGGGGAACTTGATGTCCTGAAGGGACAGATACAAGCCTTGTTGGCTATGCTACCTGCTGATTGTAGAGCCTTAGGACCTTGAGCAAACATATGCAGTAGCCAGGTACTGGTCATTGCAGGCCTTGAGAGAGATCCAATGCTGTGTTGGCTTCAGGTCTGACCCAGCGCCATCCCAGTGGTGGTGGCCACAAGGGTGCTAGTGTCACCCCTCCCCAAGCTCCAGGTAGCTCAAGACAGAGAGAGAGACAGACCCCATTTGTTTGGTAGAAAGTAAAAGAAGAGGACAAGAATCTCTGCCTAGTAATCCAGAGAATTCTTCTGGATCTTATTCAAGAACACCAAGCGGGGACACCTCCATGGGTCAGCAAGAGCCATGGCATTACTGGTCTTGGGGTGCCCCCTAATGCAGACATAGCTGCAGTGAACAAAAACTTAGATCACAATATCCAAGTCTCTTTGAAAACCTGGAAAACCATCCCAAGAAAGGCAGGTACAAACAAGCCCAGGCTGCAAAGACTACACTAAATACTTAACTCTTCAACGCCCAGACACTGATGAACACGCACAAGCATCAAGACCACCAAGGAAAACGTGATCTCACCAAACAAATTAAATAAGGCTCCAGTGACCAATCCTGGAAAGACAGAGATGTGTCCTCTCAAACAGAAAATTCAAAATAGCTGTTTTGAGAAAACTCAGTGAAACTCAAGATAATACAGAGAAAGAAGTCAGAATGCTATCAGATAAATTTAACAAATAGATTGAAATAAAAAGAATCAGGCAGAAATTCTGTAGTTGAAAAGTGTAATTTACATGCATCAGAGTCTCTTAATGGCAGAATTATCAAGGAGAAAACAGAATTAGTGAGCTTAAAGACAGGTTATTTGAAAGTACACAGTCAGAAGAGACAAAAGAAAGAAAAACAAACAAACAAAAATGAAACACAAGCTCAAGATCTAGAAAATAGCCTCTGAAGGGCAAATCTAAGAGTTATTGGCCCTAAAGAGAAGGTGGAGAGAGACATAGGGATAAAAAGTGTATTCAAAGGGATAATAACAGAGAACTTCCCAAAGCTAGGGAATTATATCAATATTCAAGTACAAGAAGGTTATAGAACACCAAGCAGATTTAACCCAAAGAAGACTACCTCAAGGCATTTAATAATCAAACTCCCAAAGGTCAAAGATAAAGAAAGGACTCTAAAAGCAACAGGAGAAAATAAACAAATAATATATAGTGGCGCTCCAAAATGTCTGACAGCAGAGAGTGGTATGACATACACAAAGTGTGGAAAAAAAAAAAAAAAAGATCTCACCTCTTATTCTAGAATAGTATATCCAGCAAAAATATCCTTCATGCATGGAGATATAAAGACTTTCTGAGACAAGCAAAAGTTGATATGTCATCAACAACAGACCTGTCCTATAAGAAATGCTAAAGGGATTTCTTAAGAAAAGGACATTAATGAGCAATAAGAATCAATTAAAAATACAAAACTCACTGATGATAGTAAATATGCAGAGAAACGCAGGATAGTATAACATTATAATTGCGATGTTTAAACTACTAATATCTTGAGTAGAAAGACTAAAAGACAAACCAATCAAAAATAATAACTACAGCCAGGCATAGTGGCTCATGTCTCTAATCCCAGCACTTTGGGAGGCTGAAGCGGGCAGATCACGAGGTCAGGAGATTGAGACCATCCTGGCTAACATGGTGAAACCCCGTCTCTACTAAAAATACAAAAAATTAGCTGGGTGTGGTGGTGGGCGCCTGTAGTCCCAGCTACTCAGGAGGCTGAGGCAGGAGAATGGCGTGAACCCAGGAGGCAGAGCTTGCAGTGAGCCAAGATCACGCCACTGCACTCCAGCCTGGGCAACAGAGCGAGACTGCATCTCAAAAAAAAAAGAAACAATGAAAGTTAAAAAGTAGAAAGTAGGAGGACAAAGTAAAAGTGTAAAATTATTACTTTTCTCTTTCCTTGTCTGTTTGTTTATGCAATCAGTTTTAATTTGTCGTCAGCTTAAAATAATCAGTTATGATATGATATTTCTAAACCTTGTAGTAACCTCAAATCAAAAAACATACAACTGATACACAAAAAATAAAATTCAAGAAATTAAAAACATACTAGCAGAGAAAATCACCTTTACTAAAATGAAGACAGGAAGGAAGGAAAGAAGAAAGAAGAAAACAAAGCAACCAGAAAACAACAAAATGGCAGAGTAAGTTCTTTCTTACCAATGCTAATATTGAATATCAATGGACTAAACTCCCCAGTAAATACACAGAGTAGTTGAATGGATAAAACAACAGGACCCAACAATCTGTTGCCTACAAGAAATGCACTTCGCTGATAAAGACACACATGTACTGAAAATAAAGGGATAGATAAATATATTCCACGTAAATGGAAACCAAAAAAGAACAGGAATAGTTACAGTTATATCAGACAAAATAAATTTCAGGACAAAAACTATAAAAAGAGACTACATGGTCACTATATAAGGATAAAAGGGTCAATTCAGCAAGAAGATATAAGAATTGTAAATATATATGCACTCAACACTAGAGCATCCACATATATAAAGCAAATATTATTAGAGCTAGAGAGAGAGGTAGACCCCAATACAATAATAGCTGGAGAGTTCAACACTCCACTTTCAGCATTGGACACATCATTTAGACAGGAGTTCAACAAAGAAACATCGGACTTGATCAGCATGATAGACCAAATGGAACTAATAGATATTTACAGAAGATTTCATCAATGGCTGCAGAATACATATTTTTTTCCTCAGCACATGAATCAGTCTTAAGGATAGACCACATGTTAGGCCACAAAATAAGTCTTAAAACATTAAAAAAAATTGAAATAATAGAAAGTATCTTCTCTGACCACAATAGAACAAAACTAGAAATCAATAAGAGGAATTTTGGAAACTAAACAAACACATAGAAATTAAACAATATGCTCCTGAATGAGCAGTGAGTCAATGAGGAAATTAAGGAAATTGAAACATTTCTTGAAACAAATGGTTATGGAAACAGAAACATACCAAAACCTAACGGGTACAGTTGCAAGCAGTAATAAGAGGGCAGTTTATACCCTATATCAAAAAAAGAAGAAAAACTTCAAAAACAAAAAACCCTAATGATGCACCTGAAAGAACTAGAAAAGCAAGATCAAACCAAACCAAAAACGAGCAGAAGAAAAGGAATGATCAAGATCAGTGCAGAAGTAAATGAAATTGAAATGAAGAAAACAATACAAAGGATCAGTGAAATAAAAAGTTGATTTTTTGAAAAGATAAACAAAATTGACAAACCTTTAGCCAGACTCTGACAGGATTTTTCTAACATAGCATCTTAATAAGAAGACACAAATAAATAAAATCAGAGATGAAGAAGGGTACATTACAACTGATACTGCTGAAATTAGAAGTATCATTAGAGGCTACTATAAGCAACTACATGGCAGTAAATTGGAAAAGCTAGAAGAAATGAATAAATTCCTAGACACATACAACCTACCAAGATTGAACCATGAAGTCCAAAATCCAAATAGACCAATAGTAAGTAATGAGATCAAAGTAATAATAAACAGTCTCCCAGCAAAGAAAAGCCCAGGATCTGATGGCCTCACTGCTGCATTTTACCAAACATTTAAAGAAGTAATACCAATTTTCCCAATTTATTCTGAAAAATAGAAGAGGAGAGAATACTTCCAAACACATTCTATGAGGTATGGGAGCATGGAAAAAGGAGAGTTTGTCTTCAGCTTACATAGACCAAAACACATGAACTAAAGGAAGAGTGGAATTTAGCTTGTTTATGATGCTTCTGCATTTGAGTGTTTGAGCTGCAGTTTCTCTTGACTAATAGTATTCTCTCCATGCTCTTCTTTACTCCATGACACACTTTTACCTCAACTTCTAACATTTCCTCTATTTTCTTTCTCTCTTTTGTTTCTTAAGACATCTTTCAAGACCCAGTTCACTTTTTCTCTCAAATGCAAAGCTTGGGCCTCCTTTAATTTTCCTCCTCTCTCCTCCCAGACCTAGGAGGTTAAATTAATATAGTGTGAATGTGACGAATAACATCCTGCATTCTTGTACTAGAATAAAAACTGGTAACCAGACAAAGCACACTGCAGCATAGTTTGAAAATACCCATGTGGATATATTTGCATATACTGAAAGAACATATACTAAATTCTCATACTTTAAGAAGACACATGTGAATAAGAACATCAACAAAGTGTACTGTTCATCTCCATTAACAAGAAATCTTGGAACTTGGTATTTTTTTCCTTCACAGACAGCTTGACTTGGTTTGATTCAAGTGCTGCTTTCTGAATTCAGTGCAGGTGCTAATTAGTACGAAGGCACATAAATCTAGAGAGGAAGGTAAATGGGAAACATATGGAAACAGAAATGTAACCAAAAGTTCTTTTTGATGATATACATGGTTCAACAAGTTTTAAAACAAAACTGCAAGCTGATGGATGGTAATATTCTACATCACTTATACTGAAACAAAGCTGCCAATGTGATTGTCTAGTTGTTCACTACTTGAATATTTATAAAGTTTACAGTTCACATGTGGCATTTCCATAAGCTGCCTTGATTAATGAATTTAATTGTAAATGTTATGAGCTGATTTCTTAAACTGTATTTCATTTTGTTTATATGCTTGGTGTAAAAGTAAATTTTCAGACTGAATAATACCCAGCAGATTTGAATCAGGGACAAAGCTCTCAAGCTGCGTGGTGTGAGCAGTGCATAGTGAATGTGGCTGCACAGCAAGTATTGTGTTTGGCCAAAGTAAATATGGGGCTCAGTGCCAGATTTCCTGAGCCAGTCTAGGCCCCGAGTTCACCCAAAAATTCATTCAGGGGACTTCTTAAACAATCACCAAGGCCAGACATTAAAATGAAAGACATTTGAAACTCTCCTCCAAGGACAGTTCTTTGGGCACACAGAATCTGATGGAGAGGGAGTTTCAACAAGTTTTGAGCTTTTAAACAGTAGAAAAGGATAAAGGAAGAAAGTAATAGGGGAGGCTGAGGTGGGCAGATGACCTGAGGTCAGGAGTTTGAGACCAGCCTGGCCAACATCCTGAGACACCGTCTCTACCGAAAATACAAAAATTAGCCAGGTGTGGTGGTGCGCGCCTATAATCCCAGCTAGTCGGGGGGCTGAGACAGGAGAATCACTTGAACCCAGGCGGTGGAGGTCGCAGTGAGCCGAGATTGTGCCTCTGCACTCCAGCCTGGGCAACACAGTGAGACTCCATCTCAAAAAAAAGAAAAAGAAAAAGAAAATAATGGAAGTAACTTACTGGTCACCTTCCCCAGCCCCCTGGGTATCTATTTTGTCTTGCAAAAAGATGAAATAGAACAAATATGGTATTGATTCTGGGCCACTAATCTCCTGTCCTACTCCTGGGACTACCTGTTATTACTCTCTCTGTATATATCTCTCTTTATATTTTCTTATAACTGTTGACAGCCCCAAAGTTCCAGACCTTAAAATGCTCCATTTCTATATATTAGAAATTTCTATATATTAGAAATTTCTATATATTCTATATACATATATATTCTATATATCCATTTCTATATATTAGATCATATATATATCCCTACTCATTTCTGCAATTATCATCCCCAAATCAGAGCAAAGTCCATTAATTTAATGGACATTAACATTTTTTGCTGTAGTAAAAAGGGCTTAAATAAGGATTCTTTTCTGAGTCATAAAAAATTAGATGTACTTAAAGATTTTCAATATATGTGTGTGTGTGTTATGTGTGTGTGTGTCTCTCTCTATATATAATTTTGACTTAATCTGCAAATGCAGCAGTTTTGCATGTACACAGGTGAAGATGAATTTCCTTTTATAACTTTTACTACATGTCATCCATACTAGTTTAGCTTAGTATAAGCAAGAAAAGTATAATATTGTAGACATTTACACAATTCACTTCATTCTCCCTGTCCTTAGGTAATTTATGATATCAGCTTTAGCAATCTCTGAGGAACCCAATCTACACCCTTTTCAATTTTAAAAAATACTCACTTATTCCCACTTTTTTAAAAAAACCAATTTCTCTGCCTCTCAAAACATAGGTGTTCACACCTATTTCATTTTGATTCAACTTTAAAAAGTAGCCTTTGGTACAAAACTTTTGAGTTATTTAAGGATGTGGTATCTACAGTCTTTTTTTTTTTAATTCAAAATTGGTTTGCTCTTTATCCCAAAGAATCCAAAAAGCTAAACATCATGTTCTCTTTGGATGTTATTTTCTATAATATGTTAAGTGTCTGAAAATGTGAAAAATTTAAGCAAGCACACAGGCACTTGGTTAATAAAGTGGGAATGTGTTCATCTGTGAAATACTTCTTATACATACTTATTTCCATCATATTTGGAGAGGATTTTTCTAACACAGCATCTTAATGGATTATTAGTAGACCTGACTCTAGGCTTAGTTACTGCCTAAGACAAGCCCACCTTACAAAAGAGGCTTGGGCACCTCTTCCCAGGGAAAATGCTTCCTTTCAAAGTTAATGAACAAGGAAGCTCTAGCTGTCTCTGGAAACCATAATGTAAGTTTGAGCAGTGCAATCACGTAGTCTTGAAAAAATGTTAGCTTCATGCAAATATAATCTTCATGCCTAGAGCATCTCTGACCAAAGTATAGTGAGCCCTAGTCTCAAGGTACCTGTTAGTGGATTAAAAATCGGCCCCATCGCCTGTAGTCCCAGCTACTCGGGAGGCTGAGGCAGGAGAATGGCGTGAACCCGGGAGGCGGAGCTTGCAGTGAGCCGAGATCGTGCCACTGCACTTCCAGTCTGGGCAACAGAGCGAGACTCCGTCTCCAAAAAAAAAAAAAAAAAAAAAAACCGGCCCCATAACATATATGTCCATCTGGAACCTGTAAATGTGAACTTATTTGGAAAAAGGATCTTTGCAGATGTAATTCAATTAAGGATCTCAAGGTGAAATCATCCTGGATTAGGGTGGAGTTTAAATCCAATGATAAGTGCCCTTAGAAGAGAACAGAAGAAGTGAAGAGAATCAGAGAGAGAAAAAGACCATGTACTGATGGAGATCTCTACTTCCATCAACTCAGATTGGAGTTATGATGCCACAAGTTAAGGAATGCCTGGAATCAACAGAAGCAAGGAGAGAGGCAAGGAAAGGACTCTTTCCTAAAGTCTCCAGAACCAACAAGTCCTGCTAACACCTTGATTTTAGGCTTCTGACCTCCAGAGCTGTGAGAGAATAAATTTCTGTTGTTTTAAACCACCCAGCTTACAGTCATTTGTTAAAGAATCCTTAGGAAACTAATATAGAATCAATCTTAAATGAGGGCTCAGCTCTTCCAGTGGTGTCTGTGCTAAGAAAGGGGAAGAAAACCAGGCAGAGTAGGGGCCCCATTGCTCAAGGAGAGAAACTTATTCCCACTGTCTTTTTAAAGAGAAGCAGGAATTTTTTATTTAGAGTCATTGAAAGAAATGATTGTTTGAAACAATAATACGCAGAGGTATGACTATTGCCAGAAATGATTGTTTCAAACAATAATATGCAGTGGTATGAGTAAACAAACTTTCATCTTGTATATTAAAGTACTGGTAATTTTAGGCTTCAAGCTAGAAAAAAATATTCAGGATTACAGTGATTGTAATAAAAATATGAAAGATTTCTAATATTCTGGGGATTCTTGTCTCTCCCTTTTGAAAGCTTTCAAGGAAAACAAATACTGCATTGAAAAAAATGTTCCATATTTATTTTACTATTTATGAATTAAACAATGTTGGGACAATATGAATTTTAATCAAAGCAATACTTTTCAAGAAGAGAGAACTGTACAAACTATTTATCTTTTCCATTTTGTCTATCAACATGTTTGGACAATGAAAACTTTACATATGTAATTTTAAAGTTTAAATTATGCTTATGACCATTTCATGTAAGTTTCTTTCAAAATAGTATTTGTTTTAAGGCTTTATTTGTTATATAAAAGAGTAAAATAGTGCTACAAAAATTTGTGTATGTTGATTAATTTGGTTTACATGCTGCCTAGTCCATTTTCTGTTGCTTATAACAGAATACCTGAAACTTTCTTACAGTTACGGAGGCTAAGAAATCTAAGGTCAAGGGGCTGCATCTGGTGAGCACCTTCTTGCTGGTGGGGACCCTCCACAGAGTCCAAAGTTGGCACAAGGTTTCACATGGCAAGGGGACTGAGCATGCCAGCTCAGGTCTCTCTTCCTCTCCTTCCAGTCCCAATCCCATGAAAACCTATTAATCCAGAAATCAATTAATCTATTCTTGAGAGCAGAACCCTCATGACCCAATCACCTCTTAAAGGTCTCACTTCTCTATACTGACACTTTTCTTCTTCTTCTTTTTTTTTTTTTTTTTTCTTTTTTGAGACGGAGTCTCACTCTGTCGCCCAGGCTGGAGTGCAGTGGTGCAATCTCAGCTCACTGCAAGCTCCGCCTCCCAGGTTCACACCATTCTCCTGCCTCAGCCTCCTGAGTAGCTAGGACTACAGGCACCTGCCACCATACCCGGCTAATTTTTTGTGATTTTAGCAGAGATGGGGTTTCACCGTGTTAGCCAGGATGGTCTTGATCTCCTGACCTCGTAATCTGCCCGCCTTGGCCTCCCAAAGTGCTGGGATTACAGGCCTGAGCCACTGTGGGGCGCGGCCATGGATTAAATCTTAACATGAGTTTTAGAGAAGACAAATATTCAAGCCATGGCACATATGCCTTTCTGATCCTGCCATACACTCTAAACAGCATTAAAAGGTATTTTACTTTTAGAAACCATCCACATTCAGGTAGGTCAAGTGTTAAAAGCATAGCCATCACGACTTTTATGATAGTATAAATAGAAAATAGGATTTTTATAACTTAAGTTGTCTCCTGTCAAAAATGCAGTTCAACTCAACAGATAATGTATTGAGCACTGACTATACCAACAAAGAAATAAACATGTTATGGTCACAATTATTAAGGAGCTTTCTACCTAAAGTGGCAGGAGGAGTCTCTGAGGGATAATAGAGAGAGCTGACATTCACTGACAGTTTTCTACTTTGCAACTCTTGTTTACTAATTTCATATGCACCATTACATTTAATCCTAATAAAAATCATAAAGTAGCTACTATTAGTAAGTTCATTTGCTTAGCTACTATTATTAAGTCCTCAGGTGAGGAAACTGAGGCAGAGTGGGGTTAAGTAACCTGCCTAAGGTCCAAAGTAAGTGGTAATCTGACTTTCAAGTTTGTACTTTGTACTTCAAGCCATCACACTGTAAAGACCTCCCCACCATCATCAGTAACCAAAGATTGTGATAAATGATTTTATTTCTATGCACTAGGAACACAGAGGAGGAAATGATGATTTATCCCAACTTGGAGGAATCTGGAAAGTCGGTAGATACCAAATCGATTCTACACTGGACTTAGAAAGACAGAGAGAAAATTCATACATGGAGGGAAACATTTCAGATGAAGAGATTAGTCAACAAAATTGGGAAATCTATAAAGAATATTTCCCTAGAAAATTTCTGTGCAATTTTAGAACATAAGGAAAATTTCTACATTCCAATTTTTGCCACCTATCTGTCATCCCCAGGGAGCAGCTAACCCTTTAGAAATGGTGAAATCTCCCTTTTCTGGGGCAGCAACAGGCTTCTGGAGCCATACCAAAACACTATGGGACTCAGAAGTTTTGAGGTGGCTATCTGGTCTCCTGCACCATTGCTTTGAAATAGGATTCAGAAAATTTGTAGCTGGAACACCTTGTACTGCACACTTAATGCCTCAAATTCAAGTGATTTTCCTCAGGTTCAAAGTCCTGACCCTGCTCAGATTAATTCAGTGGATTTGATTGCTAGCACTAAGGCAGAGGAAAACATTACAGTTTGAGAAGATACTTCCATAATTATTGATATGTCTCTAAACTAATGTGTCATTTACTCTTAACGCTGAAAGTTTTAAAGTCGTGATTTCCTATCTCTGTTCAATTAAGGGTAGAACACTATGGAAATGTCTTCAGAGTAAACATGATGTTGAGAAAGAAATCATAGCATCAAACAGCTTTTGGAATCCTACAGTGAAACACTATACTCACTTTAAAGTTTGAAAAAGCTCAATGGAGTAATCTTTTAGCATTCAACAGACATTTTAAACTTGTACTGAGAGCAGGGCTCCTACTATGTGCCAAGACTCTAACTAAATGATTTTATAGAAATTATCTATGTCCTCACACTTATGTGAGGTAGCTATTCTTACATTCATTTGATAGGTCAGGAAACAGGATTCCTAAGAAAATAACTTGCTTAAAGTCCCCTAACTCACACATGATAGATTAAGGAATTGAACTCTCTTTTCTTCCATATTGTAATTAACAAAAATGTTTGAAGCTATATGATTCTTCCCTTAAAACGTTTTCTAGATAGATGTAAAAGGAGATATATATATATATATATATTAATAAGCATTCATATAAAAGATAATAATTTTGCGCATTTTATGGGGCTGCCATTATGCAAATTAGTTAACTTTTGGCTGGTTGACCCAAGACAACTGCAGGACTGCAGAATTCCTCTGAGAGACTGAAGTGCTATCAAGCTTAGGAAAACACTTAAAAACCTATTTGATTATAGAAGGTGAGGGTTTTCTTTTTCTTTTTATTTTTTTTGAGACAGAGTCTCAATCTATCCTCCAGGCTGGAGTGCAGTGGTACCATCTCAGCTCACTGCAACTTCCGCCTCCCAGGCTCAAACGATTCTCCTGCCCCAGCCTCCAGGCACTGGCCACCATACCTGGCTAATTTTTGTATTTTTAGTAGAGACAGGGTTTTACCATGTTGGCCAGGCTGGTCTCAAACTCTTGACTTCAGGTGATCCGCCCACCTTGGCCTCTCAAAGCGCTGGAAAGTTTAAACAGTAACAAAAGAGGGGAAATTACTGCATAACGAAGTAAAAGGCATTGAGTTTTGTCATTTTTGTGAGGGTTATGATACTGGTAGAAGAGATGCAAGAGGAAGTATCTGGAGGTGAGGAGTTCTGTGTCCATGGACAGACTTGGTCAGGGAGTGTCTGATACATGTCTAAGGGCTGTGGTTCTATCACTCTAATTCCAGTTGATTCCTGCTTCTGCTATAATTGCCCTGCATAATCCCCAAAACTTTCAATAAAATTTTATTACTGACAACAACCTGCTGTGAGTGGTGTTTGGAGGAATAATGGAGAAGAGATGGAGCCTTGAAGTTTCAGATAGTGGCAGATATTTGCATAGATCTATAATATATAGTGCAGCATGGGCTGTCTTCTAAATAGCAAAGAATATGCATTATAGCAGTGCAGAGGAGGGACCAATCACTTTCAGGTAAGGGATTAGAGAATATACCACAAAAGTTGTAGCATTTCGTGTAGGCCTTAAAAGATATGCAACATTTGAATAAGCAAAGATTGGTACGAGATCTTTAGATTCAGAGTGAAATGGCATGGAGGTTGGGAGTTTCCAGGCACATTCTGGAAACAGGATTCAGGCAAACTTAAGTCAACCACATATTTAAAAGCAATGGAAGATATAGGTACAAAAAAATATTGAAGTTGGAGAGACGACAATTTTCAATGTCAGAATAAAGAGTTAAAAATTTATTCCACCGTAAATATAATCACTGAAAATTTTGATAAAGGGAACAATATAACCTGGTGGTTGTGGGCAGATGGCTTGGGGCCTAACAGTAAGAAGTATATGAATTCTGGTTTTTGACATGTTGAGTTTAAAGGGCTGTGAGGTCATAAGTATCCAATCCATTGGGCATAGAAGAATAAAACTTAGAAAAGACTTTGGAATGAAAGACACTGATGCAGAAGTGTATAGAGAGCTGAATTTAATGTTTGAATATGTGGCAGTGGATGGGAGTTCCCAAGGAGAAGAAAGTAAGAGAGATGAGAAAATGTCAGAGAACAGGATTTGGGCATGACTTAGGGGTTGAGAAATGGAGACTCAAGACAGTAAAAGTCAGAAAACAAGGAGAGCTTTTTAGGAAGGTTGAGGTGATTTAATGTGTTATGGAAGATAAAAACTGAAAAAAGTCAGAGGAGTACTACTTCCTCATTTGATAAAAAAGGGGTAAAAAATAAAGACATTGTGAATGATTTAGGAATACACAACATACAGAGAAATGAACCGAAGCATTTTAAGTTTAAAATGTGTGTAATTCAATTCTTGCAAAGTTGGCTTTTAATTTATTTTCCCTTTGTATTAAAGAAGTTTGCATCCAGAACACATTTTAGTGAATACAAAAATGGGTAGATAAAAACAAAAATAGCAAAAAATCTTTAAGTCACTATTGCTAAAACCAACTATATCCTTGTTACTTAAAGAGTAGTCTGAGGACCAGCAGATTTAGCATCGTTTAGGAGCTTGTTAGAAATGCAGCACTTCATCCATGTCCCTACAAAGGACATGAACTCATCATTTTTTATGGCTGCATAGTATTCCATGGTGTATATGTGCCACATTTTCTTAATCCAGTCTATCATTGGTGGACATTTGGGTTGGTTCCAAGTCTTTGCTATTGTGAATAGTGCCACAATAAACATACCTGTGCATGTGTCTTTATAGCAGCATGTTTTATAATCCTTTGGGTATATACCCAGTAACAGAATGGCTGGGTCAAATGGTATTTCTAGTTCTAGATCCCTGAGGAATTGCCACACTGACTTCCATGATGGTTGAACTAGTTTACAGTCCCACCAACGGTGTAAACCATCATTCTCAGCAAACTATCGCAAGGACAAAAAACCAAACACCGCATGTTCTCACTCATAGGTGGGAATTGAACAATGAGAACACATGGACACGGGAAGGGGAACATTACACACCGGGGCCTGTTGTGGGGTAGGGGGAAGGGGGAGGGATAGCATTAGGAGATATACCTAATGTTAAATGACGAGTTAATGGGTGCAGCACACCAACGTGGCACGTGTATACATATGTAACTAACCTGCATGTTGTGCACATGTACCCTAAAACTTAAAGTCTAAAAAAAAAGAAAAGAAATGCAGCACTTCAGTCCCATTCTAGACTCCCTGATCAGCATCTGAATTTTAATGTGATCCTCAGGTGATTCATTTATTAATGTTTGAGAAGCACTGCTGCACAAAATACTATTTTGTCATACATATAAGCTTAATGATATACATGATATGATACATGAGATGTTCAATAATCTGTCTATAGATTCCTGCCTTCACATTGTGAGATAATAACTGGGTTCTGAGACTGGATTTTAGTGCTCAGGTCTGCCACTCCATAGCTGTGAGAAAAATCTCACTCTCCCATCTTTCAGTTTCATTGCAAAAGCAGTAGTCACATCCAATCCTATATTGTTATTTTAAATAAATCATGTTTAAGGGATATGGCCCCTGCTCCTTAGAATCTGTAATGTAACATTGACATCATGATAGGGAGAAAGACACTCATGGCATATATTAAATAAAAGCAAAATGCACAATGCATGTATCTTTTAATGACAAAATAAAGATAAGAATGGCTTAGAAAAAACATTTTTAGAGTTCCAAGGTTGAGGAGAAACTGCTATTATTTGTTCCTCCATCATGTAGTTCAAAGTTTTCTGGAGAGAATAGTCTCTTACTTAATGCAAAAGAGGAAGCTCAGCAAACCTCTAATGATGGCAGTAAATAGCATATTTGGAATGCTTACTACCTGGCAGATGAATTGTCATGCATATCTCCTTTAATCCTCACAACAACCTGAAGAGACAAGCAGCACTAGTTATCATCCCCATTTACAGATAGGAAAATGGAGGCTTAGATACATTAGTCACTGGCTCAAGGTAATAGAGTTTACAAGAGGTGGAACTGAAATCCAAACCAGGTCTGTCAAACATGGAAAGTAGAATTCTTAAGTATCCTCAATGAGGAATTAGAGATAGACATAAAATAATATATACGCTAACATATATGGACATAAAATAATATAAACTAACATATATTAAATCCTTGTAAACACACTATCATATAGGCACTGTTATTATCCCTGCTTTATAGGTGAGTGTATTAGTCAGCTTAGGTTGTCATAACAAAATACCATAGAATGGGTAGTTAAACAACATTTATTTTCTCACAGTTCTAGAGGCTGCAAGTCTGAGATCTGTGTGTCAGCATGGTCAGGTTCTGGTGAAGACTCTTTTCCAGTTTGCAGATAGCTACCTTCTCACTGTGTCCTCACAAGGACTTTCCCTGGTGCAGGCAAGTAGAGAAAGAAAAAGAGAAAACTCTTCCCCTTCTTATAAGGCCACTAATCCTATTGAATTAAGACCCTACATTTATGACTTCATTTAACTTTACCTCCTAAAGGCCCTCTCTCCTCACACAGTTGCCTCAACATTTGAATTTGGGGGGAACACAAATCTGTCCATAGCAGTAAGAATCACTATCCAAGAATGATTACATAACTTTCTCAAGGTCACACAGTGGTGAATGATGGAGTTTCAATTTGAATCATGGCAGGCTGGCTCAAGAGACCATACTTAGCTGCGATCTTATGCTTCCTCTAAGGATCAATGAAAAGAGGGCATATTAGGTATGACATAGCTGTCTCCATTAACGGTTTCTCTCTACTCAATACTTTATTGTGATTTCTTGTTTAACAACGTGCTTTTATTCCAATCTAATTTCCTCCCAAATTATCTGTTTTCTATTAGTGGAACTGTAACAGCATGACTTTTCCTTTTCCAAAACCAGTACAACTAACAAATGTAACATGGGAGAAAATAGGCTAAATTGTATTGACTACGTGCTATTAGCTTCTAGGGACAGATTTATTAAATAGCACCCTTCAATTGCATTCAGGTTTTCAGAAAACCTATTATTCTATACCATCCTTCACTTTGTATCATTGCTAAGGGTCTCTTCACTCAGTTAAGTCACTAGAAGTGCCAATTAAAGGTGAAATTAAGGAAGCTCAGTTCACACACTTGCAGGGACACTGGTGTTTACCTGCTAATGGATAGACAATGGGCTGAAAAGAGGGATTAAAGCAGTTTTTATTTTCTTAAGTCAGATCCAGCTCTTTCTGGACTGCATATCAACCAATACAGCCTGGAATTTTAAAAATGAAGAATATGCAATCCAGCCAAGATGACCTATATGTCTAAAACCATATGCTGAACTGCTTACTCCAAGGATATTTCTACATTATAGGCCAAAAAGGCTTCAGACAGAAGCATGGATATGCTAATAATCAGGTCTGCCACTCTAATCATCTCCTCTGGTTCCTTGACACACATCCTCCACTTCAAGGAGGCTGATCACTCCTCACTGCCCTGGGCACACGTTCATACATACTTCTTGATTATGTTTATTTTGTCTTTCCTGCTAGCAAGGCCTACCCATTCAATCTGTCCAAATTTCATCTTTCAGCCTCGTTCAATTATTAAATATCATATCCTCTTGAATTTTTCTGTCAGCCCTTCAGATTCAATTTTAACTTTAATCACATACAGCTCTACATTAAAATGTCAGTAAGGAGACTTCTACTGGTCACATGTATCTAATTCTTCTTTCCTCCTCAATGCATGAGATGATTACCTATTTCCCCTTTACAAATGGGCAGGACCATGAGACTAGTTATGGCCAATGGATTGTATATGAAGATAAAGTATGTCATTTCCTAGCTGGAATATTTAATTGCCAGAGTGAAACCCTTCTTAACTTCTCTTCTGCTGGACTTTGAAAATAGACAATATTCCAAGTGGTAGCCTCCGTCAGCCAAGGTCTGTAATAAAGATGAGGTAGGGCGGAGTATCCTGTTAAAGCACAAGAATGCAGTGTGCACAAGAAATAAGCCTTTTTGGTGTAAGCCACCAAAATTGATGAGTGTAGCTATGTGTGTGTGTAGTAAGGAGTGTTAATATAGTTGAACCTAACTTATTCTAACTAAAGTATCTTCTGCTTTGAGATTATATATTTTATGCTTCTAAGGGTCTTCATTTATTCTACACTCAACAAATATTTATCAGAGCACCTACTGTGGGTCAGTGAATGGCCTAGGCACTGAGGACACAATGGCAAGCAAAACATATAAAGCCCTTGAGCTAATGGTGATTATATCTAGTGAGGAAGATAAATGCACTCCAAATAATTACATGAATAAATACAAATTTTAAACCAAAGTCAGTGCCTTGAAGAAAAAATACATCTGACCTCGTGAGGAGGACTGTGCTGAGGTGTCAGAGAAGGCCTTTCTGAGGAAGAGATTTCTGAGCGGTGTTACAAAGACAAACGAAGGGCAAATTAGGTAAAGTCTGGCAGGGGTGAGGAGAAGAGTATTTCAGGTAGAGGATGCAGCAGGTCTGCATGTTTTCAGGCAGTGGGGAGCATAACTAATGTGAAGGAAGGAAGGAAAGCAGACGGGGGTACCTAACTGTAGAGGACCTTGTAGGCCAACCTAAGGATTGTGAACTTTATCCTAAGAGAAAATGGAATGGAAGCGACGGAAGAATTTAAAGATGGTAGAAAGAGGGTATCATCACACCTTCACTGTGACATGGGGAAGTTCCCTCTCAAGTTTAGCTTCTAATATAAAAACTCATGACACCAATTCTTTGGTATGATCAGAGAAGGATTTTTATTACTCATACAAGTGGACAGTCCCATATCAAGGAATGGGGACCAGCTCTCTGGAAGGAAGTCCATAACAGAGAGAGAAAGAGCATAGGGTGCACAGGCCTTTTATGAGAGAAGTCCCTCTGGTGGCACCTGGAAGAGACAACTAGAGAACCCCCGCACTTGGAGGGTGAGGAGGCTGTGCTTTATCATGGAGCTTCAGGAAGTGACAGATCCAGGCATGAAATGAGGTTTAGAGGTTACTAGCATCAACTCAAGCACCACAGGAGTTTCGGTTTCTTTCCTATGGTCTCCATAGAAGAAGGGGGAGGCACATACCATGATTAGATTTGAATTTCAAAGGATTTTTTCTGGCTACAGTGTAGAGATTAGATTGGATACCAGTTAGGAGGGTGCTCCTAATTTGGGCACCAGATAGGAGACTTGTGCAGTAATCCATGTGAGAGATGATGGCAGATTACACTACAGTACTGGTGGTGGAGGTAGAGAGAGGAGGACACAAACGAAAGGTATTTAAATGGGTTTGGTTTTCAATATGATGGGGTGGGGTGATAAGCAGGGAGCTGTTAGAGATTTATCTCAGAGTTTTGATTTTGAAAGTAGATGTTTGATGGTATCATTCACTGAAATAGAGAACACTGGGAGATAGAGGGAGTTAATTTTTGGTAGTATTTAATCAAAAGTGCCTTTGAGACATATGGATAGAGATTTCAAAAAGGCTGAATGATACACAGGTCCGGAGCTCAGAGGGAAGGCCTAAGTTGAAGATAAAATGTGTGAGTCCTGTATACATGACAGGGAATTAAAACTAGGTGTAGAGATATTAACTTGAGAAAAAATAGGTGGATCTATGACTTGAGGGACTTGAACATTTAGAGGACATGACACATTGCACACTGGCTGCATTCATTCTCCTCTCCATCTCTCTATTAAATCCAACATCTGGGTCCCTCTCACCCATAGTTTCTGCCATCTGGTTCTTTTATCCTGTGTATGGGTTATATTTTTTGTTTCTTTCCATGCTTTGTGATCTTTGGTTGGAAAGTGGATATTGCAGATAATATACTGTAGCAACTCTTCTTACTCCCCCTACCACCACCCAGGGCTTGCTATTATTCTTTGGTTGTTTAGTGAGGGGCTGGATTATTTTAATAAGTATATTTCCTTCACAGTCAGGTGAGTTAATTTCCCTCAGTTAAGTCACTGAGTTTGCTATCAGGGAGGTACATCTTTGGGTATGTCCACAGACAGCCCAGCCGGCATGAGAGTGATGTTCGTGTGATTGTCCTTCACTCTTTCCTTAACCACATTCAGCTGTTCAACTCCACTAATTGGTGAACAATTGCTGTGTTATTTTCAACAGTGCTTTACAACCTTATATTGTTCAACACACTAATACAATCGAATTGTGTCTCCTTTGAAGAAATAGTTCGAAGTCAGGGCTCCTCCCAGCTGTGTTATTTCTCTGGTTCTCTCCTGCAAACTAGTCTGCAATTTAGCCTGTATCTTGACTCTCCTCCCAATTGCCTTTCACCATAGCTTCCACTGTTCTTGAGCGCACTCTAAGGCTTGAACTTTTCCATACTTTGTTGCAAATGAAGCCATGCCCTTTGGGAAGAGATTAAGAATATTTATTTTATGATGGATTATTGCCCCCGCCACCACCAGGCAAAATCTCTAAGCCATGTTTCTCAAGATGGAGGTGGAGAAAATGGAGAGGTTCTTCCTGCATGACTGCATGAAACTCCCACTCTAGGAGCTTAGCTTAGTTGGGAGGTGGCAGCACTCTAATATCTTCTATATTTATCTCTCCTGGTGTGGAACCCCCACCTCAGGAGGCCAGGCAAGGATGATGAGGCCTCTGTATTCTTAGCATGCAGTGCCTAAGGTATCCCCTCCATTCAATGATGGGGGATTTGGCAGGGGAGGAAGCCCCTACCTCTCTACTGTATTCACCAGAGCTTAGCCTTAGCAATGGGTAACTATGGCCAGGATGAGAAACACTGAAGTTCTGTTCCTTCCAGGAAGAAACCTTCCAGCTGGAGGGGAGAGAGCTCTGTGTTCTTGATTGCACCAGCCTGGAATGGAAGCTCCATCTCCCTGAACTTGGAAGGGGGTGAGAGGGAGCAGTCTTGGTTTAAATACCACAGGCTTGCCTTTCTTATTGAATTTTCATAAATGTTCTTGAATAGATGTTTCTTCATTTGCTATTTGTCCTTAGGATCATTTCCAGAGGATTTAAGTGCTTGGAGTTTTTATTTGTTTGATCATAGTTTTCACTAGTTTTACTGGGGAGTGGGTTAAAGGAAGCCCTCAAGATGTTATGCCAAAAGTCTTCTCTCTCTGTATTTCTGCCTTCAGTAGGCTCTTCCCATGTGACTCTGGGCATTGGCCAAGAGAGTGCTAGCAAATGTGATATAAGCAAAAGCTTAAGAAAAGCTTGCTCTGTGAGGTTTGCCCTCTGTCAGCATGGAAGCCCTTTAATCAGCATTTGAAAAAGTCTGAGCTAGTGTCCTGGACACAGTGAGAGAATATGGTAAGAAAGTGGAGAGAAAGGCTGCAGCTATTCCAGGAGACCCAGGCTTCACAGATCAAGCCGAGAGAGAATAGTGTCAGAGGAGCCAGGAGAAGAACACACTTCAAATTGTGAGAAATCAAGGAAGAGAAGAATTGCAATATTCATTACATTTAGAACTATCCAGGTTATTGTTCTTCTTACTAAAAATGATTTTATTGGTAAAATGGGAACAAGAGACAGACTAGAATAGGATCGGCTGTGATAGGGAAGTGAGGAATATAGCTAGAGAGAATAGGCAAAACTGGGCAAGTGTGGCTTTGCAAGGGAGACAAGAGATGAGGCAGTCATTAGAATAGTGGTTCCTAACTGGGGTGGGGGGTGGGCATCTTTCCAGGAGATATTTGGCAATGTCTAGAGACAACTTTGATTGCCACAACTTGTGGGGCGAGGGACACAATATTTTCATGGGTAAAGAATGCTGCTAAATATCCCAAAACGCACAGAACAGCCCCAAAGTAAAGAATTATCTAGCCCCAAACGTCAAGAGAAACCCTAACATAGGGAAATAAGTGGTTGAAGGTGAGGTTTTTGTTTTGTTTGTTTTTAATGCAGAAGACACTTGAATGTATTTTGAGTCTCATGGAAAGTATCTAGTTGAGAGAAAGGTTAAAGGTACAGAAGAGAAAGGTGTAATTTTCCAAAGGTAACAATTATTATTATTATTATCCTTTTTTTTTTACAGATGAGGAGACTGAGAGGGTAAGTGATTAGTCCCAGGTGAAGAAGGCAGTGGAGCTCAGATTCCAATGTTGGCCTATTTGACTGCAGGCCAAGTTGCTAAAGGAGTTCTTTGTCCTTCTGCTGTACTCCCAACACAATGGCATCAATACCAAAAACACACCCAAGCTAATATCATAGATATCTCTTACTCACCTTCTAAACTCTCTACTCTTCCATCAGACCCACATTTTCTTTATTGAACCACCTTATTAGCTTATTGTTAAGTCTGAGTGTATCATTTAGGGAAGAGACCTTCACTTATAGTTTAGGTTTCAATCCTCAGTACCATTTGTAGCCATTTGGCTTCTGCATAATTTCCTCTTTGAGACTCATCTGTCTAAAGATTTCACCTCTGCTTAGCCGCGCCTTTCCTTGAAATACTCTGCAGTTCCAGCAACTGACAGCTCGTGCGGGCAGCACTGAAAAATGGACCAACCCAATTGAAAGCTGAACTCTCTCCTGAATCTGGTTCTGGACTCTGACCCTTTTTTAGGTGTTCCAATTGTTCCCTGCCCCTAAGGAATGAGATTGCAGAATTCCAAACACTACCATTTTTCAATATCTAAGTCCTTTAATTGTGCAGTAACAATAACCGTGCAGTTAGAGGAGTGCCCTAGAAGCACTTATACTATACCCCAGGGACTATTATGGCAGACGAAGGGAAGCAAGAAGATGAATGGCAAATGAGGAAATGCAGGGAGGAAAGGTCACTTGGAGCCAAACAATGCACTAAAATGCTGACATATCTATGCAAAGAACTTTTACAACCTATACCCATGAGGCACAAACAGATCCTTAAAGTGTCCAGGGAATGTCAACCTTCCTTTCAGGAAATTTGTCTCAACTCAGAGGAGACTAAGGAAGTGTTAACTTAATGCCGTGGAGTCAAGTGTGGAAGATTAAGAAGAGTCATGTGTCTGCTTTGTTGCTTTAACAGATTCTGTACCTGAGCTATTTTTAAAATTTCTTTGAATACATTTCATGAACTCCTTTTTCTATTTATTCCAGCTTTTGATACTTTTCCATCTGATAAAATTTTGCATTAGGATTGTATCTGGGCATACTTTAGGATTGTATCTGGGCATGCTTTTTTTTTGTTTTTGTTCGTTTGTTTGTTTGTTGTTTTGAGACGGAGTCTCGCTCTGTCGCCCAGTCTGTAGTGCAGTGGCGCCATCTCGGCTAACTGCAAGCTCCGCCTCCGGGGTTGACGCCATTCTCCTGCCTCACCTCCCGAGTAGCTGGGATTACACGCCCCCACCACCACGCCCGGCTAATTTTTTGTATTTTTAGTAGAGACAGGGTTTCACCGTGTTAGCCACAATGGTCTCGATCTCCTGACCTCATGATCTGCCCACCTTGGCCTCCCAAAGTGCTGGGATTACAGGCGTGAGCCACCGCACCCAGCAGTATCTGGGCATGCTTTTAAACAACCCAGTGCAATTCACCCTTTACTTAATGATGAAGGTATCCTTCAGCACTAACCCCTCATGGACTTGAGGTATTTCTCCTTCCTCCCTGCCATCTTCCTTTCCCCTTTCTACTATCTCCTTTTCTCTTCTTCCTCTATACCTACTTTCCCTCTTCCTGCTCTTCCTCCTTCCCTCCATCTTAATCTTCTTTACTCTGCAGTCTTCGCAGAATTTAAACTCTGATGTGTTTAAACCCAAATCTCACAAAGAATATAGACTATATAAAGTATAAATAACCACCCTGGACTATACAGTTATTTTTAATTTAAGATATACACTGTTACATGTTAAAATTTCAAAGTGCAGCATTTTCTAGGATATTATTAAGTATATTAATCTATTGAGAAGCAATAAAATTTCACTATTATTACTTTGCCAAGTTTTTCTGTTGCTTCTTTTGAAAGTGCATAAAAGTAGTTTAGTTAATTTTTCCGTGCTTCAGTGTATTCAATACTGCATTATTGGAGCAGAATAAATGGTTGAAATGGCAATTTGCCACAAACTCTTCTACCACTTTGAGAGGAGTATATCAGAAGAGAGTATCATTTACTGTTGACTAAAACATTAAAAGATGGAAGAATAATATTTGAATTAAGTGCTTTTCATGAAAAACCAGTAAAAATCTACCAGAAAAATATTGAAAACACTTTGGATCCAGCCCAGCCTTTTATTTTAGAGCTTGAATTACAGTTTGGAGTTTGTGCTGTTTTCCAAAAGGGCTGAGGTTAAGAGAGGTAGGATTCAATGAAGATCTAGGATCTTTTAATCTGAAAATATTTTATTTCTATACAGTGACTGAGACAAAGATATTAACAATTTATATTAAACTAAAACATGGCAACATCATCTTCCTGTCTCTCTTCCCACTGTACTATTGCTTTACTCAATTGTTGCTTTATTCTCCTTTCTAACATTTGCGTGTCATAGGACCTGTTAGAGACCTTGATAAGACATAAAAATAACCATCTTGCTGGTGAGAACCATGTCTCAAAGCCTAATGCCAACAAAGTGATGGTGAGGAAAGGTGACATTGGAAAATGCCATGATAAATAATTTTGAGTCTCTGGACAGACTGATTATTGAATTTCTTTCTTAAAAATAGCTGACCCTCCTAATCACCCTCACTTAAAGGAATGACTCAAGGCTGGTTTGGTGAGGCTATTTGCTCCTGTTGATTTTAGGGCAATTGTGTAGCTCTAACAGCCCCTGAGCAGTCTGCAGAGAGCAGCCATTTCACCACCTAATCACTATAGAATTCAAATCTGAGGCTGACAGCCTAAAAACAGCCACCCCTCATTTTCAAGTGAAAATGATGAACAGCTCAACAGATCATAATGTGTGGTCTCCTGAACAAACTGACCTATGTCTGAGCTGCCTTCCATACTGTAGATGGTCCCATACTGGGCTTGGGGGCAGTATTCTGGTTTAAAATACTCACTCTGGCCAATTTATCTATCTCTGTCACATCTGCCACCCAAGTGCTGAGACTCAGACAAGCTGTCCTTACCATTTGCCTCAAGTCACAGATAATGATACTGGCAAAGTGGTGGGCAAGCAACCTACCACAGACAATGACAGACATAATGAATTACTTGGAATTAAAACTCAGACCCCAAAACTTCCCATGTTCAGCAATTATTACAGGGAGGTCGGGAATTAGTTTGTCTTCAGGAAGCTAAAAGAGTTTAATACCCACTGTACCTTAGGTTGACAAGAAATAAGAGATCAGCCAAAGCATTGTATGACAATATTTGTCTTTCACAAGTCGGAGTGCTGGACCAAGAGACTTTCTAAAGTATCCTGGGTTCCCAACATGCTATGCATTGAAGAAGGACACCCATTTTTCTAACTTTATTGAAAGATTATTCAACTATAGAAGCCATTTGCTCTAGCTGTGGAGTCCTTAGCATTTGCCAGGTTTTAACAGTGAGGGGCTTATTTTGCAGAATATGTTTTCAGACCCAGGCCTTCACTTGCCCTAAGTTATCTATTGTGAAAAGCAACCCATGTAAAGCACTCTCTAACTGATAAACTGCTACACGCATATTAGGAGTTATTTAAATTAATGAGCTATCATGATACCCATCCTGAAGGGCCAGTAACTCATTTTTACCTTGTATAACCGAGTTGTGTATTACATTCTAGTATTTATTCTGGTCCATCGAGAAGTCTCCCTCTTCAAACTATTATGTTCTGCACACATATAACATAATAGCTTTCCTTGTTTGCTCTTTCTCTTACATCCCTGTTTTTATATAACTGAGTTTGGCTCTAGTTTTCAAACAGAAAAGTTTTGATTCTCAAACAAAATGTCAGGCTCCTAATAAGGCTTAGGAAATTCTATTTGTTGCCAATGAGACCAAGCTGGAAACCAAGAATTCCTAAAGGAGTGTTGCATGCCAGCAAACTTCAAAATTGGTTGTTATGTGATTACATTTGGCTATTTCCAAATCATCTTAAAGTTTCCTTTCCTAAAGGGAATATAACTGCAGTTCTTCCAGCACTTTTGTGTAGAGAGCACTTTGCCGTCTTTTGAGTAACTTCCTGATATCCCTTGGAAGGCAAGGCTCAGCAGGTTCTTTCCTTCTCTCTTAACTTGCCATATCCTTCCTGATTCACGGAAACAGGAGAATTCCTGGGTATGCAGCTCAGGACTAAAAATCTAGTGTGGGCGGCCCGGGGGAGGTAGCTCTCAGGAGCTAGGTAACAGCCTACAGATTGTAAGTCTTACATTTTGTGAGGACAAACCAGTCCAAGTAGTCCAGTTAGTCAGACTTCCCAGATGCTCCCTTGTCTAGATGTTTAGTTCATCCTGAGCATCAAGAGAAAACTGAAACTTGTAGGATATGCACACCTGCTGCTGAAAGCCGATAAGATCTTCAAAGTGAAATGTAGATACTGATAGAGAGGAATTTATATTTTTCAAAGGCATATTTAAGAGGAAGCTTGTTTAGGCAACTGATTTACAAGGATATGCTAGGTTGGCTCTTAAGGGCCAGGCACGGTGGCCCATGCCTGTAATCCCAGCACTTTGGGAGGCCGAGGCAGGTGGATCACAAGGTCAGAAGTTCAAGAACAGCCTGACCAACATAGTGACACCCTGTCTCTACTAAAAATACAAAAATTAGCTGAGCATGGTGGTGCACGCCTATAATCCCAGCTACTCAGGAGGCTGAGGCAGGAGAATCACTTGAACCCAAGAGGTGGAGGTTGCAGTGAGCTGAGATGGTGCCACTGCACTCCAGCCTGGGTGACAGAGCAAGACTCTGTCTCAAAAAAAGAGTAGCTCCAAAGGCAATCAAGGTAGTAATTTGTAATGCTTGATATACTGATATACTCTCAAAGAGATGTAAAAAATGGACCTCAAATATTAGCTTACTAGCGAGTGTAGTTAATAGTGCCACTAATGTATTGTGAGTGGAGCTCCTTTATATAAAAGTCATCCAAAGCTAAAAATAATTCCCACTCTTGAGTTATTCTACCAGGTTTTCCCTATGGATACTTGTTATATTCTTGGGATCATATTGTGGCCTGGGTTATGCCTGAATTTACATAACAATAAGCTAAATTATAATGGAATTCTTTGGTGATTGAGTAATGCCATATATAAGTTCTGTATATGGAGAAACCAAAGCATAGGTATATTAAATTATTTTCTTCATACTGCAGAAATATAGTAGAAAATTGTATGATTTTCTCTGAGGACTTACAGAGGGAGAGGATGGTAGTTGTGCAGAGTGCAATTCTAATTTTATGCTGAGAATGATAATGGCTTGCTGTTCTTATATACAGAACTACTGAAGACAGAATGAGAAAAATGGGATGAATAAAACAATTTCAGGTTAACTATTGTGAAGTTGAAAGCTCATAATTAACAAATAAATGCTGAACCCCTACAAATAGCAAGAAGTCTCTATTAGAACCTATGGTTGATGAAGATATCACTCACAATGCTTTTAACCTTTGAGATGCTTACAACTTACTTGGGAAGGCAAACCCTTCATGTACAGAAAGTTAACACAGGAAAGAGCTGCCAATTAGTGAGATAACTTAGTATAAAGGAGGTTGAATTGAGAATCATTATGTAGATTCTAATTCTGACTTAGCCACGAACTACCTTAATGACCTTAAGCAAGTTACAATCTCCTTGGGCCCCAACTGGTCACCTACTTATAGTTAACATTTATTGAATGCTCACTATGTGTGCCAGATGTCTTACACATATTCTCTCATTTCATCCTCAAACTGAAGCAAAGTAAGTTTAAGTAACTCATCCAGGATTATACTGCTAGTATGTGGCAGAGGACTCAACCTTGTATTCTGAAAGTTAAGGCAGTGTCAGAATGATGTATATGTGTGCATGTGTGTGTGTGCGCATGCACATTTGTGTGAGAGAGAATGTAAGAATATATGATAGGCTGGGCGCGGTGGCTCATGCCTGTAATCCCAGCACTTTGGGAGGCCAAGGCGGGTGGATCACGAGGTCAGGAAATCGAGACCATCCTGGCTATCACGGTGAAACCCCGTCGCTACTAAAAATACAAAAATAATTAGCCGGGCATGGTGGCGGAAGCCTGTATTCCCAGCTACTCAGGAGGCTGAGACAGGAGAATGGCGTGAACCTGGGAGGCGGAGCTTGCAGTAAGCCGAGATCGTGCCACCGCACTCCAGCCTGGGCGACAAAGCAAGACTCCGTCTCACAAAAAAAAAAAAAAAAAAAAAGAATATACGATAGGTTTTCCTGGTTGTATTAGAAACACACGTGATAAAGAATCTACCAAACTATCTGGTTTAACTATGAGACATGATAAGTAGACAATTCACATCAAATTGTAGTGGAGAGCCCATTCCTTGACTGCCTCTATGACCAAGTGGGCCTGATTCTCTGGTTCAAATCTTTACGATATGGATTAATTAATGTCAAGTACAGATATGTTACTATCAACATTAAGAAAAAACTTCCCCATAAAAAGTCACCTGCTATATTTTATATTTGAGATTACATGCATTATCTACTCTCTAAATCCAGCAAATCTGTTTCTGTATAGACCTGATTTAGGGAGATTTTTATGTTATCTTTCCGGTTTTCCTTATATAACTGTAGACCTAGCAGAGGACACCTCCATTTTTGTTTCATTTATTTGCTTTATATTATTTTAAGAAGAAACATGAAACAAAGCAAATCCACTTTATGATTATAACACAAAAGTTATGTGTTTAATTTACATGTGATTAATAAGCATTTAAACCTATTTTCATTGTATGAGCCACTTCAAACATCAGAGTTAAAGCTTCTTTAAGGAAGATTTTCAAAATAGTATAGGCAGAGTACAGAACTGGTCTGATGGTATCTATCCTAAATGTTATTTTTATTAAGAGATCTTTACATTTTTGGTACTTCATGATTCATTTAAAAGATTATAGTTTTCTGATTTTTGTTCTGCGTATCTCACAGTGTCTTTGGAAAAAAGCCATATACCTCTGATCTAAGACCACCAGCTTACTATGCACAAAGGCTAATAACTCAGTATTTTCAGCCCAGTAGCTAGGTAGTTAGCTCTATCTTTTGAGGGAAGGCCAGATAAAAGTAAAAGAGGGAACTCATACTTGTTATCATTATAGGTGGTCATATAAACTCATATTAATAGAATTTATATTTGATAAATGATTTAATTTATTTTATAATTAGATCTTCAGTAATATTCATAAGTATTATAAAATAGATGCTACATTTTCCTGGAGGGATGTGGATATCTTATTTATCTTTGTGTCTCTCAAACACAGATACTCAATTTTTGTCAAATGAATAAATGGATGAATAGACAGATATACAGATAAAAGAATATATAATTATAATAATGTGAACACTACTTGAATCAAGAAAACAAAGCCCAGGATATCACTTAAGATATTCTTGGCTGCCCTTTCCCTTGACTGAGTCTAGGCTATGAGGTGGATAAGAATATTTCTTCTCTAAAAAGACTTTTGTAGTTAAAGTTTATTTTGTTGTTATCTTTTGGCTTTCTGAGAAATTGGTTTTATTACTGTTTTTAATTTCTTCTTTTTTCCTCGTTTTATTTCTGGATAATTTAAAGCTTAAATAGGTTAAAAAAGTACCAGTTATGATTAAAGAAACAAGTTATTCCAGGGCAACTCTGAATAGAGCAATATCTTGTCTAGCTCAAAACATTTATGCCAATGGCATAAATTGAGTGTTACAGAAGAAGAGCAATTTCAAAAAAAATTGTCAATATTATTAGCAATATTTGAGTCCATACTACATGCTAGGCATGATTCAAAGTTCTTCATAAATATTAATTTATTTAATCCTCACAACAAACCTGCGTAAGAAAGATAATGTTGTAACATTTATATTAATATTTTCATGTAATATCAGCTTTTGTGATAGATATTGATAGTAAATAGAAGAAAAAAGAACTAAGGAATATTTCTTTGGGATTATAAAGAGTAAAGATTATTTTTCTGTGTATTTAGGTAAATTTATACTATTCTCTTATATCTAATGTCAATAAAAATACCTAATGCAAAGGGATTGAATTTTTTTCCCCAAACACATTGCAATTTAGAGATTGCACTCCAGTGTTTTAGAAACTAAAGTATGGTGGTCAGTAACTTTTTACTTTTCCAAATATGGACAGTTAAAAATCCAAAACACAAGTACTATCTACTGTCACCATCATTTCCTCTTAAAAAAGATCATTTTAAAACTAAAAAGTTTGGAAGGATATAAACTCACAATAAAGATCATTTCATTTAATTGAACAAATTTAGCTTTGTGAAAGATTCATGATGTCTAATTTCTGATTTCAGAGCTTGCCAATGAAAATTTTACCATGGACTGGCTTCAGTCTTTGCAATGACATTTAGGAACCACCAAACGTTAACATGACAGCCACATTTATTACTAAGTTTTTCTGAAAGCAGATGTAACAGATGTAACCTAGATTTAGTAGGCCTCTACTTTTTCCCTCCCTCTACATAGAAGCCATATTCAGCAACTTAATGTATTTTGTCCAAAAATAGATCCAACTCTACAACCCAGTGGGATGTTTCCTCTAAAGATTATAAAAATATAGAGAAACAATTTTACCTCACATTCCACACAGCAAAGCTCCATAAATATCCCCGTTAAACATCTCTGTTATTCCCTCAAAATCCATCTCATAATGTCAGCCTCCTCACTTCTCCTTTCTCTGTCCCTGATATGATTAGGCTTTGTGCCCCTACCCAAATCTCATCTTAAATTATAATCCCCATAACCCCTTCATGTCAAGGGAAAGACCAGGTAGAAGTAACTGGATCATGGGGGCAGTTTCCCCCATCCGGCTCTTGTGATAGTGAGTGAATTCTAAAGAGATCTGATAGTTTTCTAAGGGGCTCTTCCCCCTTCACTCTTCACTCTTTTTCCTCTCACCTGCCACCATGTAAGACATGCCTCTTCCCCTTCCTCCATGATTGTAAGTTTCCTGAGGCCTCCCAAGGTCTGTGGAACTGTGTCAATTAACCCTCTTTTCTTTATAAATTACCCAGTCTCAGGTATGTCTTTATAGCAGTGTGAAAACTGACTAATGCAGCCCCTTTATATCCACAGTCCGTAAAATTCTCACCCCATCCAACCCTGCTCCCTCTTTCTCGTCACTTCAAGCTCTAAGCTTTCATGTCCCACTTAATAAAACCCTAACCTGGCATTAGCTAAACCTGTGTCCACTCCTCCCATAGCATATTATATTTTCCAAAGATTAATATACAGATCTTCTTATGTTACTTTACGTTGTGACTGGTAGAATCTATGAGTTGGATTTACGTTCTTTTCCTTTGAATATTGAAGGATACTTGTTGTTGATCCAACCCATGAAGTGTGGTTGAAGTGATGCTCTGTGGTTTCCAAGCCAAAGCATAAAAAGGACACAGATTCTAACAGGTTCTTACTCTCTCTGGGGATGCTTGCCCTTGGATATCAGCTATTATGCTATGAGGAAGTTCAAACTAACCCTCAAGGAGAGAACTCATGGAGATGAACTGAAGTCTCTAGCCCACAGCCAGCATCAACCACCAGACATGAACAACTTTTCAGATGATTTCAGCCCTCAACCTTTAGAGTCTTCCAGCTAAGGCCTTAGACATTACATAACAAGAGACCAGCTATCTCTACCCTACCTTGTTCAATTTCTTGACTCACAGAAACCATGAGAGAATAAAATATTATTGTTTTAAGCCACAAAGCTTTGGGGTGACTTTATATGCAGAAATAGAAAACTAATACATCCCCTTAAAAAGGAACTCCATGACCGTATATTACTCTTATCTTCTACTTGGAGGAAGGGAGCCATTAATGTTTCATCATCTTTTTTCTTTAACTGCTTTTCAAAATACTCACTAAATAAGTTCGGGTCTCATGCAATTAAACATAAGGCAGTATATGTTCTAGCCACTTATGTAGAAATGTTTACAGACTATAAGAAATGGTTTCATGTTTATGTGAGAAAAGTGAAAATGGGAATTGGGTTCTAGTTATTTGGAAGAGAGATGCAGCAATTATAAAAGATATTTTGCGATTTAATGCATCAAAATATTTACTGGTTAAATATTTACATTGTCTAGAATTTTTTTTTTGTCTAGAATTTCGAAGCCATAAAAATGAAACAATTAGACTATTATTTTAGGTTTCATATGTTTCATAGGAAAAAAATAATGATTTTACTGGAGCCAACTAAATTTCTCATTAACACTCACTTGATAAAATTGAAAATAAAACTGAACATTAATCCGATCAGAAAAGCACTCCTAATGCCTCAGTTATATTCTTCAGTAAGCTTGTAAATCTCCATTTCCTAACATCATGTCACAGTTCTCAATCTACTCTTGACAAGACATTACAAAGGCTGGGCAGGCCCAGCGCTTATCAAATTATTTATACTGCTCACAGTGCTATAAATTACAAGGAATATTATGAACAATTAATATTATATAATTCATTTGTATAAATATGACTAAAAAGTAGCAATACTCTCCCATTTGCTTTACCCATCCAATTTAAACTGTACATATTTGAGAGAAAGGGAGAAACTAGTAAAAAGACTTAGTAAAGAGGAGTTACTCTACAGTCATATTAAATGTTAGACCCCACTTAACGCTCAATTCCTTGGAAGCTTTAATGTTTCCTAGTTTTTTTGTTTTGTTTTGTTTTTGAGACAGAGTTTTGCTCTTGTTGCCCAGGCTGGAGTGCGATGGCACGATCTCAGCTCACTGCAACCTCTGCCTCCCAGGTTCAAACAACTCTCCTGCCTCAGCCTCCCAAGTAGCTGGGACTACAGGCATGCGCCACCATGCCCGGCTAATTTTTGTATTTTAGGAGAGACGGGTTTCACCATGTTGGCCAGGCTGGTCTTGAACTCCTGACCTCAGGTGATCCACCGGCCTCGGTCTCCCAAAATGCTGGGATTACAGGCATGAGCCACCACACCTGGCCTGTTTCTTAGTTTTAAAAGGGATGAATAGCAAGAAATGATATGGTGACAATTATTCTTGGCATGGGTTTGAGAAGAAATGATATTATAAGAATTCTTCTTGGCATGGGTTTGAGAAGAACCAGGTATTTATTAAAAGAAGAGATTCTCCCAATAATTATCTTAGCATAGAAGCCAATCTTCTATTTCAGGATTACTAAACAAACATCTTGGCAGTTATTTGAGCAGGATTCAGCATGAAAGAGTGTGTTTACATGGAAGATTTAGACCTAAAATTGTAGGGAAAAAAGCCGGGAAGATTAACAAGTCAGAAATGGCCGTTATTATTAGAGATGGCAGGTCTAAAGATACTTTAGCCCTAACTGTGGCACCAGCATATTGAATAAGAATTCATTCTTATTCTCAAAGACCTAGCTGCAAATGGCACTGCCCTGAAGGTTTCCCTTCTTACCTTTCAGGATATCCCTACCATGTCAGGTAAGAGAGCACTTTCAGAAAGATTCACAAGAATGCCATGTATGTGCCCCAGACCTTTTTCTCCTTGGTTTCTACAGTGAAATTAAGTGGACTTACATTAAATAAGTTCACGTATTGAGTGAGGCACAGGACAGTGCTGACGATGTAATAAGTGCACAAACATATTTGTTTAATCTAAATCTTTGATCAGAAATTATGTAACATACCCTATATAATTTTTTAATTATAAATCTGAGATTCCAACAGAAATATTTACAGATTAATTTTCCTAGACTAGTATAAGGTTCATAATTGCTAAAGTTTAAAACAAAGCAAATATTCAGGAATAAGAAAATGTATTAGAGTGATTACAATTATTACAATTAAACTAGTTTTTACTTGCCCATTCTAAAGTAATCAATGCAAGTATTTAATAAGTAAAAGAAGAGGTTATATAAGCTTTTATATATATACTTTATATAAGAAATTGGTAACCATGGTTGTGCCTCTGGAGAGGGACTGGGAGTTTCATCTTAATACTTATTCTTCTCATGTGCATGCACATTTTCAGAAAAACTAAAACACTATGTATAATACTAGTTGATACTGGTAAATGTTTAACCCATCCAAGTAGTGATCATTTCAACTTTAGCAGGTATTTCCCTCAGGCAATATCTGCTTGGCAATTCAGCTGGTATCTGCAGTCTGGGTACCAAATCAGTTATTCTGTTCAGTGGGTGCCTGCCAACTCACAGGAACATGCTGCCCCATCCAAATCCATTCCTCTGCCCAAAATAGGGAGGGAATCCCTGGGAATATCACACAAATTGGCCTGAATCTACTCAGGATTCCAGCTTTCGGGACACTGCAGGGATTACTCAGCTCCTCCTACTCCAAGCCTGAGGATTCCAACCAGTATAGCGAGGAGCATTTTCTTTTTTAATATTTTTGTCCCAATCATTTTAACCATGGCAAGAGCCAGCTATAAGGATTGCCTCTTGTAGCAGGAGGGTGCTGGGGTATTTCTCACAACATCTCCCTAAGGCAGGGTGCTTTTATCCCGGTTACACAGAGCCACATCCTTGCTTTACAACCCTCCCTCCCTCCTGCCCTTCGGTCTTCTTTCAATCAGATCTCCCTTCTCCATAGGGAAATGTATCACCAAGTAAGATCGACATGTTCTTTGGTGGGGATGCTGCTTCTTATTAAAGGGAATAATTAAACGGCCCTGTATTTTACTCCTCTCTAAATTCCTTTTGTGTTTCAAACAGGAGGTTGTGTTTCACTTCCTCACTGACACAGTTATAGGATACTCTTTCTGGAAGAAAGAATAAAAGCTCACCTATAAGACCTCTGTACTTCTGGTCCCCACAGACAAAGATGGAAAGGCAATTGATCGGATTCTGAATCAGGTATCAGTGCAAAAGCAAGAGTTCAAAAATCCAGGTGAGTGGCCCAGGTCTTAGATGGCAGAAAACCCCGAATAATAAAGCAGGTGGTCACATCAACAGGACACTGACTTCTAATGGGAGAAGGTGGAGTTTTGTGTGGGCCCAGAAACCACACAACTAATAACAACCTTCAGCCTGCAGGACAGCCCCTGAACACAGCCCCTTCCCCCTTGCAGTTCCTCACAGGAACTCAGACTCTCTGGCTGCCCCTACCTTGTCTATCAGTCCAATGCTAGCAACTTGATGGGGTTTGCACTGTAACTGCAACCATAGCAGAGTGCTCATTTTAGATTCATGTCTTGCAAAATATTTCGATAACATTCTAGCACCCACATACTCATTGTGGAAAAAAAAAGCAAGAAATAGTATGGGCTTTACACAGAACCAAAAGCAGCAGGCCCCTGTGTGCTTGTGAACCAAACGCAACCAAATGTTTCTATTTGTGAGCCAAGATGACTGGGGAATTTCAAATATTTCTGTATTTCATAATTACAAAAGAGGCATGCTTTCAGAATTAAATGAACACAGTTTTTAAAAAATTTATAAAGCTTGTGATAAAAATGCTTCATTTTATATGCTTATTCAGAGTCTGCTTTTAATTATTTCTTACAAATGTTTTCAGTAGATATCTTATAGTTTGGCTTTGTTCCCTGGAATCTGAGAGGTGAAACTGGCTAACAAAAATAAATTAGACTGACTAGTCCAATTCCATTGCCTAAATTGAAACAAATTTTGAGATTTAGAGAAAAGCCAAAAAGAGTTTGAAAAAAATTGCATTATAAAAGTCAATTTCTAATGTTCTAAATTCTTATTCTGAAAAACAAGGCAATAACATTTACATAACATAAATATATATGTGGCCAGATATTTAGGCATTAAAAACAAGACTGGCACTGACTTATGGAATTCTTTGTGTTTTGATGTGACAAGGACAAAAGGCTTCTTTTGCTAAAAATAACAACATCCCTACTTAAGAAACCATCTGAATGACATTCTTGAAACTATGTCTTTACTGAAAATCAGGGCTGTGGCCATGGTATCCAATCAGCTAGTCCACAATAGGTACATTTCTTTTTTTAATTATTATTATTTTTTTTGGTTGGGGAAAGTAACTTTCTTAGTTGTTGTGCTTTGCTTTTGAATACTGAGTGTTGTCATATGAAGGAGCCATTTCATATGAGATATTTTCCAGTATAGAATTAGACAGACATTTTTACATAATTCTACTTCCATATAAAGTTGCACTTTTTTTTTTTGCTATCAACTCAGTAACTTAATATGTGTGTGTCAGTGCACGTATGTGTATGTTTAGTCACCAGCAAAAGAGTTAGCTTTTCTGGACCTAAGTTCTTTTATCTGAAAATGTTATATATGATATTCAAAGCTCTTCCCTTCTAATATGAGTACATGAATGGGAGTGGCTGTTGGTAGTATAGAGAAAAGGAATATAACATGTATATTTTTACACATATTTTTCATAATAATTATAATTATGTAAAGGTTAAGGAAAGTCATATTTTAATTGCATATTTATTTCTAATAAATTAGAAAGCAGATAAAAGGACATGAGGTAGCAGACTTCAAATGCTATAACGTATTTTCTCTATCTTTTTTTCTAGTGAGATTTTGCTCAAGAGAGTGTGATGCTAAATTTTGTTCTGAAAATGAGTGAATTTTCATTCATATTTTGAGACTTAGAATTTGTCATTCTAAGTTTATTGTCTAAGTAACTAAATGGTGAATGAGTACAACATAAAAAAGAAATTGTTCTATCAATTCCATACAACATTCACAGTGGAAAGCCTGGAGAGTTTCCTGATTTATAGAGATAACAGAGTAAATAGGCAACTTGGGGAATGCTTTTTTGAAGTACATTTAAATAGACAAATTAGAGCCTTTGGCATTTCTAGCAAACATTTATGGAGGTAAAGGATAAATTATTGGTAATAGGCTCTGATCTATCTTCTTTTCTCCCGATTTTTGATTTTGTACATTCAAATCATTATAAGTTTTTAGCATACAAATGGCAAGAAACATGAATATAATATACAGTTTAACTGTGATATTTTATAATCATCTTGACAAATTTCATCATTAAACTTTGATATTATTAGATTTTACATATAGGATTTTATTTACATATTTCTTTCATACATTTTTACACTCTTGGGCAAATAATATTTCCCTTGGATGTAATAATGCCATTCTCTTTTGGCAAGAGTGTTTCTTCCAAAAGGATATATTACCAAGCATGGGAAAGAGGAACAGAATGCTTTCATGGCAAGATAAGTTAAATCAGCAGTGATCCCAAATGACTCTCTTACTCATTTGCATATCTATTTATGTGTTGTCAGCTACATACACAGTATTAAGAAATTCAAAATGTACAAACACCATAAAAGACAGAGTTTTCATCTTCAAAGAACTTATAGTGAATTGATAAGCAGAATTATAAACAAAAACCATATTATCATCTTAATAGATACAGAAAAAGCATTGGACAAAATCCAACATCCCTTCATGATAAAAACCCTCAGCAAACTAGGCATCAAAGGAATATATCCCAAAATAATAAGAGTCATCTATGAAAAACCCCAAGCCAACATCATGCTGAACAGGCAAACGCTGGAAACATTCCCCTTAAGAATGGGAACAAGACAAGGATGCCCATTCCTACCATTCCTATTCAACATAGTAACGGAAGTCCTAGTCAGAGCGATCAGGCAAAAGAAAGAAATGAAGGCACCCAAATAGGAAAAGAGGAAGTAAAATTATTTCTCTTTGCTGACGATGTGATCCTTTACCTAGACAAACCTAATGTCTCCACCAAAAGGCTCCTAGACCTGATAATGACTTCAGTAAAGTTTCAGGATACAAAATGAATGTACGAAAATCAGTAGCATTTCTATATACCAGTGACATTCAAACTGAGACCTACATCAAGAACACAATCTCACTTAACAATAGACACACACACACGCAGGTGCACACACACACACACACAAATACCTAGGACTATCAAGAAGGTGAAAGATCTCTACAAGGAGAACTACAAAACACTACTGAAATAAATGACACATGATAGACAACATAAACAAATGGAAAAACATTTCATGCTCATAGCTTTGAATGACTAATATCACTAAAATGTCCATACTGCCCAAAGCAATGTACAGATTCAACAGTATTTCTATGAAGTTATCAATGTTATTTTTCACAGAATTAGAAAAACCTATTCTAAAATGTAAAATGGAGCCAAAAATAGAGCAGAATAGCCAAAGCAATCCTAAAGAAAAAGAACAAAGCCAGAGGCATCACCTGACTTCAAATTATACTGCAAAACTACAGTAACCAAAACAGAATGATACTGGTACAAAAATAGACACATAGACCAATGAAACAGAATAGAGAACCCCAAAATAAAGCTGCACGCCTACAGCCATCTGATCTTTGACAATGTCAACAAAAATAAGCAGGGGGGAAGGGACTCCTTATTCAATAAACAGTGCTGAGAAAACTGGCTAACCACATGCAGAAGAATGAAACTGGACCCCTACCTCTTAACTCAGGATGGATTAAAGACTTAAATGGGAGACCTCAAACTATAAAAATCCTAGAATAAAACCTAGAAAATACTCTTCTGGACACTGGCCTAGGCAAAGATTTTATGACTAAGTCCCCAAAAGCAATTGCATACAAAAACAAAAATTGAAAATTAGGATCTAATTAAACTGAAGAGCTTCTGAACAGCAAAAGAAACTATCAACCAAGTAAACAGACAACCTACAGAATGGGAGAAAATATTTGCAAACTATGCATTCAACAAAAGCCTAATATCCAGAATCCATAAGAAACTTATACAAATCAATAAGAAAAAAACCAAATAACCCCATTAAAATGTGGGAAAAGGTCATGAACAGACACTTTTCAAAAGAAGACATACAAGCAACCAATAAACATGAAAATATACTCAATATCACTAATCATCAGAGAAATGCAAATCAAAACCACAAGGAGATACCATCTCACACCAGTCAGAATGGCTACTATATTGAAAAGTAAAAAAATAACGGATGTTGGCGAGACGGTAGAGAAAAGGGAATGGTTGTACACTGTTTGCAGAAATGAAAATTAGTTCAGACCCTGTGGAAAACAGTTTGGAGATTTCCAAAAGAACTAAAATTAGACCTACCATTTTGACCCAGCAATCCCATTACTGGGTATAATACCAAAGGAAAATAAACCATCCTACCAAAGAGATGCCTGCACTTGTATGTATGTTTATCACAGCACTATTTACAATAGCAAAGACATGGAAGCAACCTAGGTGCCCATCAACGGTGGATTGGATAAAGAAAATATGGTACATATACACTGTGGAATACTACACAGCCACAAGAAAAAACAAAATCACATCCTTTGAAGCAACATGGATGCAGCCATAAGCCATTGAATGAATGAATGAATGAATGCAGAAACAGCAAACCAAATGTTGCATGTTTTCACTTATAAGTGGAAGCTAAAATTTGCATACACACATACATAACGATGGGAACAGTGACACAAGGAACTCAAAAAGAGGGGAGGGAGAGAGGAGGCAAGGGCTGAAAAACTTCCAATTGGGTACTATGTTCATTATCTTAGTGACAAGATCAATAGAAACTCGAACCTCAGCATCATGCAATATATCCATGTAACAAACCTGCACATGTACCACCTGAATCTAAAATAAAAAATTTAAAAAATTAAAAAAATATTTATATGTGAATTGAAAAGAGAAGATAAATTATAGTTAGGGAATATTTAAATTGCAGTGCTCTAAGTACCTACCTCAGCATCTGGCACTATAGGCTCTCAATGCATTCCTTCAACAAATATTTATTTAGCACTTACTACATTCCAGGCTCTGGTCTATGTGCTGGAGACACATCAGTGAGCATAACAGAAAAATTGTAACTTCTGTAGTGAGTTGAACTGTGGTCCACAAAAGATAAGTTCACCCGGAATAAGAATGTAAACTTACTTGTAAAAAGGATCTTTGCAGATGTAATTAAGGTAAAGATTTTGAGATAAGATCACCATGTATTAGGGTGAGCTACAAGTCCAATGATTTATGATTTCCTCAAGAAATTATGTTTAAGATCAGAAAAAGAGAAGACACAGAGACCCAGATTAAAAAAAAAAAAAAGGCCACGAGAGGACACAGGCAGAGATTGAACCTCATGAAGCCCCATGCCAAGGAGTGCCAAGGGTTGGAAGCAGCCACTGGCGGCTATGAAAGGCATGCAAGCAATCATCCCCCAGAGCCTCCAGAGGGAACCAGCCCTACAGCACCTTGATTTTGAACTGTATTCTGAGATGCAGAATTCTCTCTGCAACTCAGAGAGAATAAATTTCTGCTGTTTCGAGCCACCCATTTGTGGTCATTTATATGGCAGCCTCAGGAAAGGAACACATCTGCCTTTACAAAGCTTAAATTCTAGTGTGGAGAGATAAACAATAAATAAATAAATAAGCAAAATATGTAGTGTGTTAGATGGTGATAATTGCTATGGATATAAATACTACAGAAAAGGGGCATAAAGAAAAATAAATAGTATAGGTGTGATATGGGTGTGTATGTGTATTGTTAGTGGAAAGTGCTGTAGGGAAAGGGGAGAATCAGAGATGGGTTTATGGTGAAGATGATAAAAGCCAAAGCTGCAGGGCTCTCTGCTTGCATAAGTACCTGCCGAGGCTCTGGGGCGGTGCCCTGGCAAGTGTGTTTATTTAGCCAGATGCTTTGGCAAAATTTGCAAAAGTAAAATTAAAATTATCCCAATATCAAGAAGTGAGTTAGAAAGATGTTTTGAATGTTTAAACAAGTGAAAAATTACTGACTCCTGATTTCAATATACGTGAAGGATGCTTTTTTATCCTTAATTTTTTTAGATTAAAGGACTAAAAATATAAATGAATAAGAAAATTTCAAATACAATTATTGGAGTATGAAGAAAATGCAGTAAAGCCAAGTGGTTAAATCAATAGAAATTATTCAGATATCAGACAGTACATTGTAACAATTTTTTTCCAGATCATCTCAAAAGTGGTAATTCAATAAGAGAAAGAGATAAATTTCAAATAGATATGATGAATTGGCCCTTGGGTTGCTTGACAAGTAAATTAATGAAAAGGAGTTAATCAAACTAACACACATTGAAACAATTTTTAATTTTTTTCTGATTTGATATAAAATGTTGACATTGACAGAGAGGATCTAAATCTCATGACAAATGCAGTGACACTTCGATGACAAACTGGTAAAAGAATACAAGTATGTAAGATTAGTCAACATACACACCCACAAACACACACACCACATCGAATGCCCTGAAATCTTACGCTCCTACATGAAAAAAAAATTTAAATATTTCTCAAAATTTGATAACAATGTTAAGAATGTATATGACATTACAAAACTTTTCTAACTATTAATAATTTTTTAAAAATCAACAATCCTGAAGAAAAGTTTAAAGTATCTTCCCAATCTCTACATAGAAAATATTACAATTTCAGTGTCATTTAAAGAGACAATCAAAGAATATTTAGCCAAGCATAGGGGAAAATGTATTATAAAATTGGGTTGGGCAGTTAATAAAATGTTATGATTTATAATATTTTGTGGTAGTTGGGATATATGTTAACTTAAAATTTGAATTCATAGTGATATCTTTTCTCCTTTTAACTATTCACTTTGTATTGGGCTTGTATTATATTAGTAATTGTTATTTTTGCTCTTAAAGGGAATTCCATATCTGAACCAGCTTCGGGCCCAGGTTCCAGCTGCTCTGTCCCCACAGAAATGCACCAGCTCTGTAAGAGAAACTAAAAGACTGGAGAGGAGAACGTGAACACAGTCAGGCTGTGGAGATCCAAAGAAGTCACAGTGTTATAGAAAGGGACACAATCCCAATGACAGAGCAAAAGCATCTAGGGATGATGGAGAGGGTCTTGACTTACAGGTTGCTGAGGCTCAACGTTTCCTCTCTACCTTGCTTTTGTTGATAGCATATTGTCAGTGGAAGATCTCTCTATATTCCACTCTGGACCTGAAGGTTATGCTCTCATTCTGTGTCCTCAACAAAAATCTCAGAGGGGTGGAAGTCAGATTTGATTTCCCTTTTCTTTCAGTAACATTTTGATTAATTCCCCCAAAGCTTCATTCCACAGACTTGGAGATTTTGACCTGAACTGTTCTCCAGGTCTGAAAGCATGACTGAATAACCACTGTCACCTAACATCTGTATGTGCTCGCCCATGCACAAAACACTCACACTCCCTGGTCTGCTCTCCTGGCAGTCTATTGAAGGGAATTTTTACTAGAACACAGTGGCATCAAGACACACCAAAATCAGGAAAACAGCAGAACATAAAAACGGGCTGGCTTCTGAAGCACTAAGTTAACCTTAGTAATCAAGAAGACAAGCCTCCCCCAAGTACAGCAAGATCTATTGTGAAAATACGTGCCTAAAATTTTCCTATTTAGCTTTTCACATTACTCTTTCCATTAGTAAAGTCTATTCCATAGTTATACAGAGTTTTTGTCTAACTTAATGTGGGATTTTATTAGAAAATATAACACCCTCTTCTCACTGTTCAGGTGAGAAACACAGCCCTATTCAGAGTGGGATGGCTTGTTTCCTGCCTTGAGTTTTCAGCTCAAAAATGCCTCTAAGATCCCAACCCTCCTAGACTGATGAAGGGATGGAACTCCTAAGACCAGCTCTTGTTCTTTTACTTCTACAGTCATTTCTTAACTTCATCTAATAGTAATTCTTTTGACAGGATCTGCAAGTTCTATGATTTTTGCAAGCAGATTTTTATAAGCAGAGTTATCTAGCAATATGTGGAAGGGAAACACATTGCAGGCTACTCACAGAGTCTGTGTTATACCCATATTTGGAACAGATGCAGATATAAAATGCACTTGGTTCCATGAGAGAAGCTTCAAAAGAGGAAAGGCCAATGTAATGGGCCTAGAACATGACAACTGAAGTGTCCATTGACATCATGTCAAACAACAATCTGCCTGCTATGTTCTGACCCATTCTCTTCTTAAGATTTTGACCTTTACTTTGGTCTCATTATGAGAATGAAAAGTTCAATTTTTTTAAATAAAATTAACCAATATATTTATAGGATTTAAAAAAATCAGAAGCAACCAGCGTTTGGCTTCAGCTGGACTAATCTAATGGCAAGTATCCCTTCCGCACCATATGATTTTTGTTGATCTGCTTCTTCACTGCTAGGCAGTTGTGAAGTTTGGCTCTCTTCTTTAACAATACCCAGCTTCTTCACTCAGTGTTCTAAACCAGGATCTCAATCCTTCTCCTGAGTGTCCACATCTACTCCTAGGCTCTCTTCTCTACTCAGTCTTTACATAGGCAATGTCTTCTATACCCAAACATAAGTGAGGTAAGTCTATCTACTCTGCCTCTAAATATCTCTCAAAATCTGATCATTTCTCTTCTCCCCACTCCCTCTACTCTAGACCATGATGCCTTCATTTCCCACCTGAATTACTGCAGTAGCTTCCTGATTGGTCTCTCCACAGAAACTCTTGTTGCACTCTCCTATCCAATCTCTATCAGTAGCCACAGTCATCTTTTTTTAAAAAGGCAAATTTGATTTAACCCCATTCTTAATTGGTTTAGCATTACCATATTCTTAGTCTTGCTGACGTCTGTATCCTGTGTACCTCGTCAGCCTCATCTGGCTCCATGGTATTGCTTAATTTACAGTTAGATTATGTTTTTCTTCTCTCAATTCTTTGATTATACCATGCTCTATTTTGCTTCAAGGCCTTTGCACATACTAAGAAAAATTAAAGTTTTAAAAAAAGAACTTCTACAATTTTCAACCACCACGACTACCCAATGACCTGCATCTGTGCCCATATACTCTACGTTCTCTTATTTTACTATGGATAAACTGTCCTTGATCCAAAACCAAGACTAGTCCCTTCTGTTGTACACTGGATCAATCCCTTTTTATCTGCTCAAAGACATTATCCCAGCAATTTCCTGCAACATCAATTTTTCCCTCTCCACTGAATTGTCCCCCTCAGCATACAACCATGCTGTTAATTCCTCAACTTAAAAAAAACAATCTTGGCTCACATTGTCCTTCACCTATATCTCATCACTCCCCTTTCCTCTGCAGAGAAACTCTAGCAGCATGGTTGGCTTCCTCAAGTCCTCTAATCCTTTATTCAAAGTTACATTCTCAGTGAGATCTTCCATGGTTACCCTAAAACTCTAACCTCTTGATCCATGAGAGCAGGGATATTTGTCAACATTATATGCTATGTGACTCCAATGCATATCTCCATTAAGGAAGGCACTATGCCTCTTTTTGCTCACTGCTGTATCTTGAGTACCTGGCATTATCCCTGTTTCAGAGAGGGCGCACAATCACTCTGGTGAATGAAGGAACCAATGCACGAGCATTATAACCACTTCACCTCTCCTTGGCCCCCTCCCTGCCACAAGAAGCAGATAGTTATGGTATTTTAATACTTTACAAGCTTAAATATCCTGGTAATTTGTGCAGTCAGTAACTTCTTACTAAAGTTACTAAGTCTAAATCAAGGCTTGGCAAAGTTTTTCTGTAAAGCACCAGATATTAAACATTGTTGACTCTGCAGGCCGAATGGTCTCCATCTCCACTACTCTACTCTGCAGTAGTAGTGCAAGCTCCAAGAAACCTTCATTTATAAAACAAGTGGCAGGCAGCATTTGGCCCACAGGCTGTAGTGTGACAACCCTTAGTCTAACTTGTTTTTATGGATGTTAACTCATCTTCTAAACAGGAGCACATGAAAATGATAACAGCATTGTTCCCATCCAGGTAGCAAGGTCAGCCCTTTCCATTGCCTCACAGGCCCTTGGAGCCCTCACAAGTGAGGATCTCATCTGTTACCCCCACCTCTCAACTCAATCTCTGGTTCGCTACTAGTTTACAACATAAAGTTAGTTTACAAAGGCAATTATCGCCAACAGTAAAGATTAAAGAACAGTAAAATAACATCTCTCTACTTGAGGATATCACATGAATTTTATATCCAATATACTTCAAATCCTATTATGCTTCATTGTCTCATGACCCCTCCAAGGAAAGTATATTAGAGCTTTTCTTCGTCTAGAGCCTTAATAGAAAGACAAACTCCAGGAGGGAGGGGAAAATGTAGATTCTTATAATCCTTTCAGAGGCATTTACAAAAACCTATATTTTTACATTTTGTAGATGACATATTTCTCTCTCAGGTGTATAGGCCTATGTCATTCAAAACAATCTTCCATTTGCTTGTGCATACAAAATGCTGCAACATAATAATTTAAATGCAAATAAGAAGCCACCCATAGACAACTTTATTTTGTGGTTGTGATCTGAGGCTAATCGAAGTAGTCATTTTCCAGATGAAAAATGTCTTTTAAATAAGAGAAATGGTACAGATGTTTCAACTGATGCCAATTTTATTTTTGCAAATGTCATCTGAGTTTGGTTTTCTCATCAATTAACAGACTCTAATATAGCATTGTACAAAGTCAATTTTCTAAAAATCATTTTCAAACTGTTAAAGCAATAATCTGTGGCAGTTTAATAACAGAGCTTAGTGTTATGTGACAATACATATTATTTTGAATGGACAAGGGTTTTAGTTAATGGTGCCAATTTACAACAATGAAATCTAACTTACTGTCCACTGTCAAGGCAGATTTTCACTGTATTTAAGATATTCCTAGCAGAGAACTTTTATAGTTGTTAAAAGTACATTATTTCTTTCAGGCCAACAAATCAGAAACCATTTAGCCCCAAATATATAATTTCCTAATTGGTAAATTAAACTACAGGTGTGGGGAATTTTTATGGCGAGCTGACCTGGAGTTTTCTCAGAATCTCAAATGCCCCAGGAATCATAGTCACCTTCATTTTCTTTTCATACCACGTAAGGGTTACTTTGGCATAATCGGAGTCAGCTTATGTCACTCTCAGATAATTATTGATGTCAGCAGGGCCTTCTTCAGAAAGAGGGAAGTAACTTCAGTCAGAAATTGCAAAACATTCAAATATTTTAGAAAGAAAATTAAAGATTAGATGCCAAGATGGCCAACTAGATAGCTTCTGCACAGCAAAGAAACTAACAGAGTAAACAGAAGACCTGCAAAATGGAAGAATATATTTGCAAACTATGCATATGACAATGGCCTAATTTTCACTATCTACAGGGAACTTAAACAAATCAATAAGCAAAAAACACATAACCCCATTAAAAAGTGGGCAAAGGGCTTCATGAACAGAAGACATACAAGTGGCCAAGAAATATATGAAAAATGCTTACGTCACTAATCATCAGAGAAATGCAAATCAAAACCACAATAAGATACCATCTCACACCAGTCAGGATGGCTATTATAAAAAAGTCAAAAAATGACAGATACTGGCGAGGCTGAAAAGGGAATGCTTATACACCATTGGTGGGAATGTAAATTAGTCCAGTTATTTTGGAAAGCAGTCTGGAGATTTCTCAAAGAACTTAAAACAGAATTACCATTTGACCCAGCAATCCCATTACCAGGTATATACTTCCACAAAAATAAATAATTCTACTAAAAAGACACATGCACTCATATGCTCATCACTGCACTATTCACAATAGCAAAGATGTGGAATCAACCCAGGTGCCCATCAATAGTAGATTGCATAAAGAAAATGTGGTACATATATACTATAGAATACTATGCAACCCCAAAACAGAATAAAATCATGTCTTTTGCAGCAACATGAATGGAGCTGGGAGCCATATGCTTTTTTTTTTTTTTTTTTTTTTTTTTGAGAGTGAGTTTCACTCTTATTGCCCAGGCTGGAGTGCAATGACCCGATCTCAGCTCACCACAACCTCCACCTCCTGGGTTCAAGCAATTCTCCTACTTTAGCCTCCCGAGTAGCTGGGATTACAGGCATGCGCCACCACGCCTGGCTAATTTTGTAGTTTTAGTAGAGACGGGGTTTCTCCATGTTGGTCAGGCTGGTTTAGAACTCCTGACCTCAGGTGATCCACCTGTCTCGACCTCCCAAAGTGCTGGGATTACAGGTGTGAGCCACTGCGCCCGGCCCACTGGGTGCCATATTCTTAAGCAAATTAACACAGGAATGGAAAACCAAATATTGCACATTCTCACTTATAAGTGAGAGCTAAGCATTCAGCACACGTGGACATATGTATAAATATGGGAACAATAGACACCATGGACTACTAGAGGGTAGAGGGAGGGTGGGATGCATTAAAAAATTACCTATCTTGTACTATGCTCACTATCAGGGTAATGGGATATACCATACCTAAGCATCATGCAATAATCCCATGTAACAAATCTGTACAAATACCCATATATCTAAAATAAAAGTTGAAATAAAAAAATATATAAAGCTAGAACCATATAACAGCCCTCCATCATTAGCAGTTTTAGAAATTTGGATAGAATACAAAATAATAGTGAAACCTAGATTTGATATTCTGGCATATCTAGGTTAAGATAAAATACCTTAACCTAGATATTTGATCTTGGTTCTTTCTGATACTGAGGAAATTGTTTAACTTCTCCAGGCTTCTGTTTTCTTATAAGTAAAATAAGATAATAATGGTACCTACCGTAGCATCATCCTGAGTATGAAACACAATATAACATATCCAGTGTTTAGCATAAGGTCTGGCACGTGATAATGTATTATTCTCCATTCTTCAAATTTATTATTGACAATTTGAGATGGAAGATAAAAGACAAAGAAGAAAGAGTACTGTGTTCATCAAGGAAGAAAAGGCACCCCCCCCCCGAAAAAAAGAGAAGCATCTTGATATAATATGTAGTTTCTTTAATATTTCTATTATTGATGCCAGAACCTATTTGTAAACTATTTTAATTGCATTTTCTGTTAAGCCAACCAATTTCTTCTAAGCTACAGGAAATATTACTGCATGTGCAACTAATATTCTAAAGCATTCAGAAATTCAAATATCTACCCACTTCTCTTCACAAGTCCACCATTCACATTAGAACAAGGCATTAATTTATTTGAAATGATTCACATCTCACAAAGAATGGCTTTTGTAGATCCTTTCTATTTTACAAAGGAAGACTATCTGAAGAATAGATATTTTATTAGGAGGAAAGATGGGAGAAGAAAACAAATTTGGAAGAATGGAATTATAATTGAGGTAAAAAGCTGTGAATATAATTGAATAGAATATATTAAGGTTGAAAGAAGATGCCTGGAGGGAAAGGAGTACTCTCAAGGGTTTCTGAGAATGTTGTGTTCACCTGCTAATGTCTCACCTGCCAGGTCTTGACCCTGATGATAAGGTTTGGGGAATGACTTGTCTCTGAAATACTTCTTGACATGGTTTGGCTGTGTCCCCACCCATATCTCATCTTTTGAATTGTAGTTCTCATAATCCCCATGTGTCACAGGAGAGACCTGGTAGAAGGTAATTGAACCATGGGGACAGTTACCTCCATACTGTTCTCGTGATAGTGAGTTCTCATGAGAGCTGATGGTTTTATAGAGGCTTTTCCCCACTTTGCTCTGCAGTTCTCCTTGCTGCCACCACGTGAAGAAGGGTTTGCTTCCCCTTCTGCCATGATTGTAAGTTTCCTGAGGCCTCCCCAGCCATGCTGAACTGTGAGTCAATTAAACCTCTTTCTTTTGTAAATTACCCCGTCTAGGGCAGTTCTTTATAGCAGTGTGAGAACGGACAAATACACTTCTCAAGTACTTCACACATGTATGCACACTCCTGTGACTGCATGCACACTACAACAAAGACAGTAACTTCTGGAGAACAAGGACACCTGTAACAAAAGTTAAATGCAACTTTTTTCATCTTTTTCCTCACGATTGTCTTCAAAATGTTTGTATCAGGAACAACGCTGATAAATTTAGCACTAGGTGTGAGGGAGAGTTAGACAAAGATATGTTCCAGTATTAAAAGAGAAGCTTTCTCAGTGGACTAACAGCAGAGTTAATTTTCCTTCAGGGACAACTTTTGATTAAAGACTTAAACGTTAGACCTAAAACCATAAAAACCCTAGAAGAAAACCTAGGCAATACCATTCAGGACACAGGCATGGGCAAGGACTTCATGTCTAAAACACCAAAAGCAATGGCAACAAAAGCCAAAATTGACAAATGGGATCTAATTAAACTAAAGAGCTTCTGTACAGCAAAAGAAACTATCATCAGAGTGAACAGGCAACCTACAAAATGGGAGAAAATTTTCGCAACCTACTCATCTGACAAAGGGCTAATATCCAGAATCTACAATGAACTTAAACAAATTTACAAGAAAAAAACAAACAACCCCATCAAAAAGTGGTGAAGGACATGAACAGACACTTCTCAAAAGAAGACATTTGTGCAGCCAAAAAACACATGAAAAAATGCTCACCATCACTGGCCATCAGAGAAATGCAAATCAAAACCACAATGAGATACCATCTCACACCAGTTAGAATGGTGATCATTAAAAAGTCAGGAAGCAACAGGTGCTGGAGAGGATGTGGAGAAATAGGAACACTTTTACACTGTTGGTGGGACTGTAAACTAGTTCAACCATTGTGGAAGTCAGTGTGGCGATTCCTCAGGGATCTAGAACTAGAAATACCATTTGACCCAGCCATCCCATTACTGGGTATATACCCAAAGGACTATAAATCATGCTGCTATAAAGACACATGCACACGTATGTTTATTGTGGCACTATTCACAATAGCAAAGACTTGGAACCAACCCAAATGTCCAACAATGATAGACTGGATTAAGAAAATGTGGCACATATACACCATGGAATACTATGTGGCCATAAAAAATGATGAGGTCATGTCCTTTGTAGGGACATGGATGAAATTGGAAATCATCATTCTCAGTAAACTATCGCAAGAACAAAAAACCAAACACCGCATATTCTCACTTATAGGTGGGAATTGAACAATGAGATCACATGGACACAGGAAGGGGAACATCACACTCTGGGGACTGTTGTGGGGTGGGGGGAGGGGGGAGGGATAGCTTTGGGAGATATACCTAATGCTAGATGACGAGTTAGTGGGTGCAGCGCACCAGCATGGCACATGTATACATACGTAACTAACCTGCACAATGTACACATGTACCCTAAAACTTAAAGTATAATAATAAAAAATAAATAAATAAATAAAAAAGAGAGAGAGACAAAGAGAGGGAAACAGAGAGGAAGAGACAGAGAGAGAAATTAAAACAAAATAGCACTTATATAGGAAGAATATTCTCCAGAGGGAAGAGACATGCAGTTTATAATGTCATGCACTTAATTAATTGTAGTGCAAACCACTCTCATTAGGAGTCCATTGTAAGCCTACCAGCTTCAACAGTCAAAAGGGAATAATTGCAATGAAGCCCAGTCCTTGTCTCCTTATTGAGAGCTTTAAAAACTTTGCCACGGACATCTCAAGAGACTCTTCTCTTCACTACCCTCCTTTTGTTATCTTTTTATGTAAAAAAATAATGCATTAAAATAAAATTCAATCTTCCCCTTTGGTTTTTCCTTACTAACTTTACTACTAATTTTACACCTAAACTTCTAGCAAAGTCAGGGCACTTTCTGTACTTTAGTTTCTAGAGTGATCAAGGGCTGTGATTTGCAAACAATAGAAATGATGGATTGACATAAGCAGGAAAAGGAATCCATCAAAAGAATATAGGATAGAACTCAGAATAAACAGGGAGCTTGAAGAAGCAGACTTGAGCAGAATCCAGTGAAGATAATAAGCAGCTGGGAGGCTGGATCAGTCTGCCTGGGACCCTATTCCTCACCTGCTGGGCACACACTGCTCTTCGCCACACTGTCAGCAGCTACAACAGATGCCACTGGCCCTTCCACTCGATAGTGGCATATGTGATGGTCTGAGCCATCCCCTCAAGATTCAAAGTCCTGGCTAGGAACATCAGATTGACTACATTGAGGTTATAGACCCTCCCTCTGTCTGCCAGAGGGGCATGCAGAGGGAATGCATATTCCTACTCCCCTAGTGGAAGGCTAGGTCCTTTCTCTCACCTATTCTGAAACTCCCCCAAAACAGAAGAGGATTGGATACTGAGTAGCCCAGTATCTACCCAGTTGTCTACCCTAAGACCTTACCTCTCTTGACTTCTCATCCCCCCAGCTATCCCAAGGACTGTGTTTCCTAAATTTCCAAGCAATATAGGTGACAATAATATAAGTCTAAAAAAATAAAATAAGGGACAAAGGATCCGGCTTGTCAGCCAAATGAGTTGATCAAACCTAGGTCGCTCACAAAGAAGGTAAAAACTGAAACCAAAATACTTTTCTGTCCCAGTGCTAAACAATTTGGAGTCAAAGTTTAAATGCCTGTTTTAATGCTGAGCACATGGAGACCAAGCAAAAATAACTTAGGTACTTGCTCCAGGAAATGTTTGCTTTTGGAAAATAAGGCTGTAAATGGCCTGAACCAGCTTATTCAATAAGACTAACAGTTCACTTATCAAGGTTCACTTTGAGAACCTCACTGCTCTTAGAGACCCCACTAATCCAGAACTGCTAGGCTCTAAATTCTGCCTAATGCCAGCCATTTTTCCACCTTGCAAGATCAGGCTCCCAGACCTGGCTATAAAACTCTACAAATATCTTCCCTTTACTTCCCCTTTCCAAAATACTACTAATTTTAAAGGTGATGTCCTCCCTTATTTCACTGAGATGAATACTTAGTTTCACTTGGTTCTGCTGGTGATCTTTTTTGGGGAGTCGGTCACCAACAGAGGAATGGTTATACAAAGTGATCTGGAGAATTCTGAAAGGCCCAAGTATCCCTACCTCCCACCATAGTTGCCAAAACTTCCTATTGGATTGCCTGTGAAAAACAAAAGTTCATGAATTTTTAAAATCTACATATAAAATATTCCCAGTACCTCAAACTGTGTCTGTCATATACTAAGACACAATAGATGAATTTGTATGAATGAAATTGTAAATAAATAATAAATTTTAATGTAATTTTATTGATTGGATAAACACTTATTTTCATTAATAGAAATCAATGTGAGAAAAATAAAAAACCACAATTTTGTAAATCAAAAAATTCAAATTATTTTCACATTGTTTTCCAGTTCTCAGCCACATGCAGGCATATATTTTGCAGTGTTTTAACTTTAACCTGGATATACTTGTATATTTTGCTTTTCTCCTCAAAACATTCTAAATACTTCCATGTTACCATATACTTATCATAATAATCATTTTAATGACTATATCATAATCCATAAGTATACATTTTCACTGTCATTCATTCAGTTTTGCCAACTGCAAAGGATGCTTTGACATATAGAGTTTTATAGAAACACTCTCATCTCAGTTTTTTTCAGTGGATATTGAACAGAACATACCAGAATTTATAAGCCAAAATAAGAAGATATGAGTCTTGGTCTTTATTTGTTGCAGATAATCCTCTGAAAATCAATTAACCTTGACATTTCTTCTTAAGACAAATGAAGGCTCCTCTGCTTGGGTCTCCTCCACTGAGTTTAATTAAAACCCTTTGCTAAGGCACTGTGTACATATGATATACTCTACAGTTGCCAAATTCTAGTCACAGATACTGTTTCAAACAGTGTAAATTAAACAAACAAACAAAAAAATGACCCAGACAAGGTCACCAAAGAGAAGAGAATAAAAAAATTGTGTGCACATATGTATTACATCAAGGATCTTGGTTCCAGGTCTCAATCATACAACTCTATCAAATAGCCTTAAATAAAAATTAGCATGATCATAGGTTGCTATGACTTAAAGTCTGCAAATAATATGTTACATCCAAGCTAAGGGCAAAACCGTATGCACGTGCCTTTCTGTTGTTTCACTAAGGTCACAACAGTAACCCCGTTTACAGACGAATGTTTTCTACAAATAGAATTTTTCCACATTGAATTCAATTTTATTCTTTATTTTATTGCTAAAATTGGCAGCATGACGAACTGGAATAATGCTTGAATGCCAGAAATAGTATTTAAGAATATATAAGAAAGCAATAGTGTTTAATTCAATTATTATTTCTAAGAACTAAAATTCTCAAAAGCAAACTCAAATGCTAATTCAAAATACCTAAGATGTTATTATTGCTGGCAAAATATTAGAGTTAGATATAAAAATTATTTAAAATAAACTAATACTTTGAAAATGATAATTCATATTTTTTAAAAAATCAGATCCTTCTCCATACTCCAGAGACTGTAATAAATCTGGGAAACAGCTGAGTAATCTGGAAGATGCAGAAGTACTGAAACACCAGAAGCTCCTATTCTCCAATAGATGCTGAAATGTACTAGGAACCCAAGGACACCATTGCAGACCTACTTACTGGGACTAGGACAAACGTTATGGTCTTTCCAAAAGACCTACTAGCTATGCTCAACTTCTTGTTCCCTGGTTTAACACCCATCAGTCAGAGGACAGGTGGACCAATTATTGAAAATATTTTGGAATGCTGTTTCATAATCATATCTCAGACAACCACCTGATACAGAGCTTCTTCCTCTCCCTGTGTTCTTTCAACTTCTTATCCCCATGTTGCACTGTGATTTCTCTCCCCTGTCTATCCTCCCATTCTCATTCTTTCCATATTATTCAATCAGTTTCTCTGGATCCCTTTTCCCATGGCAAACAGACTTCACTTCATCCTCAGCCTTGCCACCAAAAAGTCATCCCAGATCCTAACCTCTCTCAAATTTGACTCTTCGCTAAAGATGTCACTTCCCTGTGGTGGATTCAGGGTAAGGTACTCTGGTTCTCAATGCCCTCTCTGGGTCCCAAGATGAAATGGGTGCTCTCCTGGTTACTCACTTTTACTTACTCCTCCACCTTCTTGTAAAAACTTCTCGTTTGACATCTATGCCAATCAACTCTACTTCCTTGTCTCTGACTTCTGCCAGTCCCTTTGGTCAGTTTCTCATTCACTGAAAACTGCCCACCTTTTTGTCATCTTGACAGCTTGAATCCTGCTGCAGTCCTGGGTGACTTTGATGTTGATGTGGAGGCATCACCTCATGCCCCGATCTCTCAGTTCCTCAGCTACATCTTTTCCAAGGCAGTCACCCTCTTCCCTGACACCCTTCTATGTCTTGAACATACCTTAAATTACCTCTAGCACTTACATCTTAAAGTTCATTCTGTCCTCCAAATATGATCTATCTTTTGTTTGCTCAGTTATTCTAATTCACCTGTTTGACATCATAGAGATTTCTAGAGACCTTGAATACTTTCTATATCAGTATCTTCTTATATTCACTCATTTCCATAACCAGCTAAGTTGCCACAATTCATCATTTCTATCACTTTCTTTCAAATACCTTCAAATCCCTTGCCCTATTTTTCTTATATTGCACCTGCTTTCCAATTTTGGAATAATCCAACTGTTTGCCTTTTCAGTGTTTATATCATAGCTGCTTAGCATACTGGAAAATATTACAAAACCTCACATATTGGTTACATGAAAAGTTAATGGTAAGTTTTATCAACTGTACCTTCAATTGGCATTCTGGTCTAGCCATGTTTTAGCAGTTTTTATTTAGCTAAGTGCAGACACTCTACTTTAATCTCATCCCTGGACTTTGACCTGCTGTTCTCTCTTCCTGGAACCATCTTATTTTGGTCTCAGGTTAGGTGTTAGTTCCTCACAAGCCAAAGTGAGTTTGCTCCCCAGTGAGATTTCATATTTCTCCATTTGTCTGCAGTCATATTTGTACATTATATGAAACAAACAAGATTATAGTGGTCTATTTTCTTGCACGTGCCCTACTTGATTCAATCCCCTGTGAAAGAAAAGGCTGTGTTTTGTCTTGTTGAGCCTTGGGTCGCCAGTGCATACCTCAGTATACAGCAAATATCAGACTCTCACTATTTGTTGGTTGAATATAAAGTGAATACATTAATATATGACTAATGCATGATTGAGGGGATCAGTATATTTACCAGAATCCCTTGCATGTATGATTTTATTGTTTTTAATTCTGTTTTGTAATATGTGTATAAATACAGGCATACTTGTTTTATTGTGCTTTGCTTGATATGGTTTGGGTATTTATACCCTCCAAATCTCATGTTGAGATTTGATTCCCAATGTTGATGGTGGGCCTAGTGGGAGATGCTTGGGTCATGGGGTCAGAGCCCTCATAAATGGCTTGGTGCCCTCCCTGTGGTCATGAGTTATTGTGAGATCTAATTGTTTAAAGAATATGGCACCTGCCCCCTCTCTTATTCCCTCTCTTGTCATCTGACAAAGCTGCTCCCCCTTCACCTTCTGCCATGAATAAAAGCTTCCTGAAGCCTCACAAAAGCCAAGCAGATGCTGGTGCCTTGCCCAGACACCCTGCTAAACAATGAGCCAAATAAATCTCTTTTCTTTGTAAATTAGCCAGTCACACGTATTCCTTTATAGCCATGCAAAACAGACTAACACATTGCTTTATCACACTTCACAATATTGTGCTTTTACCAATTGAATATTGTGGCAATGCTGCATCAAGCAAGTCTATTGGCACCATTTTTTCCAATAACATGTACTCACTTTGTGTTTCTATGTCATATTTTGGTATTCTCAGAATATTATGAACTTTTTCATTATTATTATATCTGCTAGGGTGATCTGTGATCAGTGGTCTTGGATGTTACTATTTTAATTTTTGGGGTGCCACAAACCATGCCCATGTAAGACAGTAAACTTAATGGATTAATGTTGCATGTATTCTCACTGCTTCACTGACTGGCCATTCCCCAATTTCTCTCTTTTCCTCAGGTCTCCCTATTCCCTGACACACAATAATATTGAAATTAGGCCAATTAATAACCTTACAATGGCCTATAAGTGTTCAAGTGAAAGGAAGAGTTACAGGTCTCTCGCATTAAGTCAAAAGCTAGACATAATAAGGCTTAGTGAGGAAGACATGTCAAAAGCCAAGACAGGCTGAAAGCCAGGCCTTTTGTACCAGTTAGCCAAGTTGTGAATACAAAGAAAAAGCTTTTGAAGGAAATTAAAAGTACTACTCTGGTGAACACAGAAATGACAAGAAAGCCAAACAGCCTTATTGATAATGTGGAGAAAACTTCAGTGGTCTGGATAGAAGATCAAACCAGCCGCAACATTCCCTTAAGCCAAAGCCTAATCCCAAACAAGGCCCTAACTCTCTTTAATTCAATGAAGTCTGAGAGAGTTAAGGACTGCAGACGAAAAGTTGGATGCCAGCAGAGGGTGGTTCATGATGTTTAAAGAAAAGAAGCCATCTCCAATACATAAAAGTACAGGGTGCACAAGCTACCCATTTAACAAAGCTGCATAAATACCCTCTGAACCTAAAATAAAAGCTGGAAAAAAAAAGGAGTGTGAAGTGAAGCAGCAAGTGCTGATGTATAAACTGTGACAAGTTATCCAGAAAGTCTAACTAAGATCAATGATGAAGGCACTACACTAAACAACAGATTTTCAGTGGAGACAAAATAGCCTTCTATTGGGAGAAGATACCATCTACAACTTTCATAGCTAGAGAGGAAAAGTCAATGCCTGGCTTCAAAGCTTCAAAGGAAAATCTGACTCTCCTGGTAGGAGCTAATGCAGATGGTAACTTTAAGTTGAAGACAATGTTCATTTAATATTCCAATAATTCTAGGGCCTTTGAGAATTGTGCTAAATCTACTTTGCCTGTGCTTTATAAATAAAAAAATAAGGACTGGATGACAGTGTATCTGTTTACAGCATGGTTTACTAAATATTTTGAGCCCACTGTTGAGACATACTGCTCAGAAAAAAAGATTCTTTTCAAAATATGACTGTTCATTGACAATGCACCTAGTCACTCAAGAGCTTTGCTGGAGATGCACAAGGAGGTTAATGTTATCATGCCTGCTACCACAACATTCATTCTGAAGCCCATGTTCCAAGGAGTCATTTCAACTTTTAAGCCTTATTATTTAAGAAATACATTTCATAGGGCTATCGCTATGATAGACACTTATTTCTCTGATGGATCAGGGCAAAGTAAGTCGAAAACTTTCTGGACAGGATTCACCATTCTAGATGCCATTAAGAATATTTGTGATCCATAGGCATAGGTCAAAATATCAACATTAACAAGAGTTTGGAAGAAATTGATTCCAACCCTCATGGATGACTCTGAGGGGTTCAAGTGGAGAAAGTAACTGCAGATGTGCTGGAAATTGCAAGAGAACTAGAATTAGAAATGGAACCTGAAGTTGTAATGAAATTACTGCAATCTTATGATAAAACTTGAAAGAATGAGGAGTTGTTTCTTGGATGAAGCAAAGAAAATGGTTTCTTGAGACAGAATCTACTTCTGGTAAAGATGCTGTGAACATTGTTGAAATGGCAACAAAGGATTTAAAATATTATATAAACTTAGTAGATAAACCAGCAGCAGCGTTTAAGAGGATTGACTCCAATTTTGAAAGAAGTTCTACTATGGGTAAAATGCTGTCAAACACCATTGCATGCTACAGAGAAATTGTTCATGAAAGGAGGAATCAATGGATGTGGCAATTTTCACTGTAGTGTTATTCTAAGAAATTGTCACAGCCACCCCAATCTTCAGCAACCACCACCTTGATCAGTCAGCAGTCATGAACATTGAGGCAAGACTCTCCACCAGCAAAATGTTTCTGACTTGCTGAAGGCTCTAATGGTTGTTAGCATTTTTTTTTTTAGCAATTAAGTATTTCTTACTTAAGGCATGTACATTGTTTTCTTAGAGACAATGCTATTACACACTACAATATAGTGTAAACATAAGTTTTATATGCACTGGAAAGCCAAAAAGTATGTGTGACTTGCTTTATTGTGATATTTGCTTTATTGCAGTGGCCTGGATCTGAACCCACAATATCTCCGAGGTATGTCTGGTATATACCTTCAAGAAATAAAGTTAGTCTGAATTAAATAATGTTGGAGAAATAAGAAAGCCAAAATCACATGTTAACTGAGACACAGAAGAGTTAGTAGAGGAGTAAAGAGGGAGACCACCCTTGAAATATGTGATCAAAAGCTGGGAAAGTTCTAGAAAGTGAATGGTAAAGAAGTATAGTATTTATGTATTATAAACTTTATATTCTAAATATTATTTATATATTATAAATTACATATTTAAAAAACAAGTATTCTAAAGTTTTTAATATCTATATCTAGCTTTCACACAGCAAGGGGTGTGTGTGTGTGTGTGTGTGTTTATGATAACATTTAGCACTAATCACAACTGTTTAGGAATTACGTCATGGTAAAATTCAGAACCCCCTGAGAAAAAGCCCTCCTGGGAATGTGGACAAAGGTCTCACTTTAACGAAGCTCAGAGCCACGAACTTCAGTGTAAATGATGCTAATCTATTAAACAAAGTTGACCCATCATCCAGATATGTTGCATACATGACTTCAAACAACATAACTAAATAGCATTTATTTTTGTTGAATTCCTCAGATTTGAAATAATCTAAAAGTGCCCGGCTCCATCTACTTCCTTTCAACTGGAGGGCAGATTCTAAATGAATGAGAGAAATGGGATGAAAAATAATATGGAAATTCTAAGTTCTAGAAAGAATTCTAAGTACCTAGAATTTTTTTTTGGTTGGGGGGAAGTGTGTTTAACCCAAGAAGTGATATATTTTTTCTATAGTTTTTTTCTATATACAGATTTTTTAAAAGAAAACTTTTGCCATTTTGTAGTGCTCATTTGTAGAGAAAAAAAGTTTGATTACTTCATCCTTTAATGAATTTCAACTGAAAATATATTTTTCATTTTGGATTTCTCCAAGCAATGCACTCTGGTCATGTTAAGTTTGAATCAGTATTATACATTATGCAATACATAATAATTAAACAAATACAATTTGGTCAGAATATTTTTACCTGCATTTTTTTCATAAACACAAATACTGTAAAACAGAATAAAAAGGCTTTTAAAGAATTATAAGCTCTCCTTAAACACTTCAGTGATTCACAGTTCTGCATTACAGAAGGATGGTCAGCCAGGGCAGTGTTTGTTGCAAAGAAACTATCTATGGAGTGGAACAATTATTATTGAGTGATGGAAATAATCAAAGGAAAGGGCTTTGTTGAGTTCTGCCTTGTGCTTAATATAGTATTGTGCCCTAGCACTTTTCACGGTAAAATAAATGCTTCCTTGGGTTTGCCTTAAAAAATATGGGATTCCCCAACCAATCTCTATTACTAAAACAAGTCATATTGGCACAAGAAAGTTTTGAAAATAGGGACTAGATGCTCTGATGTTGGTGAACGCAGAAGTTGTCACCCTCTTTAGTGTTTTTAACAACGTGGGAGCCTGGTGAAATAGAAGCCTTTGATTTCTAAAGGTAAACCTTCCCCTGGTACATGCTGCTTTACTGACACACAGATATAAAGTAAAATACTGTGGTATAGTATCAGTCCATTCAGCATATCCTTAATGGGGACACCAGAATGTACTACAATAATGAAAAGGTACTGTGATAACCTGAAAAAGACACTGGAGTTTAATCATGATCATATTATTTTGTAAATTGAAGGCATGGCAGATATAGCATAAACCTTTTAGAGAGTCTATGATAGGTGAGAAAAAAGTCAGCATTTTTACATTGCTTATTTTAGATTAGATTCAAGAATTGCCCTGATTCTGGAAATAAGATGATTTTTATCCAGATATTTTAAAGTGCTCCATCACTCTTAGAATCTAATTTTAATCTTGAAAATCACAAATTTGGGGCCAGGCATGATGGCTCACGCCTGTAGTCCCAGCACTTTGGGAGGCTGAGGCAGGAAGATTTCATAAGGCCAGGAGTTTGAGAACAGCCTGGCCAACATGGCAAAACCCCATTTCTACTAAAAATACAAAAATTAGCCTGGTGTGGTGGGACATGCCTGTCGTCTCAGCTACTTGGGAGGCTGAGGCAGGAGAATCGCTTGAACCTGGGGGGCGGAGGTTGCAGTGAGCCGAGATCACGCCATTTCACTCCAGCCTGGGTGACACAGCAAGACTCCGTTTCAAAAACAAAACAAAACAAAACAAAACAAAAATAATCACAAATTTACAAAGTTTAAGGCAAAGACAGATAAGATTAAATCAGAACAATGCTTTAAAATAAAAGGCTTGTGATATTTTGTGAGTATCCTGAGAAGTTTAGATAAACACTACAATCATAAATTGCATGTAAATCAATCAAAACCAAAAGAATCCAATTTTGTCTGCTTAGTATGCATCTTCAAGATTATTGGAAGTATTGTTTCCCAATTTTTGGCATTGATTACTTTTAAAATTTCATCTAGCTCAAGAATACTATATTTCTACAGAATGTTTCACAATCATGATTATGTGTTTTATTTTCAATTTTGGGAAGCTTTGCCTAGTGGGTTATAGATCTTCCATATAACATTCAATAAGAACTTAGATAAATCACTTAAAGCTTGAACATACATCAAACATGAAGGTACAGGCTTCATGGTAGACTGTGAAATACAATCTCTAGCTTTATAAACACCCTTATATCCAAATTATTTAAAATATGAAATGCCCATTAATACCTTCTTAAGTTTAAAAGGCCAAATTTGAAAGATCAGATGTGTCTGATCCAGCCTTCTGTTTTTCCTTTTTTATTTTCTGTTTGGATTTTGATTCAGGAATAAATTGCTGAAAACAATCTTTTTTTTAATGTTCTCTCTAACGTACTGTTTGTACTCAAGAGCACAAGATGAAGAGTGGTTAGTCAAAGAATCCAATGTCTAACTGGCATCTGTGACCAGTCCCTCTGTGAATAGCACACAAATCAAGGAAATATTTCTGGAAGATCCTTGTAAAATGAACCCTTATATGAATAAAGTAATTCTTCTCTCTCTGTTGGGTAGTTAAATTTATCCCCAAAAGTGACCATGTCTTCTTTTACATTCTTTTCATTTTCTTTTTTTATAGGACATAGTGATACGAAGGTACACAGTGTACTTCTTCAGACAGGTAATAGGATACTAGGGATGAGAAAGTGTTTGTAACATTCTCCACCCACCCATATCCCTGAATATACATCTATCCAGAGGTGTGTCATCATGTCACAAGGGAATAAGTTGCTCTTGGCTCTCATTTTATTATAGCAGATGCAGCAATGAAATGTAAGTAGAGAGTTTTATTGCTACCTCCCCCACATTTTCTTCATTCCCATAACTTCCCACCTGTGAACTGGGAATGATTTCCACATGTGTGGCAAGCTAGACTCTCCTTAGATTGTCTAGGGGCACATGGACCACATGTGGGAATGTAAGTCAGTGCCCAAGATAGGGCTGAAAGGAGATCCTAATTCCTCCTAAGGATTCTAAGCAGGAAACTATTTAGAAGTCAGCAAGGTTGTGGAAGAAGTGAAGCAGAAGTAGGGAGACCACCATTCTCATTCCAAACATAACTGAACAGCACTTGAAAGCAAGACATGTGTGCGGGAAGATGCCAGATACAGACTTCTGAACAGAAATGTCACAAGTCCATAATAACTGTAACTTTCTGAAACAGGAGCCAATTTCTGATTGACTCCCAAATCTGCTAGAACATCCATCTCTACCCCAAGAGTTATTTGTAGAGTATCTCTGAAGCCAATTCCAATAAGTAAACAAATATTAACAACAACAAACATTATTTGTTCTAATATTTTCCCAGCATAGGAGTTGCAGTTTTTGATGTTATATATTAAGTATTCACAATATGTGAAAAATGGGGATAGGTAGTATACCATTAGAACAAACCCATGAAGTAGGTGCTCGCATTATTCCTACTTTTGCTTTTTTAAAATTAGGAACTTGGAGTGGTTAAGTACCTTCACAAGATGGTAGTAGGTGGGAGACAGGACTCAAATTCAGACCATCTATGTCCAGAGCCCCACTCTTGTCTACTCACTACCCGGCCATCAGCCACCATAAGCATGCTGTTGCTTCATTCTCAACTCTTCTCTGCCTGCCCTCTTAGTGCTTGGATGTCTTATTTGCCACCATCCAATATTCAAGGGACCAGCTGTCCTTGTCTCCAAGTGAAATTGCTCTGCAGGTTAAATGTCATTCTTGTTTTCCCCTTATTAAGGTGGGTCCACTTCTTGCCTTACAGTTTCCTCTCCCTGCTGCACACTTCCCTCATATTTCACAGGTCCCTAGGATTACCAACATATTCAAAGTAAACATAAAGTAAAAATTCAAGACACTGTTTAGAACAAAATATTCACTTTATAATACACATGTCTAACAAAATACTCATGTCTAGAATATACAAAGAGCCCTCAGAAATCAATAAGTAAAATAAAAACTGAACAAATGTCTGAATGGTCATAACACAAAGAAGATATCCAAATGTTCAATAAACACATCAAAAGGTAAGCAATATTCCTACTCATCGGGGAAATGTAAATTAAAACCACAGTAGTATACCACTACACATTCACCAGAATGACCAAAATGAAAAAGACTGAAAATACTAAGTGTTGGTGAGAATGTAGAACAACTGTACCTACTACGTATTGCTGGTGGGAGGGTAAAAGAGTACAACACTTTAGAAAACTGTTGGGCAGTAATGAAAATAAATATTTGCCTCCTTATGACTCAGAAATGCTACTCCTGGGAATATACCCAAAAGAAATGAGTGCATATATTCACAAAAAGACTGGTATAAGTGTACATAGCAGCTTCATTCATAATCCCCTCAAACTAGAAACAACCCAAAGGTTCATTAGTAAGAGAGTAAAAATAAATACATTATGCTATATTTATGCAATAAAAACAAGCTGCTGAGATATACACAAACATGGATATCAAAAAAAAATTTTGACTAATAGAAGCCAGACACAACAAGTACATACAGTACAATTCCATTTATGTGAAGTCCAAGAGGAGGCAAAATAACCTTTAGTGATCAGTTGAGAAATAGGATGGTGATTACATGACAGTATAAATACATATTAATTCAAGATGTATAATGCATGTAAATTATACCTTAATAAAAAGATTTTATGAAAGGTAATAGAAAATTATTTAGGAGGAAAATATGAAAAACTGACTTTCCAAATTACTTCTATGCCACGTTCATAACATTTCAAGTCATTAATAGCTGTCTCTCTTACTTCGAGGAAGGTCAGTAAACAGCCATGAAGCCTGAATTCGCCTACCCTGTACAGAAAGTTAACTGGCAGATGAATTCAGGGTTATAGGCATCCCAGGTCTTAATAATTCTGTTTTCTGTTCATTTACAGTTTCTTAAGTTTGCTAAATCACAGCATACACACAACCTAACAGTTTGGGCATACTCAAAAGAAATTGTTAAAAAGTGTACATTTGAACACATTCGCATTGCTTGGGAAAAAAAGTCAAAGTAGAAATATGGAAGTGTGAATAACTAAAAGTCCTTTTGAACTCAGTCTCTTGACCCAAGTACTTCATGAGGAAGCTAATAGCTGTCATCTACGACACTTATTTCTGCACATCAAAGTTCTTTTTCAGAAACTAATGATTCTCAGGGCCATACTGTGGCTTTCTAAAGGGGTGGTACAAGTCTCTAGACCCACTGCCTGACACTTGACAAAGAAAGTATCTGGCATACTGATATGCCAGAAGAAAGAGCAAAAGGCTATGATGTTAAGAAAGAAAGGAAAATAAATCTGGAGGGCATGAAAAGTCGCCTTGACCATCAAAGATTTGCAATTGCTAAGGTATGGTCTCAGTATAGGTTGGCAATGGGACTTAAAGGCATACTAACCTTTAATAATGAGGCAATGGGCTGGAGACAACTCAGTTAAAATAGGCTAAATTTCCCATTAGCTCTTTCTGACAGCTGTAAAGGAATCTGGGGCTCCTGGTTAACTAAAATGGCTACAGAATATAAGCCCGAACTTCACCTTTCGTTTTTTGTTTTTTGTTTTTTGTTTTTTATTTTGAGACAGAGTCTCACTCTGTCGCCCAGGCTGGAGTGCAGTGGCGTAATCTCGGCTCACTGCAACCTCTGCCTCCCGGGTTCACGCCATCCTCTTGCCTCAGCCTCCTGAGTAGCTGGGACTGCAGGCACACACTGCCAAGCCCGGCTAATTTTTTTTTGTATTTTTCGTACAGACTGGGTTTCACCGTGTTAGCCAGGATGGTCTTGATCTCCTCACCTTGTGATCTGCCCGCCTCAGCCTCCCAAAGTGCTGGGATTACAGGCGTGAGCCACTGCACCTGGCCCCGCACTTTACCTTCTACTTCTCCTCCAAAGCTTCGACATTCCAGAAAGTTATACTCCTGAATTTTCTAGTCCTCAATATTCAATTCGCAAATTGTTCTGGCTTCCAAATGTAATAACAATACCTTTAATATCTACTTAGTTTGGTTCTTGTTGATTGGCCATTATTGTCTATTGTTTCTTTTGAAATGAAACCCTTGTTCCATCTTTCAAAAAGAAAAATTATTTTCTTCATAATATTGGATAAATTTGTAAATAGTAAGCATGACATTGCTTACATAGTCATTCCTTGGTATATGTAGGGGATTGGTTTCGGGTCTACCACATGTACCAAAATTCATGCATACTCAATTCTTGCAATTGGCCCTGTGGAACCCACATATATGAAAAGTCAGCCCATCTGTATACATGAGTTTCACATCCCAGGAATACTATATTTTCCATTTGTGTTTGGTTGAAAAGAATCCTCATATAAAGGAACCTGTGCAGTTCAAACCTGTATTGTTCAAGGGTCAATTGTACTTGATTCTTAAATCTTAATGAAGATGGAAATGAATGTGAATCAACAGAAATGCTGGGACATAGACAATTCGGAACCCTGAAGTTCCTTGGCACTTGGAAACTGTTTTTAGCAATACATTCTCTCTCTGACACCCAGGCCAGGGTGCAGTGGCAGGATCTTGACTCACTGCAACCTCTGCCTTCAAGCAGGCTGAAGCGATCCTCCTGCATCAGCCTGCTGAGTAGCTGGGACCACAGGCGCATGCCACTACACCCAGTTATTTATTTGTGTTTTTGATAGAGACAAGGTCTTGCCATGTTGCCCAGGCTTGCCTCAAATTCATGAGGTCAATCAATCCCTGCCTCGGCCTCCCAAAGTGCTGGGATTACAGGCATGAGCCACTGCGCCCAGCTCAAGATTTTAGATTACACACAATATCCAACTACATAGAGATATATTAGGTATATTGCATCATTTTATTTTAAGGGCACATGATATAACACCAACTCAAAATGAGAAATCATGGTTAGCAACCAAAATTTTTGAGATACCAAAGCTAATTGAATATATCAGGGCTTTAAATTAGTGCATTTTAATTTTAATTATAATCTCTTCTTCCACAAGTGTGAAGAAAGTAAGATAACTATTCTAAGATAACCTGGTGTGTAGTAAACAGTTAATCAGGACTGTGTCAATTAAATATAGGAAGACCTGTTTGAAACATTGGCCTTTAGCAGACCTGACTTTCAGGAGTGATCCACCATTCTCTAAATGGTAAGACTGGCTCAATTTGCCTAAACTGTCTGTGCAAATAATGTGGTTTATGCTGCATATCCACTTTCCTTCTGGAAATCTGGAAGTTTGTATATCCTAGGCAGAGGGTACCTAAGTGACTGGCCTCCAGTAAAAACTCTAGGTACTGAGTCTTTAATAGGCTTCCCTGGTAAAGGCATCCCTGGTGAACACATTTCACAAGTGTTGTCTCAACTCATTACTGGAGGAATTAAGTGTATCTTGTCTTACTTCACTTGGGGACTCTTGGAAGCTTATGTTTGGTTTCCTCCAGATTTTGTTCCATCTACCTTTCCCTTTGCTTATTTTGCATTGAATCCTTTTGCTATAACACATCAGAGCCATGAATATGACTATTTGCTGAATTATGAGAGCTCTGCTAGCAAATCATTGAACCCGAGGGTGATCTTGGGATCCCTGGATACACCTGATATCTGTGAATCTCTTCTACACAGAATGAACGGCAGCAATGTTATTTCCAAAGAAAGGAGAAATAGTTTCAGGGGAACAGCATTTTTCAAAAAATGTTCAGGTCAAGCTGTCATATAAAATTCCCATCTGCTTTAGTATGAGTCTGATCAATGTGTGTGCATTCTTCTTTAAACACATAGTTCAATTACAACAACAGAAACAAAATATATTTCCTCTTTTCATTGCTTCAAGGTGAATATTTGTTTTCTTATTATTTATCTAGTAGTATTTTCCTCATACCTTTTTCTAACACAGGTCCCTTAGACTGGTCAATAACAAGTAAAACAGCTAAATTCAGTATCTTTGAGTTGAGTTACTAGCCAAATTTCCTCTGAGCACAACCTTCCTAACTTTAACAAGATCCAAAAGACATTTTCCCCAGAGATGCCTTTAACTTGGCAGAGAATGTGGGACCATCACATTTGTAGCATAGTAATTGTTTTGTTCTTGTAGTTTTAGCAAATGTTCAAGAGTCTATCTATGTATGGCCCACTGGCTTCATCCTCTTTCCTTTCTATCCAGGCTTCTTAAAAATGCAGCTGGTCACAAGAACAAATAATTGATGTGCCCAATATCCTTACTTTCTTTCACAATTTTTAAACTGGTGACATTGCTTTAAAGTGTAAAACTCCATTGGTAAACAACACGAAAAAGAATAAAAACAAAAATTATACCCTGCAAAGTAGGAAATAAAAATGTTACATGATGGAGACGTGGCTGTGGCTGACTCCTCTATAAGTACTAATGCTAAATAAAATCACCTTATACTGGGAGCTGAAATAGTATTCTGGTAAGCAATACCTCAAAATGTCAAAGGCAAAATTTTTAGACTCATGAATACCATTGCATATTTCTTTTGATTCTAATTACAATACAATTTATTCTTGATTCCAAATTCATTTTGCATCAGTGAACATTTCCTATTGTTTCTAGACATGTATCACTACATGGTAATTTGTCCATTAGTTCTCATTTGTTAAAATGTCTTCTATCAAGTCACATATGGCCAATATTAATTTTCCAAGTACAACTGCCCTTTGGCAAATGTTTATTAGCATTCACCAATACATTTTCAGCTCTTCCATGTAAAACAATTTCACTAAAATGTCTTCTCCTGCAGATATAGAAATGTCACCTGAGAAATTCATCCTTTTTTTTTTGACTCTAGAAACCCCATTGTTCTCCCACTCAAATCAAGCAATGAGCCACAAAAACTCAAAAGACCACAGACAACAATCACCATCTAAAATATAAAATGGGGAAATGACATCTGAGGGCACTCACCCACTGGATTCTGCAGAAGTGATAGCAATCAGCGGCAGAATCTTCAGGGGGAGGCTGGTTGGTCGTTGAATGTTCTCTGATTCACTTTTCAAGTCAGCTTGTTCCAACTGTCTGAAGGCGAGAGGGGGAAGCTGAATATTGCGACATGAAAGTCTCCGGACAAGATAGGGTTCCATTCCGCGGAAAGGGTCTTCCTCTTCATTACTGGAATGTAGTGTTTCCTCAGAGGCCTGAGGTAATAATTCAAGAAAGTACATATAATCAACAAAAATCACACTGTTTATCATTACATAATGGCTTAATACTTTCCTGGGAAAGAAATTAAGTAAAATGTATACATGAAAAATGCTATCTAGAAAACAGTGACATTAACTGAACAATATTTGATTAACTAAAATCTAAATTTATTTTTAAAATAGCAAATTTGTTCACCAGGTGTGGCTTGGTTAAAACAGTTAACTAACATCTTCAGTAATCTTAGAATTTATTAGCTTTGTGTGTGAATTCTATAAAATCAAGGATAAATCAAAATGTTTTTATAACTTCTATGAAATGAATTGCAAACATCATTAAATATATACATTGACATATGCATGTGTCATATATATATATATATATATATATATATACACACACACACATACAGTTATGCATCACTTGATAATGATCCATTCTGAGAAATGCATCATTAGGAAATTTCCTTGTGTGAACATCACAGTGTATTTAAACAAACCTAGATGGTACATTGTTACTGTAATAAATACTGTAGGCAATTATAACACAATGGGAAATATTTGTGTATCTAAGTATATCTAAACATAGGAAAGATACAGTAAAAATACAGTATTATAATCTTATGGCCACCATGGTATGTATGGTCCATAGTTGACTAAAATGTTATATAGCACATGACTGTATATTTATATATATCTTTCTTACATGCATGCCCATGAAGAGAGAGGAAGAAAAGTCCTATTTTTTCTGCATATTTAAGGCCATATTTGAAACATATGTTTTCATATGTCACATTTACTCAGATATACTCTTGCCAATTTTTATAAGACTGAGAGGGTAGTAAGAAAAAAAAGACTTTAAAAGAAACTTGAGGACCCAGTAGAACTGTATTTAAGTCACAGCTCAGCAGAATTTTGCAAATTTGATCCATGTTATCCACATGCAAAGGTAAACCCAGGTCAAAAGTTAATATTTTGATTCTAGTTGAGAAAAATATACTATCACATGAGCAATAATTATTTCCAAATGGCTGGAAAGTCTACTCTAGCAATATTTATTATATCCACATACTGAGAATTATAGAATCACCAAATGTTATAACATGCTTCTATAGAGTGTTGGGTTTTTGAATCTTTGCACTGCCACTTTACTATTTGTATTGATAGTGTGTTGCTTAGTCTCTCTAAGGCTTCTGTTTCTTTATTATAAAAATGGGACTAATATTTACATACAAGAATTAAATGAGATCATGCATATGATGTGCATAGTTCATTACTTGCATTGGGATTAGCACTCATATATGGCAATTTCCTTCCCTTCTGAGTTTTACAGGTGAAGAAGTTTATATTTCTCAAAATTAACCAGCTGGCTGAAAGTTGGACATTCATCGAGCTTGGAACATCCAGACCTCATTTATTACACTCCTTACTATACAACTATCTTTGGGCAAGTCACTTAGGCTCATTGAGGTTGTTTCTCCATCTGAAGACTGAGATAATAATATTTACCTCTCGGAGTCATTGTGTGGACCAAATATATAAAGTATTTGAAGCACCAATATCTGGCAAAGAGTTTGCACTCAACAAAATGGCAGCTGTTATTATAATCCAGGCTAATTTCCCCTTTCTCCATAGCTCTATGCTGTCTTTGATGCTCACTCTTCACATTGATTCCCAAATAGAAAATTTTTGTCTTCCTGATTTATATCTTGAAAAAAGGTAAAAGGATGTGAGATGGTGGACTCTATCCAACCTTGGGTTGTATTGTCCAGTTGTATAGACAAGACGACAGAAGGGTACTGAGAAGATTTAAAAAACAAACAAAAAAAAAGAGGTCAAAGCTAAAAAGAAAGTTCATTTATTTCAAATCCTAAATTCTGAGAATCTGTGCTTTGAGGAATCTACTTGCTTTATAAAACATCAATAATAATGACTAATACTTACTGAGTCTTTATTAAGTAGTGCCGTGTTTTACATATACTGTCTCATTTAATTTTTACTAAAATCCTATGAGTTACTTCTTCTTGCTTTTCCAATTTTACCCATTAAAAAACCCAGAGACCTATCATGACAGAGCCACATGGCTAGTGGGGTGATTAATCATCTTACTTCGCCTGGGACCTTTTGATTTTAGCACTCAAAGTCCTATGTCCAGGGAAACCCCACAGTCCCAAGGAAACCAGGATGATTGATCACCCTACATGTCAGGATCCAAACCCAAATCTCTTCTAGTTAAAACTGGAGCTAAAAGCCACCATGCTGCACTACCTTAACAAGTATAGTCACTGGCAGAGTGAGTATTAGTAGAAAATAACAGAACACACACTAATTGATCATAACTCAATAAGCTTCACATTTTCATTTGAAAAATTAAACAGAACTGAGATGAGAGCAGCCCTACATAAACATTAGAAATGAATGACAATCTGTCATTAAATGAGAGGATAGAAATTTTATCCCCTGCTCTGCCAGTAATTACTCAGGTGGTCTTAAGAGGTGCCATTGGTTGTTACAAAATCAGAGTACTTCATAACTGGAAGGGGTCTTAAGGTTTATTTTGTATAATGTCTTGATTTTTTGTCTGCAGAGACTAAAGACAAGCAAGGCTAAGACCAGCAGATCTGGAATAGGACCTGGGAGTCTGAATTTTAGTATGCACCACCTCTGATCCCAATGCGGAGGGTTTGAACAACACATTTTGAAAAACAATGGCTTGGAGATATCAGAAATACTATCTTTTCCATCATCTCCTTGCAATAATTCCATTTGCTAGCAACAACATAATATACAAATTTCTATAATAACCTGTTCCAGATCTGCTGGTCTTAACCTTGCTGGTCTTTAGTCTCCATAGGGATAAAATCAAAAGGTTATACAAAATAAACCTTAACACCACCTCCAGTTATAAAATACTGATTTTGCAAGAACCAATGGCAAATCAATGTTTCTGTGAGATAACAAATATAGAAAAAAACAGAAAGCATATGCACTTGGAACAGTCTTAGCTTTTAGATTGGGAAAGTGAGCCTCTGTGTACTTATGTACTTAGGAAGTTCCTCTAAGAACAGAACTTCATTCCTGGATTGGAAACAGGTCATGATTAAGTTAATGACTTATGTGTTGTGATGGTTAATACTGAGTGTCAACTTGATTGGATTGAAGGATACAAAGTATTGTTCCTGGGTGTGTCTGTGAGGGTGTTACCAAAGAAGATTAACATTTCAGTCAGTGTACAGGGAGAGTCAGACCCACCCTCCATGTGGGTAGGCACCATCTAATCAGCTGCAAGCACAGCTGGGTTAAAAGCAGGCAGAGAAACATGGAAGGACTGGAATGCCGGAGTCTTCTGGCCTGCATCTTTCTTCTGTGCTGGATGTTTCCTGCTCTCGATCATCAGACTCCTGTTCTTAAACAGGTGGACTCTTGGACCTACACAAGTGGTTTTCCAGGGACTCTTGGGCCTTGAGCCACAGACTGAAAACAGCTTTCCTACTTTTGAGTGTGATGAGAATTATAGAATCATCAAATGTTACAACATGCTTCTACAGAGTGATGGGTTTTTGGATCCTTGCACTGCCACTTTACTTACTTTTGAAGTTTTGGGACTCGAATTGGCTTCCTTGCTCCTCAGCTTACAGACCGCCTATTGTGGGACTTCACCTTGTGATCGTGTGAGTCAATACTCCTTAACAAACTCCCTTTCACATATACATGTATCCTATTAGTTCTGTCCCTCTAGAGAACCCTGACTAATACATGTGTAAATACTCTTCTTCTGGATGAACATAGAAAAGAAGAACAAAGGATGAGTCTAGCAAAGCTTCAGTAGCACTAAATATAGCTGGCCAAAGTTAACATCTTTTTATAAGCATTTAGCTGCCTACTCTGGGTGTTAGCATTGCAATTGCAAAAATGCTTTATATAACTGAGGTTATCTGTTGAATGACTTAATGTTTTTGACATTCTTTTTTAGATAAAACTGCCTCAAGACGTAACTTTTTTGAGATAATTATCTCTACTAAAAATGAAGTTTACACTCATGCTTATACTCTGTTAGTTTAAACCCACTTTCTATAAATACTTTTATCTTTACAATAAAAATGATAAAGCACTAGAGGGCTATATTCTAACATTTTCCATTCCAAAACAGTATAAGAGGCTTTTTTCACACTCTAGATCAATGTGTATCAGTTATGGTTCAGAAATAAAAAGAACAACCTTATCAGGTAGAAGGTAAGAGGTTAAATGCCTTTATTTTGGAGAGAGATGTAAAACTAATCACCAGAGCAATAAGTATCTTATGTTATTGTTAGAAAATGGCATTATGGCAGGGAGAAGATGGAAAAAAGATAGTATTTCTAATGTCTCCAAGTCATTATTTCTCAAAATGTGACATTCAAACCCTCTGCATTAGAATCATAGATGGTGCTTGCTAAAATTCAGACTCCCGGGTCTTATTCCAGATCTTCCTAAACACAATCTCTATGAGTAGGGCTTATGAGTCTGAATAAGTCACCAGTATCATTCCAGTGCATATTAAAGTTTGAGAACTAATGGTTTTGACATTTTAGACATAGTTTAATAAAACTGTTTGGCAAATATCCAGGCACAAAGATGTTCACTGCAGCTCATTTATAATAGCAAATAACTGGATGTAATCTAATTGCTGTACTGAAGGATTGGCTTAGTAAATGTTGATACATCATATGATGAAATACTATGAGGCTGTTAAAATAATGTAGAAGAATACGTAATCATGTTAATGACACAATGTTGAGTGGGAAGAACAGATTATAGAGTGCTCCCATTTTTATAAAACAATAATATCAAAACAAAACAAAAAAGTCACATATTATATTCATAAAACAATTGTTTAAGGATGTATCCTAATTCTCTAAAATGGCTCTCCTGTGCAATATTGGTAATAATTTTGTTTTAGTATCTTTATTAATTATGAGCTTCTGTATTCCCTATAATAAAGATGTCTTGTTTTTCAATTTTAAAAGTATAATAAAAGTCATAATAATAAAATGATACAACATTCACCTTGCTATTGATGGGACTTAGAAATATATTCGGCTTCAAGATATGCAATATCAAAATAAAAGAAATGCTCACATATTGAAATAACTGTAATATGAACCTGCTACCTTGTAGTAAAATAAAATTATATTCAAAAATTAGCCAACTTATATGGAATAATTGACAGACAAATAACTTTAATGTTATGCTTTTTACTGCATAAAATTCTTTCTGAAATACATGCCTAAAGTAAGCAATTCCATAATAATTGACACTTACAATGGATGAATGTTAAATTTATTATTATTATTTTCCTTTTTGTTTGTTTCAGTTTTTATCCAAGATATTTAATTAATTTCTTTGTTTAATTTTTTTTCTTTCAAAAGTAGACAATAAACTACTTAATGGCCTTTAAAACACAGGCATGCACATTACTAGGGTTAAATAAATTTCTGTGGTTCTTAATAATCTCACAGTCTCTGATATTTATTTCATATATATATAGAGAGGGGGGAGAAATAAAATTTCTATAAGAAAATCCCCTTAAGATGTGTGTGTGTGTGTATATATACATATACACACATACAGTATATGTATACACACATATATATATACATACATATGTAAACATGTATATACATATATATATTTATACATATACATATATAGGCATTGCAGGAAAGAATGTTTCTTTCTTGGCATGCAGTGAGACCACATCTCCAGACTCCCTTACAGGTAGCTATAGAGATGTCAGTGAGTGTTACATTACATGCTCATTGATTATAAGTTAAGGAAATGTGTATGGGTCTGTGTATGTGCCACTTTCAGGCCTGCCACATAAAAATTTTGTGAGTACAACCCCCTATTTCTCTTCCCCTCTGTAGCCCCTCACCATGTGTTGAAGATGGTAGAGTCACAAGATGGAAGAAGCCATGGTTTCTTAATCATTATTTACATGAGAGACACTTGCCAATCAGAAACACTTAATTTGGGGTACACGAGCCACAGATAATCTTCTGTTGGGGTAATCCACAAAAATTTAGCATTTTCTTGTTACAGGTAGTACTATTTTATGTGTATATCTCTAAAGGAGTTCAACCTATCTTAATTGTGTTTCCATTCCTATTAATTTCCCAATTAATCATTTATTGAGCACCTACTACCTTTGATGCTTGTGTCGGGTACTGAAAATGCAGAGATGAATTAGGCACCTCCTTTTGCTTAAGCACTTACAGTTCATTTGAGGAAAAATATAATAGACAGATAATCACCAGTATATGATCAAAGCTGTAACAGAGAACTTAGGGTTTACTGGAGTACATAACACTTTTGCAAGTTGAAAGAAAGTGCTAGCCAGTTGTGACATCGACAAAAAGAGAACACCTGGACTGTTGCAGACAAAAAAAGATGTAGATCACCCCATAAATTGGACATTTATTTTTGCTTTCTGTCTATCTGCTTCTCCAGTCATTTTCATTTAGTCTCATTGCTGGCTCCTCAATTAACTGTCTTTAAAACCTAGGCATTGTCCAAGCTGCTATCCTTCAACCATTTCTCTTTTCTTTTCTTTCTTTCTTTCTTTTTTTTTTTTTTGAGATGGAGTTTTGCTCTTGTTGCCCAGGCTGGATTGCAATGGCATGATCTCAGCTCACTGCAACCCTCGCCTTCCAAGTTCAAGTGATTCTTCTGCCTCAGCCTCCCAAGTAGCTGGGATTACAGGCACCTGCCACCACACCCAGCTAATTTTTTGTATTTTTAGTAGAGACGGAGTTTCATCATGTTGGCCAGGCTGGTCTCAAACTCTTGACCTCAGGTGATCCACCGCCTCGGCCTCCCAAAGTGCTGGGATTACAGGTGTGAGCCACTGCACCCGGCCGCATTTTTCTTTTCAATCTGCCTACTCAAGTTGAAAATATCATCCAAGACAATGAATACAAATATCTTCTGCCTTTTTATTTATGACACCAAGTCAGCCTTCAGCCTGACAACTGTAGGAGAATGATTTGCCTGTGTGACTACTCACTCTGTTAGCCTGGACACATGGACACATCTGGAAGGAAGGGAGACAAAACAACTTTTGTACCCCTAGCACTTAGCCAGTGCCTGGAACAAAACATATGCTAAATAAATCTTGCTGAGGAAAGAGTGAAGCATATAGACATACTCATCTCCATTTCTTCAACTGCAAGAAATTAGGAAAGAGGAAATGGTATTAGATATTGGTGTTACTAGCAATGTAGTATTTGTAACTATTATTATAAGTCAGGCATAAAGTTGAAACACATAATAGGGAATTTCTATAAAAATTCCAAAACTTCAGCCACTCAAACTGGTTGGGTCTCTCCCCATGTTCAAATATTCTTTCAAATATATAGACATCATGATTAAGTATTTTCACCTATTTTGTTTTAAATAAGAATGAAGGATTTCAGACACTCAGTGCTTTCAGTGAGCCTACACTATGCAGAGCATTGTAAAGGTCAGCATGTTAAATAGTCAGATAGGTCCAGGAAGAAGACAGTCATAGGCAGAGGATGTGTTTTGTTTTATCACTTCCAATGCCACATTCCTTTTTTTTCCTGTCCAGTTAGTTTGATGCAACATTAAGTTCTGTAAAAGTAAAGTTTCCCTGTACCTAATTTTGTAGTATAAACAAGATAATGTTAGTGACTCTTCAAGGACTAGGATACAATTTAATAGGCTATTATCACAGTGGATTAAAAGTCATATTTGCAATCTTAACATATTATATGCCAATAGCAGACATTTTCTCCATATATTAGTCTTTCATGTCCCCATGAAATTGTTAATAATGCACTAAAGCAATAATGGAAAATGAGCCTTAAATTTCTCTAAGCCTTATGCCAAATGTTTTTCCTCTTGTCTCATTACTTATTATGTATGTTTTATCTTAAAACTGAATGCTATTATTGCCCAAATAACTTTACAGGAAACAAACAAGTCAAGGCAATAAACATCCTGTCCTTTAATATAGAAAAGGGCATTGTATCGACTTAACACAATCAATTTTCAAATGGATATTTGTATATAGAAAAGATACTCTTGCAAAACTAATTCTATATAAAAATGAAAATTTCTACCTCAGGTTAACACAAAGATAACAGATAGGTTTCAAACATTCACAGAGCATAATCCAAATATAGGCTGTGATTTCATACTGATTAGAAGAGACAGAAATCACTGAAGTCCTTCTAAAGCCAATTTCCTATAACTCAGTCATCAAAACTTCCAAAAAGTTTCCAAAAAAGGAATAGAAAAATCTCTCATTCAGTAATATTCTACTGTATATTCTCATCAACAAGAAACTCGATCTGCAACTCTAGGATTCAATTAACCTTTTGTAAATAGCATTGTACATTTCCTGGCTGACTTTAAAAAATAAAGTCAATTCTATTTTGTTAGTAGAGGAAGGAAAAAAAATAAGGAAAAACATGAGTTCTGTCAATTATTTCCTTCACAGTTACATACAGTAATAGAATCCCAAGTGTAGAAAAGAAACTAACATTGTTTTTTTAGCAGCTAAAAATTATGTCTTACAGTAAGTATAGGTAAAACTCAGCCAGTTTACTCTCTCAAGTGTTTTGAAAAGTTTCTCACTTGAGGAACCAGGGGTCAAATCACAACCTTAAAAGAAATACAAAGGATCTATTGTCTTCATTCTCAAGTTTTATTTAAATACCAATACCAATCAAAACTATGTGTATAAACATGAAAGAAAAACCTAAAACCATCATTTAAGTGATGATATATTTATAATGATAAACTGGGTATGTAAATCTAGAATAAACTAACAAATATTGGGCTGTGGGAGGAAAGGGGAGACAAAGTAAAGCTAAGTTCCCTTTCCACATGCAGAGAGCCAGAAATGTTGCTTTGCTTTTGGCTTTGATATTCAGATAACTACAAAATATCCCCTTGATAAACAAACTATGGATCAAAAGAATGTTTATATTAAACTTATATTTAACATTATAGCTACTGGTAAAGCATAGGTTCATGCTTAAGATCAGGATAATAATAGAAACTTAGTAATATTTATTGTATTACATATATTGTATAGGTAGCTACTTGATTCTTATAAAAACTGTACAAAAAACTGTTACTATTCCCATGATACAGATTTGGAAATGAAGCTTAAACAGGTTAGTTTGTCCATAGTGACACTATCAACTGTACAGAGGTTAGTTTGCCTGGAATGAGAACAGCAGGCTGGTTCCATGGGAGCTTTCCACAGGCCATCTAGGCCTGGCTCCAGCCTTGCTTCAGACAAAAAAGAATGTCTCATGTGGTCTGAGGACTCATGGCAATGTGTGTGCAGACCTCCCTCTAGCCACCTCGTCTTTTAAGACCTCTCAGTTCTAACTGAGGATCCTTCAGAGTTTTGAGACCAGGTTTAGCTGATATCAATGTTCATAGTTTTAGCCCAAATGTAACATTGCCCCCATTTTTCAAAAACCTCTAACAAATTCAGTAACCCAATGTGAGGAATAGAAATAGGAGGCATAAAACTATAAGAAAAGTGAAGGCAACTTTATCCTTATTTGATTACAACCTAGTTTAATGTAGGAAACCCAGAAAAATCAACTGAAAAATAATTGAAAATAAGAATAGTCAGGTAAGTTTGTCCAGTTTTAAAGTAAAATATGCAAAAGGCTTTTATTTATAAAATCAAAGACCAGTTGTTAAAATTACCACACCAACATCTCATTTATAAAAACAAACAAAACCAAAATGTTTAAAAATAAGCTCAGAAAGAAATAAGTAGAACTTAGATTAAGAAATCTATACAACTTTTCCAAGACTTATATAATCAAGACTGATGTTCCTTTGAATAATTTTCTAAGTTTAATGTTATTGCAAGAAAATCATCTCTTTTTTAGTTTTTTATTTTACTTTTTGGAGGAATTAGGCCATGTTATAAAATATAACATGGTTACGGTCTTGCTCTAATACATATAAAATTTTACCATGAAGCCACAATAACAACCAAAAGTGTGGTACCTTCAAATAATCAACAGAAAGTTTAGTGGAAAAATACAAAATTCCCTTAAATATTTTCTTATATAAGAACTTAGTATGTGTCAATATGTGTTACAGGAAACACTACTAGCTATTGGGAAGAGAACAATTATATAAGTGTTAGGAAAGTGACTATGTACGTGTGAGATGAAATAAGAGCAATATTAAATACTGTAAAAGTATTCTGTAGAGTTTCATCAGCGAGAGAGCTAATTCTCCACCAGAGACGCCAACTTAGCAATAATATATGATCCAAAAAGTTTTATGAAAAGTCTAGAAACCAGTCAAGAAGTTGCAGTGCCTGAGGCAAACTTAAAGAAAATAATAGTCTCATTGAAACAGATGAGAAAAGGCATTTCACGTCAACCATGACAGCCCTTCCTCCAAGCCAGCACAGCTTGGTGTCATCAGGAAAAATAAATCACACCTTATGACTTCTCCCTTAGGAGAGAAAGAGAAGAGTGGAATGTATGTCCAATGTTCTGGTTTTTCAGAGTGTTGTCTGAGAGACTGGTTTCTGTCTTGCCTGATTCAGAGCACTAATGGAATCTACATACTTTGGATGCCTGGGGTCTGCAGAGAGCAAAAGGTAACTCAGTGGCTTATTGCAATGCCACAGAACCTGCAGTGGTACAGACAGACACCAGACGGAGAAGGAGATTAAAAGCTCTTGGAAGAAAAAGAAGCAAATCACTCTAACTGGGAAAGAACACACACAAATTCAAAGAAGATGTATCCCGTGGTAAAAAAAAAAAAAAACAAAACAAAACTGGAGAGGCTCCCAAAATCTCTATGTGGGCTAATTGGTAAAAGTCTTCCCCTGTATGAAGCCAATTTATAAGGACTGAAGAGGTGGCTGCTTTTTCAAATGCACAAATCACAGAAAAAAATAACTAGGCACACAAAGAAACAGGGAAACATGACACAATCAAAGGAACAAAATACACCTCCAGGTACCAACCAGAAAGAAATAAAAATTTATGTTACTTGGCAAATAATTAAAAATAATATTAAAGAAGTTCAATGTGCTAGAAGAGAGCACAGACAGAAAACTAAATGAAATTAGGAAAATGATGCAGGAACAAAATGAGAATATCAACAAACTTCAAAAAGAAAACAAACATTCATGGAGATGAATACAGTAATTGAGTTGAAAAGTTCACTAGAGCATTTCAACAGATGACTCCATCAAGCAGAAGAAAGAATAAATGAACTCAAAGAGAGGCCACTTAAAATTATGAAGCCAGAGATACAAAGAGGAAAAAAAGAAGAATGAAGAAAAGTGAAGAAAGACTAAGAAACATATGGGACACCATCAAGTGTTCCAACATACACATAATGCAAATCTGAGAAGGAGATGATAGAAAGAGAGAAGGACAGAAAGCTTATTTGAAAAAAACAATGGCTAGATACTTGCCAAATCTGAGGAAGGAAATGAACAACCAAATTCAAGACACTGATAAAACTCAAACGTGGAAAAACCAACATACCAACATAAATTATAATCAAACTGTCAAATATCAAAGACAAAAAGGGAATCCTGAAAGCAGGAAGAGAAAATGGCTCATCATGTGCAAGCGACCTTCAATGACATTAGCAGATTTCTCAGGAGAAACATTATAGGCCAGAAGGGAGTGGGACAATATATTCAAAGTGCTGAAAGAAAAAGTCTGTCAACCAAGCATACTCTTTCTGGCAAAACTGTATTTTGAAAATGGAGGAGAAATAAAGATAAACAATGGCTAAGGTAGTTCTTTAGCACTAGACTTGACTTACAAGAATTGCTAAAAGGAGTCCTTTGAGTTGAGACAAAGTATGCTAGACAGCAACACAAAGGAAAAGGTAAATATTTAGACAAATAAAAATCGTATAATATTGCAATGGTGGTGCATAAATTATTTTTAACTCTGGTATAGAACTTAATTATAAAATATAAATATAAAACTATGTTAACAAATGCAAAATATAAAAAGCTGTAATATGTGACATTGATAACATAAATGGGCAGAGATATAAAGGAGTAGAGTTTTGTATAGAGCTGTCTGCTAACTATGATATCCTAAAACTGAAACTGTGGCCTGAGAGCAGTCCTGTCTCCACTTAGCGACCTGTCAGGACTCATTCCCATCCATGTTCTCGGAGACAGGCTTGCCAAACTTGGTTCCACAGCAGATTCTGAGATGGCCCTATAACTTTGCTCCATTCCCACTTAGACTTGGCCCAAGGTCAATCTTGTCCCCAGAGATGTATGCCCATCCAACTCCCTGGAGGCAAGTCCTCTCAGATGTGGACCCTGAAGCAGCAGTGACTTAGTTCCAAGCTCTCTCATGTTGATCTGGGGACGGTTCTCCCTACCCATAGACATACTCAGAGAGCCAGGGGGAGTCCTCCAGAAACCCAGAGGGAACCACGCCTATCTGCATACCTAATAACAGGTCTGCCATTGGTGGAAGAGAAGGTTGTTAAAATCAGCCTGTAAAGACCGAAAGACTGTTTGCTTCTTCAAATTCACAGACACCAATGCAAGCCTACATGGATAACAAATAAATAATATGGAATAATATATTCAAAACATTGAAAGAAAAAAGCCTGTCAAATAAGAATACTGTACCCTGCAAAGTTAGCCTTCAGAAATGGAGAGGTAAAGACATTCCCAGACAAACAAAAACTGAGGATGTTCATTACCACAAGACCTGCCTTATAAGAAATACTAATGTGATTCTTCAAGTTGGAATGAAAAGCTGCTAAATAACAACATAAATACATATATAAGTATACAACTCACTGGAAAAGGTAAATACATAATTAAATTCTGTATACTTGCATGTGGTAATGGTGATGTATAAATTATTTCTAAATTTAGAATAAAAGTTAAAAGGTAAAATAATTAAAAATAAACCATAGTTACAGTAATTTGTTAATGGATATGCAATACAAAAAGATGCAAAGCATGACATCAGTAGCACAAAATGACGGGGGAAAGTAAAAGTGTAGAGTTTTTGTATGTGATTGAAATTAACTTGTCATCAGCTTAAAATAAAATATTATAATTAAAAGATGCTACAAGATGTTTTTTGAAAGTCCCATAGTAATTACAAAGGAAAAAAAAAAAAAAACTCTAATAGATCCAGAAAAGACAACAAGGAATCAAAGCACACCACTACAAAATATCAACAAATCACAAGACAGCAACAACAAAAAAAAGCACAAGAACCACAAACCCATCAGAAAGCAATTTTTTAAATGGCAGTAATAACTCCTTACCTATAAATAATAATCTTGGATATAAATGGATTAAATTATTCAATCAAAAGACACAAAGTGGCTGAATGAATTAAAAAAAATCCAACAAAATGCTGTCTCATATTGGGACAATAAGAGACTCACTTAAGCCTTAAGGATACACATAGGCTGAAAGCAAAGGGATAGGGAAATATATTACATGAACCTCAACAGACCAATAGCAAGTAAGAAGATTGAATCCATAATTAAAAAAAAAAACTCCTAACAAAGAAAAGCACAGGACCATGTGGCAACAAGGGTGAATTGTAGCAAGCATTTTAAGAATTAATACAAATGCTTCTCAAACTCTTCCAAAAAAAGTGAAGAGAAGGGAACACTTCCAAATTCATTTTATGAGGCCAGCATTACCAACAGACCAGAATCAGATAAGGACCCTATAAGAAAAAAAATTACAGGGCAGTATCCCTGGTGAACATAAATGCAAAAGTCCTAAACAAAATACTAGCAAACTGAATTTGACAATACATTAAAAATATAATTCACCATGATTAAGTGGAATTTATCCTAGATTTGCAAGTATGATCCAATATACACAAATCAAAAAATGTAATATACCGAATGAACACAATGAAAGATAAAGATCATATGATCTATAATCATCTCCATAGAGGCAGAAACAGTGTTTGACAAAATCCAACATCCTTTCATGACAAAAACTCTCAACAAATTAGGAATAGAAGGAATGAACCTCAAGACAATAAACGCCATATTTGAGAAGCCCACAGCTAACATCACACTAAATGGTGGAAAACTGAAAGCTGCTTCTCTAAAATCTGAAACAAAACAAGAATGCTTACTCTTGCCATTTGTGTTCAACACAGTAATGAAAGCCCTAGCCAGAGCAATTAGGCAAGAAAAAGAAATAAAAGGCATCCAAATTAGATTTGCAGATGACATTTTCTATATTTAAAAAAAAACTCTAAAGACTTCACTAAAAAACTGTCATAATTAAGAAAATAATTCAGCAAATTTACAAGATATAAAATCAACATACAGCAACTAGTTGCACTTCTATATACTAACAATAAACTATCTGTAAAATAAATTAAGAAAAACAATCCCATTTAATAATATCTAAAAGAACAAAATACTTAGGAATGAATTTACCCAAGGAGGTGAAAGATCTCTACACTTAAAGACATTAATGAAAATGAAAATATATCCCATATTTATGGATTGAAAGATTTCATATTGTTAAAATGTCCATATGGGATCTACATATTAAATGCAATCCTTATCAAAATTTCAATGGAATTTTTCACAGAAATAGAGAAAACCATTGTAAAATTCATATGAAACCAAAAAAGACCCTGAATACCCAAAGCAGTCCTAAGAAAGAAGAATGGCTGGGCGTGGTGACTCACGCCTGTAATCCCAGCACTTTGGGAGGCCTAGGTGGGTGGATCATGAGGTCAGGAGTTCAAGACCAGCCTGGCCAAGATGGTGAAATCCTATCTCTACTAAAAATACAAAAATTAGCCGAACGTGGTGGCAGGTGCTTGTAATCCCAGCTACTAGAGAGGCTGAGGCAGAGAATTGCTTGAACCTGGGAGGCAGAGGTTGCAGTGAGCCAAGATCATGCCACTGCACTCCAGCCTGGGCAACAGAGCGAGACTCCATCTAAAAAAAAAAAAAAAAAAAAGAAGAAGAAGAAGAACAAAGTTGGAAGCGTCATACTCCCTAATTCCAAACTATATTACAAAGCTATAGTAATCAAAACAGTGAGGTACTGGCATAAAAACAGACACACAGAACAATGGAACAGAATAGAGATCCCAGAAATAAACCCTGCATATATAATCAGTTAGTCTTTGACAAGGGCATGAATAATATACAATGGGGAAATAATAGTCTCTTCAATAAATGTTCCTGGGAAAACTGGATGTTCATATGCAAAAGAATGAAATTGTATCCATATTTTATTACATACAATACAAAAATGTGCTTAAAAGAAATTAAAACATTAAACCACAAAACTCCTGGAAGAAAACAGGTGGAAAGCTTCTTGACACTGGTCTTGGTGATTATTATTTTAATATGATACCAAAAGTGTAGGCAACAAAATAAAAAATAAATGGGACTACATCAGACTTAAAAGCTTTTGCACAGCAAAGGAAACAATCAGCAAAATGAAATATTTTCTACATATGGATGATAGAAAATATTTGCAAACCATACATAGTTTTACCTTGGTATCCATGGGGGATTGGTTCAACCTTTCCCACCCTCTGCAGAAACCAAAATCTTCAGATGCTCAAGTCCTGCATATAAAATAGCATAGTATTTGCATATAACCTACATACATCCTCCTGCATACTTTAAATCATCTCTATGTTATTTATAATACTAATACTATGTAAACACTATGTAAATAATTATACTATATTACTTTTTAATTATTTTTATTGTTTTATTATGTTTTTTCAAATATTTTTGATTCTCAGATAATTGAATCCCTTGATGCATAACCCACAGATACAAAGGGCTGAGTGTACCTGATATGTTCAAAATACACAAAAAAATCCTACAACTCAATAGCAAACACTCCAATAACCCATTTTAAAAATAGGCAAGGGACTTGAATAGACATTTCTCCAAAGATGACATACAAATGGCCAAAAGGTATATAAAATGGTGTTCACCATCATTAATCACCAGGGAAATGTACATCAAAACCACAATGCGGTATCTTCTCACACCCATTAGGATGGTCATAAAAAGTGTTGGTGACTATGTGGAGAATTGGGAACGCTTGTAGCACTGCGGTGAAAACGTAAATTGGTAACTCCATTATGGAAAACAGTATGAAGATTCCTCAAAAAATTAAAAATAGAGATACCATATGATCCAGCACTCTAATGTTTGGGTATATATCCAAAGGAAATGAAAGGAGCATGCTGAAGAGATGTCTGCACTGTCGTCTTCATTGCAGCATTATTGACAATAGCCAAGGTATGGAACCAACCTAAGTGTCCATTGACAAATGAATTAATAGAGAAACTGTGGTGTATATACAATGGAATATTATTCAACAGTAAAAAGAAAAACAAATCCTGCCATTTGAGAAAACATGGATAAACCTGGAGGACATTATGCTAACTGAAATAAACCAGACACAGACAGCCAGATGCTGTATGATCTTGCTTATATGTGTAATCTAACATAGTTGAACTCATAGGAACAGAGAGTAGAATGGTGGTTGCCAGAATCTGGGACATGGTAGAAATGGGGTAATGTTGGACACAGCATACTAACTTTCAGTTATAAGACAAATACATTATGGGGATTTAATATTGCAGCTTGGTGACAATAGATAATAATACTGTATTGTTTAAGTTTGCTAAGAGAGTAAATGTTAAGTATCCTTAATACTTAATCCTTACCACACACACACACACATATACACACACATACATACATAGAATAAGGTAACCATTTATAGGGATGGATGCATTGATTAATTTATTGTGGTAATCATTATACAATGTATACCTATATCAAGTCATCACATGTCTACCTCAAATATATACAATTTTTATTTATTATTTATACCTTAATAAAGCTGGGGAAACAAAAAACAAAATATGCTTATCCTCTCAAAATAATAAAACATTAGTCATTTATCAAGCCTTTAGATTTAACTAATAATTATAGAAAATTCAAAGGACAGGTTGAACAACACAATAGAGATACAATCAGCAAAATTGAACCTATGAGAAACTCTGTAAGATGTATGACCCAGTTTTTTTAAAAGGGTGCAGAGAGAAAGGATAGAAAGAGGAAATTTATAGTGTAAAAGAGAATTCAGACACATAATGATTTCGATCTGTTAACCTTAGTTGCTACCATTTCATACCAAAAATTAAAATTATTTAATAAAATTGTTTTAAAAATCAGCTACATTTGATAATAAGAAATTATTAGGAAATTTTTTAGGAAAATTTACAAGCATCTTAATGTTATTGAGGTAATTTTTAAAAGACTATTTTTAGATACATACTAAAGGACTTACAGATGAAGAAATATTGTGTATTGAATTTGAAAATAATTGTAGAGGAAGGAAATATGGGTAAAGGTACAGATGAAACAAGAACTAGTTGTATATCGAGAATTGTTAAAACTGGGTGATGAGTATTTAAGATGCATTATATTAGGTTGGGCGAAAGCAATTGTGGTTTTTGCCATTAAATGGCAAAAAAACACAATTACTTTCGCGCCAACCAATTACTATTCTCTGTACTTTTGCATATATTTGAAATTCTCAACTACGTATTTTTAAGTATAAAAATGTATAATAATTTTCTCCTTTAGTTTACAGAAGGAGAAATAAGGTGCTGTGCAAAAAGGAGGTATCCCTGCAAGCAGAAGAGTCACCAAAGTAAAACAGTGTTTGCATCACCATTTTACCTAAGGCTGGCTCTAAAACTAGGGTTAAGCAATATGTCCCCCATGCCCTATGAGAAGGCTGAGAAAACTAATTAAAACAAATTCATAAATTGCTAAGTATTCCTCAGAGATAGACGCTTGTATACTCAACACATAATAATGATGATAATGATGATACAGGATATTAAGGTTATGTGGCACTGCTCCATAATAGAAATTTTTCCCATTGTTCTGTGCTGTAAACATGATGATGCATAGGTCTAATCCAACCATTAAGTATCCATTAACCTTTTAAAAATTAAGTGCTTCTTTTCTTTTTTCCTGAAACTAAGCAGGAGAAAATGTTATCCCTTATAAAATAACATTTAACAAAAATCTATTACCATATCCAATTTCAAATAAACAGCAAGTTTCCAAGAATTTAATAAGCTATTGCTTTACATAGTTAGCATACAGCACCTCAGGACTGCATTTTAAATACATTCATTTCTAGAACTCAAATTCAGGGCTTTAGACTTTTTATTTTCCCTTCAAGTTTATAAAGAAATTTTTCATCTTTCTGGATTTTGAAAATATTAAAATGCTAGACCTTCACAATAAAAGGTGCATAGAATTTCTATTAAAAACTATATACTTAACTATGTGTTCCTTTGCCACATGTTGGCCTCTGAACATTATTTTCTAGGTTAGTTATAGTATGATTTTTCAAAACGTCACCTTCAGTTACCACCCCAAACAATGAAAACTGAAATCAGTTCTCAATGATTTGATTTGTTATCATGGGTCTTCTTGAAGGATAGAATAACAAATCATGCCAAACCTCAAGGCAACGTGTGTTTTGTAAGTTAAATTACAAATACCAGGGAATAAAAGTATATTTGCATCACGTAGGAATGATTAACTGCTGCTTAGATGACACAAAACGATTGAAAATGGAATAATCACTGTCATCAATATGGACATAAGATATAAGATATAGTTAAATATCAGAAAAATCTCAACTATTGGATATTTTCATTTAAAAATCTAGCCAATAATTTCCTGTCCATACCATAAATAAATAACTGGCAAACTGCTTTCTCAGTTTTGTTACCACACATACCTACACTACTTTAACTTTACTATGCTTAATATTTAATGTAAAATACATAATCCCATTCTATGTCACTGTCTGATAGGCTTTCAGGGTTGGCAGTAACTTTAAATGTCATCTACTTCAGTATTTCCCTTGTTTCATGACCCTCTACTTATATTGTTAATTACTTTTTCCTACAGCACTGACAAGTAGACCATGATTCTATGTTTGAATATCTCCAATTATGAAATCTACAAATATTTAATTAGCTCCTACTACATGGCAGGCACTGATTTAGGTGCTCTGATATAGCTGTAAACAAAATTGACAAAGATCTCTGCTCTCAAAGAGCATATATTCTAGCTGCTCCTGGAATGGAATTCACCACTCGCAACCTGTTTTGCCACATTTATTCAGTTAAGAGTGGCTGAGTACAAACATTGTCAGAAACTCTTCTCGGTACTGATGAACAAAAGATGAATAAAATAGCCAGTCTCAAGTCACTATAAGATAGTTATTCTATATGGTTAATGGAAATATGTTTTCTTATTATTAATACCAGTGTTTAACATTTTGGGGACACAAAGATTGGGTCTAATTGCTCTGCCCTATGAAAGCTCTCCAGATATATTTATATCTCTCCAACCCCAACCTTGTTTTACAGGCCATGAATTCCCCAGTCCTTTTTTATCCCCCCGGGTGTTAGCACCCCGATTGCTATAGGCACCAGAAATTTAAAGTAAATGAGTAAAGTGGTCTGAGAGGAACACAAACACAGGATCACACACCCTCACAGTAGCAAGAGTAAATCCCAGAAATCTATATTTAATGAGACATCTACTAATTTTGAAACATCTGCCGCAAATTCAAATTTCTAAAAACCCCATATGGGCCATTTAGAACACATCTGAAGGCCATAAGTTTGGAACCACAGCTTTAGGTATTCTTCACGTGACACAGTTTGGACTCATCTTTCCATGAGGATTGCAAGTTTTAGGTGTACACTACTTCTCAAAGTTCTTAAAGTGAATTGCCCAGGATTGGGGTCATAGCTCTAGCTATGGGAGAAGCAACATAAATTTACAGCCAAATCATTACCTTTTCTATTCTAAACCCAGTTCTATTCATGAAACCCAAGAATGAATGAATATTTGGGGGAAATAATGTCATATTATTGATTTATGCTTCTGTAACTACCACCTAAACCTACAGTTGTTATTAAACTATGTCTCACCTTTGCTCCTATTGCTCCTCAAACAACATTAGTTCCTACTTCTCTCTGGTGTTTTAGACTTTATATTTTCATTTTAGTATTTTGTCTTATTATATTTACCTCTCCCATTTAGTCTGTCAAGTAATTTTGTATGCTGATTTTGTTAACAGCCATATTAGTGGTTCCTGCCATTTTTATTTCATCTGTGGATTAGCTCCTTATGCCATTAATACCACCCTCAAAATTAACAATGAAAATGGTGAACAGGAAATGTGAAGACCAAATCCTTCAGCCAATTACTAGAGGTCTCTCTCTAAACATTGATTCATGAATACAGGCATTCAGCTGTTACTCTGCCTAACAGTATCATCAACTGCCTTCCTACATCTTAAGCATAAGTTCATCATGGAAGGTTTTTATCAAACGTTGAAATTCAGATAGACAGGGGGAGCAGCACTCCTCAGATACACTGGTCTTATGGGAAAAGTAAGTTATTTAATCTGATATGCTTTACTATTAGTGACCTAATACAAGCTCCAGGTGATCATCACTTTCCTTTCTAAAGGCTCACAAGATTTTTTTTTAAGATCCATTGAAGAACTTTTCCTAAGATTAATCAATTGATTGATTCATTCATTCAATAATTATTTATCGAGTGCCTATATTAGGCACTGGAAATACAGTAGTGTGACAATGACAAACATTCCTGCCTTCATAGAATTTCACTAGTGTAGGGGAAGAGAAAATAAACAGTATAAACAAGTGAGCTATATAGAATGTTAGCGTCATGTGTTTAGGATATAAAAAGCACTAAAGTAGATAGAATGTGTTAAAATCAGATCAAGTTAGAAAAATTTTTTAAAGTTTATTGAGCATACAAAAGGACAGTTTGCAAACCAGGGACCTCAAATCAAAAGTGGTAAGAAGCTCTGTTCACAGCATTTAAAATGCAGCTTATAAAGCATAATTAAGGAACTGCATCTGTCTTCGCTGTGGTTGGCTATCATAAACTTATATTCCTTTTAGGACAAGTAAAACTGTTTAAGCTGATTTGTCTGCAGCTGATTGGTTTAATTTTACTGAGTCATGTTGACAAGGATGAAAAGCTCACATTTCACGTTTTGTTTATGGTTAGACCTAGTATTTTGGAGAAAATTGAGATAATTTAAATTTTGGTTATGTGGCTAATGGCAGTTGGTCTTGGAGTATGTACATTGTGGCCTCTATTTTTTTTAAACAAAAGTCTATAGAATGGGGAGTAATTTTAGATAGGGATCCATGAGAAGCCTCTGTGAAAGTAACATTTGCAAAAAGAACTAAAAGAAATACAATTAATGTCCTACTCCCTAAGGACATAAGTGGGGAGAATTCACTTTCCTCTTCTTCCTGAAAATTAGAATAACTCAATCCCATCTCTAATATACTGTTACGTATTTCCTCAAAGCCACTGGCAAGTTATTTAACTTTTATATGTCTACTCATTTGTAGAACAGGCATGAAAATAGTGCCCACCGCATGCAGTAATTGTGAAGATTCAGTGAGATAAAGCACATAGTTTGCAACAGTGCAAACACTTGCAAAGCACAATGTATTCTGAAACATGTTTCTCTAATGCAAATACATTCATACAAAATTGATAAATTAGGGGTACATGTCAATATACCATGGACATTTTGTGGATTCAGATGTGATTTTCCCCAGCACATTATGTTTTCACAAAGTAAAAATCAGTCAAATGCAAATACACAAAAAAGTTTATCACTCCCCAGGGGTGGTATGTGGTACTGCACATGACATCTGTGTACCCCTCATACTTCCTCTTGCCTCATTTTGGCCACAGGCTTTGTGTTCATAAAGCCTATTGCATGGAACACTCGATTCTTTGTGCATTTTGCTCTTGTCTTATGGTGAAATGTTGTATTTGTTTCAAATATTATGATGCAGACTGAATATCTTCTACAACATAGGATAGCTATCTAATGTGCAATTTTGAGATTATCTTTAGTTCTAAATCATTTTTATTTTACTCAATTTTATAGGTAGTAATGATTTTTTAAACCTTTGTAGTAAACACTAGTAAAGCATTCAGTTATTGGTATTATCTAAAATAAACTCAAACTAAAACCTCTTAATAACTTCTCACTTACATCAACAACAGTAAAAAGTGTGTTCTGCATGGCACAAAGGCCATGCATATGTGAGATGAAAATGAATTGTATCACTTCACAGGAGAAATTTATCTCAACCTGCACTGTTTCTCAGGAGAGGACTGATGCAAACACAGTGCTAATAAAGACAAGATTGTAATTCTGATTCCTTACCAGTCCCTGCCAGCTTCACTGAGGAAAACAGGTCTGCAAACACAAAAGGCCCCATTAGTTCCAGCAATCACTTCAGAAAAGATGTCATTTTTCATAGAGAATTTCAAACAAAAGAACATGGACAGCTCCTCCTAAGTGGTCAGCACTATTGAGAGTGAGAAATGGAGCTCCAGAAAGGGCATGTTCTGCTGATGGGTGGGTCAAAGACCTATGCATAGATTCCTCATTTGAATATCTATGTGGCATGAGAGGAAAAGACAAGGTGCAGGATTTAGCCTGTGGCAGTAGTTTGCTGACACCTGTCCTAGACTGTTACTAGATGAGAACAAATAATACTTGGCAAAAACGAGAAGTCTGGTTAAAAATGACTGTTATTCGTGAGTGCTGGGAAAAGCGACACACATTTGCAAAAGTTTTTGTAACAACGTTTACTTCTATACATTTCTTAATTTTATGCCAAAGAGACCATATTACACAAAGTTTTTATTAAGCCCTGTCTTTTCTACTGATACTATATTGACATTAAAAACAGCAGTCTATGCATAGGTCCTTTTCTGCTGTTGTACCACATGGCAGTTTAGTATTTGTAGCAGAAATGATGTGGCCCACAAAGCTGGAAATATTTACTACCAGGCCATTTACAGTAAAAGTATGCTGACCCTTGCTCTAGGACATAAAGAAGCAGCAGAGCAAAATATGGAGACCCTGTTTCCTAATTAATAACTCGGTCATCAAAAATCTTAATTACAGCAATTCTTAAAAAGTGGTTCTAATTGACAGTTATGTTCTCCTCAGACTCAGGATCCACAAAGGAACCGGGTAGTGGAGAAATAAAGGCTCTCATAGACATTAAAAATCCATTCTAAATATGTAGATGCTATAGATCTTCAGGCTACTGACCATGACAGCCACTAACCGAGACATCACTATCACAGTGGTGCATGAAAGTAGGACTCATATAAATTGGACTATAGGTAGAAATGCTGTGTGCTGACTCACTGCCAAGAATCTCAGAAAAGCTATAAAAATGAACAATAATATATAAAAATAAGTCAGATCTAAAAATTACTCCCTATCAATGCCTAAGATACATTCATAATTGAAATCTTTAAAAGAAATTAATTGAACTTTTTAATGGGCCGAATGAGAAGGAAAAGAAACTATCCTCCCAACAAGAACTGCATGAGTGCATGCTACTTTTTCCTTTTAATGTATTTCTTTTGAATGCCACTCTAAATTTCTCCTTTTTAATCAAGAAACTCTACTTTTCTTAAACATGACTTTAAATGATTTCATTTTATTCTATTCAGAATTTTCAATGGAAAACGAAAGTACAATGTGACTTTATAAGAGAGCATAAGCTTTCAGACTGAAATAATAATCAGCATGAGGAAAGATAAGATGCTCAGAATGATTCAGAAAAAATCCTGACTTCTGCAACTGAGACATAGGAGTACCGGCAATTCCGATTTCCCTCTGGGTAGGAACCATTCAAGGAAGACGACTGCTATAACCAAAAAAAATGGACTATTCTACAGATGGAACAAAAGATGGCAGAGATAGCATCATTTTTTTGAACTGTGTGAGTACTACAAATGCCATCGACAGCTTCATAGCCTGACAGTTTCTGTGTGGGAGTCCCCTTTTTAGGAAAACATCATATTCTCAAGAAGTTAAAGATTAGATCATTGAAATAATTGAAGGAACAACCTGAATCCCATGAAAATTTAAAGGGGTTCTGATGCATGTCAGGAGCTACCAATTTGCTGCCATCGTATTCTAACCAGATGTCTTTTTCCACCTATGGCTCAAGATCTGCCCACATGCTGTGAACAAGTTTTACTTTTGGCTATAATTATGTTTGGAGACAATGGCTCCAAACTACCAAATTTTTCTCTTGCCTCTGCGCCCCATAGCTATTTGTCTCAACATACTGGGTATATCTAATTCTTGTTTTCCTGGATTTCTTGCCTGTGTCCCTGATTTCTGCTCTCTGACTCCATAAGCTTCTATATCTGGTTTAGATTCATGAGTGCCCTGACTCCGCTTTTTTGGACCCCGTATAATCCTGACTTATTTTCTGGTTCCAAACTTCACCATCACTGTGTGTTCTCATATAACTGTGATCCCTGATCTCAAACTTCCACCTCTCCCAAGGCCAACAGCTTTTGGCCAAGAACTAATAGTATCTAACACCAACCTTTCTTCTCAACTTTTAACCTTTTTACCTTTAATCACCTTGAGCTATGCAAGCGCTGATTTCTGATTACAACCTGGTCCTGATATGATAAAACCACAGTTAGTCCATTCAAAACCTAACTGCTGGTCTGCCAAGTACACCATTAAAACATAGTAGCCATTGTTAAGTACCACTGTGAGTACCTCGTGTGTGTGTGTATGCATATGTGTGTACAGTTGTCACAAAGATCTAGTAGCATCTGTGTCATGTTTTCTATTTTACAAGCAGCAAATAAGAATCCCAGAAGCACAGCAATTTGCCCTAAGTTATACTACTAGTAAAAGGTACAAGAAGTTGACAAATTTATTTCTGTCCAGCTACCAAACTACTCTGTGTGAGAGATTGTTATATGGGTGACCCATAATAAATGCTACCTCTTGGCACTGCCACTTCATGTAGTTTCTCCCATGTTGATCCTGGCCTTGCCATATGACTTACTTTGGCACATTAGAAAAATTATGCAAGCAAATGCTAGATAAGTGCTTGCACATTGGGCAGGCCTGTTCCTTTAAAACACCTTCCCTTGGAGTCAGCCTCCATATAAAAAATCTGACCAGCCTGCAAGAGACCGAGACCATCCTGGCCAACATGGTGAAACCCCATCTCTGCTAAAAAATACAAAAATTAGCTGGGCATGGTGGTGCACACCTGTAGTCCCAGCTACTCAGGAGGCTGAGGCAGGAGAATTGCTTGAACCCAGGAGGCGGAGGTTGCCGTGAGCCGAGATCATGCCACTGCACTCCAGCCTGGCAACAGAGCAAGACTCCACCTTAAAAAAAAAAAAAAAAAAAAAAAGTCTGACCAGTCTGAATCAGCCATACTATTAGGAAGCCCAAGATGATTCCACATAGAGGCCATATGGAAAAGCTCAGAGGTGCCAGGTATATGACTGAAACTTTCTTGGACCATCCAGCCCAGACCAGCTATTGACTAAATGTAGCCACGTAAGTGACCTACCTAATCAATACCACATGGAGCAGAAGACATACTCAGGAAAATCCTACCCATCAGAAATAGGAAACTGTTATTTTAATCCACAAAGTCCAACTCAGGACTTGCTGGCTTAGAAAATAATATTATTTCTCATTCTCAACCCCTCCAGATGGCAGAAGGTTTTCAGAGTAAAAAATGGTCTCTGATCAAATCAAGTACTGCTAGTACAATGTGGCCTCAGGGTAAATATCAAGTCAAGAATGTGGTAGTAAGATACCTCTTAAAACCCTTATAAGTTCCACTCTGCTAGGAGACAAGGGTGATTAAACTCTTAAAAACGTTACTGCACAGGATTCTGACTCTCAGTCTAAAGAAGAAAAGTGTCTGTCTTAAAGAGACTTGGGGAAATAGCTTTCGCCCAATGGAATGGAATATAACTGGATACATTAGAAAATTACAAAGTTTAAAAAGAAGCTGTGCCACCTTGGAAGAAAAGGGAGAGTGACAGGACAAAATGAAAAGAAGATTTTAGGCCTCCAAACCTTTAATGGAATAAATAGTCTCACAAAGTGACTCCGTTTGCGAATGAGGGCCATTTCTTACAGAAAAGGAAGGTTAACTTAGAGGAGAGAGTCAACAGGCACTGAAAACAATGGAATAGAAATCCACATCCAGAGAACAGGATCCTTTTCAGGAAACCTAGATTTGAGGGAATTGGTAACATGTTCCCAGCTGGATCTCAGAATTTTTATGAAGCACCGATTGCTATGTGCCTCTCATTTCCCTCCTTTTGAATGGCTGACTTTCTTGCTAGCGATACAACAATCCCTGTCTCATCAATGTATGTTGCAGGGAAGGGGGATTACACAGAAGGTATCATTTTAGGTACAAGTATCTAGATAAAGAGGGAACATCAACTTTAAATATACCCAATTTAGATTATGTGATTTTGGACCTTGAAGCTGGGCCCAGCACTGTAATGTGATGAGACTTTCTGAAAAGGGACAAGAAGTGCTGTGGCCAGAGGGAAGATTGTGATAGCTAGTCTCCAACTATTCCCCTCATCCCTGCCCACATATGCTATTCCTCACACCATGAAGTAGGTTGTAGTTTTCTTCCCCTTAGCTATGAGCTAGACCTGTGACTTTCTTTCACCAATAGAATGCAACAGTAATGATATCCCGGGACTCCTGAGCTCAGGTCTGACAGACCCACTTGCTCTCCCTGGGAAGCCAGCTGCTATGCTGTAAAGAAGCCCAAGCTTCTTTGGGCTAAATGATGAGACACTACACAGAGAGTATGATGATTAACTTTATATGTCAGCTTGGCTAGCCCATGGTACTTGGATATTTGGTCAAACATATCTATATTGCCGTGAAACTATTTTTTAGATGAGATTAATCAGTAAATGAGTAAAATAGAGTACCCTCCATAATGTGGATGGGCCTCACTCAAAGAATTGAAGGCCTTAAGAGCAACAATAACAAAAACAACTGATGTTCTCAAAGGAAGAGGGAAATCTGCCAGTTGATAGCCTTCGGATTTGAGTTGCAAAATCCACTCCTTGGGTCTTCAGTCTGCTGGACCATCCTGCACGTTTTGGACTCACCAACTTCCATGACCAAATGAACCAATTCTTTTTTTTTTTTTTTTGAGACAGAGTCTTACTCAGTCACCCAGGCTGGAGTGCAGTGGCACGATCTCGGCTCACTGCAAGCTCTGCCTCCTGGGTTCACGCCATTCTTAAAATAATCTCTGTTCTCTCTCTCTCTCTGTGTGTGTGTGTGTGTGTGTGTGTGTTTGTGTGTGTGTATACATACATATATATACACATACACACAGGCATACCTCAAAGATATAGCAGGTACAGTTTCAGACCACTGCAATAAAGCAAATATTGTAATACAGTAACTCACATGAATTTTTTTGTTTCTCAGTGAATATAAAAGTTATGTTTACATTGCACTATCCTGCAGTCTATTAGGTGTGTAATGGCATTGTAACTAAAAAGTGTACACACTTTAGTTAAAAATACTTTATACTAGAAAATGCTAACGATCACCTGAGCCTTCAGCAACTTGTACTCTTTTTGCTGACAGAGGGTCTTGCCTAAATGGTGGTAGCTGATGACTGATCAGAGTGGGGGTTGTGAAGGTTGGGGTGGCTATGTCAATTTCTTAAAATAATACAACAATGAAGTTTGCCACATCCATTGACTCTTCCTTTCATGAAAGATTTCTCTGTAGCATGTGGTGCTGTTTGATAACATTTTTCCCTCAGTATATCTTCTTTCAAAATAGAAGTCAGTTCTCTCAAGCCCTGCCACTGCTTTATCAAGTAAGTTTATATTATATTCTAAAACCTTTGCTGCTATTTCAACAATGTTCACAGCGTCTTCATCAGATGTAGATTCCATTTCAAGAAATCACTTTCTTGGCTCCCATAAGAAGTAGCTCCTCATCTCTTCAAGTTTTATCATGAAATTGCAGCAATTCAGCCACTTCTGCAGTTACTTCCTCTACTGCAACCTTGAAACTTTCAAAGTCATCATGAGGGTTAGCATCAACTTCTTCCAAATGCCGGTAAATGTTGATATCTTGACCTCTTCCTGAGAGTCATAAATGTTCTTAATTGTATCTAGAGTAGTAAATACTTTCCAGAAGTTTTAAAATTTACTTTGCCCAGATCCTTTAGAGAAATCACTATCTATAGCAGCTACAGCTGTATGAAATGTGTTTCTTAAATAGTATGACTTGAAAGTCAAAATGACTCCTAGATCCATTGATTGCAGAATGAATGTTGTTTTTGCAGGCATGAGAGAAACATTCATCTTCTTGTATACCTTCATCAGAGTTCTTGAGTGATCAGGTGCGTTGTCAATGAGCAGTAATATTTTGAAATAAATCTCTTTTTCCTAAGCAGTAGGTCTCAATAGTGGGCTTAAAATATTCAGTATATCATGCTGCAGACAGAAATACGGTAATACAGGCTTTGTTGTTCCATTTATAGAGCACAAAGAGAGTAGATTTAGCATATTTAATTTAATTTAATTTTAAGTTGTTGGATACACGTGCAGGACATGCAGGTTTGTCACATAGATAAATGTGTGTCCTGGTGGTTTGTTGCACCTATCAACTCATCACCTAGGACTTAAGCCCCACATGCATTAGCTATTTATCCTGATGCTCTCCCTCCCCTAGCACCCCCTGAATGGGCCCCAGTGTGTGTTGTTCCCCTCCCTTTGTCCATGTGTTCTCATTGTTCAGCTCCCACTTATAAGTGAGAACATGTGGTGTTTCGTTTTCTGTTCCTGAGTTAGTTTGCTGAGAATAATGGCTTCCAGCTCCATCCATGTCCCTGCAAAGAATATAATCTCATTTTTTTTATGACTGCATAGTGTTCCATGGTGTATATGTACCATATTTTCTTTATGCAGTCTATCATTGGTGGGCATTTGGGTTGATTCCATGCCTTTGCTATTGTGAATAGTGCTGCAATGAACATACATGTGCATGTATTTTTATAATAGAATGATTTATATTCCTTTGGGCATATACCCAGTAATGGGATTGCTGAGTCAAATGGTATTTCTGGTTCTAGGTCTTTGAGGAATTGCCACACTGTCTTCCACAATGGTTGAACTAATTTACATTCCCAGCCACAGTGTAAAAGCGTTCCTATTTCTCCACAGCCTCAACAGTATCTGTTGTTTCTTGACCTTTTAATAATCGCAATTCTGACCGGCATGAGATGGTATCTCATTGTGGTTTTGATTTGCATTTCTGTAATGATCAATGATGTTGAGCTTTTTCTCATGTGTCTGTTGGCTGTATGTATGTCTACTTTTGAGAAGTGTCTGTTCATGTCCATCAGATTAACAGCAGACCTTTCAGAAGAAACCCTACAAGCTAGAAGAGATTGGGGGCCAAGATTCAACATTCTTAAAAAAAAAAAAGAATTTCAAACCCAGAATTTCAAAGCAGCCAAACTAAACTTCATAAGCAAAGGAGAAATAAAATCCTTTTTAAACAAGCAAATGATGAGGGAATTAGTCACCACCAGGCCTGCCTTGCAAGAGCTCCTGAAGGAAGCACTATGTAAAGGAGAAACCATTACAAACCACTGCAAAACCATACCAAAATATAAAGACCAAGGACACTATATAGCAACTGCATCAACAAGTCTGCAAAATAACCAGCTAGCATCATGATGACAGGATCAAATTTACACATAACAATATTAACTTTAAATGTAAATGAGTTAAATGCCCCAATTAAAAGACACAGAATGGCAAGCTGGATAAAGAATCAAGACACATCAGTGTGCTGTATTCAAGGGACTCATCTCATGTGCAAAGATACACAAAGGCTCAAAATAAAGGGATGGAGGATAATTTACCAAGAAAATAGAAAGCGGAAAAAAGCAGGGGTTGCAATCCTAGTTTCTGACAAAACAGATTTTAAACCAACAAAGATCAAAAGAGACAAAGAAGGACATTACATAATGGTAAAGGGATTAATTCAACAAGAAGGGCTAACTATCCTAAATATATATGCACCCAATACATGAACAGCCAGATTCATAGAACAAGTTCTTAGAGACCTACCAAGAGACTTAGACACAATAACAGTGGTAGACTTAAACACCCTACTGTCAATATTAGGCAGATAATCAAGACAGAAAATTAACAAGGATATTCAGGACCTGAACTCAGCTCTAGGTCAAGTGAACCTGATAGGTATCTGCAGAACTCTCCACCCAAAAACAATAGAATATACATTCTTCTTGGTGCCACAAGACAACTTACTCTAAAATCAATCACATAATTGGAAGTAAAACACTCCTCAGCAAATGCAAATGAACTGAAATCATAACAGTCTCTCAGACCACATCACAGTCAAACTGGAACTCAAGATTAAGAAACTCATTCAAAACCACACAACTACATGGAAACTGAACAACCTGCTCCTGAATAACTCCTGGGCAAATAATGAAATTAAGGCAGTAGTCAAGAAGTTCTTTGAAACCAGTGAGCATAATTCTTAAGAGCCCTAGGATTTTTGAAATGCTAAATGAGCACTGGCTTTAATTTAAAGTCGCCAGCTGCATTAGCCCTAAGAGTAGAGTCAACCTGTCCTTTGAAGCTAGGCACTGACTTCTCCACTCTAACTATGAAAGTCCTAGGTGACATCTCTTCCAATGTAAGGCTGTTTCCTCCACATTGAAATCTGTTATTTAGTGTAGCCACTGTGATCAATGGCATTAGCTAGGTCTGGGTAACTTGATGCAGCTTCTACATCATTTGCTGCTTCACCTTTTACTTTGATGTTATGGAGATGGCTTCTCTCCTTTAAACCTCATGCACCAACCTCTCCTAGCATCTGACTTTTCTCCTTCAGCTTCCTCACCTCTCTCAGCCTTCATAGAAATAAGGAGAGTTTGGCGCTTGCTTGAGATTAGGCTTTGGTTTAAGGGAATGTTGTGGCTGGTTTGAACCTTCTGTCCAGACCACTAAAACTTTCTCTATATGAGCAAGAAGGCTATTCGCTTTCTTACCACTCATGTGTTCACTGGAGTGGTATTTTTCAATTTCCTTCAAGAACTTCTTTGCTTCAAGAATTCAGAACTTCAAGAACTTTTATTTTTTTTTTTTGCATTCACAACTTGGATAGCTGCTTGGCACAAGAGGCTTAGCTTCCAGCCTATTTCAGCTTTCAACGTGCCTTCCTCACTAAGATTAATCATTTCTAGCTTTTAATTTAAAGAAAAAGATTGAAAACTCTTGAACATGTAGAGGCCATTGTAGGATTATTAACTGGCCTAATTTTAATATTGTTGTGTCTCAGAGAATAGGGAGGTTTGAGGAGAGACAGAGAGATAATAAATGGACTAAATGGATGGTTGGTGGAGCAGTCAGAAAACACACAATCTATCACTTAAGTTCACAATCTTATATAGGCATGGTTTTTGAAACCCTAACACAATTATGATAGTAACAACAAAGATCATTGGTCACACATAACACCGTAACAAATATAATGATAATGAAAAAGTTTGAAATATTGTGAGAATTACCAAAATGAGACACAAAGTGAGCACATGCTGTGGAAAAATGGCATCAATACACTTGTTAGATGTAGAGTTTTCACAAACCTTCAATTGGTGAAAAAATAAAATATCTGTCAAGCACCATAAAGCAAAACACAATAAAATGAGGCATGCCTCATTTGTATGTTTATGTATACACACATACACACACAAACATACAGGCTGTATGTATACATATACACACACACAGCCTATTGGTTCTATTTCTCTAGAGAACACTATGACAGTGAAAGAAAAAAGATAATATACAGAGGAGCCCTGAGGCACCACAGATAGGAGTGAAGGCTTCCTGGAATTTCCAGCCCAGACCAACCCAGCCCAGCCCAGCTCAGCCCAGTCCTGTCACCAGTTGAATGCAGCTAGGTTGATGCCACATGAAGAGAAGAATCACCAAGCCAATACCTGATCTGGCCTAACAAATTGTGAGGAAAAAAAATAATTATTGTTCTTAAGCCATTACATTAAGCCACAACATAAGGAAGTGAAACATCTTCTTTTCTTCCAGCCATTCTCTCTCCCATCCTAGACATAAGCTTAATCTTGTTTAGAGGGTTAGCTCTGAAGGAAGTGGAAGGTCAGCCTATAACTGGGAATTGCCCACCTCCAATCAGTAAAGTCTGAATTTTATTCAAACCAATCATTTGGGATCATGTTTGCATTTATATGACAATTTGGAGATTTTTAATAGCCAGCTATTTGTTCATCTTATAGCTGTAGCCTTCATTTAAGGTCTCTTTATAAAGATAGATAGGAAAGGGGGAAAATCCAGACAAAGGAACTATAAGGGGAAAATAAAAGTTAGCCCTCCTACACAAAACCTCATTGGTCCCTAGAGTCTCTATGTCATAATAGATTCAGGAATGCAGTCATTGGAATGCAAGAAGGGCTGCTGCAAGTGGCACCAAGTCACTCAATGACATGCAACAAGAACAACTGGACACAGCTTTATACCTCCTGAGAGCAGTGTTAGGTAATAGGCATAGCCACAGAAGCCTTTGAGAATCCAAGCAAAATGAAATCAATTAAATTCTGCCTATCGCTCTTCAAGGAAAATGTCACGCTGTAGCCACCTTGAGACGCAAGCTCAGGGCACAAGCAGTGCTATAACGTGGCAAACAACAAAAGTGGATGCAGAGTGCTGTGCAAAGCTGCTCAGAATAAGAATTTGTGGTAATTTTAAGCATGGGATCCATCTGTCAATGCAGGAAAATGACACATTTGAGGGTACATTTATTTATGTAAGGAGTGTAAATTTTATACCATCATTAGCATACTGGATGAAAAGCTGAGGTCAAATTTCAAGTCAATTACCGGATGCTCTGTTATAAATGCAGGAATACTAAATACACTAAGAATATTGGTATTGATACTTCTGTAAATCTAACCAGTGTTCTTCCTCTCTCAGGAGAAAGCAGGAGCAGACCCTGTCTTTAATGTCCTGGTGGTGGACCATTTCAAGTCCATCCTCAAGAAGCACATCTTAGCAGTAAATATTGCATTTTTATTTTATTTTTACCTTAATTTTATTTTTTAAAAGAGATGGAGCCTTGCTACATTGTGTAGGCTAATCTCAAACTCCTAGGCCCAAGTGATTCTTCTGACTTGATCTCCCAAAGTGCAAGGATTGCAGGTGTGAGCCATCACACCTGGCTGAATATTGCATGTTTTTGTGTAATTAGTAGAAACAAACATCCCTCCTCTTTGGACATGGAGCTGTATTAATGGCTGCTGTATTACTGGCTGCTGTCTTCCAGCTGTGGTTTTGTCAAAGATTCCAATTTAGAGAGCCAGAGTCTGGATAGGACAGTTTTAAAGGTCATTTTTTGTAGCTTTATTCTCCTTAAAAGAGCTCCTTTTCCAAAATCAGCTTAGCTTAGAAGATGGGCTAAAAACGTTTTTGTAGATGGACTCCTCTGTACCCATACCACCTCCTAAAGTTCCCTATAATCTTTCGAATAACAATAAAGTCACCATATTTATTGAATCCTTATAACAGAGGAGTATTCCTGTAGAAGAAATGGGGAAGTTAATTTAAGTTATGGAGAGTGCCTAGACTCAAGAATTTTATATTCCTTTAGACAAGGTCTTTAAATGTTTTCCTTTAATCATAATCCAATTTTTAAAATGTGAAAACCAATTATGGCTCTAACTTTTTTGCTATACTTACCTCTTTCTATTACAGACAGGGATATCAATGAAGTTCTTGAGAGCATCCCAGCTCTCTCTCTGTCTAAGATGTCACATCCCTCATTACATCTCAATGTCCCTCTCAGCCTGCGCTCCCAGGCTCCAGATACAGCTGCGAAGCCTCTATTACAAACATATTCCTTTGCCGATGCTGACCCCTCATTGTTATTTGGTAATTACTTATTTCCACTTTAGTTGACTCCCTATCACAGACTCCACAGTGATGATTCTAATTCATTCCATTCTTCTTAGGCTCCTCTTGTGTCTCCCTGGTCCTCTAATTAGTAAGGCATTTCTTTCTGTGCCAAGTGGAAACCATTACATTGTCTCTCTCTCTTATCTATTTCAAAGACACCGAGTCTCCCTCCATCCGCATCTCTTTCCTCCTCCACTGATGCTGACTCCTCAACACATCTATAGCCTCAGCTCGACCTGTCACCAGCTCGGGACATTAATGCTCCATTGAATGTCCCTGTGTCTCTAGCACAGTGGTTAAATTCAGGAGGCCTCTGGAGCAAAACCTCCTTCTTTGAATCCTGACACTCACTTGTTTGTACGACCTCTCTGTGCCTTAATCTCCTATCCAAAATATGAATAATAATAGCAGGATTTATCTCTTAGGTGTCTCATGAAGATTAAATTAGCTAAAGCATTTAGAACTCTCCACGGTGCATAATAAGCAGTCAAATAATGGCAGCTATTATAGCATTCAGCCCTCCTTAAATTCTTTCTCTACCTCAACTGTTTTCTTAATTTCCCCATGTCCTTAGCATCTGGGCTCTTGTTTTCTTATTTCAACTTTTTTGTTTGAAAGCATGGTTTATACCTACCATTGAACTTGCTCATAGCTGCCTGACTCAACTCCTAGCAATTTCAGTTGCATTCCCCCCACCAATAATTTCCTAGACCTCAGCTCCAAAGGCCTGTTTCTTTTCTTATCTGTCTTCATTTCCCCACTAACAATGTCTTTTAAGCCTTTCTTCCTGCTTCACATGCATCAATCACCCTGATGCTCCTAGTTTTCCCCTTTTCAGATTTCTTTCTCTACTTCTACAGGTCCCCTTCTCTCCACTCCTAAAAGGGTGTTACCTGAAGTTTGGCTCTATTCTTTTTTGTGTCACTGCTTCTCACACTAGTTGCATTATAAGGCTGGCTGAAACAACCTTAGAAGCAGAATAATTCATACTATTCCAGGTCAGCAAACTTCATGTTTTAAGTCCTGTAAGTAGAAAATATTCACATATAATGAGTGACTGGAAAATATGGTACATCAGAGTTGTTGGGGAAGCAAGTGTCACTAACACTGTAATCAAATCAAAGTGAACGTATGCACGACTGTGACCACAGATATCACTAATAATTCCCAACCATAGGGCTAGTATTTCTCTAAAAAATGGGTCAGAGAATTTTGCTCTTGATTTTCCTCAACATGTACAATGTCTTAGTAAAACTAAAAAATTTTACAAAATACAATATTTTTAATATTCACTATTTTAGCTAAAACTGTAATATAATGAGAAAAGACTAAGAAAACTTATACTACTACCTAGATGGATTTTTCCTTAAAAAATAAATAGTATTCATGGTTAGAATTTTCTAATTCAACTATAAGTGAGAGGGAGAGAGAAAGAGAGAGAGAATTTATAAAACAGTGTGTCTTCTTACAAACCATAATTGTTTATTTTATTTTTGATTGAACATGCACACACATAACCACTGGTTCAACCACATGTGGTTCAAGTACCACAAATGTACTTAAACAAAAGTTCTGTGTACAGACATGAAACTATGCTTAGTTGCATTTCTTGTTGAAGCTAGTCTGAAAATAGCAATAAGTCTAGAGATTCTAACTTTAGAGAACTGTCACTCTGTATTTATTGTTTCAAAGATGTATTTATTTAAAATTACAGTTTCAATTAGAAATTTACAGAGGTGGTCACAAGCAGTTATGTTTGGAGCAAAAGCTTGTAAGTGGTAAAAATGGAAAAGATACTGAGATGAATTCAGAACAACCTTGAAGCATGGGGTACATCACAGGGCATTTGGTGATTTAAGGCATCATGTAACAGTCCCCAAGCACAATTATGGAACTCCAAATGAGCACTGCAGTTGGCCACAAATTTGTAAGTCATATTTTGATGTTCATTTAAAACAGAGGTTTTTAAATCACGGTGGAGATACAAAATGAGCCTTATTTAGCTGTTCAGTGGAAAACTCTGAAAAATTGTTCCACGGAAACATCCATTGAATATATAACATATAAATCAATTTGGAAAAACAGTTTGAAGTTAAAAGGCAAGAGAGCAAAATCTTGGTTATGAGCAATGCTTCAAACGCACAAACAAGCAGAGAAAAAAAAAAACTGCTTGAAGTATCATCAAGGTTTGTTTGTTTCAAAAGCAGCAAGGAAGGTAGAACTCCTGGCAAGGGATAGTTTGGTGGAGCTCTGTGTGGGCAAGTTAGATTAGATTTGTTCTGATTCAAAAAGAGGCACTTGAGATGTATTTTTGAGGTGTATTTTTACAGGACAAAGCATTGTTGAATAATCAAGAATATGAAGATAAATTGGATTTATACCAATTATTAGACTGAAGATACAGATGTAAATGATGTAACTACTTTATTAGTTGGCCTCACTTATAAAGTAGTCTGTCAAGATATTGCCAAAGAACTTGAAAGTAGAACTTATGAAAACGTTTGCAGCAAGATGTGAGCATTAGAAGAAAAATGTTAGACTCACATCTATGTTAAGCAAACCTTTGGAAGCAATAGTTTGAATCAAAGACATTATGCCCCCGACTACTCCAGCAACTAATGATTTTATTTATTCATCCCAAAGTTTTGAGCTTCTTGAATACCAACCACTATGCTAGATCCTGGGGATTCAACTCCAAGTAAAGCAGACATAGTCTTAACTTTAAAGTGTTTTGCATTTACCAAGAGACCACTCAAAACAACTTTTTTTCTTGATTTTTCTCAGCATGTAAAATGATTTAGTAAAGCTAGAAAATTTTACAATATACCATATTTTTAATATTTATTATTTTAGGTAAAATTCTAATATAATGAGAAGAGACTTAGAAAGCTTGTGCCACTACTAGATGTATTCTTCCTGAAAAATATAAATAGTACTCATGGTTAGAATTTTCTAATTCAACCATAAATTAGTTTATTTCCATGTAAGTAACAAAGACATCATGATTTAAAAAAAACCCTAAATATTAATCACTTAAACCCAGGAGGTGGAGTCTCACTGCATTCAATCAGTTGAACCCAGTGAGACAAGATTGCACCACTACACTCCAGCCTGGGCAATACAGTGAGACCCTGTCTCAGAAACAACAAACAAACAAATCCTAAATATTATGAGTTAATTTATTTTTTATACTTAACAACAAATTGTGGGTCACATGGGATTGTCTAGTTAGCAGATTTTTCCCTCAAAGTCAGAACACTCTCATTCAACTATTAAAAAGGTAATGTGGTGATGGTTTTTATAAATGGTAGCAAAATTATAACATGAAATGATAGTTTGAGAGTTGAATAGAGATATATCAGAATGTGAATAATTTGAGGCTCAGTTCATTTACATGTGCAAAAATTACAGCATTAGTCACGAAACAAAGATCACTATTCATATTTCTTCATTGAAAATGTCCTTGCTAAATATTTCCATGGGAATGTTTAAAACAAAACAACAACAACAGCAACAAAAACAGTGGACTAGAGACTCTTTTAGTCCACCCAGACAAGTAGACAAGTGCTCCAATGACTCAGCAGTAAGATAGACACATTCACATTTTTGGCAAGAGCAGCCTGACAACATGGCATCATCCTTCCATTTATGATTCTGGCCTTATCTTCACACATCATTCCTCATGCACAGATCATAAAATCTTTAAAGTGCTCACATGTACTTAATTAATTTGAGTCCTGAGAATGAGGAAACACCAAGACAAGAAAAAGTGTAGTGATACTGAACCGAATGTATGTGATTAGCTGTCTTTAACTCAGTCCAATTATACAGGAAAATGATAAACTCGATGAATAATATTTAGGGGTTAGTCTTTTGCTCATCACTTTCAACACCATGATAAGTCCATTAGCCATCCCCTCAGCTGTTTTCCCAGTTTTCACTTCTAGCCCCATGCAACACATTTTCCACACCCTAGGCAGAGGAATCATTTACAAACTTAAATCAGATCGTTTAATCTTCTTGCTGAAAACCCTCAATGATTTGCCGTGGCATTTAAAATAAAATCTACTTCTCAGCATGGTATCCCAGAACCGTGCTCACTCTTCAATTTCATTCTGCTTCATGTTTCTGTAGACTTCTTTTTTCTCCATACTAATGAGCTTCTCACACCTAAAAGCCTTTACACACGCAAATTTTTTCTGTCCAGGTGACTTGTCCCAAAGTATAACTGTATCCTCGTTGTTATTCAGGGCTCAGTTCAAAGGTTACCTCTTCAGAGAAGTTTAGTCATACCCTCTCATTCCCCCGCCATTTTTTTCCTTCTCTCTTTTTTTCTTTTTAATTTTAGATTCAGGAGGCACATGTGTAGGTTTGTTACATGGATATGTTGCATGATGTTGAGGTTTGCTCTTCTATTGAACCTGTCACCTAAATAGTGAACATTGTACCCAATAGATAGTTTCTTAACCCTTGCTCCACTCCCTCCCTCTTCCCTCTTGGAGTCTCTAGTGTCTATTGTTTCCATCTTTATATCTGTGTATAACCAGGGTTTAGCTCCCATTATAAGTGAGAACATGAGGTATTTGGTTTTCTGTTCCTGCTTTAATTCACTTAGGATAATGGCCACTAGCTACATCCATGTTGCTGAAAGGACATGACTTTGTTCTTTTTTATGATTGCATAATATTCCATGGTATATATTTACCACATGGTGTATATGTACCTAGGTGTCAATAGGCACCTAGATTGACTCCATGTCTTTGCTGTTGCCCCCCACCACTCATCATCTCATCACTATGTTTTACTTCCATCATAGTACTTGTTTTCTGAAATATCTCATCCATTACTGGTCTCTTGTCTGTCTCCCTCTCACAACACTGTAAGCGTCATCACAGGCTTTGCCAGTTTCAGTCACAGGCATATCCCCAGGGCCTGGAATGGTGTCTGATGCATGCTGGACACTCAATAAAGATTTGTTGATTAAATAAATGAATCTCAATACAGCAAAACCTTGTCCATTAGTGCTGGAATCAGGAAGAAATGTGTGACTACATCATGCAGTGGAATAAAGAATCTATCCATATTTTTAAAGCAAAACACATGATACTAAAGAAATGTTGCATTTTGAACTGTGCCATCAAATAACTTGAGTTAAAACTTTCGTGTCCTCTGCTGTTCTGGGTATTGTGAATGAGTTGGAAAATTCTGAGAATCTCTGTTCTATATTCTATGCCTGATACGATCATGTCCTCTTATGGCCTCAACTGTCATTCACCTCCAAACAGAGGACCCTGAAATACTTCTCTCTTATTTCACTTCTCCATTTGCTAAATGATTCTTTTAGCTTACACCCCAGACAACATAGACTCTATTTGCCCAAATACATCACTATTTCATGGACCCAGACACTCTTCCTCTGTTAATCACTTATCACTGTCAGGCTGATAACCTTTGAGCTCTCTTTGCCTTTTTCTTCTATCTTTTCTGTCTCTCAACTTGACTTTTTCCTTTAGCTTCATGTTTTGGGGGCCCCAAGATTTATTTTCCTTTCACACTGGATACAATGTACATTATTTGAGTAATGGGTGCCCCCAAAGCCCTGCCTTCACCACTGTGCAATCTCAACACACATCTGTATAAAATTCTTCACATCTGTTCCTTTGTTTCTACAGCCACTATCCTGGGTCTGTCTGCCCTCATTGTTTGCCTAAACTATTGTGAAATTTTTCTAATTGGTCTTCCTCAGTATAATTTTTCCTTCCCTCCAACATATCCACCAATAAATCATGCTCTGTTCATTTCACTCAACTCAAAACCTTTCATGGTTGCCGCTGACTGAAGGAAGTATCCCAATTACTTGTATAAAAATGAGTAAAATCCATGAAATGCCCCTGATCCATATTCCTAGTTTACATTCCTCAACTGCCTCTTTCCTCCTATAGTTCTTTGCTTTAAGACCCTTCTGTGACTCAACATTCTAAAAACTTCCTTGCATTTTTTTCTCTTTTGATCTTTGATCTCAATATAATCTCTTCCCAGTATGCCCTTCCAATGATTCCTAAATTCTAGGCACTCAATACATATTGATTTGCTGAATAAATAAACCCCTGTTTTGCCTCAAGGCCAAGTCAATGACAACTTCTCTAATCTTCCTCAATCCCTCCAGTCAGATTACCCTTTCCCTCCTCTTAAACATTTATGATGCACAATAATTCTATTTTAGCATATTGAGCTCACTCCACTTTCCAGTATAACTGGTTAGATACATATCTGTCCTCCCCGCTAAATTAAAAATTGCTTTATGGCTAGGGCCATTGTTATTTTTGTTTTGTTTTTGTTATTTATTTATTTTTACTTGTATAAATGTATGGGGTACAAGTATAATTTTGTTACATGCATAGATTGCATAGCAGTGAAGTCAGGGCTTTTAGGGTATCCATCACTCAAATCATGTACCTTATACCCAGTGTGAAAGGAAAATAAATCTTGGGGCCCCCAAATCACTAAGCTAAAAGGAAAAGTCAAGCTGGGAACTGTTTAGGGCCAACCTGCCTCCCATTCTATTCAAAGTCACCCCTCTGCTCACTGAGATAGATGCATATCTGATTGCCTCCTTTAAAAAGGCTAATCAGAAACTCAAAATAATGCAACCATTCATCTCACTTATCTGTGACCTGTAAGTTCCCGCTTCCAGTCTTCCTGCCTTTGCTTCAAGTTGTCCCGCCTTTCCAGACTGAATCAGTGCACTTCTTACATACATTGATTGATGTCTCATGTCTCTCTAAAATGTATAAAACTAAGCTATGCCCTAACCACCTTGGGTATATATTGTCAGGACTTCCTGAGGCTGTTAGGGGTGCACATCCTCAATGCCATCTTGGCAAAATAAACTTTCCAAATTAACTAAGACTTGTCTCAAATCTTGAAGGTTCACACCAGTAAGTAATCTTTCATCATCTACCACCCGCCACCACCACCCTCTTACCCTTCTGAGTCTCTGTTTGTTCTTCCATAGCATCAGTTAGGCAGACTGAAGGTGATTGTTGAAGTTAGGATGGAGGTCAAGTGCTTGTTGGTGGTGGTGATGGTGATGATGTGGTAAATGGAGTGAGTTGTGGATGTGCTACTTGATGGTACGGGGGCCCCAGCATCCCCCATCCTCAGAGACGGGGGAATTTCTCATACTGTGCATTCTATTTTCCAATTCTGGCTACCTAAAATCCCCAATTAACCCAGGTATATACACCAGTGAGCTCTTAGACCATAAATGCAAGTTACAGAATCATTCCCATCATCAACCATTGATGCCTAAAATGCTGGATTAAAGCAGCAACTGGTTTAATTAATCCCAATATCCTAAAGCCCTAATTACACAGACTTAACCCCAATGTCCATGAGCCAAACACTGCTTAAAGAGTTGGTTAAGGCCGGGCGCGGTGGCTCACGCCTGTAATCCCAGCACTTTGGGAGGCCGAGGCGGGTGGATCATGAGGTCAGGAGATCGAGACCATCCTGGCTAACAAGGTGAAACCCCGTCTCTACTAAAAATACAAAAAATTAGCCGGGCGCGGTGGCGGGCACCTGTAGTCCCAGCTACTCGGGAGGCTGAGGCAGGAGAATGGCGTGAACCCGGGAAGCGGAGCTTGCAGTGAGCCGAGATTGCGCCACTGCAGTCCGCAGTCCGGCCTGGGCGACAGAGCGAGACTCCGTCTCAAAAAACAAAAAAACAAAAAACAAAAACAAGAGTTGGTTAATATCCATGATCAGTAGAGCTGAAAGCAATAAACTAGATACTTCCAATAGAACATTCATTCCTACACTCAGATTTCTAAAACTCGTCACATTCTGAAGTCAGCATAAATCAAATCTTAAAAAGACACATGATTTTAAAATAAACTCGCTCCCTATTATATTTCAACCATAGATAACATGGCATAAAATTCAATGCTTTTGTGACACGAGTTTACCTTTATAACAAAATTGCACATATACCCCAAACCTAAATTAAATGTTCAAAAATAAATAAATAAATGAATTTAAAAACTCACACTACCTCGTAAGGAAAATCTACAGTGGCCTATTAATTTTTGCTTTTCCGTGTAAGTTTTAGACCCAGATTGGCAAGTTCCCCCAAAATAAACAAGTCAGTATTTTGACTTAAATTATATCAAATCTACAGATCAGTTGATGGACCACTGCAATTTTTATGATTTGGAGACTTCTGATCCAGGGACATGGTATGGACCTTCATGTTATTTTAATTCAATGTTCCCATAATTTATGCTTTTGTTGAAAATAGATATAGAATAATGTAGGACCTAAAAGAATAGTGGACAACTAAGAACACTTCACATTTTATTTGTGAAAGAATATTTTCTGTTAGTCAGAGATATGAATTTTCCTTGACATCTTTAGCATCTTATGAAATGTATTTGGGTAAAGGAGTAGTGAGGATTAACCACCTATGATTAAAGAAACCCTGATTTAGTCTATAGATACAAGAAGAGGCTTTTTGCTTTAACAAACATTTAATTATAATGAAAAATTTTAAAGGCCTTTCACTGGCAAATAGATTTTAAGGGAAATTAAACATGACAAAGGCTATTTGCTTTCCTTTACTTCATCACATCAGTTCCCAGAACATCCTGCCATTGTAGAGTAAATCAAAACAAAAGCCAAGCACACACAAGGGCCAAAAAAATTGGTGAATCCTAAATACAAGCATGCAGGCTGCTGCAGAAATTGGGAACAGCAGCGGGGAGGAGCCTGGGGATAATTTCCATGTATAGCCTCCCTTTAAATCTGTATTTGAATCCAAACCAAAGCAGATGTCAGTCAGCTAGCCCTGCCTGATGAAGAATAATATGTTTACATAAATTTCAATCTATCTTTTTACCTACTGCTAAACCAAAGTTTTTTACTGGAATTCCACATTTAAAAATTGCAAGAAATTTATGATAAGAATATTTAACTGCTGGAATAGCTATTAAAATTAAACAAATAATATGTCTTATAATAAGAGAAAGAGAGAGGGAGGGAGAGAGAAAGAAATGAGAGAGAAAGAGAAACAATGACAGGTTAAAGTAATTGGAATTATTTACCTCAGAGAAAATAGTCAAAACCTGATGTAATTACATATGCAGAAAATATACAACAGACTGTCAGTGAAGTTGAAGCAAATTACAAGAATAATTAAAATCAGCTTTGTTTTCTAGCTATTATCTTAAGAAGCTATAAGGAAGCGCTTTATTATCAACTGGTTAGTGATAAACATTATAAATTACCTTTTTAATTAGTAAAGCTTCTGAAGTATTTAGTAAAACTTCAAAAACAGAAGAATTTAGTAATTCAGGGAAATACAATAAAATCTTAGTAAAACTTCAAAAATAGAAGAATTTAGTAATTCAGGGAAATACAGTAAAATCTTATAGATTAGGCTATGTCTAAGAAAAATGATAACCATGATGAAGATAGTACAAACATAATTAATGACTTCTTGGATAGAATATAAATCTCGTCCCCTTTAGACTATGGTATGCTCATTTAATTTGATCAATGTGTATAGTCACACTGAATAATTCAGGCTATTTAGTTTGGTAAAATTAGCCATACAACTTCTACTTCTCTATTGCGTTCTTATTTCTGGATTACAATGCTCTTTGTTAACTTCTCTCTTTGATGATCTCAACACTTTCTATTTTCTGAGCCATTCCATAACTAAACAGGGTAAGAGTTTCCAGGACTCATTTGTTTTAAATGGGAAAGGTACTCATTCCCGCAATATGTTACTTTGATGTTGCGTAAAGCACATTGTGAGCTTTGGAATAATACAAACCTGCATTCAAATCCTACCTTTTCTAGGAAAGTTATGAAACATCTCTTAGCTGCTTCCTTAAAGTGTCAAATGGGAGATAATTTACTAGATAAGGTAGTTGTAAGAATTAAATGAGGTAACATGTGAAGCACTTACTATAGAGCTTTCCACATAGTTATTAAAAAATGTTATTTCTTTCCCTTTGTTTGTTGTCACAAGTTCTTTTAGGGAAGGATGTAGAGCAAAAGATATGCATAAACTTGTGAAACTTTACCACTGTTCAGAATTCCTCAGAGAGAGAAACTACATTCATCTTGGAAATCCATATTGCGTACTTTGAAGAACTGCAGTTCTTCTTGCAAACTCTTTATTTCTTTGAAGTTAGGTCAGGAGAATAATACGGCATCATTCTGTGGACAAGCCATGGTTATTGCCACCAAATAAAATGTCTCTGTATCAAGAATCTGGCCCTTCTAAAAGTAGCATTTGTGATTAGAGATCATGTCCAGGTCTATCTATACACAGTGCCCCCGCCACCCCAATATACTTTTAATTGAGTTTTTACTCACTGAGACCTACAATATCACTGGTAAAGTATCTCAGCTTTCATTTGTGCTGTTGTTCGGTAAACTACAAATTTTCCTTGAGAAACGAGTGACATTTATTTTCAATGTCAATATTCTACCTTTGGTTGTATACTGAGAACCAGAACACAAAAATCCCCAGTAATTCATCTCCAGTGTCTGATAACTACCTCATAAATGATCATGGTGTGAAGTTTTGCACGAGGATTTTCAAAGAAAAGATATTCAAACCTCTTTTCAAAAGACAATTGTTGATGGTTCAACAAGAAAGAGGATGTTTTGGTTATCCTACCACTTTTACACTCCAGGAATTCAAAAAATGTTTTAAAAGGGTGAATTTTATTTTATCCATTTTTTGCCACAATTTCTAAAACAACAACAAAAAAAGAGTGAGTGATACAAAGTAGCTACACAATCTCACTATTAAAGTCAGGTAATCTCCATTAATTGTAAATATTAACTTCCATGCTAATTAATTTCACCCAACTGAAGTGTAAATATGCCCTTTGCTTTTGTTGACACCCTAAGGATTTAGAGATTCTACCCATTAGGATGTTGAAAAGCAGTGTGGGGTTTTTGAAGAGGAACATTTTCACACCATCTGGATGAATCAAAGGGTCATCTTAGAACACAGTTGTCAATACAATTTCTAGAATCAGTGCAGTGAAAGTAAAGCACCCAGAGAAATTTGGCAATAGGCATGTGGGAAACAGAGAGTTTGCTCTCAGTTTTTTCTCCAATAAAAATATTGCTAAGACATAGTTCCAGGATGAAATAAAAATAATATACACTGCTAGCTCAGAGTTATTTACATGAGCTATGGATAAAGGACCACAAGATTTCAAAGCAGTCTCAGGACTCTTTTCTTAGCTAGCAAACTATATCTGAGATGATCTTGTCCTCCCTCTCAGAGGATAAGCAGGAATTTGCTGAGTAGAGAAGTTGTGAGAAAGGCAATGATGTGGGAGATAGGAAGAAGCAGGAAGGAAAAGCAGATATGTAAAGGCAAGAAGCATGCAAGTAAAAGTCAGATTTGGGGGATGGTAAAGACTTCAACATAGCTAGAGACAGGGTTATGGATGGGAAGTGCATTCATTTCCCATTGCCCTTACAACAAATTAACACAAACTGAGTGGTTTAAAACACCACAAATAAGTCAGAAGTCCTGAATTAGTCTTACAGAGCTAAGCTAAAATCAGGATGTCAGTGGGATTAATTGCTTCTGGAGATGCCAATGGGGGATTCATCCCTTTCTTCTTCCAGCTTCTAGAGGCTTTCAGCATTGCATGCCTTGGCTTGCGGCTTCACACCAATTTCTACTTCTGCTGTCACATTGCCTTCTTCTGCCTTTGACCTTCCTGCCTCTCTCTTAAAAGGCCCCTTTATAATTACATTTAGGGCCTGCCTGGATCATCAAGGAAAATCCCCCCATCTCAAGATCCTTAAATTAACCACATCTGCAAAGTTCCTTTTGACATATAAGGTTACATATTCACAGGTTATGGAAATTACGACTTGGATATCTTTTGAGGACCATTATTCAGACTACCACAGGCAGTAATACAACTTATGATATTTATCATTTCCGCATGTTATTCGTTACACTAGGTACTTTACCTGCATTATATAGCCACAATGCTCTCTGTCTCTGCAAGATGAGAAATATTATGGGTGAGATTCAAAATGTTTAAAAACTTGTGCTCAGGGGCACTGAGCAATCAGCATGGGTCAGACACAGTTCTGAAGCCCTCATTGCTGTACAACTCTCCCTCTGCTGTATGAGAGAGATCCACATGGTAGCCTGGAAGATCATCCAGGCAAAATGTGCATGCAGCAGGGTGCGGTGGCTCACACCTGTAATCCCAGCACTTTGGGAGGCTGAGGCGGGAGGATCACCTGAAGTCAGGAGTTCGAGACCAGCCTGGCCAACATGGCGAAACCCAGTCTCTATTAAAAATACAAAAATTAGCCGGGCATGGTGACGTATGCCTGTAGTCCCAGCTACTCGGGAGGCTGAGGCAGGAGAATTGCTTGAACCCAGGAGGCGGAGGTGGCAGTGAGTTGAAATGGCGCCACTGCACACCAGCCTGGGCAACAGAGCGAGACTCCGTCTCAAAAAAAAAAAAAAAGGGCATACTTGTGTATACTGATTAAATATCAATGTTGAGAATAGCACATCAAGGTAGGTCCTCTGCCAGGTATTTTGCATTCATTATTGTACTTAATCCTTATTTTCACCCTCTGAGGAAGGCATTTTTGTCTCTGTTTTACAGATTAAAATTCAAAAGGCTCAAAGAAGTTAAATAACTTGCCCATGTTCACATGGCGAGTCACTCTGAGAACCAAGAGCCAAACTCTGTATGCTTCTAGACCCCCTTTTCCTTCCATCAAGTTAGGCGGAGTCTTATTTAAAAATCTAAAATAATAATAAAATTTAGAGATACTTAAGGATTATGAAACCCATATGATAGTCTGTGTAATAAATTAGATATTATATTTTTGAAAATTTGTAGTGGGTTAATCTTCAATGGCAGAGGTGAGGGTGGCCACCCCTCCTCCCAAATAGGGAGAGTGCAACATTATATCAAATGACCAAGTTAATTCCTTGGGAGGCACCCGATGGGCTCACTTACTTGTCTCAATAATTGGATTGCCAAAGCAATTAGAGATGTCATGCGGGCCCCTCCTAAAAACTCAATACCAAGCTGGGGTCTTAGCATGAGAAAGTCTTAACATCCTTGCCATTCCTTTGCTACTAGTGCCACTATAACATTCCCAGCAGATTCAAACTGTGATTTTAAAAGATACACAACAACCAAATAAGTTAATTATGCTCTTCACAGTTTGCTTAGACATATAGAATTTAACAGCCACTAAACATGTGAAACACTGAGTGATGTTTCAAAATAAAGTTTGGCTGGAAATATTATAGTTATCATCCTTCATCATTACCTGGAAGATCATATTCATTTTGGGTTGATATGACACAAATGAATGTATTCATGTGAACCTGATAGATTTTACTGTTGGTTTTCTGAGAAAATATTTTAAAAGAACTAAGGAAAATCAGCTACAAGTTCATGAGGTACACATAGCTTAAAATATCTCAAATAATGTCCTAAAGCTCATGCAGACACACTTGTACAGCTACACAGCACATAATAGTGTAAGGACCCACCAATCCATTGTTCAAGTTATTCTAAGGAATACGTTTTGTTTAAAATCCAGTCCCCTGGTTTACAATAATTCCTGTATCAGGAAAAAAGGGTGTGAGCTCATCAGCAGAGTGAATCACAATAACTCAAACAGGATGATTGATGAGATAGTGAAAAGGTGTTGGTGAATTTACACAGGCCATTAACCTAATAATTTATTCAACTTTCTCTGCAAACTCCCGTGAATATATCCAAGAAGGCACATAAACTCATGTCTCCGAACTCTTGTTAAAAGAATATTAGGGAATTCACAAAGTTCACAGAATTATGGGGAAAAAAATTAATAAGTCCTGAGTCTCCTTTATGCCCTGACACTGAAGTCAATGTTGTCCTCTTACCAAAAAGCAAACACAAGCCTGACTACGGCACTTTGTTGCCTAGTTACCCTCGTGTCCTCACAGGCCTGGGTTGCCTATCTCTGTGGGAATGAATTAAATTCTGCAAATAAACTCTGACTTGGACACTTCAGGGTCCATTGGTTTACTCGGACTAAACTGTGCTTTGTCTATAAATGGTCCTAGAATTTCATTCATAATTTTGGAAAGGGGTAGAGGGAGGAAAAACACAAAATACATATAAAATCTGAAATCTGAAATGTGTTCTATTTAAAAACATTTTGTCTTATAAAAAACGCTACCTCCATGCAAGGAGGGGGGCCCATTGTGATATGTCAGCAGAGACCAGATCACATGCACTTCAGTTACCTGCATGCCAGGTTAATTCACATAGGAATAGGATACGCATATGGTTTTTCATCACAGAACAAAACTAGATGAGAATGTATGTGGATAACACTATCTGGTGGGTAGGGACAGGGAGAGAGTAAGCCATTATATAATCTTGAAGTTTGGGGCATTAGGGAATATTACATGCAATACAATATGTTAAAATGCTTAGCACCTATGAATTCAGCTTAATTGATGTATAAAGTATAGAAACAAAGCTCATTTGAACATAACATTTCAATGGAAAAAAGGATGAGCATTTTTTTTATCTTATTGGTACTAGATCTTTACAAAAAGATTTAAGGTTCATAAATTTCCCTTAATTTGCTTCAGTTTCAAATAAAAGATTATTTCATTAATTTATTATTGACTCTCACTAATACATATAACTTACTTTTTAGTCTGGGCCCATTTGTTTACTTATTCGTTGCTTTCCTCATTCATTGGTTTTAATAATGTTTATGTGCCAATCACTGTGCTAAGTCATAAAAATTCAAAGCAAACAAGAGGGAGAGTGATCTCTGCCCTGGTGGGGTTTTTGCTGAAGCAGAGAAGACAGGTGATTCTAAAAATAATTAATACATTACCTAAATGAGTGTTTTGAAGGGAGACAGGTAGCACATCTGAAAGTCTATAATTCCTAACCTATTTATGTGCAATATTGTTTAGCTAAAGAAATCAAAGGTAGTTCTGAAATATGGAACATAAGCAGACAACTTTTATTCTGACACTTTTTATTTTTAAAGTGATTTCCTAAGCAACCCTAAAATATTTTAAGACAACTGCATTTTTTAGTCCTATGCATATTATCAAACTGATAAAAAATAAAATTTTATATCAAAAATGAAATATTGTCTAAGTGACATATTTATATCACCTTCATTTTGCAGATTTTGGAAAAATTTAGGTGGCTCCATGGTCTTTCTTGCTGGTTAAATCCATTAAAAAATATAGATGAGTAGGTCGCGAAAATTTTCTCCCATTTTGTAGGTTGCCTGTTCACTCTGATGGTAGTTTCTTTTGCTGTGCAGAAGCTCTTTAGTTTAATTAGATCCTATTTGTCAATTTTGGCTTTGGTTGCCATTGCTTTTGGTGTTTTAGACATGAAGTCCTTGCCCATGCCTATGTCCTGAATGGTAATGTCTAGGTTTTCTTCTAGGGTTTTTACGGTTTTAGGTCTAATGTTTAAGTCTGTAATCCATCTTGAATTGATTTTTGTATAAGGTGTAAGGAAGGGATCCAGTTTCAGCTTTCTACATATGGCTAGCCAGTTTTCCCAGCACCATTTATTAAATAGGGAATCCTTTCCCCATTGCTTCTTTTTCTCAGGTTCGTCAAAGATCAGATAGTTGTAGATATGCGGCGTTATTTCTGAGGGCTCTGTTCTGTTCCACTGATCTATATCTCTGTTTTGGTACCAGTACCATGCTGTTTTGGTTACTGTAGCCTTGTAGTATAGTTTGAAGTCAGGTAGTGTGATGCCTCCAGCTTTGTTCTTTTGGCTTATGCAGGCTCTTTTTTAGTTCCATATACACAGCAAAAGAAACTACCATCAGAGTGAACAGGCAACCTACAAAATGGGAGAAAATTGTCGCAACCTACTCATCTGACAAAGGGCTAATATCCAGAATCTACAATGAACTCAAACAAATTTACAAAAAAAAAACAAACAACCCCATCAAAAAGTGAGTGAAGGACATGAACAGACACTTCTCAAAAGAAGACATTTATGCAGCCAAAAAACACATGAAAAAATGCTCACCATCACTGGCCATCAGAGAAATGCAAATCAAAACCACAATGAGATACCATCTCACACCAGTTAGAATGGTGATCATTAAAAAGTCAGGAAACAACAGGTGCTGGAGAGGATGTGGAGAAATAGGAACACTTTTACACTGTTGGTGGGACTGTAAACTAGTTCAACCATTGTGGAAGTCAGTGTGGCGATTCCTCAGGGATCTAGAACTAGAAATACCATTTGACCCAGCCATGCCATTACTGGGTATATACCCAAAGGACTATAAATCATGCTGCTATAAAGACACATGCACATGTATGTTTATTGTGGCACTATTCACAATAGCAAAGACTTGGAACCAACCCAAATGTCCAAGAATGATAGACTGGATTAAGAAAATGTGGCACATATACACCATGCAATACTATGCAGCCATAAAAAAATGAGTTCATGTCCTTTGTAGGGACATGGATGAAATTGGAAATCATCATTCTCAGTAAACTATCACAAGAACAAAAAACCAAACACCGCATATTCTCACTCATAGGTGGGAATTGAACAATGAGAACACATGGACACAGGAAGGGGAACATCACACACTGGGGACTGTTGTGGGGTGGTGGGAGGGGGGAGGGATAGCTTTAGGAGATATACCTAATGCTAAATGACAAGTTAATGGGTGCAGCACACCAGCATGGCACATGTATACACATGTAACTAACCTGCACATTGTGCACATGTACCCTAAAACTTAAACTATAATAATAATAAAAGAAAAAAAATAAAAAAAATAAAAAATATAGATATATATGACAAGGTTCTTAGGACCCAACTACATCTGTGGCTTTGAGACCATATAATCCCATGTCTTTAGTTTAATCTACACCAAGTAGTATTCATTTACAATTTCTGATATTCAAGATGTTTCCTAGCTTTTCAAAGACCCATAGATGTCCTTTCCTCAGTGGTAAAATTGTAATAGCCACCATCAGGAAATTCTGCTATTGTGCTAAGGTTCCTTTCTTTCTCTTTTGAAGAGCAAAAAATAAACAGAGCCAGTTACAGCACAATGGCTGCCCAGGCTTCCCCACTTAACATTCCTGAACATATTTATTGTGGAAATAAATTCTGATAATATTGCAAGTATTTTATTTTTATCATTCATTTAGAAATATATTTTGAATGCCCCATTCACTCTATCAAAACTGGAAACACTTCCTTTTCAATTTTCCCAATTACCTTTATTTCTTAAGATGAAGTTATTTAAATTTCACAAGTAGAAGAATATTGGACTAATTTATCTATGTGTAGTTTCCATCAGCCACAATTTTTGTATTTGATTAGCGTCTAAGCAAAATTCTTTTCTGAGTTTTTCTAATATGAAGGTTTACAGCTCATCACACAGAAAAAGCAAAGCCTCTTTTTTGGTACTAGTGTGCTGCTGTGTAGAAAGACCAGTGTTGTCACATCACCAGCAGGATGGGAGCTGTGGCTTGCTTTTCTAGTAGAGTGGGATGCTGTGATTATCTGCCTCTACTCTCTCACCAATTTCCCCTTTGAATAAAAGGTAAATGCTGATGAGCCTCCAGGTTGGGTGGAAATTCCACCTGTAGATGTAGAATAACATTGTCCTAATTAATGTTGTATATGTCTACAGTCTGTGCTTTATCTCACTATAACTTTCACCAAATGAATTAATTAGCTTTCATTTTGGTTATATACAACCATTACTCAGAAATGCATACTTCATGGAAATTATTTCCATGTTCTTAACCATTTAAATTAGGATTATTGATATGAGGTAATATTTTAAAAATAAAATGACCAATTGTGTACTATACATACAGTTAATATTAGGTGTATGCACATTCAAAACTAATGATACATTATAATATAATGAACTATTTTTCTTTACTGCCTCTGTCCATTCCCTAAGTATTCTGTCCGATAATTAAAAACAGACATAAACTATTATTACCCTAAATGTTAATTCTTGTTCCATTTACTGAAAAACTCAATGAGGTAACATTTTAAACAATGGTTTCTTCTTTAAGATTTTTATTTACAATTAAGTGAGCCCGAATTCTTTCGTAACTGTGTTGAAAACAAAACTCTCCTCACTATAAGTTGAATGCTTTAGCTGATTAAAATAAAAGTATTTTAGTATTTTAGCTGGTTAAAATAAAAGCTCATGAAAGGCTCACTGATTCATATTAGTAACTTCAGTTTTATAATTTAACTGCCATTATAGTTCTTATAAAAAATTTCCATCATTAAATCACAAACTGCTCCAAATTTTTATTTTGAGAAGCAATATGTTCATAAATGAAGCTTTGGATTATTAGATATATAGATAGTATATTCATCTCATTGTTGAAAGTTGAAAATTTTGGTCGATAGTCACGGCTTGGCTGATTTCTTCATAGAATTCTCTATGTATGTTCTACATGACATTGCTATGACACTAATGTCCAAAGCCTCCATTTCTCTTGAGAAAAAAAAATCACTTCTTGTCATGTTTCAATCACCCTCTGAGACGAAGCCACACACAGATGAAACAATAGCTAATTCTTTAAGGCAACTAGGAACTCTTTTGTGCCCTGGCAGGATAGTGTTTGAAACTTGTAATATGGTATACAGTTCTAATGGTAACATTTGAAAATAAGTGAATTACAGTGGCTGGCTGGCAAGATGGCCGAATAGGAACAGCTCCGGTCTGCAGCTCCCAGCGAGACCAATGCAGAAGGCAGGTGATTTCTGCATTTCTAACGGAGATACCCAGCTCATCTCATTGGGACTGGTTAGACAGTGGGTACAGACCACGGCGTGTGAGCTGAAGCAGGGTTGGGCATCAACTCACCTGGGAAGTTCAAGGGGTTGGGGAACTCCCTCCTCTAGCCAAGGGAAGCCATGAGGGACTGTGCTGTGAGGAATGGTGCATTCCGGCCCAGATACTACACATTTCCCACAGTCTTTGCAACCTGCAGACCAGGAGATTCCCTTGGGTTCCTACACCACCAGGATCCTGGGTTTTAAGCACACAACTGGGTGGCTGTTTGGGCAGACACCGAGCTAGCTGCAGGATTTTTTTTTTTTTCATACCACAGTGGCACCTGGAAGGCCAGTGAGACAGAACCATTCACAACTGTGGAAAGGGGGCTGAAACCAAGGAGCCAAGTGGTCTAGCTCAGCGGATCCCACCCCTGTGGAGCCCAGCAAGCTAAGATCCACTAGTTTAAATTTCTTGTTGCCAGCACAGCAGTCTGAAGTGGACCTGGGACACTTGAGCTTGGTGAGGGGAGGGGTGTCTGCTATTACTGAGGCTTCAGTAGGCGGTTTTCTCCTCACAGTGTAAACAAAGCCACCAGGAAGTTCAAACTGGGCTCAGCTCCACAAAGCCACTGTAGCCAGACTGCCTTCCTAGATTCCTCCTCTCTGGGCAGGGCACTTCTGAAAGAAAGGCAGCAGCCCCAGTCAGGGGCTTATAGATAAAATTCCCATCTCCCTGGGACAGAGCACCTGGGGGAAGGGGTGCCTGTAGGCGCTGCTTCAGCAGACAAACATTCCTGCCTGCTGGCTCTGAAGAGAGCAGTGGATCTCCCAGCGCAGTGCTTGAGCTCTGCTAAGGGACACAATGCTTCCTCAAATGGGTCCCTCACCCCCGTGCCTCCTGACTGGGAGATACTTCCCAGCAGGGGTCGACAGACACCTCATACAGGAGAGATCCAGCTGGCATCTGGTGGGTGCCCCTCTGGGAAAAACCTTCCAGAGGAAAGAACAGGCAGCAATCTTTGCTGTTCTACAGCCTCTGCTGGTGATACCCAGGCAAAGAGGGTCTGGAGTGGACATCCAGCAAACTCCAGCAGACCTGCAGCAGAGAGGCCTGACTGTTAGAAGGAAAACTAACAAACAGAAAGGAGTAGCATCAACGTCAACAAAAAGGATGTCCAGTCAGAAACCCCATCCAAGGGTCACCAACATCAAAGACCAAAGGTAGATAAATCCATGAAGATGGGGAGGAACCAGTGCAAAAAGTCTTAAAATTACAAAAATCAGAATGCCTCTTCTCCAAAGGATCACAACTCCTCACCAGCAAGGGAACAAAACTGGATGGAGAATGAATTTGACAAATTGACAGAAGTAGACTTCAAAATGTGGGTAACAACAAATGGCTCCGAGCTAAAGAAGCATGTTCTAACCCAATGCAGAGAAGCTAAGAACACTGAAAAAAGGTGAGAGGAATTGCTAACTAGAATAATCAGTTTAGAGAAGAATATAAACGACCTGATGGAGCTGAAAAACCCAGCACAAGAACTTCCTGAAGCATACACAAGTATCAATAGCCAAATTGATCAAGCAGAAGAAAGGATATCAGAGATTGAAGATCAATTTAATGAAAGAAAGGGTGAAGACAAGATTAGAGAAAAAAGAATGAAAGGGAAAGAACAAAGCCTCCAAGAAATATGGGACTATGTGAAAAAAACAAACTTACGTTTGATTGGTGTACCTCAAAGTGATGGGAGAATGGAACCAAGTTGGAAAACACCCTTCAGGATATTATCCAGTAGAATATCCCCAACCCAGCAAGACAGGCCAACATTCAAATTCAGGAAATACAGAGAACACCACAAAGATACTCCTCGAGAAGAGCAACCCCAAGACACATAATCATCAGATTCACCAAGGTCGAAATGGAGGAAAAAATGTTAAGGACAGCCAGAGAGAAAGCTCAGGTTACTCACAAAGGGAAGCACATCAGACTAACAGTGGATCTCTCTGCAGAAACCCTACAAGACAGAAAAGAGAGGGGGCCACTCTTAAAGGAAGGAATTTTCTTTTTTTTTTTTTTAAGGTTAAGGAATATTAAAGAGTTTATTTTATGCTCATTTATTCCTTCTTGAAAGCTCTTCTTTTCTTTACGTAGATTTCAGTTTTTGACCTATGTCATTTCATTTCTGACCGAAAAATTTCTTTCAACATTTATTTCAAGGCAGGTCTACTGGTGACAGATTCAGCCTTTGTCTGAGAAAGCATTTCTTCTTTGCTTTTGAAGGATAGTTTCACTGTATCCAGAATTCTAGTTTTATCCTTTAAACACTTTAAATATTTCACGCTACCTTCTTCTTTCTTGCATGGTTGCCAATGAGATTTCTGATGTAATTCTTATCCTTGTCCCTCCTTAGGTAAATTTCTTCTCTTCTGTAGCTTCTTTCATGTTTTCTGGTTGTCTTTAGTTTTCTGTGATTTGAACATAATATGACTAGGTGTGGACTTTTTTTTTATACTCAACAATAATTTATTGTATATTTTCAAATAGCTAAAAGAGGAGAATTGGACTGTTTCTAATACAAGACATGATAAATGCCTGAGGTGATGGACACCCCAATTGCCCCAATAAGATTATTATATATTGTATGTATCAAAATTTCACATGTATCCCATAGATATATACACTTATTATGTACCCATAATAATTAAAAACAATTTTTTAAAAGATCCTGTTTCTTAACATCTTTGACACTTCATTTATACTCTAGTTTTTCCTTTTTTTTATATTATACTTTAAGTTTTAGGGTACATGTGCACAATGTGCAGGTTAGTTACATATGTATACATGTGCCATGCTGGTGTGCTGCACCCACTAACTCGTCATCTAGCATTAGCTATATCTCCCATTGCTATCCCTCCCCCCTACCCCCACCCCACAATAGTCCCCAGAGTGTGATATTCCCCTTCCTGTGTCCATGTGTTCTCATTGTTCAATTCCCACCTATGAGTGAGAATATGCGGTGTTTGGTTTTTTGTTCTTGCGATAGTTTACTGAGAATGATGATTTCCAATTTCATCCATGTCCCTACAAAGGACATGAACTCATCATGTTTTATGGCCGCATAGTATTGCATGGTGTATATGTGCCACATTTTCTTAATCCAGTCTATCATTGATGGACATTTGGGTTGGTTCCAAGTCTTTGCTATTGTGAATAATGCCACAATAAACATACGTGTGCATGTGTCTTTATAGCAGCATGATTTATAGTCCTTTGGGTATATACCCAGTAATGGCATGGCTGGGTCAAATGGTATTTCTAGTTCTAGATCCCTGAGGAATCGCCACACTGACTTCCACAATGGTTGAACTAGTTTACAGTCCCACCAACAGTGTGAAAGTGTTCCTATTTATCCACATCCTCTCCAGCACCTGTTGTTTCCTGACTTTTTAATGATCACCATTCTAACTGGTGTGAGATGGTATCTCATTGTGGTTTTGATTTGCATTTCTCTGATGGCCAGTGATGGTGAGCATTTTTTCATGTGTTTTTTGGCTGCATAAATGTCATCTTTTGAGAAGTGTCTGTTCATGTCCACCCACTTTTTGATGGGGTTGTTTGTTTTTTTCTTGTAAATTTGTTTGAGTTCATTGTAGATTCTGGATATTAGCCCTTTGTCAGATGAGTAGGTTGTGAAAATTTTCTCCCATTTTGTAGGTTGCCTGTTCACTCTGATGGTAGTTTCTTTTGCTGTGCAGAAGCTCTTTAGTTTAATTAGATCCTATTTGTCAATTTTGGCTTTGGTTGCCATGGCTTTTGGTGTTTTAGACATGAAGTCCTTGCCCATGCCTATGTCCTGAATGGTAAAGCCTAGGTTTTCTCCTAGGGTTTTTATGGTTTTAGGTCTAACATTTAAGTCTTTAATCCATCTTGAATTGATTTTTGTATAAGGTGTAAGGAAGGGATCCAGTTTCAGCTTTCTACATATGGCTAGCCAGTTTTCCCAGCACCATTTATTAAATAGGGAATCCTCTCCCCATTGCTTGTTTTTCTCAGGTTTGACAAAGATCAGATAGTTGTAGATATGCAGCATTATTTCTGAGGGCTCTGTTCTGTTCCATTGATCTATATGTCTGTTTTGGTACCAGTACCATGCTGTTTTCATTACTGTAGCCTTGTAGTATAGTTTGAAGTCAAGTAGTGTGATGCCTCCAGCTTTGTTCTTTTGGCTTAGGATTGACTTGGTGATGCGGGCTCTTTTATGGTTCCATATGAGCTTTAAAGTAGTTTTTTTTCCAATTCTGTGAAGAAAGTCATTGGTAGCTTGATGGGGATGGCACTGAATCTTTAAATTACCTTGGGCAGTATGGCCATTTTCACGATATTGATTCTTCCTACCCATGAGCATGGAATATTCTTCCATTTGTTTGTATCCTCTTTTATTTCCTTGAGCAGTGGTTTGTAGTTCTCCTTGAAGAGGTCCTTCACATCCCTTGTTAAGTTGGATTCCTAGGTATTTTATTCTCTTTGAAGCAATTGTGAATGGTAGTTCACTCATGATTTGGCTCTCTGTTTGTCTGTTGTTGGTGTATAAGAACGCTTGTGATTTTTGTACATTGATTTTGTATCCTGAGAATTTGCTGAAGTTGCTTATCAGCTTAAGGAGATTTTGGGCTGAGACAATGGGGTTTTCTAGATATACAATCATGTCGTCTGCAAACAGGGACAATTTGACTTCCTCTTTTCCTAATTGAATACCCTTTATTTCCTTCTCCTGCCTAATTGCTCTGGTCAGAACTTCCAACACTATGTTGAATAGGAGGGGTGAGAGAAGGCATCCCTGTCTTGTGCCAGTTTTCAAAGGGAATGCTTCCAGTTTTTGCCCATTCAGTATGATATTGGCTGTGGGTTTGTCATAGATAGCTCTTATTATTTTGAAATACATCCCATCAATACCTAATTTATTGAGAGTTTTTAGCATGAAGCATTGTTGAATTTTGTCAAAGGCCTTTTCTGCATCTATTGAGATAATCATGTGGTTTTTGTCTTTGGTTCTGTTTATATGCTGGATTACATTTATTGATTTGCGTATATTGAACCAGCCTTGCATCCCAGGGATGAGGCCCACTTGATCATGGTGGATAAGCTTTTTGATGTGCTGCTGGATTTGGTTTGCCAGTATTTTATTGAGGATTTTTGCATCAATGTTCATCAAGGATATTGGTCTAAAATTCTCTTTTTTGGTTGTGTCTCTGCCTGGCTTTGGTATCAGGATGATGCTGGCCTCATCAAATGAGTTAGGGAGGATTCCCTCTTTTTCTATTGATTGGAATAGTTTCAGAAGGAATGGTACCAGCTCCTCCTTGTACCTCTGGTAGAATTCGGCTGTGAATCCATCTGGTCCTGGACTCTTTTTGGTTGGTAAGCTATTAATTATTGCCTCAATTTCAGAGCCTGTTATTGGTCTATTCAGAGATTCAACTTCTTCCTGGTTTAGTCTTGGGAGAGTGTGTGTGTCCAGGAATTTATCCATTTCTTCTAGATTTTCTAGTTTATTTGCGTAGAGGTGTTTGTAGTATTCTCTGATGGTAGTTTGTATTTCTGTCGGATTGGTGGTGATATCCCCTTTATCATTTTTTATTGCGTCTATTTGATTCTTCTCTCTTTTTTTCTTTATTAGTCTTGCTAGCGGTTTATCAATTTTGTTGATCCTTTCAAAAAACCAGCTCCTGGATTCATTAATTTTTTGAAGGGTTTTTTGTGTCACTATTTCCTTCAGTTCTGCTCTGATTTTAGTTATTTCTTGCCTTCTGCTAGCTTTTGAATGTGTTTGCTCTTGCTTTTCTAGTTCTTTTAATTGTGATGTTAGGGTGTCCATTTTAGATCTTTCCTGCTTTCTCTTGTGGGCATTTAGTGCTATAAATTTCCCTCTACACACTGCTTTGAATGCGTCCCAGAGATTCTGGTATGCTGTGTCTTTGTTCTCATTGGTTTCAAAGAACATCTTAATTTCTGCCTTCATTTCGTTATGTACCCAGTAGTCATTCAGGAGCAGGTTGTTCAGTTTCCATGTAGTTGAGCGGTTTTGAATGAGATTCTTAATCCTGAGTTCTAGTTTGATTGCACTGTGGTCTGAGAGATAGTTTGTTATAATTTCTGTTTTACATTTGCTGAGGAGAGCTTTACTTCCAAGTATGTGGTCAATTTTGGAATAGGTGTGGTGTGGTGCTGAAAAAAATGTATATTCTGTTGATTTGGGGTGGAGAGTTCTGTAGATGTCTATTAGGTCTGCTTGGTGCAGAGCTGAGTTCAATTCCAGGGTATCCTTGTTGACTTTGTGTCTCGTTGCTCTGTCTAATGTTGACAGTGGGGTGTTAAAGTCTCCCATTATTAATGTGTGGGAGTCTAAGTCTCTTTGTAGGTCTCTCAGGACTTGCTTTATGCATCTGGGTGCTCCTGTATTGGGTGCATATATATTTAGGATAGTTAGCTCTTCTTGTTGAATTGATCCCTTTACCATTATGTAATGGCCTTCTTTGTCTCTTTTGATCTTTGTTGGTTTAAAGTCTGTTTTATCAGAGACTAGGATTGCAACCCCTGCCTTTTTTTGTTTTCCATTTGCTTGGTAGATCTTCCTCCATCCTTTTATTTTGAGCCTATGTGTGTCTCTGCACGTGAGATGGTTTTCCTGATTACAGCACACTGATGGGTCTTGACTCTGTATCCAATTTGCCAGTCTGTGTCTTTTAATTGGAGCATTTAGTCCATTTACATTTAAAGTTAATATTGTTATGTGTGAATTTGGTCCTGTCATTACGATGTTAGCTGGCTATTTTGCTCGTTAATCGATGCAGTTTCTTCCTAGTCTCGATGGTCTTTACATTTTGGCATGATTTTGCAGTGGCTGGTACCATTTGTTCCTCTCCATGTTTAGTGCTTCCTTCAGGAGCTCTTTTAGGGCATGCCTGGTGGTGACAAAATCTCTCAGCATTTGCTTGTCTGTAAAGGATTTTATTTCTCCTTCACTTATGAAGCTTAGTTTGGCTGGATATGAAATTCTGGGTTGAAAATTCTTTTCTTTAAGAATGTTGAATATTGGCCCCCACTCTCTTCTGGCTTGTAGAGTTTCTGCTGAGAGATCCGCTGTTAGTCTGATGGGCTTCCCTTTGAGGGTAACCCGACCTTTCTCTCTGGCTGCCCTTAACATTTTTTCCTTCATTTCAACTTTGGTGAATCTGACAATTATGTGTCTTGGAGTTGCTCTTCTCGAGGAGTATCTTTTTGGCATTCTCTGTATTTCCTGAATCTGAATTTTGGCCTGCCTTGCTACATTGGGGAAGTTCTCCTGGATAATATCCTGCAGAGTGTTTTCCAACTTGGTCCCATTCTCCCCGTCACTTTCAGGTACACCAATCAGACATAGATTTGGTCTTTTCACATAGTCCCATATTTCTTGGAGGGTTTGCCCGTTTCTTTTTATTCTTTTTTCTCTAAACTTCCCTTCTCACTTCATTTCATTCATTTCATCTTCCATCGCTGATACCTTTTCTTCCAGTTGATTGCATCAGCTCCTGAGGCTTCTGCATTCTTCATGTAGTTCTCGAGCCTTGGTTTTCAGCTCCATCAGCTCCTTTAAGCACTTCTCTGTATTGGTTATTCTAGTTATACATTCTTCTCAATTTTTTTCAAAGTTTTCAACTTCTTTACCTTTGGTTTGAATGTCCTCCAGTACCTCAGCGTAATTTGATTGTCTGAAGCCTTCTTCTCTCAGCTCATCAAAGTCATTCTCCATCCAGCTCTGTTCCGTTGCTGGTGAGGAACTGCGTTCCTTTGGACGAGGAGAGGCACTCTGCTTTTTAGAGTTTCCAGTTTTTCTGCTCTGTTTTTTCCCCATTTTTGTGGTTTTATCTACTATTGGTCTTTGATGATGGTGATGTACAGATGGGTTTTTGGTGTGGATGTCCTTTCTGTTTGTTAGTTTTCCTTCTAACAGACAGGACCCTCAGCTGCAGGTCTGTTGGAGTACCCAGCCGTGTGAGGTGTCAGTCTGCCCCTGCTGGGAGGTGCCTCCCAGTTAGGCTGCTCAGGGGTCAGGGGTCAGGGACCCATCTGAGGAGGCAGTCTGCCCGTTCTCAGATCTCCAGCTGCATGCTGGGAGAACCACTGCTCTCTTCAAAGCTGTCAGACAAGGACATTTAAGTCTGCAGAGGTCACTGCTGTCTTTTTGTTTGTCTGTGCCCTGCCCCCAGAGGTGGAGCCTACAGAGGCAGGCAGGCCTCCTTGAGCTGTGGTGGGCTCCACCCAGTTTGAGCTTCCTGGCTGCTTTGTTTACGTAAGCAAGCCTGGGCAATGGTGGGCGCCCCTCCCCCAGCCTCGCTGCCACCTTGCAGTTTGATCTCAGACTGCTGTGCTAGCAATCAGCGAGACTCTGTTGGCGTAGGACCCTCCAAGCCAGGTGCAGGATATAATCTCCTGGTGCCGTTTTTTAAGGCCGTCAGAAAAGCGCAGTATTCAGGTGGGAGTGACCCAATTTTCCCGGTGCTGTCTGTCACCCCTTTCTTTGACTAGGAAAGGGAACTCCCTGACCCCTTGTGCTTCCCGAGTGAGGCAATGCCTCACCCTGCTTCGGCTCGCGCATGGTGCATGCACCCACTGACCTGCGCCCACTGTCTGGCACTCCCTAGTGAGATGAACCCAGTACCTCAGATGGAAATGCAGAAATCACCCGTCTTCTGTGACGCTCTCACTGGGAGTTGTAGACCAGAGCTGTTCCTATTCGGCCATCTTGGCTCCTCCCCCAGGAAAAGAATTTTCAACCCAGAATTTCATATCCAGCCAAACTAAGCTTCAAACGTGAAGGAGAAATAAAATCCTTTACAGACAACCCAATCCTGAGAGATTTTGTCACCACCAGGCCTGCCTTACAAGAGCTCCTGAAGAAAGCACTAAATTTGGAAAGGAACAACCGGTAACAGCCACTGCAAAAACATACCAAACTGTAAAGACCATCAACACTATGAAGAAACTGCATCAACTAATGGGCAAAATAACCAGCTAGCATCATAATGACAGGATCAAATTCACACATAACAATATTAACTTTAAATGTAAATGGGATAAATGCCCCAATTAAAAGACACAGACTGGCAAATTGGATAAAGAGGCAAGATCCATTGTTGTGCTGTATTCAGGAGACCAATCTCACGTGCAACAACACACATAGGCTCAAAACAAAGGGGTGGAGGAATATTTACCAAGCAAATGGAAAGCAAATAAAAAAGCAGAGGTTGCCATCCTAATTTCTGATAAAACAGACTTTAAACCAACAAAGATCAAAAAAAGACAAAGAAGGGCATTACATAATGGTAAAGGGATCAATGCAACAAGAAGAGCTAACTATCCTAAATATATTTGTACCCAATACAGGAGTACTCAGATTCATAAAGCAAGTTTGTAGAGAACTACAAAGAGACTTTTAGACTCCCACACAATAATATTGGGAGACTTTAACACCCCACTGTCAATATTAGACACATCATTGAGACAGAAAATTAACAAGGATATTCAGGACTTGATCTCAGCTCTGGACCAAGCAGACTTAATAGGCATCTACAGGACTCTCCACCCAAAATCAACAGAATATACATTCTTCTTAGCACCTTGTCACACTGATTCTAAAATTGACCACATAATTGGAAGTAAAACACTCCTCAGCAAATGCAAAAGAACAGAAATCATAACAAACAGTCTCTCAGACCACAGTGCAAATTAGAACTCAGGATTAAGAAACTCACTCAAAACCACACAACTACATGGAAACTGAATAACCTGCTCCTGAATGACTACTGGGTAAATAATGAAATTAAGGTAGAAATAAATAAGTTCTTTGAAACCAGTGAGAACAAAGATACAATGTACCAGAATCTCTAGGACACAGCTAAAGTACTGTTTACAGGGAAATTTATAGGACCAAATGCCCACAGGAGAAAGCAGGAATGATCTAAAATCGACACCCTAACGTCACAATTAAAAGAACTAAAGAAGCAAGAGCAAACAAATTCAAAAGCTAACAGAAGACAAGAAACAACTAAGACCAGAGCAGAATTGAAGGAGATACAGACATGAAAAACCCTTCAAAAAATCAATGAATCCAGGAGCTGTTTTTTTTTAAAAAAGATTAACAAAATAGATAGACCACTAGCCAGACTAATAAAGAAGAAAAGAGAGAAGAATCAAATAGACACAATAAAAAATGATAAAGGGGATATCACCACTGATCCCGCAGAAATACAAATTACTATCAGAGTATACTATGAACAGCTCTATGCAAATAAACTAGAAAATCTAGAAGAAATGGATAAATTCCTGGACACATACACCCTTTCAAGACTAAATCAGGAAGAAATTGAATCCCTAAATAGACCAATACAAAGTTCTGAATTGAGGCAGTAATTAATAGCTTACCAATCATAAAAGGCCCAGGACCAGACAGATTCACAACTGAATTCTACCAGAGGTACAAAGAGGAGCTGGTACCATTCCTTCTGAAACTACTCCAATCAATAGAAAAAGAGGGAGTCCTCCCTAACTCATTTTATGAAGCCAGTATCATCCTGAAGCCAAAGCCTGGCAGAGACACAACAACGAAAAAATTTCAGGCCGATATCCCTGATGAATATCTATGCAAAAATCTTCAATAAAATACTGGCAAACAGAATCCAGCAGCACATCAAAAAGCTTACGCACCATGATCAGGTCAGCTTCATCCCTGGGATACAAGGCTGGTTCAACATATGCAAATCATTAAACATAACCCATCACATAAACAGAACCAATGACAAAAACCTCATGATTATCTCAATAGATGCAGAAAAGGCCTTTGATAAAATTCAACACCCCTTCATGCTAAAAACTCTCAATACACTAGGTATTGATGAAACATATCTCAAAATAGTAAGAGCTATTTATGACAAACCCACAGCCAATATCATACCAAATGGGCAAAAGCTGGACGCATTCTCTTTGAAAACAGGCACAAGACAAGGATGTCCTCTCTCACCACTCCTATTCAACACAGTATTGGAAGTTCTGGCCAGGGCAATCAGGCAAGAGAACGAAATAAAGGATATTCAGATAGAAAGAGAGGAAGTCAAATTGTCTCTGTTTGCAGATGACATGATCATATATTTAGAAAACCCCATTGTCTCAGGCCCAAATCTCCTTAAGCTGATAAGCAACTTCAGCAAAGTCTCAGGATACAAAATCAATGTGTGAAAATCACAAACATTCCTATACATCAGTAATAGACAAACAGAGAGCCAAATCATGAGCAAACTCCCATTTACAATTGCTACAAAGAGAATAAAATACCTAGGAATACAACTTACAAAGGATGTGAAGGACCTCTTCAAGGAGAACTACAAACCACTGCTCAAGGAAATAAGAGAGGACAAAAACAAATGGAAAAACATTCCATGCTCACTGATAAAAAGAATCAGTATCATGAAAATGCCCATACTACCCAAAGTAATTTATAGATTCAATGCTATCCCCATCAAGCTACCACTGACTTTCTTCACAGAATTAGAAAAAAGCTACTTTAAATTTCATACAGAACCAAAAAAGAGCCCACATTGCCAAGACAATCCTAAGCAAAAAGAACAAAGCTGGAGGCATCATGCTACCTGACTTCAAACTATACTGCAAGGCTACAGTAACCAAAACAGCATGGTACTGGTACCAAAACAGATATATAGACAAATGGAACAGAATGTAGACCTCAGAAATAATGCCACACATCTAAAAACATCTGATCTTTGACAAACCTGACAAAAACAAGCAATGGGGAAAGGATTCCCTATTTAATAAATGGTGTTGGGGAAACTGGCTAACCATATGCAGGAAACTGAAACTGGACCCCTTCCTTACAACTTATACAAAAATTAACTCAAGATGGATTAAAGACTTAAACATAAGACCTAAAACCATAAAAACCCTAGAAGAAAACCTAGGCAATACTATTATGGACATAGGCCTGGCCAAAGACTTCATGACTAAAACACCAAAAGCAATGGCCACAGAAGCCAAAATTGACAAATGGAATCTAATCAAAGAGCTTCTTCACAGCTGAAGAAACTATCATCAGAGTGAACAGGCAAACTACAGAATAGGGAACATTTTTGCCATCTATCCATCTGACAAAGGTCTAACATCTAGAATCTACAAGGAACTTACACAAATTTATAAGAAAAAAACAAAGAAACCCATCAAAAAGTGGGCGAAGGATATGAACAGACACTTCTCAAAAGAAGACTTTTATGCGGCCAACAAACATATAAACAAAGCTCATTACCACTGGTCATTAGACAAATGCAAATCAAAACCACAATGAGATACCATCTCATGCCAGTTAGAATGGTGATAATTAAAATGTCTGGAAACAACAGATGCTGGAGAGGACGTGGAGAAAAAGGAATGCTTTTACACTGTTGGTGGGAGTGTAAATTAGTTCAACCATTGTGGAAGATAGTGTGGCAATTCCTCAAGGATCTAGAACCAGATACACCATTTGACCCAGCAATCCCATTACCGGATATATACCCAAAGAAATATAAATCATTCTACTGTAAAGACACATGCACATGTATGTTTATTGCAGAACTGTTTACAGTGCAAAGACTTGGAACCAACCCAAACGCCCATCAACGATAGACTGGATTAAGAAAATGTGGCATACATACCATGGAATACTATGCAGCCATAAAAAGGATGAGTTCATGTCCTTTGCAGGGACATGGATGAAGCTGGAAACCATCATTCTCAGCAAGCTAACACAGGAACAGAAAACCAAACACCGCATGTTCTCACTCATAAGTGGGATTTGAACAATGAGAACACATGGACACAGGGAGGGGAACATCACACACCAGGGCCTGTCGGTGGGTGGAGACTAGGGGAGGGATAGCATTAGGAGAAATACCTAATGTAGATGATGGGTTGATTGGTGTGGCAAACCACCAAGGTATGTTTATACCTATGTAGCAAACCTGCACATTCTACACATGTATCCCAGAAATTAAAGTATAATAAAAAAAAATAAGTTAATTATAAACTAAAGGATAGTCATCAAGAGTTCATAAGCCTTTTAAAGTATTCTCTCCTAAATAAGCATATTTTATACTTTATCAAATGATGTTGTCTTTCCTAGGTATTTCTACCTGCAGAAAACAAACTAATAAACAAAACCAGACCAAAACTGTGGGAAGAAGAAAGCAGGCTGAATACAAAACATGTTGCATAGGAAATTCCAAGCTTTATCTCTAATTATAAAATGTCTAGAATACTGCAGGCAGCAAAAAGCAACTCAACGAATATAAAGAGATAACTACAGATGTGAAGTCATTATCAAAGACTAAGGAGAAGAAATAAAAAAAAGGTTCAATCATGTAGCCCATTACAAAGATCAATGGCATCAATAAACACTGCCTTATGTTCCAAGTTGCATATACATCAGCTTTCCCAGCAGCTAGGAGCCTTGGCAGCTCCGAGAGACCAGGGACCAGACAATATATCTTTTGATTTATCATGATTATTTATATGGTGTTATAGATTGCAAATATATATTAAATTTAATTAAATATCTGAAAAAAGATATAAAATCACAAAAACTAAAACCTTACAAAAGCTTCAAACTTCTAGCAACAATGGCACTTACATAGGAGTCTTAGCCAAGGAGCAAGGAAAGAAAGTAAGTGGGGTCAATGTCTCTTAGGTGTGCACACATCTCTGTGGTTAATTTCCTCATACCTTTCTTCAAAGCCCAAGATAAGTAAGTTATAAAATTTGTTTAGAACAATTGAGCCCATTCTCCTTTCCATTAGCATTAGATGGCTAAACTATACCAATAGCTTATTGTAATTGAAAGACTAAGCCTTCTACACAAAATGTATATATTGGAATAACCATAAATGTAATATATATATGAAAGTCGTGACTGCATACTATAAGATAGCAACACATGTGCTTTGTACTAAGCACTTTCATATATCTCACTTCATCCTCAACTCTGATTGAAACTTATCCAATAAGACATAAAAAATTGAAAAGTGAAGTTCAGTGACTCAATCCAAGGTCACTCAGTCAGTAAGTGGTAGAGAGGATTCAAAGCCAGGCAGTCTGACTTTAGAGCCTATGCTCTTAACCACTACCATATCCACTCTCTTTCATACTACAGGTTGGAGGAACCATGGAAAGAAAGTAGTAACACAAAGAAGCAAAATCAATTATAAGGAGGGATAAAGGGAAGGAAGAAAAGGCTTAACAAAGAAACCAAAAGGGAAAGGAGAAGCAAGGAAGGGAAGAAAGGAAAGAAAGACAAGATATAGGTACTAATAAAAGAAGGCAGTTGCATGAAGTTCTGTGTCCTTGCTGTATGATTTTCTCAGTGAAATTGTAGGAAAATGAGAAATCTTCATCTCCTCTCAGCATAAAACATTAAGTGCCATATCAAAATCTCATAAAAGAAAATACCAATATATGTATGAGTCACACTTCCACTTCTACTCCCCAAAATTGCCTGATTTCTTCATTGTAAGTAAGATATTGGGTCTCCCTTGAATGAACCCATCGCAGCATTTTCTATTTCAGTTCATAATACAGAAAATCGCTGCCTATATTAAACACCTTTTCCCAATGAGGCTGGCAGGCTGCACTGAGAATCAGAGGCACCAACCCCCAAACAAGTTTTCACTGAGACTCTGCTCAAATGTCTGTCATAATGTGAATGATGAAGGAAGACGGGAAGCAGCAGTAGCAGGACAATCTGTCAAAAAAAAAGCATAGCCAGCCACAGGGATCAGTGTTTTTATGCTAACTAGATTTCCCCGCAAATTTAAGTGGAAGAGAGACAGCAGAGGGTTTATTAGCATATATGTGGAGGGGAGGGAGGGGCTGTCAATGAGCTCTGGATGATCATACAGTTTCTTCCTGTTCTATGATTCCGTATATCTATAATTTCAAAGCACAATGATATATTTGCAAAGGGAAGTCAAGAGGCCCAAGTTCTGGGCTCTGCTCTCAGTCTTAAGCAACCTGTCTAATTTTTCTGGGCCTAGGTTTCCGTATCTTTAAAATACAGTGTCCTTTTTAGCTTTTATAATCTATGACTTTTTGATGACAACTACCTTTGATGATCACCATTTTGTACATAAAAGCCAGCACGTGCACAAGTATGCAAACACATACACACACAAACATGAGCTCTAATTTGATATTATTATGACTCTCTACCTCCAGGTAGAACTATAGCTATTTTATTCAAGATCAGTGTTTATGTAACCTAAAAATTTATTTGGATGACACATTTAATATCTTACTAGGAAACCTATTCCAACACCTATCAACAGAAACTTAAAGGAATTTTCCCACATATATAAACAATTGTTTTTGAATTGGTTTTTAAATCCTACATTAAGGCAAATAAAAGTCTTGAGTTCTTCTATTGGCTCAGGTATATAATTTCATGCCCACTTATATTTGATGAAACTAAAGTCTCTACACAGAATAAATTAGAAACTAGAGATATTTAGATGATGAAAGTAAAACTACATCAATCAGGATTATCAATGAAGATGCTAAGTAAATGAAAATAAAGATCAGTAACCAACACAGCAAGTAATCACAGTTGTGAAATTTGAGAAGCAACAATATACAAATGTTAGGATGTATTTATCTTTACATGCAGCCTTCTAGGTCATCTGCAATAAGGTATTTGAAGGTACATATGCCTGGAATTCAGTCATGAAAAAATAAAAAGAGTAATATCTGAACAAATATTTCTCCTATTTCAATACTCAGCTCCAGCCACACCTCCTCTCCAAAGTTTTTCCTCATTCAGTTTCTCCATTCCTCTTCAGTGCCTTCTGTCCCCAGCCCTGTAGAACTGTGTCTGTCTTGCACATAGAAAACTGTATTGCTCTTATTTTTTTATTTTGATGCTGGTCTCCCATTAGCTAGTGTTGAGTTTTTGAGGACAGTGAATATGTATTATTTGACTTGCACAATGCCTAGCACTCTGTAAATATCGAGATAAATAACTAATTTATGTAAATATAATACTGGATTCCTATCTGTAACATGCTGTTAATGTAGAGTATATTGAAATAAGATTTGGGTATAGGTACTTATGACCAAAGCCATTTTTCATTTGAAGAAAATAGAAGTTATATATTCCTGTCTCTAGATTAACAACATAGCATTACAACTGACTACAGTAATGTTAATGGAACAAAAAGCTTAACATCTGATATATATACCAAAGGTCTATAGTCCCCTAAAATTGTATAGAACATGTTTGGGAAAGTATGACTATTATTCTGGAAAGATAGATTCTCTAAATCTTCTGCTTTGTAGTTTATTGATTCTGGATGCTCTATGTTTAAGTGTGATAAATGGCAAGAAAATACTGATCCTCAGTCAAACCCAAGGAACAGCAAGGTACCCGAAATTGAGGTTTAAAGAACACTTTTTAAAATGGTGGGAATTTAAAGCCTCCTGAATATATAACTTAAGTTTTGAGCATTTTGAGCTATTTTGATTAATCTCACTCCTGTTTCTTCACTAAAACCCTTCCTGAGTATGATTAAAAACAGTGAAATAAATAGTGTGCTAAACTTTGAGCCTTCTTGATTTTGTTCTGAGTTTTTTGTTTTGTTTTGTTTCTTGCATTTGATCTGCTGACTTCATATGCTAAGAGATTACTATTCTGCAAGCAGTGACTGAAACCAAAATAATGAAAAGTGAAACAACATCTTCAGAGTTAAATAATAACATCCCCATAAGGATTATTTATAAATTACAAAATCTTACTCTTTTCCTTTTCAGTGTTAGCACTGTTATTATAAAATTGTCTATCCATATTTATAAAGATATAAATGAAAGTAATATCTCCAGAAAATGTAATCTCTACTTTTACCTTGTCTCCTGGGGAAGAGAAGATGAAATAAACTTAAAAGCTGCTAAAAGTATTTCTACATAAAGCTCTTTTATGGGATGGAACTGAGAGTTGTTTAAAAAATCATAAAAGTTAGAATATCCCCATAATCATGTACAAGTTTACCATTAAAATACAATAAAAAGACAGCTCATACTGCCAATCTCTTGTTGCCCTATAACATTTTGAGAAAAAATTAAAAGGCAGTATTGTCACTCATACGAGAGATACCGTATGAAAGCATCATAACATGAAAATCTTCCTCATTTTTTTAAAAATAAAATAAATCCCAAATCACAGTTATTCATTGTTTTAAAATTCTGAATAGTTATATTAATTTCAACCTTTATGTATATATTCAGAAAAATGATATCCATACCATTCTTTCTAGCTTCTTCAGGAAACTAGAAACATCAATGAAATTAGAAGTTCTATCTATCTTTTTTGGCATTGTCATATGTGTGTGTGTGTGTGTGTGTGTGTGTGTGTGTCTGTATTCAATAAACATGTTATTTCTCCATTCTGTATGATACAGTAATGGTGGATACATGATATAATGTAATTGGCAAAACCCAAAACACACTGGAGATTTTCCTGAGAACTAAGTTTTAAGCTGTTGGCACCAGAGAACACTGTTGGCAGCTGTCTGTGATCTTTCCACTTCCCAGTTTCTTGCATTCTAGTAGCAACTTCTCTAATCACCTAACTCCAAGTTCTCAGAATGACCATGTAACCTTTTAATTACCTGTATTACATAATATCTTGTGTGAACTACCTAGAATAGCATATATTTCCCTGATGAATCTGGTCATATGTATTTACAATCTTTCCCATCTTAGATGTCACTAAAGGGGAGAAAAGTACAAAACCCTAATGGTAGTAAGGAACTGAAAGAGAGTCATGAGAATACAAAATATGTCAACAGATGTATAGATGACAAAGCAGATAAAGAAGAGATAGCACATGAAATAGAGTCAACCACAGGTTAGATTATCTAGAAGGGATATAAATATGACAGACTGAGAGAGAGAAATTGCCTTTCCAGAAAGGCTAAGAATTCCAAAACACCACATGCAATGAAGACAGGAAAGGGTACAGGAGTGACATGGGGAACTGACAATTACAAGTATCTATGGGTAGAAATAGCCACTATCCAACCCTGCAGGAAAGAGGACACCCAGGAGACAGGCCTCTCCAGCTTAGAGAAATATTTGAGGATTCTTTATAACTTCACTAAAATAAAACCTTTCTAAATCAAAATAATAGCTCCAGACAAAAGACTTCCATCATCTGGCATGTTCTGATCCCCCCCAGGAAAACTGTTAATTCATAGCCCCATGACTCCAAAGCAAAGTGCAAGTCAGAGCCCAATCAGCTTTTCATTCCTTAAACTTGAATAAAATTATAATCATAGCTCATCAGGCATCTAAAGAAAGCTTGCTTTGAAAAAAGACAGTCCAAGATACACAAATAAAGATAAAATAACCCCAAGTGAAGATAATTTGGAGAAGAGAAGAAAATTCATAAATACTCTAATAATTATTCTATGAGAGATTTAAGAAAATCTTGATTTCCATCACAAAGTTCTCTCTCTCTTGCTCTATGTTTCTCCATCCCCCAGTAGATATGCCCACACTACTTTGATAAAATTCTTTTAAATTTGAAGAAGTTACTCTAAAAAGGGAATTTTTAAGTTAATTCAGTTATTTGATTTATCCTCTTCCATCTATTTAGAATTACAGCAGAGCTTTGTAAAAGCCAACATTTTGGTTATAAAGACACCTTTTTCTATCTGTTCCCATGTGTGGAGACTAAAGCAACTCCATCTTCATTGTCAGTCCACCATACTGACATCTGATTTACCCCAGTTCCAGGAATGCCTCTAAGATTTATACTTTACCTACTGTTACCATAAATTCTACCCTTTGTTCAAAACAGCCTCAACCATAAATCCTTCCCTTAGGCAGATTTACATAGCATGCTTGCCTTTCCCTGAGGAGTTGATTTCAACTGTCCTACATGTTCCTTCACTACAGCAAATAATTCCTAGGTCTGGGGCTAACACTGCAGTGAACCACCATCTCCTCTTGCAGCCACCTGGGACCTGGCTATTAAATGTTTTTTGTTTTTTCATTTTTCCTGAGAAGCTGGATATGTCAGCCTCTTCAGCCTCTCAGCTTCCTTGAACTTTGGGGGTAGGTTTGCATAGATCTATTCACTGCAGAACACCATGTAATCTTAGAATTTGGTAATTGGTATCTCGATAGATGCAGAAAAGACCTTCGAAAAAATTCAACATCCTTTCATGATAAAACTCTCAATAAACTAGATATTGATGGAACATTTCCCAAAGTAATAAGAGCTACTTCTGACAAACCCACAGCCAATATCATACTGAATGGCCAAAAGCGAGAAGCATTCCCTTTGAAAACTGGCCCAAGACAAGGATGCCCTCTCTCTCCACTCCTATTCAACATAGTATTGGATGTTCTGGCCAGGGCAATCAGGCAAGAGAAAGAAATAAAGCGTATTCAAATAGGAAAAGAGAAAGTCAAATTGTCTCTGTTTGCAGACAACTTGATCCTATATTTAGAAAACCCCATTGTCTCAGCCCCAAATCTCCTTAAGCTGATAAGCAACTTCAGCAAAGTCTCAGGATACAAAATCAGTGTGTGAAAATCACAAGCATTTCTTTACACTAACAATAGACAAGCAGAGAGCCAAATCATGAATGAACTCCCATTCACAATTGTTACAAAGAGAATAAAACACCTAGGAATACAGCTAACAAGGGACATGAAGGACCTCTTCAAGGAGAACTACAAACCACTGCTCAAGGAAATAAGAGAGGACACAAACAAATGGAAAAACATCCCATGCTCATGGATAGGAAGAATCAATATCATGAAAATGGCCATACAGCCCAAAGTAGTTTATAGATTAAGTGCTATTCTCATCAAACTACCATTGACTTTCTTCACAGAATTAGAAAAAAACTACTCTAAAATTCATATGGAGCCATAAAAGAGCCCGTATAGCCAAAACAATTCTAAGCAAAAAGAATAAAGCTGGAGGCATCACACTACCTGACTTCAAACTATACTGCAAGGCTACAGTAACCAAAACATGGTACAGGTATCAAAACAGACACATATACCAATGGAACAGAATAGAGACCTCAGATATAAGACCATCTGATCTTCAACAAACTTGACAAAAACAAGCAATGGGGAAAGGATTCCCTGTTTAATAAATGATGCTGGGAAAACTGGCTAGCTATATGCAGAAGACTGAAAGTGGACCCCTTCCTTACACCTTATACAAAAATCAACTCAAGATGGATTAAAGACTTAAATGTAAAACCCAAAACCATAAAAACCCTGGAAGAAAACCTAGGCAATCCCATTCACGACATAGGCATGGGCAAAGATTTTATGATGGAATCACCAAAAGCAATCACAACAAAAGCTAAAATTGACAAATGGGATCTAATTAAAGAGCTTCTGCACAGCAAAAGAAACTGTCATCAGAGTGAACAGGCAATCTACAGAATGGGAGAACATTTTTGCAATCTACCCATCTGACAAAGGGCTACCATCCATAATTTACAAGGAACTTAACCATATTTACAAGAAAAACACAAGAAAACCCATTAAAAAGTGGGCAAAAACATGAACAGACACTTCTCAAAAGAAGACATTCATGTGGGCAACAAACATATGAAAAAAAAGCACAACATCACTGATCATTAAAGAAATGCAAATCAAAACCACAATGAGATACCATCTCACACCAGTCAGAATGGCGCTTATTAAAAAGAAGTCATGAAACAACAGATGCTAGAGAGGCTGTGGAGAAAGAGGAACACTTTTTCATTGTTGGTGGGAATGTAAATTAGTTCAACCATTGTGGAAGACAGTGTGGCAACTCCTCAAGGATCTAGAACCAGAAATACCATTTGACCCAGCAATCCCATTACTGGATAAATACCTAGAGGAATATAAATAATTCTATTATAAAGACACGTGCATATGTATGTTTATTGCAGCATTATTTACAATAGCAAAGACATAGAACCAACCCAAATGCCCATCAATGATAGACTGGATAAAGAAAATGTGGTACATATACACCATAGAATACTATACAGCCACAAATAGGAATGAGTTCATGTCCTTTGCAGGGACATGGATGAAGCTGGAAGCCATCATTCACAGCAAACTAACACAGGATCAGAAAAGCAAACAGAAATCCATCTTACTCATAAGTGGGAGTTGAACAATGGGAACACATGGACACAGGGAGGGGAACAACACACACCAGGGCCTGTTGGGTCATGGGGGCACGAGGGGAGGGAGAGCATCAAGACAAATAGCTAATGCATGCAGGGCTTAAAACCCAGGTGATGGGTTGATAGGTGCAGCAAATCATCGTGACACACATATACTGTGTAAGAAACCTGCATGTTCTGTATATGTATCCCAAAACTTAAAGAAGAAAGAAAGAAAGAAAGAAGAAAGAAAGAAAGAAAGAAAGAAAGAAAGAAAGAAAGAAAGAAAGAAAGAAAGAAAGAAGGAAAGAAAGAAAGAAAAAGAGAAAGAAAAAGAAAGAAAGAATTTGGTAATTGGGGAGAAAGGAAGAACCTCAATACAGGAATATATTTATGTAAACATTAGGATCCACTCTTAGGTATAAAGTGATTCTTTCTTAACTTTATAAATATTTATTGAGCAAATGCTTTGTCTAATTGTGTCAAGTACAGAGAGGTTGGAAAAGGTGTGGGAAGTAGCATCAAGAAGGATGTTTGTCCATTTAACAGAGAAAGATTAGTAAAATATGAAACCAGCTTTGCAAAGATTATAACAATGAGAGAAGGCTAGCATGGCTGACTCCATCTTGCTTCTAGCCTCAGAGGGTGGCTTTCCTTGCTTGTTCCTGGGTGTAGGCCAACCTTGCCAAGGGAGAAATTTAGTTTATAGTTTGAAAGAGATGGAGATTGAGAATGAGATCGAAACAATGCTAAAATGGTTGTTATGAAAGCTCCCTTGAAAGCTATCTGGAAGAGTAAAAATGCTATATGTGAGGCACTTAGCACAAAGTCTAAAATATTTAAGTGCTAAATAAGTAAGTATAACTGATTTTAATAGATTATTTTTGATGGATAAAGAGGTAGGTAAGTGAGATTTGCATGGAGGTGATGGCTGGCATAATTTGGAACAATTAAGCCTGAGAATCTAGATAGTAATAAAAAGATTGAGGGTTTACAGAAGATACTGCCTTTGAGGAGCATGGATTTTGACAGATGACAGTGATACAGGTCAAAATGCATGTTTACTTTAGGGGTAGGATGGAGTAGGGGTCAGCCATAGATTGGCCCGAGGAGATGTGCCCATGACACAATTGTATACATTATGCATCTTTTGAACACAAAAGTCTTCCTGGAACTATGATACCTAAATGTTCACTATAGTTATCTGAGGACAAATTGATTTTAAGTAATTTTTTCTCTTTGCATCTTTCTTTAAAATCTTTTAAATAATAATCACATATAATTTTCATAATCAGATAAAAATAATAAATCTATTTCCATTTTTTAAAAGTTTTTATCCATAAAAGTTAATACTTACGGAGGGTTTACTGTGTACCAAAGAATGCTCGAAATAATTTAACAATATTTATTCATTTTATATTTGAAACAAAACTATAAGGTAAGTTTTATTGTGCATATTTTATGAATGAGGAAAATGAGAACAAAGAATAGGTTAAATACATTGCTTAAGGTCATATGGCTAGTAAGGAGAACACCCAGTATTTGAAGGTGTCTAGCATCTTATGCCTTTTTGTATAACTACATCTCATACTCAGAGCTCTCGTTGTGCTGTTTTCAATTAGAAAAAAATCCACACAGCATTAATGATAGGTGCAGGCAGCACTACTTTGCAATCTTCTTATTTTGCACCCTTCCACTTATAAAATGTAATATTTTCTGATTAAAAACTTCAAGCTTGTTCATTTGACTGACACTATCAGCATAAAGCCACATGAACAGCTAGAAATATGCCATTCAAAAACTGTTGAGATGCGGTCTCCTAAACAAGTTGCATGTGAAATCAAGTCCCTCTTGTATTATTTCTCCATCTCCTCTTAGATTAAATCAATGGATACCTCATCACCTTTCCTCAAAGGGCCATTTCAAAACCCTTCAGTTATATTGGCATCTCTGCTCCCAGTATAAATGTCAGGCCATATCGGGGTTAGATAATGAAATGTGAAGCCATCTATTTGCTTGATTTTTCAAGGGCATTTGGTGAGAACTGCTGTTCTATACACCTTATCCATCACCCTATTACTGCCTTGACTGCAAAAGAGTAGGAACTGCAAGTAATTCTTAATTCTTTTGCCTCTAGGCAAAGCCTATGCTGTAATGTAGGACAGAAAAGAAATACAATAGTGAATAATTCCTAACAAACCTTCAATACACACATTGCATTGCTATTCTTGGGTCTTTTTGGTTTCCTTTTGTGCTCAACTCAAAAGGATTCAGAAAAGCAGATTTTGAGTATAAGCCTTTTCTTCCAAGAAGCTCTTAATTCTGCTATTAAGAAATCGGATATGCAAGATAGAATCTATGTTTAATCAGATTCCTTAGTAGCTAGGCTATTGCAAATATAGTGCAAGTGTGTGTGTCGTGTGTGTGTGTGTGTGTGTGTGTTTGTGCACGCATGCATCAGGGCTATGATCTATTATTTATTTTATGTATAAAATTTATGTTTTACATGCACATTCTATATTACATCTTATTGTGATTATTTGTGTGAGTAGGTTACATGACCTTAAACTAGTTACCAATTTATTATCATTATTATTATTATACTCTAAGTTTTAGGGTACATGTGTACAATGTGCAGGTTAGTTACATATGTATACATGTGCCATGCTGGTATGCTGTACCCATTAACTCATCATTTAGCATTAGGTATATCTCCTAATGCTATCCCTCCCCGCTCCCCCGACCCCACAACAGTCCCCAGAGTGTGATGTTCCCCTTCCTGTGTCCATGTGTTCTCATTGTTCAATTCCCACCTATGAGTGAGAATATGCGTGTTTGCTTTTTTGTCCTTGCGATAGCTTGCTCAGAATGATGGTTTCGTTTCATCCATGTCCCTACAAAGGACATGAACTCATCATGTTTTATGGCTGCGTAGTATTCCATGGTGTATATGTGCCACATTTTCTTAATCCAGTCTATCGTTGTTGGACATTTACATTGGTTCCAAGTCTTTGCTATTGTGAATAGTGCAGCTATAAACATACGTGTGCGTGTGTCTTTATAGCAGCATGATTTATAATCCTTTGGGTATATACCCAGTAATGGGATGGCAGGGTCAAATGGTATTTCTAGTTCTAGATCCCTGAGGAATCACCACACTGACTTCCACAATGGTTGAACTAGTTTATAGTCCCACCAACAGTGTAAAAGTGTTCCTATTTCTCCACATCCTCTCCAGCACCTGTTGTTTCCTGACTTTTTAATGATCGCCATTCTAACTGGTGTGAGATGGTATCTCATTGTGGTTTTGATTTGCATTTCTCTGACGGCCAGTGATGATGAGCATTTTTTCATGTGTTTTTTGGCTGCATAAATGTCTTCTTTTGAGAAGTGTCTGTTCATATCCTTCGCCCACTTTTTGATGGGGTTGTTTGTTTTTTTCTTGTAAATTTGTTTGAGTTCATTGTAGATTCTACCAATTTTTTTAAATACTGTATTTCCCTATACACAATATATTTTTGCTTGATAGTATTTAGTACATGGAGATGTTTTTGAACAATCTTTTGATAAGATAGTAGACTTTTTACAACCAACTCAGTTCATTGCAACAAGGTACACTATTGACCTAGAAAGTGAAATGAAATAATCAATTTGGGGTCTAGAATTACTTAATTCAACTAATCTTATCATTATCAACTCTGTTGCATTTTGTAGTGTGCAGCTCCTTCCTAAAGCAAATTATCATCATCATCATCATCATCATCATCATCATCATCTCAGGAAAATGACCAAGAAAATCTGAACTGAAACAACAGTTTTTCTCTTTGATGCTTTTATTAGATGAGTCATCTCATTCGTAAGCATTACCCTGGCTTAGTCTACATAATTTAAATTCCTTCTTTTAACTAATCTCATTTGTTTCCATATATGCCGATGTGCATTGTTTTCTCCTGAGACATAGTGAAAAGGAAAACTGTTGTGCTTTTATCTATTCATATGTTTTTTCTATAATCCAGCAGGAAGCTCAATACAGCATTTTACTGTCACACAATTATGTGGTCATCTGTCACCATCTATAAGTTTTTCAGAGAAACTGCTCTACTTCTACTTCTCTGAAATTTCTCACACTACTTCAATGATTATTAACAATACAATAATAAAATACGAAAGAAAGTTCAAAAACAAGCAATAGAAAGATAGCATCTCTGTCCTCTCTGGACACAGCTAAATTTTCTCCTCTGATGTTTGATATATTCATTCATATATGTCTACATTTCACTTATTCATTTTCCTCAAGTCTCCTAAACCTAGAAAATATCCTGAGCAGTTCTATATCTTTCATTGTTAATCCCAGTAATTTGTCCTCTCCCCTAAAGTTTGGCATGTGATCTGTAATGTAAATTGATATGGTAGATGAGAACAGTAGGAAGAAAGATTGGACTGGCCCAGACACACCTTTGCAAATATAAACTAGAACTGAAAGAGATAGAGGAAAGCTCAGTCTATGTTCTTGAATATCAGGAAGGAAGATGAATTAAAGGGAGTTTCCCTTTAATTTCCTTATAAATTGCTCTATGTCTCAAAATAATAAATGAACTGTTACCTATAAATGTAAGAACATGCCCCAAATTTAGAAATTCTAATTGAGTTTAAGAAAAGAAAGGAAAATTATAATACCACTGTCTTTTTATTTTAAAAAATTGTGCTAAAAACATTAAACACAAAACTACTTTCTTAACAAATGCATATGTGTACAATACATTATTGTTGACTATAGGTACAATGTTGTATAACAGATCCCTAGAACTTATTCATCTTTCTTGACTGAAACTTTACGCCCATTGTTTAGTAACTCCCCATTTCTCTCTACCTTCTCTCTACCTCCACCCACTGGTAACCACAATCCAACTCTTTGATTCTATGAATTTGACTATTTTAGATAACTCATATAAGTGGAATCATGCAATATGTGTCTTTCTATGACTCATGTATTTCACTTAGCACAATGTCTTTAAGTTTCATCCATGTTGTTGTCACATACGGCAATAGTTCCTGCTTTTTTAAGGCTGAATAATAGTCCACTATTTATATACCATATTTTCTCATCTATTCATCTGTCAATAGACACTTAAGTTGTTTCTAAATCTTAACTATTGTGAATAATCCTACAATGAATATAGGAGTGCTAATACATCTTTGAGATCCTGATTTCAATTCTTTTGAATAAACACCCCAAAGTGGGATTGCTGGATCATGTAATTGCATTTTTAAATGTTTAGAGGAACTTCATTTGTTTCCCACAAAAGCTGCACCATATTGCATTTCCACCAACAGTGTGCAAGGGTTCCAATTTCTGTACATCCTCGTCAACACTTGCTATTTTCTGTTTTTTTTAACAGTAGCCATTCTACTATAGTAGGTGTTAAGTGATATTTCATTATAGTTTTAATTCACATTTCCTGGATGATTAGTGACACTGAGTATTTCTTAAAATATCTGTTGGCCATTTGTATGTCTTCTTTGAAGAAATGTCTATCCAAGTCCATAGCCCATGTTTAAATCAGGTTATTTATTTATTTATTTATTTTTCTCTCTCTTTTATTTTAACTAATAACCTGAAGGGGTTTATTTTAGATATTTTGGATACTAACCCTTTATCAGATATACGGTTTGCAAATATTCCCCCCATTCTGTAAGTGTCCTTTTCACTCTGTTGATTCATATCATTATTTTATTAATTATTATTATTACTATTATTTGCAATAGGGTCTGGATCTGTCACTCAGGCTGGAGTACAGTGGCCCAATTTCAGCTCACTGCAACCTCTGGCACCTCCCAGGTGCAAGCAATCCTCCTACCTCAGCCTCCCAAGTGGCTGGTACTACAGGTGTGAGCCTACCATATCCAGCTAATTTTTTCTTTAATTTTTTGTAGAGACAAGGTTTCACTATGTTGCCCAGGCTGGCCTCGAACTCCTGAGCTCAAACAATTCACCCACAAGCTTTTTAGTTTGATGTATTCTTATTTGTTTACTTTTGTTTTTGTTGCCTGTGCTTTTGATGTCATATCCATGAAACCATTGCCAAGACCAATGTCATGAAGGTTTTCTTCTAGTAGTTTTATAGTCTTGGTCTATGTTTAATCTTTAAGCCATTTCAAGTTGATTTTTGCATATGATGTAAGACAAGCATCCAGTTTCATTCCTTAATATGGATATCCAGTTTTCCAAGTACCATTTGTTGAAGAGACTCTCCAATCTCTATGTGTATTCTTGACACCTTTATCAAACGTCAGTTGACTGTTGCTATAGACTGAATGTTGGTGTCACCCAAAATCCATATGTTGAATCTTTGTCTCCCTAAATCTATATGTTGAATGGCATTAGGAGACGGGGACTTACAGAGATGATTAGGTCATAAAAGTGGAGACTTCATGAATAAAAGACATCTGAGAGGAATGCTTCACCTTTCCACCATGTGAGACACAGTGAGAAGGCACTAACTATGAGGAAGCAGTCCATCAGTACCTGTGCCTCAATTTTGGAATTCCAAACTTCTGGAACTGTGAGAAATATATTTCTGTTGTTATAAGCTACCCAGTTTATGGTATTTTATTATAGTAGCCCGAATAGAATAAAACAACCAAGTATGCATAGATTTATTTCTGGATTCTCTTATGTTCCATTGGTCTATATGTCTGTTTTAATGCCAGTATCATATTGTTTTGATCTCTGTGGTTTTGCAACATATCTAGAGATCAGGAAATGTGATGTCTCTAGCTTTATTCTTTTTTTCAAGATTGATTTGGTTATTTCTTGACTCATGGCTCCATATAAATTTTAGAGCTTTTTTTCACTTTCTGTAAAAAATGACATTGAGATTTGGATAGGGATTGCATTGAATCTGTAGATTTCTTTTGGTAGTATGGATATTTTAACAATGTTAAGTCTTCTAGTTCATGAACATTCAATGTCTTTTGATTTGCTTAGTATCTTTCATCAATGTTTTGTAGTTTTTAATACACAAATCTTTCACCTTGTTAGTTAGGTTTAGGTGTATTACTAAATTATTTTATTCTTTTTGGCACTAGTTTAGATGGGCATTGTTTTCTTAATTTCCTTTCAGATAGTTTGTTGTTAGTGTATAGAAATGCAACTGATTCTGGTATGTTGATTTTGTACTCTGTAATTTCACTAAATTCATTTGTTAGTTCTAACAGTTTCTTAATTGAATCTTCAGAGTTTTCTCTATATATAGGATCATGTTACCTGCAAACAGGGAAAATTTTATTTCTTCCTTCCCAATTTAAATGCCTTTTTACTTTTTTTCTTACCCAATTGCTCTAGATAGGGCTTCAAGTATCCTGCTGAATAGAAGCAGTGAAAGTGGGCATCCTTGTCTTGTTTCTAATCTTAGAGGAAAAGCCTTCATTCGGTTTTTCACCATTGAGTATGACGTTAGTGATGGGCATTTAATATATGGCTTTTATTATGTTGAGGTATATAATATTTGTATTTGTATTTGACATAATCTATTACTAGTTTGAGTTTTTAATTAAAAGATGTTAAATTTTGTCAAACCCTTTTTCTGCATCTTGAGATGATCACATGTTTTTATGCTTTATTTTGTTAATGTGGAATTTCACGTTAATTTTTACACACTGAACCATTCTAACATCCCAAGTACAAATCCCATTTGGTCATGGTGTATAATCCCCTTAATGTGCTCTTGGATTCAGTTTGCTGGGGTTTAGTAGAGGAATTTGTATGTTCATTCTTCAGGGATATTGGCCTATAGTTTTGTTTTCTTGTGGTGCTTTTGTCTGACTTTAGTATCAGAGTAATGAATTTGGACATGTTCCCTCTCCCCTTCAATTTTTTTGAAAAGTTTTAGAAGAAATGGTATAAATTTTTCTTTAAACGTTTGTTAGAATTTCACCAGTGAAGCCACCTGGTACTGGGCTTTTCCTTCCTGGGAGCTTTGTAATAACTATTTCAATATCTATACTAGTTATAGGTCTGTTCGGACTTTCTGCTTCCTCAGAATCCAGTCTCGGTTGATTGTATGTTTCTAGGAATTTATTCATTTCTTCTAGCTTATCCAGTTTGTTGGCACATAATTGTTCATAGTTATCTCTTTTGATTCTTTCTTATTTTGTGGCATCATTTGTGATTTCTCTTCTTTCATTTCTGATTTTTTTATTTGAGGCATCGCTCTTTTTTTGCTAGTTAGTTTACTTAAGGTTTTACCAATTTAGTTTATATTTATAAAAAACCAGTAAAACCAATTCCTAGTTGTCTTATTTTTTTCTATTATTTTTGAATTTTCCGTTTCATGTATTTCTGCTCAAATCTTTGTTAATTCCCTCTTTCTGCCTAATTTGGCCTTAGTCTGTTGTTATTGTTCTACTTCCTTGAGATGTAGTATTAAATTGTTTAAGATTTTTTTCTTTTAAATTTTAATTTCTTTAGCAAATGGGATGCATTCTTTAATTGGTGCACACAGCCATCTAAAAGAATAAAGAATCAAAGATTGCCACATTAAAAGCTGCCAAATTAAATTAAGACTTAATTTGCCTTCTGTAAGGAAGTCTTTTTCACTAATATTATTAAAAGTCTTTTTCACAAATATTATTCAAAAATCTTAAAAGTCTTTTTCACAAATATTATTCAAAAGATTTAGCCATCTGGGCAAAAAATCTTTTTCCATTGGCCAGTAAAACAATTTGGATCCAGATATTAAAAAGACATTTATTTTAGGTTCAGAGATACATGTGCAAGTTTGTTATATAAGTAAGCTTGTGTCATGGGAGTTTGTTGTACAGATTATTTTGTCACCCAGTTGCTAAGCCTAGTTTCCATCTTTGTGTCCATGTCTTCTCATCATTTAGCTCCCACTTATAAGTTAGAAAATGCAGTATTTCATTTTCTGTTCCTGCATTAGTTTGCTAAAGATAACAGCCTCCAGCTCTATCCATGTTCCCGCAAAGGACACGATCTCATTCCTTTTTATGGCTGCATAGTATGCCATGGAGTATATGTGCCACAATTTATTTACTCAGTTTACCATTGATAGGCATTTAGATTGATTCCATGTCTTTGCTGTTGTGAATAGTACTGCAGTGAACATATGTGAGCATGTGTCTTTATGATGAAACAGTTTCTATTCCCTTGCGTATACATCCAGTAATGGGACTGCTGGGTTGAAAGGTAGTTCTGTTTTTAGCTCTTTGAGGAATTGCCACACTACTTTCTACAATAGTTTAACTAATTTACATTCCCACCAACAGTGTATAAATATTTCCTTTTCTCCACAAGCTCACCAGTATCTGTTATTTTCTGACTTTTTAATAATAGCCATTCTGACTGATGTGAGATGGCATCTCGTGGTTTTGACTTGCATTGCTCTAATGATCAGTGATACTGAGTTTTTTTCATATGCTTGTTAGCTGCACGTACTTTTTTTGCAAAGTGTCTGTTCACGTCCTTTGCCCACTTTTTAATGGGGTTGTTTAATTCTTATAAATTTAAGTTCCTTATAGATGCTGGATATAAGAACTTTGTCAGATGCATAGTTTGCAAATATTTTCTCCCATTCTGTAGGTTGTCTATTTTCTCTGTTGGTAGTTTCTTTTGCTGTGAGGAAGCTCTGTATTTAATTAGATCCCATTTATCATTTTTTTGCTTTTGTTGCAATTGCTTTAGGTATCTACATCATAAAATCTTTGCCAGTTCCTATGTCTGGAATGGTATTGCTTAGGTTGTCTTCCAGAGCTTTTATAGCTTTGAGTTTTACGTTTAAGTCTCTAACCCATCTTGAGTTAATTTTTATGTATAGTGTACTGAATGGGTCCAGTTTCAATCTCCTGCATATCGCTAGCCAGTTTTCTCAGCATCATTTATTGAATAGGGAGTCCTTTCCCCTTTGCTTTGTCTAAGATCAGATGGTTGTAGGTGTGCAGCCTTATTTCAGGGCTCTCTATTCTGTTTCACTGGTCATGTTTCTGTTTTTATACCAGAATCATGCTGTTTTGGATACCGTATCCCTGTAGAATAGTTTGAAATCAGGTAGTGTGATGCCTCCAGATTTGTTCTTTTTTGTTCTCCTTGCTTAGTATTGCCTTGGCTGTTTGGTATTGCCTTGCTGTTTATTTCTTTCTCTTGCCTGATAGCTCTGGCCAGGACTTAAAATACTATGTTGAATAGGAGTGGTGAGAAAGGGCGTCTTTGTCTTGTGCTGGTTTTCAAGTGGAATGCTTCAAGCTTTTGCCCATTCAGTATGATGTTGGCTGTGGATTTGTCATAGATAACTCTTATTTTTCTGAGGTACGTTCCTTCAGTACCTAGGTGGTTGAGGGTTTTTAACATGAAGAGGTGATGAATTTTATCAAAAGCCTTTGTGCATCTATTACAATAATCATGTGGGTTTTGCATTGGTCCTGTTTATGTGATGAATCACATTTATTGATTTGTGTATGTTGAACCAACCTTGCCTCCCATGGGTAAAGCCAATTTATTGTGGTGGATTAGTTTTTCGATGTGCTCCTAGATTCATTTTGCTAATATTTTGTTGAAGATTATTGTATGCATGTTCATCAAGAATGCTAGCCTGAAGTTTTATTTTCTGTGTGTTTGCCAGGTGTTTTTTTTTTTTTTTAAATCAGGATGATGCTGGCCTCATAGAATGTGCTGGGGAGGAGTCCCTCCTCCTTAATTTTTTGGAATAGTTTCAATAAGAATGATTCCAGCTCTTCTTTGTATATCTACTAGAATTTGGCTGTGATATGAATGGTCCTGGACTTCTTTTGTTTGGTAGGCTATTTACTGATAAATTTACTGATCCAATTTCACAGTTCGTTATTGGTCTGCTTAGGGATTCAATTTCTTCCTGGTTCAGTCTGAGAGAGTGTATATGTCCAGGGATTTATCAATTTTTCTAGATTTTCTAGTTTGTGTGCATAGTACACAAACCATCATAGTAGTCTCTGATGGTTATTTGTATTTTTCTGGGGTCAGTGGTAATTACTATCTTATTTTTAAAATTGTGTTTATTTGGATCTTCTCTCTTCTTCTTTATTAGTCTAGCTAGCAGTCCATCTGTCTTATTAATTTTTCAAAAACACAGCCCCTGGATACATTGATCTTTTGAATGGCTTTTCATGTCTCAATTTCCTTCAATTCAGCTCTGATTCTGGTTATTTACTGTCTTCTGATAGTTTTGGGGTTGGTTTACTCTTGCTTCTCTAGTTCATTTAGTTGTGATGTTAGGTTGTTTATTTTAAATCTTTCTAACTTTTTGATGTGAGCATTTAGTGCTATAAATTTCCTGGTTAACATTGCCTTAGCTGTGTCCCAGAGATTCTGGTATATTTTATCTTTGTTCTCATTAGTTTCTGGGAACTTCTTGATTTCTGCTTTAATTTCATTATTTACCTAAAAGGCATTCAAAAGTGGGTTGTTTAGTTTCCATGTAACTGTATGGTTCTGAGCAATTTTCTTAGTCTTGATTTCTAATTTTATTGCACTGTGGTTCAATATGACTTTGTTTCTTTTGCTTAGGATTGTCTAAAGTCTGATTATGTGATCAACTCTAGAGTGTGTGCCATTTGGTGATGAGAAGAATACATATTCTCTTGTTTTTGGGTGGAGAGATATGTAGATGTCTATTAGGTCCATTTGGTCCAGTGTTGAGTTCAAGTCCTGAATATCTTTGTGAATTTTCTGCCTCAATGATCTAATACTGTCAGTGGGGTGTTGAAGTCTCCCACTATTACTGTGTGGAAGTCCAATTCTCTTTGAAGATCTCTAAAAACTTGCTTTATAAATCTGGGTGCTCCTCTGTTGGGTATGTACCTATTTAGGATAGTCAGCTTTTCTTGTTGAATTAAAACCTTTACCATTACATAATATCCTTCTTCATCTTTTTTGAGCTTCGTTAGTTTAAAGTCTGTTTTGTCTGAAATTAGGATTGCAACCCCTGTTTTTTTCTGTTTTGCATTTTTTGGTAGATTTTTCTGCATCTCTTTATTTTGAGCCTATGGGTGTCACCGCATATGAGATGGGTCTCTTGAAGACAGCATACCATTGGGTCATTCTTCTTTATTTAGCTTGCCACTCTGTGCCTTTTAATTGGGAGCATTTAGGACATTTACCTTGAAGGTTGGTATTAATTTGTATGGGTTTGATCCTGTCATCATGTTGTTAGGTGGTTACTATGCAGACTTGTTTGTGTGGTTGCTTTATAGAGTCACTGGTCTGTGTACTTATAGAGACACTGTGTATTTGCAGTGTCTGATAACGGTCTTTCCTTTTCATATTTAGTGCTTCTTTCAGGGGTTCTTGTAAGGCAGGTCTATGATAAGGAATTCCCTCAGCATTTGTTTGTCTGAAAAGGATCTTATTTCTTCTTTGCTTATGACACTTAGTTTGGGCAGATATCAAATTCTCAGTTGGAATATCTTTTTTTGAAGAATGTTTAATATAGTCCCCCAATCTCTCTGGCTGGTAGAGTTTCCGCTGAGAGGTCTGCTGTGTCAGAAGGACTTCCCTTTGTAGGTGGCCTGTCCTTTCTCTATAGCTACCTTTAACATTTTTTCTATCATTTCAACCTTGGAGAATCTGATGATTGTCTGTCTTGGGGATGATCTTCTTGTGAAGTCTCTTATGGGGGTTCTCTGCATTTCTGAATTTAAATGCTGGCCTCACTAGCTAGGTTGGGGAAGTTCTCATGGATGATATTCTGAAATATGTTTTCCAAGTTTCTTCCATTCTCTCCATCTCTTTCAGGGATGCCAATGAGTCATAGATTTGGTCTCTTTACATAATATCTTATTTCTTGGAGGTTTTGTTTGTTCCTTTTTATTATTTTTTCTTTATTCTTGTCTGACTATTTTATTTCAGAAAGCCAGTCTTCAAGCTCTGAGATTCTTTCCTCAGGTTGGTCTATTCTGCTGTTAATACTTACAATTAAATTATGAAATTTTTGTACTGTGTTTTTTCAGCTCTATCAGGTTGGTTACACTCTTTTCTATACTGAGTGTTTTGTTTGTCAGCTTCTGTACTATTTTATTGTGATTCCTAGCTTCCTCAGATTGGTTTCAACATTCTTCTGAATCTTGATGATCTTCATTTCTATATATATTTTGAATTTTATTTCTGTCATATCAGCCACCTCAGCCCAGTTAAGAACTCTTACTGGAGAACTAGTATGATCATTTGGAGGAAAGAAGACACTCAGGCTTTTTGAGTTCTTAGAGTTCCCACACTGGTTTTTTCTCATCTTTGTGGTCTGATGTTCCTCCAATCTTTTTCGAATTTTTTTTTTTTGAGATGGAGTCTCGCTCTGTTGCCCAGTCTGGAGTGCAGTGGTGCAGTCTCGGCTCACTGCAAGCTCCGTCTCCCGTGTTCACGCCATTCTCCTGCCTCAGCCTCCCGAGTAGCTGGGACTACAGGCGCCCACTGCCATGCCCGGCTAGTTTTCTGTATTTTTAGTAGAGATGGGGTTTCACCATGTTGGCCAGGGTGGTCTTGATATCTTGACCTCGTGATCCACCCACCTTGGCCTCCCAAAGTGCTGGGATTACAGGTGTGAGCCACCACGCCTGGCCTGTTCCTCCAATCTTTGAAATTGCTGTCCTTTGGATTTTTTTCTTTTGTTCTATTTCATGACCTTGGGTGTTTCATGGTGGTATAAGGTGGGTTCAGTTGACTGGCTCAATTTCTGGAAGATTTTAGGGGACCAAGACTCAACTCAGGACTCGTGGACTGTGTGCTCTAACCCTGGGGGACTGGTATCAGTTCCCAACTTTGTTTTCTGGCTCCTCAAGGTTAGGAACCTGCTCACTGGAGGGGCTGAGTTACTTCTGGACTGTTGGTCACAACACTCTGATGGGTAGTGCCAGACAAAGAGCTTCATAGGGCAGAGGCAGCAGAATCTGTTCTCATTTGCATGTGCCAGCAGCAGTGACAGTGGCAACACAGCAGGGTGCATGCTTGTTGGATGTGGCAGTGTGCTAGCAGGTGCTGGGGTTCTGGCCTCTGTGTGGGCATTCACAGCAGCAGTGGTGGCCACATGGCGACATGGCTTGGGGGCGGGGACCCCCACCAGTGACTGTGTGTGCATTCGTGCTGGTGGTGGTATTAGCATGGGGTTGAAGTGCTGATGGACACAAGACTGTGGACCCTCTGTGTGTTTTCATGCAGGCAGTGGTGGCTGCTCAAGGCAGGGGTGACTCTGCTGTTCTCTGTGTCCAGTTTCACATTGCTGGAAGTGTTGGTGCCAGAGCAGAATGCTGGCAAAGGCAGGGCTGGTGGGCTCTGTGCCACCCAGTGCTCTAACAACAATGGTGGTTTAGTGGGGTGTTGGCAACAAGGTGCACTCATGCAGGCAGCAGCGGTATGGTAGGATGCATGCATGCACATATCCTGGTGGGGTAAGGAAGGCAAAGTCTGCCCATGCAAATACATGGTGGCAAAGCAATGTGGGGGTGGCCATTGGTGAGTATGTGAAGGCCAAGTAGCATGGGGGACGCTGCAGTTGTGGGAGGCAACAAGCATGCTGGTGTCTGCAGGGACTGCTATGCTGGAGCACTCTGCCAGTCAGGCCTAACCCACTAGAACAGGAGCTGTAATGCAGGCCCCCACGAGCTACCTGGGGACTGCACTGCAAGCACCTGCAGCCAGGCTGGGGCCCCTGGAGAGGCCAGCAGACCAAGGGGGTACTCAAGGTGGACTGCCATTTCATGGGCAGGACCTCCCTGCAGAGTTCAGGTGACAGTTCCCCTAGGGCTACAGTCTCCTATGGAAACAAGTCTAGCTTAGGGAGATGGGTGTCCCTGGCCATGCTCCACTATAGGTGCTCCCACTCCAAACCCTTTGGGCTCTGCACTGGCTGGACTTCTGTCCCTTCCACTTCTCTAAGCAGCTCTCTCTGCCAATTCAAATGTCCATGGTGGTTAAAGGATTTCCCCATGCCAGGATTCCAGAGATCCATGCGAGAGTGGATCGCTCCTGGCCTGTTCAATTCACCCCATCCCCAGGAGTTCTTGGGGACCAGGAACCGGTCCTGGTGTGCACTAGCATTGCTCAGGGTTCCCAGCTTCCTCCCTCTGCAGCCCAGCATCTGTGTCTTCCCTCTATCTGCCCTCAGTGCCTTCCCTGTGAAGATCTGCTAGGAGTGTGCCAGTCTTTCTGATGTCCCAGTCCTTTGGTGGGAGATGTTCCTTCTGGCTGCATCTAGTCGACCATCTTGCCTCCTTCCTGATCCAGATATTCTCCAGTCCAGAGACTTACCAGCTTGCAAAATGTTTTTGCATTCTTCTTGGATTCCAATCTCCCCTACCTTGAAAGTTTGTGTGTTTTAGGTTCTGTGGAGATAGGCTTTCTCAACAAAATCAGAGTTGTGCTCTCTAGGTGAGTCTGCTAAATTAAAATCCTCTCTTCTTTTCTAATATAGGTATTTATCACTATGAAATTCCCTCTTAGCAATGCTTTAGTTGTATCCCATATGTTTTGGTATATTTTGTTTTCATTTTCATTGGTTGCAAGAGATTTTCTTTTTTTTCTTTATTTTTATTTCTTGTAAAAAAAACGGGATATATGCTCAGAACATACAGGTTTGTTACATAGGTATATGTGTGCTATGGTGGTTTTCTGCACCTATTGACCATCCTCTAAGTTCCCTCCACTCAATCCCCTCCCCAGAACAGGCCCTGGTGTGTGTTGTTCCCTCTCTGTGTCCATGTGTTCTCAATGTTCAACCCCCACTTATGGGTGAGAATAAGTGGTGTTCAGTTTTCTGTTCCAGTGTTAGTTTCTGAGGATGATGGCTTCCAGCTTCATCCATGTTCCTGCAAAGGATATGGTCTCATTCCTTTTAATGGCTGCATAGTATTCTATGGTGTATATGTACTACATTTTCTTTAACCAGTCTATCATTGATGGGCATTTGGTTTGGTTCCATGTCTTTGCTATTGTAAATAGTGCTGCAATAAACATACAAGTGCATGTATCTTTGTAGTAGAATTATTTATATTCCCTTGGGTATGTACTAAGTAATGGGATTGCTGGGTCAAATAGTATTTCTGGTTCTAGATCCTTGAGGAATTGCCATACTGTCTTCCACAATGGTTGAACTAATTTACATTTCCACCAACAATGTAAAAGCATTCCTATTTCTCCACAACCTTGCCAGCATCTGTCATTTCCTGACTTTTTAATAATTGTCGTTCTGATTGGCATGAGATGGTATCTCATAGTGGTTTTGATTTGCATTTCTCTGATGATCCATGACATTGAGCTTTTTTCATATGTTTGCTGGCCATGTAAATATCTTCTTTTGAGAAGTGTCTGTTCATATCCTTTGCCTACTTTTTGATGGAGTTGTTTTTTTCTTATAAATATGTTTAAGTTACTTGTAAATTCTGGGCATTAGACCTTTGTCAGATAGGCAGATAGGAAAAATTTTCTCCCATTCTGTAGGTTCACTCTGATGACAGCTTCTTTTGCTGTGCAGAAGCTCTTTAGTTTAATTAGATCCTATTTGTCAATTTTGGCTTTTGTTGCAATTGCCTTTGGTGTTTTTGTCATGAAGTCTTTGCCCAGGCCTATGTCCTGAATAGTATTGCCTAGGTTTTCTTCTACTGTTTTTATTGTTTTGGGTTTTACATTTAAGTCTTTAATCCATCTTGAGTTAAATTTTGTATAAGGTATAAAGAAGGGGTCCAGTTTCTGTTTTCTGCATTTGGCTAGCCAGTTCTCCCACCACCATTTACTGAATAAGAGATCTTTTCTCCACTGCTTGTTTTTGTCAGGTTTGTCAAAGATCAAATGGTTGTAGATGTGTAGTGTTATTTCTGAGATCTCTGTTCTGCTCCATTGGTCTATTTGTCTGTTTCAGTACCAGCACCATGCTGTTTTGGTTACTGTAGCCTTGCAGTATAGTTTGAAGTCAGGTAGCCTGCTGCCTCCAGCTTTGCTTTTTTTGCTTGGGATTGTTTTGGCCATCCAAAGTCTTATTTGAATCCATATGAAACTTAAAATAGTCTTTTCTAATTCTGTGAAGAATGTCAATGATAGTTTGATGGGCATAGCTCTGAATTTATAAATTACTTTGGGCAGTATGGTCATTTTCATGACATCAATTCTTCCTATCCATGAGGATGAAATGTTTTTCCATTTGTTTGTGTCCTCTCTTATTTCCTTGAGCAGTGGCTTATAGTTCTCCTTGAAGAGGTCCTTCACATCCCTTGTTAGCTCTATTCCTAGGTATTTTACTCTCTTTGTAGTGATTATGAATGGGAGTTCATTCATGATTTGGCTTTCTGCTTTGCTTTCCTATTATTGCTGTAAAAGAATGCTTGTGATTTTTGTACATTGATTCTGTATCTTGAGACTTTGCTGAAACTGCTTATCAGTTAAGAAATTTTGGGGCTGAGATGATGGTGTTTGCTAAATATAAAATCATGTTGTCTACAAACAGAGACAATTTGACTTTCTCTCTTCCTATTTGATCACCCTTTCTTTCTTTCTCTTGCCTGATTGCCCTGGTCAGAACTTCCAATACAATGTAGAATAGGAGTGGTGAGAGAGGGCATCCTTGTCTTGTACCAGTTTTCAAATGGAATGCTTCCAGGTTTTGCCCATTCAATATGACATTGGCTGTGGGTTTATCATAATTAACTCTCATTATTTTGAGAAATGTTCCATCAATACCTAGTTTATTGTGAGTTTTTAACATGAAGGGATGTTGAATTTTATTAAAGCCTTTTCTGCATCTATTGAGATAATCATGTGGTTCTTGTCTTTGGTTGTGTTTATGTCATGGATTACATGTATTGATTTTCATATGTTGAACCAGCCTTGCAACTCAGGGATGAAGCTGGCTTGATCATGATGAATAAGTTTTTTGATACACTGCTGGATTTGGTTTGCCAGTATTTTATGAGGATTTTCGCATGGATGTTCATCAGGGATATTGGCCTGAAGTTTTCCTTTTTTGTTGTGTCTCTTACCAGTTTTGGTATCAGGATGATGCTGGCTTCATAAAATGAGTTAGGGAGGAGTCCCTCCTTTTCAATTGTTTGGAATAGCTTCAGAAGGAATGGTACCAGTTCCTCTTTGTATTTCTGGTAGAATTCAGCTGGGAATCAGTCTGGTCCTAGGATTTTTTTGGTTGGTAGGCCATTAATTACTGCCTCCATTTTAGAGACTGTTATTGGTCTATTCAGGAATTTGACTTCTTCCTGGTTTTGTCTTGGTAGGATGTATGTGTTCAGGAGTTTATCCATTTCTTCTAGATTTTCTAGTGTATTTGCATAGAAGTGTTTATAGTATTCTCTGATGGTAGTTTGTATTTCTGTGGGATTAGTGATGATATATATCCCTTTTATCATTTTTTATTGCATCTATTTGATTCTTCTCTCTCTTCTTCTTTATTAATCTAGCTAGTGGTCTATCTATTTTGTTAGTTTTTTCAAAAAAAAAAAACAGCTCCTGGATTTGTTGATTTTTTTGGAGAGTTTTTCATGTCTCTATCTCCTTCAATTCTTCTCTGATCTTAGTTATTTCTTGTTTTCGGCTAGCTTTTGGATTAGTTTGCTCTTGCCTCTCTAGCTCTTTTTAATTGTGATATTAGGGTGTCGATTTGAGATATTTCCAGCTTTCTTATGTGGGCATTTAGTGCTATAAATTTCCCTCTTAATACTGCTTTAACTGTGTCCCAGAGATTCTGGTATGTTGTCTCTTTGTTCTCATTGGTTTCAAAGAACTTCTGGATTTCTGCCTTAATTTCATTATTGAACCAGGAGTCATTCAGGAGCAGGTTGTTCAATTTCCATGAAATTGTGTGGATTTTGAGTGAGTTTCTTAATCCTGAGTTTTCTCTGCTTGAAAATTCTTTTAAGAATGTTGAGTATTGGTCCTCAATCTCTTCTGGCTTGTGGAGTTTCTGCTAAGAGGTCTGCCATTAGTCTGATGGGCTTCCCTAGTCCCTCTGGACAATTCCTCAATGCACAGGAAAGTGACTAACAAAAGTCTTCTCAGGTTCTTTTTTGTTTGTAGAGGTTAATGAAAGTTTGAGTAAAGTAAATTCATCAGGATCATAGGCACTACTTTACATCTTTTTCTTCCTTCTTCTTACCAAAGGAGAGTTCTCCCCATCCACTCTCCATTCCTCACTATAGCAGTACCTACTGCAATATTACACAAAGTGGTTTACTTCCCAATTCAGTCTCTGAAAGGGACATTTCCTCTCATCTTCCTCACCCTCTATGTTAGGGAATGAATGTTTTTCTGCCCCCCAAAATTTATATGTTGAAATTCTAACCTCTAGTGTGATGACATTAGGAGGTAGGGCCTTTGGGAGGTAATTAGGTAATGAAGGCAGAGTCCTAATAAATGGGATTAATACCCTTATAAGAAGAAATAAGAAATCCTGCTTCCTCTCTCTGTTATCCACGATGTAAGGATATAACAAGAAGACACCCACCTGCAAACCAAGAGGAGTGCCCTCACTAGACATTGAATCTGCCAGCACCTTAATCTTGGATTTCCCAGCCTCCAAAACTGTGAGATAAATGTTTGTTGCTTAAGCCACCTAATCTATAGTAATTTATTACAGCAACCCAAACTGACTAGGACACTATAGTCTCCTCACATAGGGCCCAGCACCATTTTTCCTCCTTGTCTTACTGAATGACTACTCTAGTGCAGAGGTGATCTGATCCATTACATACTTTAGTTTCAGAAATTGACCAGAAAGTTACAGGCATCATTTGTGCTCACAACTCACTGGCTAGATCTAGTAGCAGGGCCCCACCCAAACACAAGGGAGCCAGGAAGTGCAATTCTACTTTGTGTCTGGAATGAGGTGGAATGTCACATATCTGGGTATCAGCAGTAGTGCTGCCACACTGCCCTCTTGTTCTTCATTTTGTGCCATTCTCTCTCCTACTCATTCTTGCCATGCTGGCCTCCCATCAGTTCCTCAGTTCCTCATGTGACCTTTGGGCATGCTGCTCGCTCTACTTAAATTTTCTTTCTCCCACCTTGACTGACACCTTCTGATTTCTCAGGTCATAGCTAAAATATTTTCTTCTCAGAGAAGTTTGCTATAAAACCTCTCCTCCCTCCATCTGAGGTAGCCCCCTTTATTACTCTTTTTCAAAGCTCTCTCGTCTATTTATTTTGCAGCTCTCATGTTCATTTGTAATTATATGGCTGATGTGTTCACCTGATTGAGTCATGTCCGTCCCCTCCACTTCACTGTAAATGCCCTAAAAGAAGTGATCAGGCTCATTTTATTTACCACCTTGAATATACTTGATGCCTAGCTTGCAATTGGACAATATATATTTGCTGAATAAATAAATGAACTCAGGACCTTTTAGTGGTCCACCTCAAGTAACTTTAGAATTACATTTCTCTCTCACTTTATACCCATGAATTATATTAGACAGCACTGTATATGACATGAATTACACATTTGACAAGCTATATTGAGTAGCAAATACAAAGAAAACAAGCAATAAGAAAAAGATAGGTTAGGCTGTAGCAAAAACACTCAACAGTGAAAAGCAAAAGAAGCCACTCACGATTTTAATAATGTAAAACTCTACAAAATCTAATATTCTTTCAAAGCAAACTTGGCACAATAAATTTGTATGGGAAAGCCTGAGCTTGGTCATCAGATGTAATCATCAAGGAAGATGGCAAACAGTATGGAAGATAGAGAAGTAGACTTTCATCATAAAACACCTGAGAAGTTTTTTAGTTTTTTTGTTTGTTTGTTTGTTTTTCAAAATAGAGTCATTAGCCCCAATTTGTGTAGCCCTTACTCACTTCCTGGGCCTCAGAAATACTACTTCCTGTTATACAGCTGTTCCCAAAAAGTTTCAAGATAAATAAAGTACACATAGAACGGTTTAAGGAAGTTCCCTTAGAACTTTAAGTAACAGTCTTAATAATGGGCTTGTTCCTTGACAGTTGCTTTCTTTAGTAACTCTACGGTTATGGTCTGGCCTGGTGGGAGCCAAAGGTTAGACTTTACCATTTGTCAAGGTGACAGCTCTTGACCCCATTTAGCTTTTAACCTTTTGGCTTATTAGAAATTCCCTCTAAAGTATATGCCAGTTTTCTTCATTGTAAATTGCGAACTGAGGCGTCTCTGGCTGATGTTATATTGTTCACTTTTTCATACATTATTGCTTTGTGAAAAATTCATGAAGAATAATTCATGAACATTTTTAGATTTTACCCATGAGTTCATATGAACCAGATTTGGTAATATGCTAAGCAAAATAGACAAGAAATAAACCCCTTATCTGATTATTAATACAGCTGTAAGAGTAAGCATAGAAATGGTGTTTTAAACATCAGAGAGAAATTTTCAGTGGGGTGCCAAAGGGATTTGCTGTGATACCATTTCTTTTATAATTGTAACTGAATTATTTACATCACTTTTATATAAGCTTGAGGAATTCTCCCCATTTACAGAAATTAGAAATATGACATTTTATGACAGTGATTCTTCGCATCTTAACGTGTGTGTGTGTGTGTGCGCGCGCGCGTGTGCGCATGCGCACGCATGTGTGTGAGAGAAATATGGGCCTGTTTGAGAATTTGGCAAAAGTGATTGGTCTTCTTTCCAGAAAAAAAAAAATCTGCATATACCACTTCCCCTCCAAAATTTACATACAATTTGAAGATATTCAGTGACCCATTTGAAGTACATTTGGGAAAAAGAAAACAAAACAAGCAAGCTACAGAGCAACTACTTAAAAGAACATTTTAAATCAATGTTCCAAACACGTAACTCTCTTAAAGTTTGTCACTGCAGGGCTAATTCTATTAAGTAACTGTTAATCCTGCACCCCTACATAGTGACCCGCCTTGGTTAGTCAGCAGTCATGTATTATTACCAAAATATTACATAGTTTCTGTCCTGGTGGATAAATAATTACTACTTTGAACTCCCCTAGCCCTCAACTGTTAACCTGCCCCATCAGCCAGATAAGTAGGACCATGTAATGATCCAGCAATGAGGAAATTTAAGCCTGATTGATATAATACGGGCCTCCAGGATGCAATGTCTACACAAAGACCAATTCTGATTGTTCAGCGTCCATGCCTTATTTAGGTGTTACGAGATATTTTGAATATAAACTCTGATTTGCCCATTTTATTTTTCCTAAGAGTAATAATCTACTTTGAAAAAGAGACAGAACTCTAGATACTTTCTTTACTCCACTGAGATAAGAGTATAATGAAGCAGTTGTCTTTGTCCTGTATTTTTAAAGGTAGGAACCTGAAAAGATTATTCACAGGTTAATCTTCCAATAGAAATGCAAAAAAATGAGAGGGGAAAAGAGTTCGGGAATAGCAGATGCTGGGTAGTTTGGGTAAGGGAGGGAATATAGGGAATAGGGAATATATAGAGGGAATATAGCCTTAGGGTGTTTAGCCAGGTATTTTTGACTGCCTAGACTCATGTCCTTTCAGAAAGCATCACACAATCATTCCACATGATTCTTGCGAAGCCCCTCTCTTGTTCCTCACTTCCTAACCTCCAGGCATAGCCAGTCTTATTTTCTCATTCTCTATTAGCAGTAATGTATCTAAAAAGTAAACATTTAATCCAAGCAAATAGCCAAGCAGAATCCAAGCAGATATATTGATAATGGGAGAAAGAAACTCTTTTCTATGGGAGGTTGTGCCTCCGTCTTTTTTTCCAAGTGGAGAATGCCTTCATGTAGATGTAGCTAAGAAGAGGTAAGAAAGTGATGGAGGGAAAAAGTCCTACTCATGACGAGGTGAGTCTCTGAGGCACTGACTCTACAGTTACTCATTTTATTTCTACATCTTTAAAAATCCTTCCAGCTAAGATAACTAATAAACTTTCATCATTTATTGTTGTTATTATTTAAATTGCTTATGCTATTTTGATTTGAGTTTCTGTCACTTGTAATCAAAAGAGGGCTGATTAATTTAGAGGGTTAGGTGAAAGGCCATGTTTATGTAAAGAGGGGATTTGTAAATGATGCAATTATCAGAGACTAAGGCACAAAATTCTAAATAGAAGGGACAGATTGCCAATATTAACACAATTGACTTTACAGCTATTGTGATAATTTTTAAAAGCATATCCTCTGACAATGTTTTAATTACTTAGTAAAAAAATGGCATCTATTTTACTCAGTGCAAATATTCTGCAGTTTGGAAATGCAATACCTTTATTACGATAGCCAAAAATACCACACACTGAATTAATCTAGTTAAATCTCAACTAGAAAAAATACATATTTTTGATGATTTATGTTAAGAAAGTCTTAAATATTCTAGATAAAACAACAGGGGAAGCTGAGGTTGAGCTTTTCAAATACTTTTTCCAATAAGATTGAATATATGGAAGCTTTATTTTTAAAATACTATTTAGGCTTTCTGATATAAAATCAAATAACAAACTATTGCTTTATTAACTTATTTGTTACTCAATGTCCAGGGAGCTTTAGAAACAAAAGAACTGCTAGATATTATAGCTCTTTAAACTATATATTTTTTATATTTAAGCATCAGTATTCTAGCCTTTCTAGTGACTAAACAAACTCATAAGAACATTTTATGAACTAATGCATAATTATTCCCATTCAGTAGAGAGAGTCATCAAGCTTCATAGCATTTACTAAAAGCTTTAGCCATAAATGGAATTTTCCATAACAGCAGAAAACTCATCACAATTATATGAAAAGTAGATTGTAAGATAGTATAAGGGGACAAATGGTTATAAAGTAAATGATTTGCAATAATTCCATCTGCTGCCTAAATGCAAACACATGGTTGACAACTCAAGAGAGCAGGAGAAATGTTCAATCTCCCCATCAGTCTGGGAATCTTCATGGGAAGCCCACTCCAGTCCCATCATATGGGAACCATTGGGTATCCCAGAGGGCTGATTGGAAGACAAGGCACAGGACATTAATCTCAAAGACTGGCATGCAGATCTAGGCAGCAACTCTGTGCTTCAATCAGTGGGGGTGCCATGTTGAAGAGACTGGATGATGCCATAGTGCTGCAAGGGGGGGCACCATTCAAGCAAAGGCCCAAATCTGTGGCTGAATTTTTTATAAATCCCAGGTGGAGCTTTCCCCTGGCCCAGAAACAACTAAAAGTTGGGACTGAGTTCTGGTACTCACCTGTCTTTACCAGACTGGGAAAAAACTGTAGGGCAGCAATATAATTTCAGGACAGCTTTTAACTTCCAGTGCTCACTATAAAACATCCCCAGAGTGGGAAACAATGGCAGGGCAACAAGTTAGTTCCAGCAAAGTGTTTTTGTACCAGTGCACACTATAAGACTCCCAGAATGGGAAGAAATAACAGGCCAACATTGAAGTTTCATTACTAAGGAATAAAGGCCTAACACCACCAAAAAAACCCCCACAATAATTGGAAGAGGTAGCTGACTCTTCAAACACACAAGCATCAACATAAAGACACAAGGATTGTGGAAACTCAGGGAAATATGACACCACTCAAAGAAACCAACAAAACTCCAACAATAGACACAGAAGAATGCAACATCTCCAAAATGTCAGGCAGAAAATTCAGAATAATTCTCTTAAAGAAGTTGAAAGAATCACAATAAAACACAGATTGAAATTGGAAAACAATCCAGGAACAAAATAAGAAATTTCACAAAAATAAAAACAATTTTAAGAGAGCAAACAAATTTTAGAAGCAAGCAATATAATAACTGAACTGAAAAACTCCATAGAAAGCTTCAATAGCAGACTTGATCAAAAAGAGGAAAGAATTAGTGAGCTTGAAAAAAGAATAAATGAAATTACCCAGTCAGAGAAGCAAAAGGAAAAAGAATTTAAAAAAAGAGTAAAGAAGAATAAGGGGACACCATCAAGCAAACTAACTTCCACATAATAGAAATTTCCAACAGATATTATGTAAAAGAGGAAAAGGTCTAGAAAGCATATTTCAAAAAGTAACGGCTGAAATTTCTGAAATCTGGAGAAAACCAACACTATCCAAGTGCAGGAAGCTCAAAGATATTAAACAAATTCAACTCAAAGAGAAAACTACCCAGATATATTATAATGAAATTAGTAAAAATCAAAAACAAAGAAAGAATACTTTAAGCAGCAAGAGAAAAGAAACATTACATTCAACTGATCTCTAATATGGCTTTCAGCGGATTTCTCAGAGAAACTTAGCAGACCAAAAGAAGTGAGATGCTATATTCACAGTGCTGAAGGAAACAAATACAAAAAGCCAGCTAAGAATACTATACCCAGGAAAACTATCCTTTAAACAGGAAAAAGAGATAAAAAACTTTCTCAGACAAACAAAAGCTGAGGAAATTTACAACACGACACTTCGCCTACAAAAAATGCTACAGGGAATTCTTCAATCTGAAAAAAAAATGGATGCTAATGTGTAAAAAACAAAAAACAAAAAACAAAACAAAAAAACCTAAAGTATGAAATTCACTATTAAAAAACAGAAAAATGCATAATTCTATAATACTATAATTAGGGTAAGTAAACAATTTATATCCTAAGTATGAAAGCTAAAAGGAAGAACTATTAAATAATCTCAACAATTGATTAAGAGTTAGGCAATATAAAAATATGTAAATTGAAACAGCAATAAGTCAAAATGTGGGAGGGGGTGGTATTACAATGTAGAGTTTATTTTTGTTTATTTGCATCAAAGTTAAACTATTATCAGTTTAAAATAACCTGTTATAAATATATTTTTATAAGCCTTGTAGTAACAACAAAGCAAAAACCTATTATAGATACACTAAAAATAAGTAGCCAGAAATCAACATGTCCTAATAGAGAAAATTATTTTGTGACAAAAACGAAAGTAAGAGAGAGAGAGAAAAAGAAAGAAATGATTCTACAAAACAACCAGAAAACAAGTAACAAGATAGCAATACTAAATCCTTACATATCAATAATATTCAAACCTTGAATATAAATGAATTATATTCTTCAGTTAAAAGACAGAGTGGCTGAATGAATTTTTAAAAGGATCCAACTATATGCTGTCTACAAGAAACTCACTTCATCTGTAAAGACATTCACAAACTGAATGTGAAGATATTTAAAAAGATATTAGAAGCAAATGGAAAACAAACAAACAAAAAGAGCAGAAGTAAAGCTATAATTATCAGATAAAACAGACCTTAAGTCAAGGACAGTTAAAAACAACAGAGAAGGCAATAGTAGGAGACTTTAACACTCCACTTTTGGCAGCAGATAGGTAATCTAGACAAGAAAATCAACAAAGAAACATCAGAATTAAACTTTACTCTAGATCAAATTGACCTAACAGACATTTTCAGAACATTTTACCCCATAGCTGAAGAATGCACATTTTTCTCAACAGCACATGGAACATTCTCTAGGATAGACCATATGTTAGGTAACAAAACAAGTTTTAAAAAGTCAAAAAAGTCAAAATCATATCCTGTATATTTTCTGACCACAATTGAATAAAACTATAAAGCAATAAGAGAAGGAACATTGGAAACTGTACAAATCCATGGAAAGAAAACAACATGCTACTGAAAAACAAATTGGTCAATGAATAAATTAAAAAGGAAATTTAAAAAATTTTCTTAGGACAGATGAAAATGGAAATACAGCATACAAAAACCTAGAGGATATACCAAAAGCAGTTCTAGGATGGAAATTTGTAGCAATCAACACCTACATCAAAAAGTAGAAAGACTTCAAACAAACAACCTAACATTGTACTTCAAGGAACTAAAAAAGCAAGAACAATCAAACTCAAAATTAGTAGAAGGAAAGAAATAATAAAGATCAAAGCATAAATAAATAAAATTTGAACTACAAAAATACAAAAGATCAACAAAATGTAGTTGGTTTTTTGAAAAAAAAATCAAGAAACTTTTAGCTACACCAACCAGAAGTCTAAAAAATAAAGTCAGAGATGAAAAAGAATATATTACAACTGATACTACAGAAATACAAAAAAAAAAGCAACAGACAAGATTATGAAAATTGATACACCAACAAATAGGAAAACCTAAAAGAAATGGATGAATTTCTGGACACATGCAAACCATGAAGATTGAACCCATGAAAAAAGAGAAAACCTGAAAACCAGTAATGAGTATGAGACTGCAGTAGTAATAAAGCCTCCTATTAAAGGAAAGCCCAGGATCTGACAGCTTCACTGCTGAATTCTGCCAAACGATTAAAGAATAACCTATACCAATTCTCTTTAAACTGTTTCAAAAAAATTGAAGAGAAGGGAATACTTCTAAACTATACTTCTAAACTCATCCTAAAAGGCCAGGATTATCCTGATGCCAAAACTAGATAAAAACACAACAAAATAGGAAAACTACAGGTCAGTATCAGTGATGAACACAGATGCAGAAATCCTCATCAAAATACAAGCAAACTGAATTCAACAAAACATTAAAAATATTCATTATGACCAAGTGGGATTTATCCCAGGGTTGCAGGGATAATTCAACATATGTAAATCAATCAATGTGATACATTGTATCAACAGAATGAAGGACAAAAACCATATGCTCATTTCAATAGATGCTGAAAAAGCATTTGATAAAATTTGACATTCCTTCATGATAATAACTGTCAACAAACTGGATACATAAGAAATATACCTCGAAACAATAAAGATCTTACATGACAAATCCACAGCTAGCATCATTCTGAATGGGGAAAAATGGAAATTCTTTCTTCCAAGATCTGAACAAGACAATGATGCCCACTTTTACCACTGTTATTCAAGATAGCACTGGAAGTCCTATCACAGCGGTTAGGCAAGAGAACGATACAAAGTGCATCTAAATTGGAAAAGAAAAAGTCAAACTATCATTGTTCACAGATGACATGATCCTATATTTAGGAAAACCTAAAGACTCAACCAAAACCTGTTAGAACTGAAAAACAAATTCATTAAAGTTGCAATATACAAAATAAACATACAAAAAGCAGTAACATTTCTATATACCAACAGTGAACAATCTGAAAAAGAAATCAAGAAAGTAATCCCATTTACAATACTTACACACACACACAAAAACACATCTGGGAATAAATTTAACCAAACAAGTGAATGACCTCTGGAATGAAAACTATAAAACACTGTTGAAAATAATTTAAGAGGACACAAAAGATTAAAAGATATCCATCCCATGCTCATGAATTGGAAGAACACTGGTCTGGGCAAAGATTTTTTAGGTAAGACCTCAAAAACACAAGCAACAAAAGCAAAACTAGACAATGGAATTACATCAAGCTAAAAAGCTTCAGCACAACAATGTAAATGATCAACAGAGTGAAGAGACAACCTGTTAAATGAGAGAAAATATTCGCAAACTATTCATTTGACAAGGGACTAACATCCAGAATATACAAGGTAAAAAAGTACATAATCCCATTGAAAAGCAGAGAAGGATATGAATAGACATTTCTCAAAGGAAAGCATACAAATGGCTAATGAGTGTATTTAAAAAAACCTCAACATCACTTAATTATCAGGGAAATGCAAATGAAAAACACAATGATATATCATCCCACCCCAGTTTAAATGGTAATTATCAAAAAGACAAAAAATAAACAATGCTTTCAAGGATGTAGAGAAAGAGAAATGCTAATACACTGTTAGTGAGAATGTAAATTAGTACAGCTCCTGTGAAAAACACTATGGAGGTTCCTCAAAAAATTAAAAATAGATCTACAGATGACCCAGCAATCTCACTGCTGGGAATACATTTTAAAAAATTAAATCACTGTATTAAAAAGATATCTGCACTCCCATGTTTATTACAGCACTATCCACAATAGCCAAGATATGGAAGCAACCTATATACCTATCAGTAGATGAATGGATAAAGAAAATGTGGGCCGGGCGCGGTGGCTCACGCCTGTAATCCCAGCACTTTGGGAGGCCGAGACAGGCGGATCACGAGGTCAGGAGATCGAGACCATCCTGGCTGACACGGTGAAACCCCGTCTCTACTAAAAATACAAAAATTAGCCGGGCATGGTGGCGCGTGCCTGTAGTCCCAGCTACTCGGGAGGCTGAGGCAGGAGAATGGCGTGAACCCGGGAGGCGGAGCTTGCAGTGAGTCGAGATCGCGCCACTGCGCTCCAGCCTGGGCGACAGAGCGAAACTCCGTCTCAAAAAAAAAAAAAAAAAAAAAAAAAAAAGAAAATGTGAAATATATACACAATATAGTATTATTCAGCCATAAAAAAGCAATGAAATTCTGTTATTTGCAACAACATAGATGGAACTAGAGTATATTACGTTAAGCGATGGCACAAAAAGACAAATATTGCATGTTCTTACTCATATAAGGAAGCTAAAAAAGTGGATCTCATGAAGGTGGAAAGTAGAATGATGGTTACCAGACATTGGGAAGGGAAGCAGGGAGGAGATGAAGAGAATTTGGTTAATGTGTAAAAAAATACAGTTAGATAGAAGGAATAAGTTATAGTGTTTGATAGTATCATAAGGTGGCAATAGTAATTTATTTTATATTGCAAAATAGCTAGAAGAAGAGATTTGGAATGTTCCCAGCACAAACAAAGGATAAATGTTTGAGGTAACTGATAACCTAATTACTCTGATTTGATTATTACACATTGTATACATGTATAAAAATATCACATGTACCCTGTAAATATGCACAATTCTTATGTTTCAATAAAAAAAGAGAGAATGGAGGGTACTAGGAATAAAGTTAGGACTTCTGCACGCTAAAAAAAAAAAACACTCTGAACACTCTTAGAAGACACATGGTAGAGATCTCACTCTTTCTGACAATGAAGTTTCTTTAACTCTACTCCAATGAGGCCTAAAAGTGAATCACCAAGCCCATATCACTGCCAGCTGGAACTAATGCCAGATTTATTTGTGTGAACAAGGCCGTAGGCTAAATTACAATGCTCTGGAGCAAGATTCATAGACTTGGGACACTCTTGACTCTGGGGACAATACAAACAACTAAGTCATAGGGGAAGCATGACTGGACTGCATCGGGGTGAGCCTAGACATGACTCACCACGAGGGACTACCTGATCCAAGCATATCATTTGTACGATTCCAGTCTTACCACACCAAAACTTGCAGAATCAAACCAACAGCTTACAAGTGGTTACATATCTGATAGATTGAATGTGTCCCAGAAAAGTTGTGAGGTAAGTGTGTAAATTACAGATTATAAAGAAGTGAGAAGGAGAGGTAGGTATGGAATCTTTCTGAAGAAGCCTTGAAGTGATATTGCCATCAAACAAAAAAGATGCATGAAGCACATATTCTGCCCTCAGCTCTGTGCTGGGTGCTATACATCTGACACGATTTAGATCCCCTGCTTATCCTTTGAAAGGATTTCATGGGTTCTCTAAAATTCTGCAATACCTAGATATGGTTGCCGTGGACACCATGTTGTTCTGGGTCCTTCTTTTTATATTCAGGAGGTGACCAAAGGAGGGGTGAATTAAAAAGAAGAGACTATCTCTGCTTTCCACTTGTTCCTATCTCAGATTATTTTTTGAGGCTCTTCTCTCAAGAGATATACCAGTTTTCATATCAGGGCAAAAGGATGGAAAAGGCTACTTATTCAAGTATCTTCATGCCTGGGTAGAGAAATCAGGCTTCAGAGATGAACCAGAGAGTGGAGCAAAGACAAAGTGCTGACTGTTGCCTTACCCCCACTCTGTCTTGAACCACTCATCTCTTAGGACTAGAGAGTAGGAAATAAGAAAAGAAAATTAAATTTCAGGAGTAACTTTACAAGGCTTATGCCATGCTCTCTCTAGAAAAATGCAAAAATGAAAATATTCTTATTTTAAATAATTAAAAAATAATTCTCCACTAAGATTAATGGTGATTTTTAACTGGGCAAATGTAAAAATGTTTTTTGCAACAAGTTTTGGTGGTAAGTAAAACTACATATGTAGTTCTGCAGATATAAATATATAAATTGAATAATAAAAATGTTTATAAACGATTTCTGTAAGATAATATACCAACAATTATCTATGGATGGTGAAATTATGAGTAATTTTAATATTAATCTGAATAAGTTTTGAGTTTTTTCCTAAACTTTCTTCAGTGATCACCTGTTACACTTATAATCAGGAAAATCAGCATTTTATTAAAAAGGCAAGCACTAAATGAGTATTTTAAAATAATATTGACCATGCATATATCACTAACTTTGGAGGCAGCAAGATGTAGAGTTGAATATCAGCTCTGCCACATACTAACTATATGATTTTAGTAAGGCCAAGTTTCCCTCTTTCCTGAGTCTCAAAGTGCACATCACTGAATTCATGAGAAATGATCTGTCAGTGGTATACAGTGAGTGATTAAAGTCACTTATGGGCAGCTTACAAAACATCAAAAACAAAGTTGAAGGTAACCTAAATGTTAATGAAAATATATAATTTTTTAGATTATTCTAAATAACACACATTAAGATGGCATGGTTTAACACTGTAGAGAGACTTTAAGTTAAAAGACTAAAAATACTTCTATTTAAATGGCTACTTTTATGGATTGCTTTGGGTCTCCCCAGAATTCATATATTGAAATCCTCACCCACCCCCAGTACTTTAGAATGTGATTTGGTTTGGAGATAAAGTCTTTACAGAGGTAATCAAGTTAAGATGAAATCATTAGGGTAGGCCCTAACCCAATGTGAGTGACATGCTTTTTTTTTTTTTTTTTTTTTTTTTTTAAGTTGGAGGGTATTTGAACACAGAGAGGTGCACAGATGGAAGACAATGTGAAGAGACATACAGGGAAGGAAGTTGTCTATCTACAGGCCAAGAAGAAAGGCCAGGGACAGATCTTTCTCTCAGCTTACTCAAAAGGAATCAACGCTACTGGCACCTTGATTTGAGACTCCTAGCCTCCAGAACTGTGAGGCAATACATACATTTCTCTTGTTTAAGCCATTCAATTTGTTGTACTTTTGTTATGGAAGCCCTACAGTTACTTTACTTTTCCGTACATTAATATTTTTGAATGATCACTCTTTATTTGTCTTCACCCTCATGAAAGCAAAATGTACAAATAGAAGTCTAGCATTTATGAAAGCACTTGGCATGAAGCAAGATAACAAAAATATCTACATAATATAATTTTTTAACATATTTCTTTTTACTTATTTATTTACTTACTTATTATACTTTAAGTTCTGGGATACATGTGCAGAACGTGCAGGTTTGTTACATAGGTATACACGTGCCATGGTGGTTTGCTGCACCTATCAACACATCACCTACGTTAGGTATTTCTCCTAATGTTATCCTTCCTCCAGCCCCCTCACCCTCTAACAGGCCCCAGTGTGTGATGTTCCACTCCCCATGTCCCTGTGTTCTCTTTGTTCAGCTCCCACCTATGAGTGAGAACATGTGGTGTTTGGTTTTCTGTTCTTGTGTTAGTTTGCTGAGAATGATGGTTTCTAGCTTCATCGATGTCCCTGAAAAGGACAAGAGCTCATCCTTTTTTATGGATGCATAGTATTCTATGGTGTATATGTGCCACATTTTTGTTATCCAGTCTATCATTGATGGACTTTTGGGTTGGTTCCAAGTCTTTGCTATTGTGAAAAGTGCCGCAGTAAACAGACATATGCATGTGTCTTTATAGGAGAATTGTTTATAATCCTTTGGATATATACCCAGTAATGAGATTGCTGGGTCAAATGGTATTTCTGGTTTGAGATCTTTGAGGAATCACCACACTGTCTTCCACAATGGAATCTGTCTATCTACAAGTTGTCTATCTACAAGTTCAATGGTTGAACTGATTTACACTCCCACCAACAGTGTAAAAGCATTCCTATTTCTCCACATCCTCTCCAGCATCAGTTGTTTCCTGACTTTTTAATGACTGCCATTCTAACTGGCGTGAGATGGTATCTCATTGTGGTTTTGATTTGCATTTCTCTGATGGCCAGTGATGATGAGCTTTTTTTTATATATTTTTTGGCCACATAAATGCCTTCTTTTGAGAAGTGTCTGTTTATATCCTTCACCCTCTTTTTAATGGGGTTCTTTGTTTTTCTTCTTGTAAATTTGTTTAAGTTCTTTATAGATTCTGGATATTAGCCCTTTGTCAGATGGATAGATTCCAAAAATTTTCTCCCATTCTGTAGGCTGCCTGTTCACTCTGATGATACTTTCTTTTGCCGTGCAGAAGCTCTTTAGTTTAATTAGATCCCATTTGTCAATTTTGGCTTTTGTTGCCATTGCTTTTGGTGTTTTAGTTATGAAGCCTTTGCCCATGCTTGTGTCCTGAATGATATTTTCTAGTTTTTCTTCTAGGGTTTTTATGACCAATGGAAAAGAATAGAAGCCTCAGAAATAACTCCACACTCTACAACCATCTGATCTTTGAAAAACCTGACAAAAACAAGCAATAGGGAAAGGATTCCCTATTTAATAAATGGTGTTGGGAAAACTGGCTAGCCATATGCAGAAAACTGAAACTGGACCCCTTCCTTATACCTTATACATAATAGAATTTTAAAAATTAATATTGTTTAATTAAGTTTTTTTCACAGATGGAATCTCCAAATTATGCGTTTTCTTTCAAAAAGAGAAAGCAAAACTTCAAATTATAAAGACAACTTGTTTGCTCTCTACTGAAGTTCACGATACATTAAGAATAAACAAAAATATATAGGATGAAAGAAGGCAACTTTAAGTTGTACTCCACCTCATGTCATATGTTCATTTGGATGTACTTCATAAGCACACAGGACTATCTAGAAGGAAGTTTACTCTTACAAGTCACTGAATGCTAATGTATAGTTTTGATGAGACTAGAAATATCCTGGTTTAAGGCTGAAACCCTGAAAGCTAATGACTGAGGCAATTATGATGTTTCCAGGGGGCACAATGGAATTCTGAGCTTTTATGGTATTTAATTACATTGCTCCTGGGCCATTTACAAGGTCATTCCAGTTTATAAGCAAATATCTAATTGTTTTATCTCATACCCAAGTCTTACCAACACTCTTCTTTCTTTTCAGAGTAACAGTTAATGCCTCAGAAAACATCATTAAAATGGGTATTTCTTCATATAACAAGGCTCTTATTATTTCAGTCACTTGGATCTTGGATGGACATTGTGCTTTCAAGCATTTAGAAGTGTGAATTCTTGTTGATATTCATTTCAACTAAATGGGAGGTAATGTGCTAAGCTAAAAATGAATATGATCTAGTCATACTCTTATTCTAAAGCCACAGCTAGGGAATGAAGTCTTGTCCATGGCAAAGATGGAAAATAGGAATGAAAAACATGTGAAGGAGAAATAAGAAAATGAGTGCTTTGCATTGGCCGTGTACCTAGATACTGCTCATTGGATGCTATGAAGTTGTGTGTGTGTGTGTGTGTGTGTTTAACAAATAAAAAGTAAAGAAGGAAAGATTGTCTTTTGCTAAAGGACAAATAGAGAGCAAGTTGGAGAAATGCAGTATGAAGCCCTGCCTTTCTGATCTCAAATCCCATTCACATCTGAAAACTGCACATATAATATATACAATTTAAGTAAAAAGAAATTGTGAACTGTTTTTCTGAACTTATTCTTAATAAAAGGTTATTAGGTTATACAGTTTTAAGAGTATGACTTAATCACTTGGGTCAATTCAGCCTTGCCATTTGGGCATAGGATATTCTCTATTTGAGTATCTGAGGTGACATAGTAAATTTGTCTATACTTTAAGACTGATACCTTGCTTGCTCCCAAAGTTATATCAAATCCACAGTTATTAGAACAATAAGGTAATATTAGAGATCAGTTAGTAACAACTCTCCTGTCTGTTATTTATTTACTCATTCAATATATCCTGTGTGTGTGTGCATGTGTGTGAGTGTTAAATCCGGTGCTGTGATGGACATTAGAAAATCCAATAATACACAAATCAGAAAGGATCTCTCCTTTTAAGTTTACAGAATCTTCAGACCCAGAAGGAACTAGATATTTACCTGCTCCTGTAGGCTAACGGGGATAAAAAGAGACTGGAAAACTCTTAATCAACAGTTGCAGTGTCACTGGGTGTGAAGTGAGATTACTTAATCTCAAAAATAGGATTTCTTACTTAGCTCTGAATCTATCTCCAGCACCCAGTATCTGATGAATGTCTGTTACCCTCATCTAAACTGAAATTTTCCATTAAATCTTTTATCACGGGTCACGGCCAGACACAGTGATTTAAGATTGACTTCCACTTACTCTTTGCCTTGGGAAAACTCTTAGAAAAACTGTCAACACACAGCCTGGAAGTTGGTTAATAGATACAGAAATATGGTTAAATAGAAGGAATAAGTTCTAGCATTAGATAGGACAGTAGGAAAACTATAGTTAACAATAATTTATTATATATTTCAAATAGCTAGAATAGAATTATAATGTACCCAACACATTTTTATATAAAAATGCAATTGGAATTTTGATAGGGGTTGAATCTGTATATTACATGGACAGTAAAGGCATGTTAACAATATTAATTCTTCTAATACATAGACATAAAATATGTTTTCATTCGTGTATTTTTAAATTTCTTTCATCAATGCCTTATAGTTTTCAGTGTACAGATCTTTCACATCCCTGGTTGTATTTATTCTTCTGTATTTTATTATTTTCATGCTATTGTAAACGGACTGTCTTTGTAATTTCTTTCTCAAATAGTTTGTTGTTAATGTACAGAAATGCAACTGGATTTTGTATGTTAATTTTGTATCCTGCAACGTTGCTGAATTTATTAATTTTAAGTTTTTTGATGAAGTTTTTAGAGATTCCTATAAAAAACCATGCCTTATGCAAATAGAGACAATTTAACTTCTTCCTTTACAATTTGGATATTTTTTACTTCCATTTCTTGCCTAGTGGCCCTGGCTAGGACTCCCAGTACTATGTTGAATAGAAGTGGTGAGAGTGAACTCCCTTGTCTTCTTGCTGATCTTAATGGAAAAGCTTTTGGCTTTACAACATGAGTATGATGTTAGCTATGGGATTTCCTGTGTTTTCATGATGTTACTTCGGGTCCTTTCATTTCAACTTGAAGAACTCCCTTTGGCATTTCTCTTAAGGCAGGTCTAGTGGAAATAAACTCTCTTAGCTTTCTTTTCTCTGGGAATGATTTTATGTCTCTTCATTTCTAAAGTACAGCTTTTACAGACTCATTATTCTTATGTGGCAGTTTTGTTTTTCTTTTAGTACTCCAAATACATCATTCCACTCCCTCCTGCCCAGCAAAGTTTCTGCTGAGAAATCTGCTTGTAGCCTTTGTGAGTACCCTTCCATGTGATGAGTAGTTTTTCTCTTGCTGCTTTCAGAATTCTCACTTTGTCTTTGATTTTGACAATTTGATTTTAATGTGTCTAGGAAAAGTATTTTTTGCGTTGATCTTGCCTGGAGCATTTGAGCCTCACTAATCTAGACATCCATATTCCTACCAACATTTGGGAAGTTTTAGCCACTAATGAATGTAATGAATATAAAATATATTGACATACTGAACAACATGAAAATCAAAAACATTTGCATGGTAAAAATTCACCATAAGTTAAGGCAAATGATAAATGTCAAGGAAGGAATAAAAGTATTTGCAACTCAGATCATAAACAAAGTACAAACTTCTCTACTTTGTAAAGATTTGACAGAAATCAACACCAAATGCCCAGTGAAAAATTAGCAAAGGAAATACGGTTTACCGAGAAAGAAAAACAAATGGTTATTAAACTTATGAAAATATGTCCAGGTTCATCTATAAGAATAGATTGAAAATGAAAACAAGTATATCATTTCTCACCAATTAGATGTACAAAAATCCAAAGTTTGAATGTTTTTGAAAGGATGTGTGAAAAATACACTTTCAGACTTTGCTGTAGGATTATAAAATGGTGTAACTACTATAAAGGGAAATCTGGAAATTTCTACAAATCCACAGAAACAATTTACCCTTTCAAGCAGCAATTTCAGTTCTGGAACTCTATCCCACAGATACTTTGTACACATATGAAATGAGAAATGATGTTAGTTATTCACTGTAACATTGTTTTTCACAGCAAAAAAGAAAGAAAGAAAGAAAACCCTGGAACAACTCAAATATTCCCTGATAAGAATTTATTTAAATAAACCATGATATTTCCACATAGTGGAATATTATGCAGTTGAAAGAAAAAAGAGGAAAAGCTTCATGCACTGATATGAAAAAAATCTTTAGTATGTTTTATTAATTGGTAAAATTAAAGCTAGGAGCAGGACAGTGAGAAAGGAAGGAAATTGATAAAAATGGAAGGAAATTATGTATATGTATATTTGTGTTTGTATAACATATAATGAGTATTACATATAGAAACACTGAAAAAATAAACATGACACTAATAAATATAATTTCTCATAGATGGGGAACAGGGTGAAGGAGGAATAGATGGGATTGGGAGACAGACATCTCCGCTTTACCTTTTTATAAAGTTTGACTTTTAAGTAATATAGCTATTTTACCTACCCTCAAAAATATTAATTTAGGAAGGAAGAGATAAAAGAGAAGAAGAAAGGAAGGAGGGGAAGAGAGGAAGGGAAAGCGGGAAGGAAATAAGTGGATCTAGAATATTTGCACTGGTTTTGCCTTCCCTCATCCATACTTCCTTCACAATGTAAAATAGCACCAGTGAGTCAGACACATGCTTGATACCACTTGGGAAACAAAAGAAGAATACCTGAGACTCCTATTTCTGTCATCAGGAGCTACCACTCTTCTCAGGGTTCTTCAACCTTGCATTGTTTTAGGTATGCAACTAAATTGCAACTAAATTATTGATTCTGCTGGAAGGTTATATGAGTTTATGCACTAAATGGTTTCATCATTTATCACCAGCCCTGCAGTGAGACACCATGGGCATATATCAGCTCTTAGGAAATATGTTCACACATACACACTGTGGCATGAGCTTTTTCTAAGTCAAAGCTGAGGCCTCACAAAGGATGTTAACCTTCTAGGTGTTTTAAATACATCCATCTGTGAGAAGACTTCAAAATGGATTTTGCAAAAGGTAATTGGAATTAACAGCTTTTTGTGATTTGGAGCTTGGCATAGACACCAAACAAGAACAAAATGATCATGTTCCTAGGAAATTAGGGCCACTGTCCATAGCTGTTAGGTCTAAATGGAGTTTGTGGGGTTGAGAATAGTGCAATATAAATTGATATGGTTATTTGTGTGGTGCAGCAGCAAGGCAGAAGTCAGGGAATCTTCCTTGGTTGGAGGCTTTAGAAATCTCCAGTATAATAAAATCTGGTATAAGCACTGAACAAATAAAGAGGGGGGCAACCTTCCTAGAGAAATGAAATGAATGCAGGTCCAAAATTCAAAGCTCAGGAAATCTGACTCAACATCTGGTTGCCTTCATCCATTTTCAAGTACTCTTATTCAATAATAAGGCAAGAAGAAAAATATACCTTTATAATACCCACATTCTTGCTGCCAATTCTGAATCTCAGGGCACAACATCTTATATTCATTTATTTATTTACCAATGGCCAAGCATTATGCTCTAGTCTAACATCGTTTCTGAAGTATTTTGAATCTACCTCCAGTGCGAAGGTAAACGAGTGAATTTCCACTCCTCCACCAGTAGATATAAGACTTTAGGCCAATCATCAGCATTTTCTCATCTAAAAGTAAGAGAATTTGGGTTGGAAGCTAACAAGTTTTTCAATCCTAGGAATTCTACATTATATGTATACTCTGTTGCAGAATAAAATGCTTCATAAGCCTAAGTAGAATCTTAGAAGCTAGGAGCTGAATTCTGAATCATTTAGTGGAGTAATTGTCTCTAAAAATGCTAATGGAATTTCACAAATGCTTCCTGCCACACCCACTCCTTTTCAGAGACTAGAAGATGAGGTTGTGAATTTATGGTGATAGAGCAAACACCCAAACACACAGCAGTTTAATTTTCCTTTATTATTATATTTTTAATTTACTGTGGATGACTAACACTTATTAGTATTCTTTTCTGCTGCCACGAACACTGAAAGCTTCTTTCTGTCTGGGTCTTGGCAAAGTATGAAAGTAAATAATTCTTTAAAATATACATAGTCAGTCCAAGAAAATCGGGAGACCTCAATTGAGTTTGGAGTCACTGATGTACTTCACATTTACCTTAGAAAACTGATCTAGAGTATCAAAGAAATTAAAAATAATTAATTTTTAGAATCACAATGCAGTATAAATCATTCAACCAAACTCCACACTCTAGATGGCCATTAATTTGCAAGTGAAGTAGGTCACTGGGACTCTTAATATATACCAGGGATTTTGTTTTGTTTTGTTTTTTGTTTTTTTGCTTTTTTGCTTTTTTTTAGTTTTTTTAATTTTATTTTCAATACAGTGGGTACATGTGCAGATTTGTTACATGGGAGTATTGTGTGATGTTGAGGTTTGGGATATGAATCCTGTCACTCGACCAAGCCTTTTGAATTGTGAAGAAGAAATCTTTCAAACATCCTGCCAGCTACCCACTGCTGGCAATATGAGTTGGGGAGAGTAGGGGAGAGAATTCAGGTAGGTAGGAAAGCAAGGCTGCATAATAACACTTACACTTTTACAAACAGTGCTCTAAATAAATTCAGAGAATTTCATTTTAACATGACTGTCACGTTTTGAAGAAACCTTAAGACCCCAGGACTGAGGTAGCTAGGGAACCAGTTTTTCAATAGTAACATTATTCACACTGATAGAGGGAAGACAGAGACTTATCAAAAAGAAAGGATAGAGATTACCCAGAAAGTTGAAATAGAAAACAGATAAAAGACTTTCTTCATCTCTAAGAATTACTAAGAAAAGGGATGTTTGCAACCATGGGGTCATATTCAACGTATTTTAATAATCAATTTGCTTGGGCACAAACCAATGACATTTTCTCTTCTGGCCATGACCAACCAGAAGATATATTCATTGTAAACAGTCAACTGAATACCAGTGTTCTACAATCCTGCCAGGAAAAGGAACCTGTCCTCACACTAAATCCATTTTTAGTTTCTTTTCTACTTGCAATTTTCATTTTACTAAAGAAGAAATGACAAAAAAAAAAAAACAGAAAACAGAAAAAACACCCAGAAAACATTACCCACCAGGAAGTTAAGGAGTTTGTGTTATAGAAAATTCTCAGAGAAACTTTGCACTATGAGTCCTATTAATTCATGAACTCCTGCAGGGAGGTACCATGACTACTACAGCTCCTAGAAGAACAATTCCCAGAAGAATAAATGCAGTCAGTGTTGCTGACTCACCGCATGACAGAACAGACACGACAGCCTAAGTAAGAGCCTTGGAGTTATTTTTCCTGCTTGGGATTCAGATTCAAAACAAATGATGATGATGGGCTCCTCTCTGCTTTTGGGTGGACATGAACCGAGTAGGAATATCAAACTTCTGAATTCAATCACAACCATCACTTAGGCTAAGAAGAATAGAAGAATAAAAAGGGGAAAAGGACACAAGAGATGAACTATTTCAGCAAAGAGGGGAGTAATTCCCATACCAGCATTCCAGCCATATATTACTAGCATATGGTAGAAAGATGAGATTTATTAAACAGGAATGAAGAACATGTAGCCAGGCCCCAACATGAGCCAAACTGTTACCATTGCTAGAATTTATATAACTATGAATACATGTAGTGACCTGTTGGTCCTCCAGAACTTCATTTTGTAAGAAGGAAGAAGCAGCTCCATGGAAAAAAATAAACCGAAGACAAAACAGATAGGCATAACAAACTTTACTTAAGAGCAAGCTTTAATCTTTCAAGAGGAAGAGTAATTCAGAGTAAATCATTCTATCTGTCACTCTCACTAAATTAAAAGAAAAAATGGTTTATAAAATATTAACAGGGAAAAATCTAATTTACTTACATCTAGCATTAAGAAGAATATCAAAATATGAATTAAAAAAATTAAAAACCTGAAAAAAAAATCGAGGAAGAGACAAGATGGACAAATAGGAACAGCTCCAGTCTACAGCTCCCAGCATGAGCGACGCAGAAGACAGGTGACTTCTGCATTTCCATCTGAGGTACCAGGTTCATCTCACTAGGGAGTGCCAGACAGTGGGCGCAGGACAGTGGGTGCAGCACACTGTGTGCGAGCCGAAGCAGGGCGAGGCATTGCCTCACTTGGGAAGCGCAAGGGGTCAGGGAGTTCCCTTTCCTAGTCAAAGAAAGGGGTGACAGACAATACCTGGAAAATCAGGTCACTCCCACCCAAATACTGCGCTTTTCCCACGGGCTAAAAAAACGGCACACCAGGAGATTACATCCCACACATGGCTTGGAGGGTCCTACGCCCACAGAGTCTCGCTGATTGCTAGCACAGCAGTCTGAGATCAAACTGCAAGGTGGCAGCGAGGCTGGGGGAGAGGCGCCCACCATTGCCCAGGCTTGCTTACGTAAACAAAGCAGCCAGGAAGCTCAAACTGGGTGGAGCCCACCACAGCTCAAGGAGGCCTGCCTGCCTCTGTAGGCTCCACCTCTGGGGGCAGGGCACAGACAAACAAAAAGACAGCAGTGACCTCTGCAGACTTAAATGTCCCTGTCTGACAGCTTTGAAGAGAGCAGTGGTTCTCCCAGCATGCAGCTGGAGATCTGAGAATGGGCAGAGTGCCTCCTCAAGTGGGTCCCTGACCCCTGACCCCCGAGCAGCCTAACTGGGAGGCACCCACCAGTAGGGTCAGACTGACACCACACACGGCCAAGTACTCCTCTGAGACAAAACTTCCAGAGGAACCATCAGACAGCATCATTTGCGGTTCACGAAAATCCGCTGTTCTGCAGACACCGCTACTGATACCCAGGCAAACAGGGTCTGGAGTGGACCTCTAGCAAACTCCAACAGACCTGCAGCTGAGGGTCCTGTCTCTTAGAAGGAAAACTAACAAACAGAAAGGACATCCACACCCAAAACCCATCTGTACATCACCATCATCAAAGATCAAAAGTAGATAAAACCACAAAGATGGGGAAAATCAGAGCAGAAAAACTGGAAACTCTAAACAGCAGAGCCCCTCTCCTCCTCCAAAGGAACGCAGTTCCTCACCAGCAATGGAACAAAGCTGGACGAAGAATGACTTTGACGAGTTGAGAGAAGAAGGCTTCAGACAATCAAACTACTCCGAGCTTCAGGAGAAAATTCAAACCAAAGGCAAAGAAGTTGAAAACTTTGAAAAAAATTTAGACGAACGTATAGCTAGAATAACCAATACAGAGAAGTCCTTAAAGGAGCTGATGGAGCTGAAAGCCAAGGCTTGAGAACTACGTGAAGAATGCAGAAGCCTCAGGAGCCAATGCGATCAACTGGAAGAAAGGGTATCAGTGATGGAAGATGAAATGAATGAAATGAAGCGAGAAGGGAAGTTTAGAGAAAAAAGAATAAAAAGAAACGAACAAAGCCTCCAAGAAATATGGGACTATGTGAAAAGACCAAATCTATGTCGGATTGGTGTACCTCAAAGTGATGGGGAGAATGGAACCAAGTTGGAAAACACTCTGCAGGATATTATCCAGGAGAACTTCCCCAATCTAGCAAGGCAGGCCAACATTCAGATACAGGAAACACAGAGAACGCCACAAAGATACTCCTCAAGAAGCACACCTCCAAGACGCATAATTGTCAGATTCACCAAAGTTGAAATGAAGGAAAAAATGTTAAGGGCAGCCAGAGAGAAAGGTTGGGTTACCTACAAAGGGAAGCCCATCAGACTAACAGCAGATCTCTTGGCAGAAACTCTACAAGCCAGAAGATAATGGGGGCCAATATTCAACATTCTTAAAGAAAAGAATTTTCAACCCAGAATTTCATATCCAGCCAAACTAAGCTTCATAAGTGAAGGAGAAATAAAATCCTTTACAGACAAGCAAATGCTGAGAGATTTTGTCACCACCAGGCCTAAAAGAGCTCCAGAAGGAAGCACTAAATATGGAAAGGAACAACCAGTACCAACCACTGCAAAAACATGCCAAATTGTAAAGACCATCGATGCTAGGAAGAGACCGCATCAACTAATGAGCAAAATAACCAGCTGACATCATAATGACAGGATCAACTTCACACATAACAATATTAACTTTAAATGTAAATAGAGTAAATGCTCCAATTAAAAGACACAGACTGGCAAATTGGATAAAGGGTCAAGACCCATCAGTGTGCTGTATTCAGGAAACCCATCTCACGTGCAGAGACACACATAGGCTCAAAATAAAAGGATGGAGGAAGATCTACCAAGCAAATGGAAAGCAAAAAAAGGCAGGGGTTGCAATCCTAGTCTCTGATAAAACAGACTTTAAACCAACAAAGATCAAAAGAGACAAAGAAGGCCATTACATAATGGTAAAGGGATCAATTCAACAAGAAGAGCTAACTATACTAAATATATATGCACCCAATACAGGAGCACCCAGATTCATAAAGCAAGTCCTGAGTGACCTACAAAGAGACTTAGACTCCCACACAATAATAATGGGAGACTTTAACACCCCACTGTCAACATTAGACAGATCAACGAGACAGAAAGTTAACAAGGATACCCAGGAATTGAACTCACCTTTGCACCAAGCAGACCTAATAGACATATACAGAACTCTCCACCCCAAATCAACAGAATATACATTTTTTTCAGCACCACACCACACCTATTCCAAAATTGACCACATAGTTGGAAGTAAAGCTCTCCTCAGCAAATGTAAAAGAACAGAAATTATAACAAACTGTCTCTCAGACCACAGTGCAATCAAACTGGAACTCAGGATTAAGAAACTCATTCAAAACCACTCAACTACATGGAAACTGAACAACCTGCTCCTGAATGACTACTGGGTACATAACGAAATGAAGGCAGAAATAAAGATATTCTTTGAAACCAACGAGAACAAAGACACAACATACCAGAATCTCTGGGACACATTCAAAGCAGTGTGTAGAGGGAAATTTATAGCACTAAATGCCCACAAGAGAAAGCAGGAAAGATCCAAAATTGACACCCTAACATCACAATTAAAAGAACTAGAAAAGCAAGAGCAAACACATTCAAAAGCTAGCAGAAGGCAAGAAATAACTAAAATCAGAGGAGAACTGAAGGAAATAGAGACACAAAAAACCCTTCAAAAATTAATGAATCCAGGAGCTGGTTTTTTGAAAAGATCAACAAAATTGATAGACCGCTAGCAAGACTAATAAAGAAAAAAAGAGAGAAGAATCAAATAGATGCAATAAAAAATGATAAAGGGAATATCACCAATGATCCCACAGAAATACAAACTACCATTAGAGAATACTACAAAAACCTCTACGCAAATAAACTAGAAAATCTAGAAGAAATGGATAAATTCCTGGACACACACACTCTCCCAAGACTAAACCGGGAAGAAGTTGAATCTCTGAATAGACCAATAACAGGATCTGAAATTGTGGCAATAATCAATAGCTTACCAACCAAAAAGAGTCCAGGACCAGATGGATTCACAGCCGAATTCTACCAGAGGTACAAGGAGGAGCTGCTACCATTCCTTCTGAAACTATTCCAATCAATAGAAAAAGAGGGAATCCTCCCTAACTCATTTGATGAGGCCAGCATCATCCTGATACCAAAGCCAGGCAGAGACACAACCAAAAAAGAGAATTTTAGACCAATATCCTTGATGAACATTGATGCAAAAATCCTCAATAAAATACTGGCAAACTGAATCCAGCAGCACATCAAAAAGTTTATCCACCATGATCAAGTGGGCTTCATCCCTGGGATGCAAGGCTGGTTCAATATACACAAATCAATAAATGTAATCAAGCATATAAACAGAACCGAAGACAAAAACCACATGATTATCTCAATAGATGCAGAAAAGGCCTTTGACAAAATTCAACAGCCCTTCATGCTAAAAAATCTCAATAAATTAGGTATTGATGGGACGTATCTCAAAATAAGAAGACCTATGTATGACAAACCCACAGCCAATATCATACTGAATGGGCAAAAACTAGAATCATTCCGTTTGAAAACTGGCACAAGACAGGGATGCCTTCTCTCACCACTCCTAGTCAACATAGTGTTGGAAGTTCTGACCAGGGCAATTAAGCAGGAGAAGGAAACAAAGGGTATTCAGTTAGGAAAAGAGGAAGTCAAATTGTCCCTGTTTGCAGACGACATGATTGTATATCTAGAAAACCCCATCGTCTCAGCCCAAAATCTCCTTAAGCTGATAAGCAACTTCAGCAAAGTCTCAGGATACAAAATCAATGTACAAAAATCACAAGCATTCTTATACAGCAACAACAGACAAACAGAGAGCCAAATCATGAGTGAACTCCCATTCACAATTGCTTCAAAGAGAATAAAATACCTAGGAATCCAACTTACAAGGGATGTGAAGGACCTCTTCAAGGAGAACTACAAACCACTGCTCAAGGAAATAAAAGAGGATACAAACAAATGGAAGAACATTCCATGTTCATGGGTCGGAAGAATCAATATCGTGAAAATGGCCATACTGCCCAAGGTAATTTAAAGATTCAATGCCATCCCCATCAAGCTACCAATGACTTTCTTCACAGAATTGGAAAAAACTACTGTAAAGTTCATATGGAACCAAAAAAGAGCTCGCGTTGCCAAATGAATCCTAAGCCAAAAGAACAAAGCTGGAGGCATCACGCTACCTGACTTCAAACTATACTACAAGGCTACAGTAACCAAAACAGCATGGTACTGGTACCAAAACAGAGATATAGATCAATGGAACAGAACAGAGCCCTCAGAAATAATGCCACATATCTACAACTATCTGATCTTTGACAAACCTGAGAAAAACAAGCAATGGGGAAACGATTCCCTATTTAATAAATGGTGCTGGGAAAACTGGCTAGCCCTATGTAGAAAGCTGAAACTGGATCCCTTCCTTACACCTTATACAAAAATCAATTCAAGATGGATTAAAGACTTAAATGTTAGACCTAAAACCATAAAAACCCTAGAAGAAAACCTAGGCATTACCATTCAGGACATAGGCATGGGCAAGGACTTCATGTCTAAACCATCAAAAGCAATGGCAACCAAAGCCAAAATTGACAAATAGGATCTAATTAAACTAAAGAGCTTCTGCACAGCAAAAGAAACTACCATCAGAGTGAACAGGCAACCTACAACATGGGAGAAAATTTTCACAACCTACTCATCTGAGAAAGGGCTAATATCCAGAATCTACAATGAACTCAAACAAATTTACAAGAAAAAAACAAACAACCCCATCAAAAAGTGGGCGAAGGCCATGAACAGACACTTCTCAAAAGAAGACATTTATGCAGCCAAAAAACACATGAAAAAATGCTCACCATCACTGGCCATCAGAGGAATGCAAATCAAAACCACAATGAGATACCATCTCACACCAGTTAGAAAGGCAATCATTAAAAAGTCAGGAAACAACAGGTGCTGGAGAGGATGTGGAGAAATAGGAACACTTTTACACTGTTGGTGGGACTGTAAACTAGTTCAACCATTGTGGAAGTCAGTGTGGCGATTCCTCAGGGATCTAGAACTAGAAATACCATTTGACCCAGCCATCCCATTACTGGGTATATACCCAAAGGACTATAAATCATGCTGCTATAAAGACACATGCACACGTATGTTTATTGTGGCACTATTCAAAATAGCAAAGACTTGGAACCAACCCAAATGTCCAACAATGATAGACTGGATTAAGAAAATGTGGCACATATACACCATGGAATAATAAGCAGACATAAAAAATGATGAGTTCACGTCCTTTGTAGGGACAAGGATGAAATTGGAAATCATCATTCTCAGTAAACTATCGCAAGGACAAAAAACCAAACACCGCATATTCTCACTCATAGGTGGGAACTGAA